>NC_000007.14:33990242-34615242 GCF_000001405.40 Homo sapiens
CATGAGCATGGAATGTTCTTCCATTTGTTGTATCCTCTTTTATTTCCTTGAGCAGTGGTTTGTAGTTCTCCTTGAAGAGGTCCTTCACATCCCTTGTAAGTTGGATTCCTAGGTATTTTATTCTCTTTGAAGCAATTGTGAATGGGAGTTCACTCATGATTTGGCTCTCTGTTTGTCTGTTGTTGGTGTGTAAGAATGCTTGTGATTTTTGTACATTGATTTTGTATCCTGAGACTTTGCTGAAGTTGCTTATCAGCTTAAGGAGATTTTGGGCTGAGACAATGGGGTTTTCTAGATATACAATCATGTCATCTGCAAACAGGGACAATTTGACTTCCTCTTTTTCTAATTGAATACCCTTTATTTCCTTCTCCTGACTAATTGCCCTGGCCAGAACTTCCAAAACTATGTTGAATAGGAGTGGTGAGAGAGGGCATCCCTGTCTTGTGCCAGTTTTCAAAGGGAGTGCTTCCAGTTTTTGCCCATTCAGTATGATATTGGCTGTGGGTTTGTCATAGATAGCTCTTATTATTTTGAAATATGTCCCATCAATACCTAATTTATTGAGAGTTTTTAGCATGAAGGGTTGTTGAATTTTGTCAAAGGCTTTTTCTGCATCTATTGAGATAATCATGTGGTTTTTGTCTTTGGCTCTGTTTATATGCTGGATTACATTTATTGATTTGCATATATTGAACCAGCCTTGCATCCCAGGGATGAAGCCCACTTGATCATGGTGGATAAGCTTTTTGATGTGCTGCTGGATTCGGTTTGCCAGTATTTTATTGAGGATTTTTGCATCAATGCTCATCAAGGATATTGGTCTAAAATTCTCTTTTTTGGTTGTGTCTCTGCCTGGCTTTGGTATCAGAATGATGCTGGCCTCATAAAATGAGTTAGGGAGGATTCCCTCTTTTTCTATTGATTGGAATAGTTTCAGAAGGAATGGTACCAGTTCCTCCTTGTACCTCTGGTAGAATTCGGCTGTGAATCCATCTGGTCGTGGACTCTTTTTGGTTGGTAAGCTATTGGTTATTGCCACAATTTTAGTTCCTGTTATTGGTCTATTCAGAGATTCAACTTCTTCCTGGTTTAGTCTTGGGAGAGTGTATGGGTCCAGGAATTTATCCATTTCTTCTAGATTTTCTAGTTTATTTGCGTAGAGGTGTTTGTAGTATTCTCTGATGGTAGTTTGTATTTCTGTGGGATCGGTGGTGATATCCCCTGTATCATTTTTTATTGCATCTATTTGATTCTTCTCTCTTTTTTTCTTTATTAATCTTGCTAGCAGTCTATCAATTTTGTTGATCCTTTCAAAAAACCAGCTCCTGGATTCATTAATTTTTTGAAGGGTTTTTTGTGTCTGTATTTCCTTCAGTTCTGCTCAGATTTTAGTTATTTCTTGCCTTCTGCTAGCTTTTGAATGTGTTTGCTCTTGCTTTTCTAGTTCTTTTAATTGTGATGTTAGGGTGTCAATTTTGGATCTTTCCTGCCTTCTCTTGTGGGCATTTAGTGCTATAAATTTCCCTCTACACACTGCTTTGAATGCGTCCCAGAGATTCTGGTATGTTGTGTCTTTGTTCTCGTTGGTTTCAAAGAACATCTTTATTTCTGCCTTCATTTCGTTATGTACCCAGTAGTCATTCAGGAGCAGGTTGTTCAGTTTCCATGTAGTTGAGCGGTTTTGAGTGAGATTCTTAATCCTGAGTTCTAGTTTGATTGCACTGTGGTCTGAGAGATAGTTTGTTATAATTTCTGTTCTTTTACATTTGCTGAGGAGAGCTTTACTTCCCAGTATGTGGTCAATTTTGGAATAGGTGTGGTGTGGTGCTGAAAATAAAGTATATTCTGTTGATTTGGGGTGGAGAGTTCTGTAGATGCCTATTAGGTCCACTTGGTGCAGAGCTGAGTTCAATTCCTGGGTATCCTTGTTGACTTTCTGTCTCGTTGATCTGTCTAATGTTGACAGTGGGGTGTTAAAGTCTCCCATTATTAATGTGTGGGAGTCTAAGTCTCTTTGTAAGTCACTCAGGACTTGCTTTATGAATCTGGGTGCTCCTGTATTGGGTGCATATATATTTAGGATAGTTAGCTCTTCTTGTTGAATTGATCCCTTTACCATTATGTAATGGCCTTCTTTGTCTCTTTTGATCTTTGTTGGTTTAAAGTCTGTTTTATCAGAGACTAGGATTGCAACCCCTGCCTTTTTTTGTTTTCCATTGGCTTGGTAGATCTTCCTCCATCCTTTTATTTTGAGCCTATGTGTGTCTCTGCACGTGAGATGGGTTTCCTGAACACAGCACACTGATGGGTCTTGACTCTTTATCCAATTTGCCAGTCTGTGTCTTTTAATTGGAGCATTTAGTCCATTTACATTTAAAGTTAATAGTGTTATGTGTGAATTTGATCCTGTCATTATGACGTTAGCTGGTTATTTTGCTTATTAGTTGATGCAGTTTCTTCCTAGTCTCGATGGTCTTTACATTTTGGCATGATTTTGCAGCGGCTGGTACCGGTTGCTCCTTTCCATGTTTAGCACTTCCTTCAGGAGCTCTTTTAGGGCAGGCCTGGTGGTGACAAAATCTCTCAGCATTTGCTTGTCTGTAAAGGATTTTATTTCTCCTTCACTTATGAAGCTTAGTTTGGCTGGATATGAAATTCTGGGTTGAAAATTCTTTTCTTTAAGAATGTTGAATATTGGCCCCCACTCTCTTCTGGCTTGTAGAGTTTCTGCTGAGAGATCCGCTGTTAGTCTGATGGGCTTCCCTTTGAGGGTAACCCGACCTTTCTCTCTGGCTGCCCTTAACATTTTTTCCTTCATTTCAACTTTGGTGAATCTGACAATTATGTGTCTTGGAGTTGCTCTTCTCGAGGATTATCTTTGTGGCGTTCTCTGTATTTCCTGAATCTGAATGTTGGCCTGCCTTGCTAGATTGGGGAAGTTCTCCTGGATAATATCCTGCAGAGTGTTTTCCAACTTGGTTCCATTCTCCCCATCACTTTCAGGTACACCAATCAGACATAGATTTGGTCTTTTCACATAGTCCCATATTTCTTGGAGGCTTTGCTGATTTCTTTTTATTCTTTTTTCTCTAAACTTCCCTTCTCGCTTCATTTCATTCATTTCATCTTCCATCACTGATACCCTTTCTTCCAGTTGATCACATTGGCTCCTGAGGCTTCTGCATTCTTCACGTAGTTCTCGAGCCTTGGTTTTCAGCTCCATCAGCTCCTTTAAGCACTTCTCTGTATTGGTTATTCTAGTTATACATTCTTCTAAATTTTTTTTCAAAGTTTTCAACTTCTTTGCCTTTGGTTTGAATGTCCTCCCGTAGCTCAGAGTAATTTGATCGTCTGAAGCCTTCTTCTCTCAGCTCGTCAAAGTCATTCTCCATCCAGCTTTGTTCCGTTGCTGGTGAGGAGCTGCGTTCCTTTGGAGGAGGAGAGGCCCTCTGCTTTTTAGAGTTTCCAGTTTTTCTGTTCTGTTTTTTTCCCCATCTTTGTGGTTTTATCTACTTTTGGTCTTTGATGATGGTGATGTACAGATGGGTTTTTGGTATGGATGTCCTTTCTGTTTGTTAGTTTTCCTTCTAACAGACAGGACCCTCAGCTGCAGGTCTGTTGGAGTACCATGCAGTGTGAGGTGTCAGTGTGCCCCTGCTGGAGGGTGCCTCCCAGTTAGGCTGCTCGGGGGTCAGGGGTCAGGGACCCACTTGAGGAGGCAGTCTGCCCGTTCTCAGATCTCCAGCTGCTTACTGGGAGAACCACTGCTCTCTTCCAAGCTGTCAGACAGGGACATTTAAGTCTGCAGAGGTTACTGCTGTCTTTTTGTTTGTCTGTGCCCTGCCCCCAGAGGTGGAGCCTACAGAGGCAGGCAGGCCTCCTTGAGCTGTGGTGGGCTCCACCCAGTTCGAGCTTCCAGGCTGCTTTGTTTACCTAAGCAAGCCTGGGCAATGGTGGGCGCCCCTCCCCCAGCCTCGCTGCCGCCTTGCAGTGTGATCTCAGACTGCTGTGCTAGCAATCAGCGAGACTCCGTGGGCGTAGGACCCTCCGAGCCAGGTGCGGGATATAATCTCGTGATGCGCTGTTTTTTAAGCCCGTCGGAAAAGCGCGGTATTCGGGTGGGAGTGACCCGATTTTCCAGGTGCCGTCTGTCACCCCTTTCTTTGACTCAGAAAGGGAACTCCCTGACCCCTTGCGCTTCCCAAGTGAGGCAATGCCTCACCCTGCTTTGGCTCGCGCATGGTGCGCACACCCACTGACCTGTGCCCACTGTCTGGCGCTCCCTAGTGAGATGAACCCGGTGCCTCAGATGGAAATGCAGAAATCACCCGTCTTCTGCGTCACTCACGCTGGGAGCTGTAGACCGGAGCTGTTCCTATTCGGCCATCTTGTGTTTGGTATTTTTAAAAGTTTTGCCTTTGCTGTTAGATTATTCTGATTGACTTTAGGGCGTGATGATGGATTCTATGTGCCATGGGGGGATTGTTGTGAACAAAAGGCCATTGTCCTGGGAGTGAGGAGACCTGTGGTCCTGTCCTACCTCTACCATTGGCTAGTTATGTCACCTGGAACCTTCCCACTCACCTCTTTGGGATTCAGTTTCCCCATCAGTAAAATAAGGACTTGTTAGAATCTTTTCAGTTCTACAATTCTATAATATCTCAATTCAGAAAGGGCCTTCACTTTCCCAGGAAGCAAATTATTTGACTGACTCTAAATACCAATTAATAGAAAAATTTTTTCTTATAGGTCACTGATACATTTTAAAATGTACATCTTAAAATTTACTTTTGAATTTTTATACTGTAAAATTTACTCTTTTTTGGGATATGGGAATTTTTATAAATGCAGTCATATACATTTTTAAATAGTGAATATTATCATAAATTATATTCAAAGATGCAAAAAGTCTTTACTTATGATTGTGGCCATGGTACAGCTTATTGTATTAAAAAACTAAAAAGACTCTTACATAATAAAGTTTCTCTAAAATACTAAGACATGTGTGGTACCTCATATGTATCTAGGATAAAGAGCAAGAGGCTCTCATCCATTTTGGAGGACATGAACTTCTTCACTCATGAGATGGATTTGTGGGTTCTGTTTGCAGAAATACAATTAGAAGTGGAGGAAGCTTTCCTTTTCCTCCTGAAGGCAAGGAGAAGACAATAAAATAGGACAATGTTGAGAGCCAGGATGAGACCTCCTGTTGCAAGGCTCTATCATGGATGCTGCTGAATGGGTGGACCTTATATTTCTATGCTTGTTGTACAATCTTATATTCCTAAGCTCAGAAATGGAAAGGCATTCCAGTAGCATGGTATGCCTCCACATTAGCATAAAACCAGGCCATGTAAGATTGATGATATTTGGAAGAGCTTTGAGGTTCTCTAAGCAGACAGAGACCCCTGCTGTTTTTGGCAGCGTTGGTTCCATGAGGCCTGTGCAGATGTTAAGGTGTTGCTTCCTTCTCTGTGTTAATCCTTGTTGCTTCCCTATTTCAGGTGTTGTCCAAATGTTGTACAAAAGAGGCCTGAATTTTCTATGAATTGGGGTCCCATGTTCAGAGTCTTACAGTCAGGGGCCACCTCACAAGTTCCATATATTCTACCTGGGATCTGGCCCCACTGAGGCCAGGGTGCCCTGGTGGGTGGAACATGGTTTCTGGAGTTGGTCAGACAGGGATTCCATTCAGCTCTGCTCCTCGAGCAAATAAGTGTACAGCTCCAAGCCTCACTTTCCTCATTTATAAAATGGGGATACTGCTTCTTGGCAAACAATACCCAGAAACCCTCTGTTCTCTTCCTCTATCTCTAACATGGTTGCTGCAGCAAATAGGACCTATGAAGCTATTTCATGCATAAAGAGCTTTGTGCAAAACAAAAAAGTTAAGATCCCTTGCTTCTCAATGTAGAAATGAAAAAGTCGCTTTAGTAAAACTGTAGGGCTTTGGAGCCCCAGAGAGTCCCACCCCCATTTTTTTTTTAAATAAAAGAAGTCCCAGCTGGTTGTGAGGATTTCATGGAATAATACATGCTGTGCCTGCTAGCCAGCATCTACTAGGTGACTCCTTTTCCTGCATAGCTGAGTGATTTTTAGCTGTCGTATTTTTTTATGGTTACCTGCTTAAATTCACTCTTTAGGACACTCACTTTTATATCAAACCCAAATATTTTAAGCCTAAGTTTTCTGGTTTGGTTTACTGAGGAGAAACCTACCAAATGGCTTCTTGCTGTCTACAATTATTGCCCTTCATACAGAAGGCTATGCATAGGGAGATAGTGGTTTGTAGTCTGAATCATTTCTTTTCTTCAGTAAGTAGTGACTGCACTTTATTTAATACCTGTTTATGATGGGAAGGTCTACCACCATTCTAGTAATATTCTAATCTTGCACTGTCTGGTAGAAATATGGTGTGAGCCACATATGCAATTTTTAATTTTCTGGTAGCTGCGTTACTGTAAGTTTTTAAAAAGTTGAATTAATTTTCCATTAAAATAAGTTTAAAAAGGTGAATAATTTTCATAATACACCATCCCTAACCCCATATATCCAAAATATTATTGTTTCAACATGTAATCATTATAAAAATATTAATAGGATATCTTACATTCTCTTTATTTTTGTACTAAGACTTTAAATTCCAGTGTGTATTTCTCACTTACAGCATTCTTATTTCAGGCTAACCACATTTCCAGTGCTCAATCGCACATGTGGCTGGTGGCTACCATATTGGACAGTGCAAGTGTAACCTATCTTGGGGGATAAGGAAGGAGCAGGTCTTATGTTCATGCTCAACAGGACCCTCCCTCCTCCCTCCCACTTAATGCCATCACATCCCATGTTGATATTCTCTACCCAGTTGGTACTGATATTGTGTGGAGAGATCAGGATGAAAGTGAAAGTGAAAGTTAATTACCCACCAGAGTGATCTTTTCTAAGTGTCATGTCCCCCTCTGCTTCAGATTTTCTAATGGCATCATCTATTATTTTTCCAAGTTAAAGCCAGAGCTCCCCTCTGCCCTCAACTTGTCTTCCAAGACTCTCCTTCTGATATGGTTTAGCTCTGTGTCCCAACTCAAATCTCTTCTTGAATTGTAATCCAAGTTGTAATCCCCATGTGTTGAGGGAGGGACCTGGTGGGAGGTGATTGAATGAAGGATGCAGTTTCCCCCATGATATTCTCGTGATAGTGAGTTCTTACAAGACCTGGTTGTTCGATAGTGTCTGGCGCTTCCCTCTTCATGCTCTCTCTCTCCTGCTGCCTTGTGAAGAAGGTGCTTGCTTCTCCTTCATCTTCTGCCATGATTGTAGGTTTCCTGAGGCCTCCTCAGCCATGTAGAAGTGTGAGTCAATTAAACCTCTTTCCTCTATAAATTACCCAGTCTTGGGTATTTCTTTATAGCAGTGTGAAAACGGAGTAATATACCCTTGTATACTTTTTCCAGACCCTCTGGGCTCCCTGTTGTTCCTTGAATGTGTCAGACACGTTCTCACCTCAGTTCTTTTGTATTTGAATGTTCTGTCCAGAAGACTCTTCCCCAGATGCCCACATATCTGACTTCTTCAGCTCCTTGAAGGAAATGAAGGAGCCAGATATGCTTGAATGTCACCTGCTTAGTGACGTTTTTCCTATTAAAATGGTAACCCTGCTTTGCTCCTAAATCCCCCTGCCACCAGATACTCCCTACTAAACTGACTTTGTTTATTTTTCCCCATTGCTTATTTATCACCTGCTGATGTGCTTTTTTCATTTTGTCTTTCTCTTCTTTCCCTGCCCTGGTAGAATACAAGCTCCATTAGGACTGGGACATTGTTTTGTTCATTGCTGTATCTCCACGACCTAAAATGGAACTTAGCACATTGTAGGTGCTCAACAAATATTTGCCTAGTGAATGAATGAACAAATACCAAGCATTTGATATTTCTAAAGACACAAAATTCCAATCACAGTATTTATCAACAGTTGATTAACATTTGGGAAAGTCCTGAATTCCATTCTATTACCCAAGATAAATGGAGTTACCTTGCTTAGTTTGGAAAACACTATCAAATTGTCTGTGCGTTATCCTTGTTCTGGTTTAGAAAACCCTCTAATGGGCCCTTCTATGGTGTCCAGGTCAGCTAGACTTCGGTGGGAATCTGGTCATTGCCCTCAAACACCAGTACTGTTTGCTTTTAAATTGTGACTTGTTGGAATGTCAGAGCAGACTCTAATTTGTGAGTTCTTGAATGCTTTTCCTTCTTTGGAAGGGAATACTCTGGAATTCTCAAAACTTAGGCACTCTCAAGTTGAAGATTTACTGGGGGCAGATTGGATTACCTCCTCTAACTTTACAAATCCACAAACACTTCAAACAAACCTCTCCCGTTCAGTTTCAGCAGACTCCCTGAGAACGTTGTGAACAAGAACACAGGGTCAAGGCTGAATGGTGAGCTGGGCTGTTGTTGTTGGCTGGATCTGTGTGGGGAGCAGCCCTAACCATGGCTTTGTGCAGCCAAACAGTGTGATGTGATCCCCCGGCTGCCGAAGGCCTGGCAGATGACAGAGTCTGGCGCAGTGGCCGACCTGCTCATCAGAGGAGAGGCCAGTCTAATTTAGAAGCCAAACAACTTTCTTTTGTCTTACTTGTTTTTCTTCCAAGAAGGTGAAGTTTTGAAGGCCTCAGCAGGAGAGAAGCCTCTAGTGTTGGGAAGGCTGTCTCAAGATTTCATGACTTGCAGTATGGAGATGAGCAAGGAGCTCTCAACATCTCTTTCTTCCCTGCCCGCCTGCTCTGAGCCCCTGAACCTAAAGTTGGCAATGACTATAAAGAGATTTCATGCGAAGTCATTCTTTCTAGCAGTGGGGTGCTTCGCACCATTCTCTTACATGTTCCCAGAGAGGAAATCAAACCTTTGTACACAGCTTTAGAGTCAAAATTCAAAATGGCAGTTTCTAGGCACTGGTTCCCTTTTGACTTCACTTTACCTGCCTGGGCACTGAGGACACCGTGAGCTTTGTCTGCAGAGGATGTGCAACTTGGTGAATGAGAACTTAGAATTCTAAGTCAAGAAGATCTTGCAGCTAGTTTAAAAAAATGGTAAGGTAGCTTTGAATTAAACCCAACAATTTCAAGCTTTAAAAAGATGTGTTCTCCCCATAAAAATAATCAGATATAGGAAGACTTGTTTGTAAACTTTATTTTTATTAGGAAATAATTTTTGTATGTTCAAATTTTGATTAATGTGGAACAGGCTTTACGTTATTTACTGGTTTGTATTGTTATAGCATTTATAGAAGATATAGTTTGACCACAACTTCTGAATTTATTCAGATAAAGTATATTTTGCCTCATATCAGTTTCTCTTTTCTCTCAGAGCCTTTCCTTCTGGGACCTTCAGTCCACAGCTGATAATCTAGATAAGAGGGTATCCAGCCTGTTGGCTGCTCAGTTTCTGACCTTCCCACAATCCTAGTTGAATGAGTCCAAATGAGTTTGAAAGGCTGGAGTTGAATTCTGCATAAACCTGAGGCTTGGGAATGATGACAAGGCTTAAAGGAGGGCAGGGAGGCCATAGAGAGCACATCTTATCCTCCAGGCTTTTCTTTCTTACCTTCCCTCAATTCCTTCTGTTAAATACCTCTTTGATTTCTCCCCATTCTCAGAACTTAAAAGGCCACTACGCTCAGAAATGAAGTGGAGACCTCATCAAACCCTCTAGGGGAGAGTGCCATAACCAGAGCCTAATGATCAAGATAGAGTTTTATATTTGTCTGTCACAAATTGGTTAACATCTGTGTTCATTTTTCTGATCTACTAAAAAATGGCCCATCTGTAATTCTTTTCTCCAACAAACTCATGCATCACGTAATAATCACATGTCGAGTGCACAGGCTGGAGAAGAGAAGGTGAAAAGAAGGGTTAGGAACAGTGTGACCAAATTATGTTCAAAAAGGAGCTATGTGGTTCAACCATCCCAAGTCTCTAGTGTCCTTGTGACTCTGACATGTTTTAGTGTGGGAGTGCAACCATTCATTCATTTATTCATTCAATGTTATAAAAGAAAAAAAGAAATTTGGACGGTGTTTTTAGATGAAGATAGATGAAAGAGACTGGATCTTGGATTGAAAAAAAATACTATAAAAGATATTAGGACAGTTGGGGAAATTTGAAGGTTGACTATATATTAGATGATAGTACTATATTAATATTAAATTTCCTAGTGTGTATTATGTTGTGGTTATAAAAGAAAAGAAAAATATTTTTAACCCTAAGAGATACAGTCTTAATTAGGGGTAAGGTATCTACAAAGGAATCTTAAATGGTTCAGGAAAAAGTCTCTCTCTCTTCCTCTCTTTCTGTCTCTCTCTCCCAGCAGAGAGGGAAAAGTATTAAAAAATACTAAAAACTGCTGATTCTAGGTGAAGGACATTTGGGTGTGCATGATACTATATTTTAAGTTTCTGAAGGTTTGAAACTTTTCAAAATTAAAAGTTAGTGAAAAAATAGAAAGTTGTCGCAAAGGTATTTCTTGTCATCTTATTGGCCAATGGGATATAGCCCATTTCACCATTAAGTATGATGCTAGTTGTGGATTTTTTTGTAAATGCCTTTATCATGTCAAGAAAGTTCCTCTTATTTTTAGTTAGTTGAGTATTTTGAACATGAATAGGTGCTGGATTTTGTTAAATGCATTTTCTGCATCTATTGAGATGATCTTGTGGTTTTTGTCCTTTTTTATATTAACATGATGCTTTATATTAATTTTCATATTTTAAACCAACCTTACATTTCTGCGATAACTCTCACATGCTATATCTTTTTTTTATATATTGTTGTACTCAATTTGCTAGTATTTTGTTGAAGACTTTTGTATCTATATTCAAAAAGTGTTTGATCTGTAGGGTTTTTGTGATATCTTTGTTTTTTTTGTATCAGGTTAATAAAGGCTTCATAGAACAGGTTGGGAAGTGTTCTCTACTCTTATTTTTTGGAAAACTTTGTGAAGGACTTGTGTTAATTGTTTTTTAAACATTTGATAGAATTCAACAGTAAAGCTACCTGGGCCTGGGCTTTTCTTCATGGGAATTTTTTGAATACTTATTAAATTTCTTCATATGGCATGAATATGAGTCTATTCAGATATTTAAAATTTTTCTTCTTGAGTCAGATTCAGTAGTTTGTGTGTTTCTAGGAGTTTGTCCATTTCATGTAGGTTTTCTAATTTGTTGGCATACAGTTGTTCATAATAGTCCCTCATAATCTTTCACTTTTCTACAGTCAGCAGCAATATTCTTGCTTCAATTCTGATTTTAGTAATTTGAATCTGCTTTCTTTTTTTTTTTTTTCTGTTCAGTCTAGTTAATGGTTTATCAATTTTGTTGAAATTTTAAAAGAACCTACTTTTGGTTTCATCGAATTCTGTTTTTCTATTCTCGATTTCACATATTGCCATTCTAGTCTTCATCATTTTCTTTCTTCTGGTGACTTTAAGGTTTAGTTACTATTCTTTTCCTAATTTGTTAAGTGGAAGGTTAAGTTATTGATTTGAGATTGTTTGCCTTTTTAAAATATAAGTGTTTACAGGTACGCATTTCTCTCTAAGTACTATTTTGGTTATATCCCATAAGTGTTTTTATTTTCATTCATCTAAAAGAATTTTCTAATTTCTTTTGTCATGTCTTTTTTTACTTACTGGTTTTGGGAATGTGTTGTTTAATTTCTATGTATTTTTGAATTTCCCAAATTTCCTTCTTTTATTGACTTTCAATTTTATTCTTTTGAAATTAGAGAACATATTTTTATTATTTAAATTTTTAAAAATTCATTGAGACTTGTTTTATGGCCAAATATATGGTGTATTGTGGAGAATGTTGTATGTGTATTTGAGAAGAGTGTGTATTTTGTTGTTTTAGAGTGGAGCGTTCTCTGTAGACAGATGACCTCTGACTTAATGACTGCTCAACTTATGATTTTAGGACTTTATGATGGTGAGAAAATGATACACATTTTGTAGAAACTGTACTTCTAATACCCATACAATCATTCTGTTTTTTACTTTCAGTACAGTATTCAATAAGTTACATGAGATATTTAATATTTTATTATAAAATAGGCTTTGGGTTATATGATTTTGCCCAACTGTAGGCTAATGTAAATGTTCTTAGCATGATTAAGGTAGGCTCAGGCTAAGCTATGAAGTTTGGTAGGTTGTATTAAATGCATTTTTAATGATTTTCAACTTATGATTGCTTTAGTGGGTTATAATCCCATCATAAGTTGAGAAGCATCTTTGTATCTGTTAGGCCTACTTGATTAACAGTGTTTTTCAAGTCTTCTATTTCCTTGTTAATATTCTGCTTAGTTGTTCTATCTATTATTGAAAGTAGAGTATTGAATTCTCAAATTATTTTTGTAGTTTCTTTCTTCAATTCTTTCAGTTTTTGCTTCATATATGTTAGGCCTCTTTTAAGTGCATATATGTTTATAATTGTTATGTCTTCCTGATGGCCTCTTATTATTGTAAAATGTCTTTCTTTGTCTCTAGCAACAATTTTTGTCTTAAAGACTTTTTTGTTTGATGATAGTATAGTCCCTACTGCTCTCTTTCAGTTACTTTGCATAGTATATCTTTCTTCTATCCTTTTACTTTCAACTTACTTGTTTCTTTGAATCTAAAGTGTGTCTCTTGTAGACAGTATATAGTTTTATCCTGCTTTAAAAAAAAATCAATTCTGCCAGTCTCTGCTTTTTGATTGGAATATTTGGCCCATTTCCATTTAATGTAATTTTTGATAAGATAGGATTTTTATCTGATGTTTTGCTGGTTTTTGTATGTCTTATGTCTTTTTTGTTCTGCAGTTCCTCCATTACTATCATATTTTGTGTTAAGTAGAAATTTTCTAGTATACTATTTTAATTCTAATATAAATTTCTAGTATAAATGTGTGTACACACACACACATATATACACACACACACATATATATACACACATACATATATGTAAACAAAAAGAGAATGTTATTTTTTAGCGGTTGACCTGGAAATTCTGGTTAACATCCTAATTTAAGATAATCCAGTTCAGATTTATACCAATTTAATTTTAACAATACAGAAAAACTTTGTTCCAATATATCTCTATTTCTCCCTTCCTTTCTACTATTACTGTCATACAAATCGCACTCTATGTATTATAAACCCATCAGCACAGTTTTATAGTTTTGTATTATGCAGTTTCCGTTAAATCCTGTAGAAAAAAAATTAAATACTCTCTTTTATATTTACCTATGTAGTCACCTCTAATGGCATTCTTTATTTGATTAATGTCCGCTTATTTCAGCCTAGAGGAGTCCGTTTAGTATTTTTATGTAGGGCATATCTGCTAGTAATGAATTCTGTTAATTTTTATTTACTTGGTAATGTCTTAATTTCTCCCTTGTGTTGCAACAACAGTTTTGTTGCATGTAGTTAACATACATGTTGATTTATAGTTTATTCTTTCACCAGTTTGAATATGTTCTGTCCTTAGTGGTTTTGATGATGAATCAGCTATTTTATTGATGCTCTCTTGTATATAATGAGTTATTTTTCTCTTGCTGCTTTCAAAATTTTCTGTCTTTCCACATTTCACTATGATGTGTCCACATATGAATTTCTTTCACTTTATCCTGCTTGAAGTTTATTGAATTTCTTGGATGTACAGATTAATGTTTTCATTAAATTTGGAAATGTTTTGGCTATTATTCTTCAAATATTCATTCAGCCCCTTTTTCCTGTTTCCTTCCAGGACTATAATCTTTGGCATGTTAGTACACTTAGTAGCGTTCCACACATCTCTGAGACTCATTTTTCTCCACTCTTTTTCCTTTCTGTTCCTTGGACTAAATAATGTCAAATGTTTTGTCCTCAAATTCATTTATTCTTTCTTCTGCCAGTTCGATCTGCTGTTGAACTCCTGCAGGAATTTTTCATTACAGTTATTGTATTTCTCAATTCTAGTATTCTAGTTCCTTCTTTTTGATGCTTTTTTATTGGTATTCTTTAATTAGAAGTGATTGTTATACTTTTATTTTTCTTTAGACTTTCTTTTTTTAGTTCTTTGAACATTTATAATAGCTGGTTTAAAGTCTTTCTGTAATAAGTCCAACCTCAGGGCTTTCACAAAGACAGTTTATATTGCTTACTTTATGTGTCGTCAAATAAACTTCCGTGTTTTTTTGCATATCTCATTTTTTGTTGTTGCTATTGTTTTTGTTGAAAACTGGATGCATTTATGATAACATAATATAGCAAGTCTGAAAAATTGTATTTTCTCCTTGCCCCAGTTTGTTATTGCTGTTTGTTTCTGTGGTTATCATTGTTGCTGTTTGTCAAGTGACTTTCTTAAACTTATTCTGCAAAGTCTGTATTCTCTGTCATGTGTGGCCAGTGACTCTGCTCGGTTAGTTCAATGGTCAGCTATTGACTGGATAGAGATTTCCGTAAATGTCTTGAACCAGTACGACTCCCAACCTTTGCCAAAGGGCTCTGTATGAGGGGCATGTTTTCAAAATTTCAGTGGGAAGTTTACAACCCTGCTTATCCTTCACTTTCGGATTGCACAGAGCCTCAAGGTTAGCCAGCAATAAGAGTTTTGAGCCTTCTTAGGTGTTTCTTGGGCATGCGTGGTGCCTTGCACAGTTATGTGACCTTCTGGATCCCAGGGTTATGTAGGAGCTTCTCAAAGCCCCCTATAGACATCCTTAAATATTTTACTCAGTATCTTGTTAACTCCTGCTTTAATGCTGCTTCAAGTAGCTGCAATATTAAACAATTACCACTGATAGTTTTTAACAAATGCACTGGGGTTAGGACAGAGTGACTCTGAGTGAGAGATAAATAATGACAAGTTCTGAGAGTGGAGCTTTTCAGCAAGCTGACAGATAGGTAAAATAGTGACAGTACCCTGGGGATGGGACTTTTAGGGAGCTCTGAATCCATTCTTCTTTCTCTAGTGGCTTCTAGGTTGGTGGATTTCAAAGCTACTATGATTGTTAAGCTATTGTTTTTTAAAACTATTGTAACACTGGGTAGAGAGGGACAAGATTAATGTAAGTTAAAATATCTCAAAGCTTGCTATTCTTATTGAGATTCTCTTATTTTTTCTCAATACACACCTCAGATTTTTGCCTTCTTTTAACTTTGATAGCTCTGACAATGTTGACTTTTTACATTTTTTTTAATTTTTATTTTTAGAGATGATGTCTCACTTTGTCATGCAGGCTGGAGTGCAATGGTGGGATCATAGCTCAATGCAGCCTTGAACTTCTGGGCTCAGGCAACCCTTCTGCCTCAGCCTCCTATTTTATTTTTTGCAGAGATGGGGGTCTCACTTTATTGCCCAGTCTTGTCTCAAACTCCTGGCTTCAAGTGATTCTCCCACTTTGGCCTCCCAAAGTGCTGGGATTACAGGTGTGAGCCGCTGCTCTTGGCCTGACAATGTTGATTTTGATAATTGTTGACAGAGTTCTTATTGCTTTATGGAGGAATGGCTTTTTGGAAGTCTTTACTCTACTGTTCTAGAAATTGTAAGTCCTTCAAAATCACTTTATATTATTTTTGCACTTATTTTATCAATTATTTAAGTGCTAGGAAAGCTCTTGAGGTTAAATCTTTCCTTGTGTTCTTAAATTTTTTCCTAAGATAATATATTTAAAAAATATACTCACTAGGTCAATGGATATTAATATTCTTGAATTTTTTATAATGCCCTGGCAATTTGCTTTCCACAAAGATTCTCTTCATTTACATTGTAGCCATTATTTGTAAAGGGGTATTCCCCTGCATGCTTGACAACTCTAGATATTATAATATGTATTACTTTACTGTTATGAATTAGAAAATATTGAGTTCTAATTCCACCCTTTGTAAAAAAAATTAAATAAACTGCTCTAACAGCTAAGATAATGGCCAAAAATATGTTCGAAATAGGAATTTTTTTCTAAAATAATCATTGTATCTTTTTTTGTTTAGAAATCTATACACAATGCTAATTTCACTTTAAAAGCCTTAGAAAAATAAAGATAAACTATGAGGAGTTCTTAAATTCTGAGAGAGATTTTGGTTTATGTCTTCTTAAGGACTAGGTTTTACTGTGTATTAGTGAATCCCTAAAATTAGCTTGTATTTTTGGCTAGGTTTTAGTGGAAAGGAAACACCTTCCTAAACTCTATCATTTGCCAAAAGAGAGGAAGAATAATGATAAAACCAGAAAGCAGAGCCTATGCAAGCAATCAGAGCAAAATTTGATGTGTACTCCAGAAGTCAAAATTGCTAATTTTTTATATTCTCTCTTGGGTGAAGCTGCTGCTTCCAGGAGCAGGAGGTGCTTTTTAGGAAGCATATTGTGCTTAACTATCAATAGGCCAGTGGTTTGACAGTTGAGCTTTGCTTAGTCACCAGGAACCCTCAGGAGATAATGCTATTTTACTTGCAAACAGAGATGTTTCAGTTATGGACGTCTGTGTATTGTAGTTTATCTCTTCCTCTTTGCGATGCAATTTGAGAGAAGTTCATGAATTTGGTGGCCATAGTTTGATCTGTAGTGCAAATTAGCATAGCTATCAAAGCAATCAATCTGTGTTTTGATGTGACTGTTTTTCTCTACCAGAAGTGGAGAACAGGACAGAATGAAGGAGATTTGAGGAGCACGTCAGGCTAAATGTCTCTCATTCACCTATTTCAAAGTGGATCAGCCCCTCTCTGCCAATGCACCTTCCTAGTATAATTTTCTGAGAATCTTTTTCTGGCTTAGGTTAGAATTCAGTGAATGGCAGAATTCAATGAGTGAATGAGGGCAATAAGCCTTGCCTTCCCATAACTAATTCAATTGATTCCTTAACATCACTAAAATAAGATAAAATCATAGGACCTTAGCATTGAAAAGGACATTGAGATAATCTTAGTGATCTTGGGCAAGTTGCTTAATTGTAGATGAATTTTCTCATTTATGAAATGAGGGGATTGCGATAGGCAATGATTCTCAACTTTTCCTGTACTTTGCTCTTAAGGGGCTTTGAATCTTTAGGCATATTGTATTAAAATCAAAATTTTAATTTTATTTTTTAAGGGATTTCACATGCACATGTACATTCCTAAGCTGCAAGATAATAAATGGTGAAAATACAGGCTTCTACTCACCAGTATTGCTTAGTCTCTTAAATTTCTCTGGAGGTAATCACAATTGACAGATTTTTCTGTATTCTCCCACAGATGGTCCATGCATTTACAGCCATAAGCATGCTCATTCCTATGACCTATCCTTATAAATGGTAGTATTCTATATGTTCTGTTCTGTGTCATTTTTTCACTTAATTATACATCTTGGATGTTGTTCCAAATCAGTGTATATAAGAGCTGCCTCATTTTCTTAAATGGCTGCATGTTATTCCATTGATAGATACAGGATAATTTACTCATAGGTATAGGGGTAATTTATTTATGCATGTAAGTATACATTTTTCTAATTTTTTCTATTATAAACAATTATATAATTAGTATAGATTTGAATCTGTTTCATTTCTGAATATATTTCTTTAGGATTAATCCTAGAACTAGAGTTATTGGATCAAAGAGCACATGTATGTTAATTGTTTTAGGGTACTGTGAAACTGCTCTTTTTGAAGGCTGCAGTGATATTCACCTCCATTGAGAGTGTATCAGGGTGCCTGATGGACCATACCCTTGTCAACACAGTATTTTTATTGTTTTTCTTGTCAGTTTTAATGGTGATAAATATTAAGTTATTTTAGTTTTAATTTGATTTTATCTTAATATTGAGTATAGTTTAATATCTTTTTATGTACAGATATTTATCAAATTTAAGAAGAAATTGATTGTAAGTCTCCTCTGGATTTTAAAATGTTAAAATATAACAATCAAAATGAGAACTAATGAAATATGGTACTTAAGTTATATGTATTTCCACTTTTGTGAAGAGTCTTTTGTTTCTTTCTCTACTGGGTTGTTGGTCTTTCATGTTGATTTCCAAGGGCTTTTATAAGCAAAGGAAATTGGCCTTTTGTGACATGTGTGACATTTCTCAATTTGTCACTGTTGATTCTGTAGTAGTATTTTCTCATGCAGATATTTTAATTTTAAGTTGTTAAATTCATCCACTTTTCTTTAACACCTTCTGGATTTAGTGTCACTATTAGAAAGCCTTTCCCACTTTGAGATTAAAAAAAAATTTCCCAGTTTTTTTTCAATTATTTTGATGGTTTTACATTAATAATATGTGTCTCATCTTTTTATGATTTTCCAGAATTTTCCTGATATTTTTGAAGGAGGCCATGTTTGGACTTTCCATATAAATCAACATATCACCTAACAATAATAGTAATTTTTCCTTCTACTGTTATACGTTTTAATTCTTGTAAAACTGCTGGCTAGCCCCTCAAGAATGACATTCAATGTTACTGGTGTCTTTCTCAAGTTGTTCCTAACTTGAATGGCAATGTCCCAATGTTTCTCTATCATGCACGGGACTGGCTTGGAGTTCATATAGATAGCATCTTGTTAGGGAAGTATCCACTCAGCCCTACTTTCTTTTTTTTGTTTACTTTTTTTCTTTTTAATTATTATTTCTTTTGAGACAGGTCTCACTCTGTTGCTGAGGCTGCAGCACAGTAGTGCAATCATAGCTCACTGTAACATTGAACTCCTGGGCACAGGAGATCCTCCCACCTCAGCCTCCTGAGTAGACACTGTGCCTGGCTAACTTTGTACATTTTTTGTAGAGATGGGGTCTCACTATGTTGCCCAGGCTAGTCTCAAATTCCTGGCCTCAAATGATCCTCCTGCCTTGACCTCTGAAAGTCCTGGGATTATAGGTGTGAGCTACTGTACCCAGTATTTTTTTTTAATTTTAGATGATCCTTCTACTTCAGCCTCCCAAGTAGCTGGGACTACAACCATGTGCCACCAAGCCCAGCTTCAACCCTATTTTATTAAAAGTAAGATTAACATAGTAAGACAGAATTTTTGAATGTGTCTTTATTATTATACTTTTTCTTGATTGCATATTAGAATGTTCTGAGATTAGACCTTATTCTTTCTGAACTATTAGGGGCCACAAGATTAAATAACCTTCATAAACCTACTCAGATTATGTTTTATGAGGGTGCTCTATTAGTGGAAGGGAGGACTTGCTTTTGGGGAAGAGTCTCCACTTGTTCTAGTAAGGACCACCTTGGCAGTTGCATACAAGACTGGTGTATTGGCCTTATTGTCCACCTCAAAATGCAAGTAGCAGACTTAGCTGTTGGGGAATATCATTACTACACATATAATAAAAACTAATGCTTAATATGAAAAATAAATATAATTATGGAAAAGAGTATCCTGTGGATAAAACCGTATAAATGTGAGAGAGAGGTGGCATTCTGCTGCTCTTTTGGAAGAGGGGAGGCATCCTTGGACAAAGGAAAGAGATATGATTTAGAAACAAAAAACTATTGTCAACTAAGGCTAAGATTTCCAAGTCTCCTCTTTTGGCTTGTTCAGCAAGTTTCAGGCTTTATCTCTAGACTTCTCAAAACATTTTTCTTCAACAGCATCACTTTGCTTGTGTCTCTAGGCTTGTACTGTGATTCTGTGTTGACTAGCTACTTATTCATAAGAGCAAGAAAGTGACCGTCTTATATTTTTGTTGAAATAAGACAATGATAGAAGGAAGGTGACCTTCTAGGTAATTATGATGAGATACCATGTTTTTCCCAGCTTCCTCCTTCCTTATGCTGGTGTCAGTGGGTTAAACAATTACTTCTAGCTCCAAATACTTTTATTTATCCACTATCCCTCATACATCTTATAAACCACACTCTCCTTCAAACCTGCCATGTCTTCTCACCTCCAGGACTCAGAACATGGGATGTCTTATGTTTCAAGTCATTTTCTTCTATTCCTTTTCTATTCCTTTTTGAAATTTAGCTCAGATGTCATCTCCTATGAAGTCTTTTCTGGTCACCCTAATGACTTACTCCTTCCTCTATATGTAGTTTGAGCATAGTTCATTATTAACACCTATCACATGGTTGTGTGATTATGTTTTTAGGAGTGTAGATGAGATAGTCAAAAGTAGACTTGTATGGTTTAACTTATTAATTTAGTTATACATACATATTTAAAATTACTTGTTGTATGAGATGATATTTAGGGAACATTGCCATTTTCCATTCTTATATTTTGTAAAACAATTTCATTCACCCTAATTATATGCAACTTTGTCATTAATCTTTGACATCACTTGTGCTACTCTTTGAATCATCAAATGTGATTTTCCAAAGTAAACCATCTTCATTTCCATTTAGATTGCTTGAGATCCAGTATTTTTTAAATCAGTGCATGATTGCTATTGTCACAAGTATCCACTGATATAACATTAGGGAGACTGGTTTTTCCTTTCACCTCTAGGGTTATATTCATGAGTTTCGTAATGTAACTACATGCTATACTACTTCTTAATATGATCTTTCAAAGGTTTGCGTGGGATGATATTCTACATTTATGAAATCTGAACTTTTGCTCCAGAAATAATTGTCATGTCCTTGTTAAATTTCTTTTCTTTTTTAATGATTCCATTGGGTGACTGTGCTTAGTGTTAATTGACATATATTCAGCCTAGCATGTTTTTCTGAAATAGTAATTTGGTGTTCGGAATTAAATAATTTAGAAAATGCCTTTTTAATTTGTGAGATTTGTGAATACTTGAATTTAAGAGGAATTTCCTTTTCTGAAGTTTAAGTTCTGGTTAAAAAACAAAAACCTCCTCAGTTTATTTTGGGCATATATGGTGTTTTCTCTGAGAGTGGAATTTGTCTTAAGTTTATTTTTATACAGGCCATGATTCTAGTAAGGCTACCTATTAGAAAATAAGGAGATTACTGTAAGCAGCAACCTGGGATCTAGTTGCAATACTTCTTAGACTATAATGTGCCTATTAATCATCTGAGGATATTGTGAACTTGCAGATTCTGACTCAGTAGGTCTGGGGTGAGGCCCGAGATTCTGTATTTCTACCAAGTTTCCAGGTGTTATCAATGTTGCTGGTTCATAAGGCATACTTTGAGTAGCAAGGACGAGGAATAATGCTGTATCTTTAAGAATTTATTAGAAACTTGTTTGGCTTCCTCTAAAGGTATCACTGGAAGGAAATAAAAAGCATATTTTGTATATGCAAAGTTTCACAATACTCCACTGGGCTCACTCATCTTCATACCGCTGTCTATGGAAGATGAGTAAAAATTTCCATTAAAGGAAAACCTTTTAAACCAGAATGTAAATAGGCCTTTGCTGCTTTCAGTTGGTCAGGGCAAAAAAAAAAAAAAAAAAAAAGAAAAAAAAAGAAAGAAAAAAGAAACAAAGAAAGCAAATTTACACTGTACCTTGAAATTCTTTTGAATTCTTTTGAATAAGAAGAACAAGCACATTCCAGAAACCTGTACCCATCTTAGAAAAGACCATTACTTTGCTAGGATGTTTACATTGGAGATATGAAAAATGAAAGCCAAATTCAAATTGCAGCCCAGAATTCAGTGCTTGGGGTTTTTAAGCCAGTAATATTTTCCCTGTAAAATCTCCTTGGAAAGGCTTTCAGATTTGAGTCAGCTAGGGTGAACCCATTTTCCGAAATTTTGTTTCTGGAAGCATTTAATTGAAAAGAAAAATCCCAAGAATGCATCCAGAGTTGAATGTCATGCAGCAGTTGGGAAAGCCTCAAAATAGCAACAATGAGAATAAATGAAGCCAAATGAAATCTGCAAATTATTAAGATAAAATTGGTAAGGGGCATAGAAACTTAATAAGAAGGAAATAAGAGAAATCAGTTTTCCAATACAAACTCTATACCAAGAGATTGTACAAAGGAGAATAGGGAACAAGAAACTTCTGTAAGCTAAAAAGATAGCAGAGGCTAAAAGTTCACAGAGACTAGATGACTCTCATTTCAGTTTGATTTCCTATGAGGGATTTCATGTTTAAAAATCTCATTTAAATTGTAGTCTTCAATGCAACCTCTTACAACTTCTCACAAAAATAATCCCCCCAAACATCAAAGGATATACTCTCAAGAGTTCTGAAAACTGGGATAGGTAGAAACCAAATGTTGGTATCCAGAAGGAATTGGCATTAATCATAGGGCAAATAGGTCTTAGTTAAGGAAACTGACTCACTTTTCAGTTTATCACATATTTAATTTTCCTTTATTTAAGCTGTCTGCCAAAAAAGAGCAGAAGATATTTAGTAATTCCTGTTCCTTTTCCTATTACCTGACACACACATACACACAGAAAACCAGACACAATTTTTTTCTATACCCCTTCTTAGAGTGCAGTTGGGTGAGATGGAGAGGTATACACCATCTCAAAACCTGGGAAAAATAAAACCAAAGAAAATATCAATAATACTAATAGAAGAATTAAACCAGCATCAACCTATACCAACAAACTACTCATTTAATAATGACACCAAATCAAATGATTGAGGAAATATGAACAACAAGCTTAGAAAAGACTCATGAAGGAAAATCAAATATATCAATTATAACCATAAATCTAATTGGGTTAAATAATTAAACAGTTGTCTTCAAAGACAATCTCAAATGGAATCAATGTGAAAACTCTAACCATCTGTTGTTTCTATGCGATATTAAAAAATATAAAAACTTACTAGCTCACATGTTTTTGAAAGGGCAGCATCTTTTGTGCCATTGTTTTGGCTGTCAGACTTCTGGAATCCCCAGATGTTTCAGCCCAGAAACCCTGGCTCAACAACAGGCAGACATTGCTGAAAAGACCCAAAGATCTAAAACTTGCACGCAGAACATTGTGCTCAATCCCTTCTGGGCTCCAGCAGCCCCAGCTCATCTCTGCTTGATGCTTCTCAGGTGCCATAACTGAATCATGATCATACTCCACTAGCCCTGTTTCTCTAAAGTTCCCTGTCTCAGTCAGTGGCACAACTCTCCATTCTCTTTAAAGCCAGAGGCTTGGGAATTACATTTGGAACCTGATTCTTCTGTCCTGTCCCCCACTCACTGAGTCCTATAGAGTTTGTATCATCAGTATTTCTTGAATCTATGGCTCCTCAACTCTACTACTTCCATCCTAGATCAAGCTTCTATTGTCTCTCAGTTGATCTCCAGCGAAGGCGTCCTAACCAGTCTCCTTCTCTGTACTATAATTTATTTTATCTTTAAAATTTTAATAGTGAGAGCTTTTATTTTGCATTCTTTTTAAAAATAGCTCTCTTGAAATATAATTTACATATCATAAAATTCACTTGTTGTAAGTGTACAATTCCATGATTTTAAAAGTAAATTTAGAGTTGCGAAACCATTACCAAAATCCTACATTCCTTGAGGGTTGATCAGACATAAGTTTGATTTTCTAGGAAGACTCCATCACAGTTGGTCTCATGAGCTTCCATCAGGAGGCACCTAATGCCTGGTTGTACCTATTTTTGTGAGGGTTAAGTTTGATTTGTGGGTTCAGATGTTAGCATGACCCACCCATTTTAAGTTTCTCATCAACCTTCCCCCTATGAGTTATAGCAGCCATCAGTGGTTATTGCCTACAGACAGACTGAAACTGCTATGAACTTTTCTCCTCTTTTTACCCAAAGAGCTTTTAAAAATGAAAATCTAATCATGTCCTTCTTCTGCTTAAAACATGTAAAGTCTTGCCATAGCTCCATCTTCTTTCCCTCACCACTTAATAAATATAGTTTTGTGGGATTCTTTCATTGCCTCTTCTCTGATTACTTTGCCCATCAGGGTAAGGACCCTCTCTGTAATTGCTCATCACTGAAAACCTAACAGTGCTGTGAAATACTAGAGCTCATTTACTACTTGTTGAATAGATGAAATCAGTGGATAAGCAATTAATTAAATGAAAGGATGATCATAGCACCTACAAAAAAGGCACATTGTGGGTTGCTGTTTTCTTCCCTCTTTAATGTGGGGACACATGGGAAAGGCAAGTAGAGGAGATCAACCCAAAAGGAGATGGTTTTGGAAGATTCTGGGTGTTTTTGACAGTGGGTCAGTGAGGTCAGAGATGTGGAGCAGCATAGAGAAGAGACAGCAGAGGAGAAACTTCCTTGAATGCATACTAAGGCATTAATACTAGAGCAAAGAGAGGAGAGATATCCTTCAAACAAGATGTCTGTGCCCTGTGAATGCATGCGAGGCCACCCTGTGTCCCATTTCAATGGCCTTGAAGGCATCATTGTGATGTGATAGATTCCAGCCTATCAAAGCAGCCCATTCATCCCTGTAGGTCTGTTGAGTCTTCTGGCCTTACTGTACGATACTGTGCCTGGCCAGGACCGTGGAGTGTGGAATTTCCTCCCCATCTGGGGAGATTCAGGCCCTGAAAACATCTATAGTATAAGAGTTCTTGTTTGGGCAACTTAAGATTTTATAGGAAATTGGGGAATTGAGGTTGTAAGTAAACCTTGGAAAGCCTTCATAAATATTTTTATATGTTCACTAAATAAAATAGTGAAGTCAGCACAATAGAGAGAATATCTGTATATTTACACACCTTTCATTAGGAAGAATAGGCATCAAATGATCCATTTTCTTTTATCACTAATTTTAACTTACTGGCATATTTTTAGTGTTTCCCTCGTTTTAAAAGGATGCTTACAAACTTGTTTTGTTTTCTTACCTGTAATATGCACACTCAGTAGGGTTTCTGCCCTCTGTGATGTCCCTTCTTCTAGGGGGGAGGCTGAATATTGAATACTCTTGTGATTTCATAATAAAGAGTCTCTCATTTCATGCTTCTTATGTCATGACTGGATGTATTCTGAAGATTCATCTAAATGTGGATTGAAATTCTTCTAGATAAAAGAACAAATATACCAAAGTAAAGGTGAGTCGACTGTTACACAGAAGTTAAGAAAACTGGATTCTGAAGCCACACTACCTGGGTTTGAATTCAAATTCCATCCCTCTTTTCCTGTGTGACCTTGGACAAGTTACTTAACTGCCCTGTGCTTTTGCTTCCTCATCTGTAAAATAGAACAATAATAATAATACTTCACAGTGTTGAGTGAAGATCAGATGATTTGTTAAAAGCTCTTAGAAGAGTAACCTAATACGAAGTAAAATGTATAAAAGTGAAAACTGTTAAGATTGATGTTATCAATGAAGTAAATCTATGCCTGTGAGAATTCCACCTATTGGAATTTGAGGTTAGGGAGGGATGATTACTGTTCCTAATAGCTGGCATATACACATGGACACAAGCAACCCCACGGTTGCTGCCTGTGACAGAGCTTCCAACTTTCTATTGGTGAGATGAAAAGAGCAGAAAGCAACAAAGCTTGGTCAGTTGTAAAAGGGAAAATGCACATTCCCTATGCAGTTGAGCACATGAAAAACTTGATCTGTCAGAGAAATATCAGTTTTTCTTCATTGTCTGCTAATTCTGTCCAGAAAGGACATCTGTTGATGGAGCCCTCAAAACTGGAACAATGTTATGGGACTGAATAATGTGGCGTATTTCCTGAATCTAGAGCTCCTGGACCTTGTTCTGAGCAATGTGGCTCACGCTGAGAGATCTGAGCGTGTGCCTCCACCTCAGCCACAATGCTCCTGAAAAATAACATATGTTTTAGGAGCCTGTAGAGTAGCATTTTTGGAATCGTGACTTTGGTGCTTCATTCAAATAGGACATTGGAAAGCTAGTACAAAAGACAGATGGAGAAAGAGAGAGAGAGGAAGAGAGAGAGTGAGAGAGAGAGAGAGAGAGACTGAGAGAGAGAGAGAAGCACTGTCAGGTTTTAAGGCTTTTACAGAAAACTCCATCAGGACCACAGTCTATCCCCAATCCTATGTATTGTGCTGATGAAAACTTTTGGGTGGCATTTATCATTTATCCCACGTATATTTTATCCTCTCTCCAGGAAAATAATGCGATGTTTGCCAATTACCTTACTGAAATAAAGAGACAGCACAGCTGCACAGCTCAAAGATCCTTTGATCCGTAGTAACTAACTATATGAAACAGTCTTGAGAGAGTTTGGGGCTGTGATTGGTTCTTGAATAATTCTTGCAAGTGCCCATAATCCCTTTACTTTCTTTCCCAAATGTTCAAATCTACCTGTGTAATGCAAGGCCTGAAAACTTTCTAAAGCAAATGGTTGAACTCAGTAGTCTGAAATTTCCAAAATTCACCTTTCCCTTCTCTTTTAAAATTAGGATAGTACTGATCCTTGGCCTGTCTCTGGCACTTTTTCAACTCTTTATGATTTCTCAGATTCTTGACTGCATTTTAAGATCACACCTGCAACTTCTTTTTGTTCCTGGGGTGGAATTACTGAGTTTGAACCAATACTTGAATTTATTTTAAGTGATTGGATTGTCTTTTCATCACCTCACCTGTATTGGATGTTAAGTTGTTCATAATATATCAACCACTGTGGTTCCTAATTTTACAGTTTTATTTGAGTAACGCCCTCATAGAAAACACTTCAGTTTGTTTTGTAACTGCCCTGACAAACCCATTTTTCCAACAGAAAAAACCTTTTTTTTGTGGGGGTGGAAGCAATGGGACCATTTATTGTTTAATACACATTTATTGTAAACTTTGAATTTTCAGGTAAAATGTTGGTGTTAGTCAATGTTGTTGTTGTTTTATTAGAAGGAACACAAATCAACTTAGTTTTAAATCAGAAATCAACTTGATATTGAACCCAGAAGGAATTTGGGGGACATTACTGAGTTTGGGTGAAGCATGGCCTCTTTAGAAACTGGAACCAGGAATTGGAAAATTGTCAGCATTTTCCTGGAAGGCCAGTCACTCCAGATGGCTTTTTTGTTGACTATGCTGGTTCTGTAGAGTGAGTTAGGTAGTGGTCTCTGACGAAGACTGATCATCTGAACTTGAGGAGAGTCTGGTTCGGTAGGTGTGTGGTGGCTTTCAGAATCCAGAAGTTTTAAAGTGCTGCCTTGTCATGCTAATGATGAGTGTATTGGTCTGTTATGAATCACGATGCTAATAAAGACACACCCGAGACTGGGTAATTTATAAAGGAAAGAGGTTTAATTGACTCGCGGTTCCTCATGGCTGCGGGGACCTCACAATCATGGTGGAAGGTGAATGGAGGACTCACATCTTAAATGGTGGCAGGCAAAAGAGAGCTTGTGTGGGGAGCTCCCATTTATAAAACCATCAGATCTCATAAGCCTTATTCACTATCATGAGAACAGCATGGAAACGACCCACCCTCATGATTCAATTACCTACCACTGGGTCCCTCCTGTGGCATGTGGGAATTATGGGAGCTACAGTTCAAGATGAGATTTGGATGGGGACACAACAAAACCATATCAATGAGCCATGTTTGAGAGCCATTGAATTAAACAGTTATTCTCAAACTTTAATCCCCTGAGTGCTTTTTAACACACACATTACTGAGCCTTCACCCTGAGTCTCTGTTCAGTAGTTCTAGGGCAGGGTGTAAGAATCTACACTTCAAGGAGTTCCCAAGTAATGCTGAGGCTGCTGGTCCATGCTTTAGGAATCACTTATCTAAAGGGAGAGCCAGCTGTTGATTGGTATAGAAGCCTGAGTGTGTTACTTATTGTTTTCTAAATTTTAACCTTACCACCACCTGTGTTACTCTCTTCTTGGGAGATCCCAGGCTCCTCTGTGTGGTGCCTCCACCAAAAATACTTAAACTTGTCCAAAAAAAAAAAAAAAACAAAACCCGTAGTTGAGTTTTATGAATAAGTATTGGGCAAGGGTGCATTACTTCAATGTGGCCTAAAAATCCACTACTTATCCTGTCAGTGCTGCCATCCAAAACCAATGTCTGTGAGCTGAGCTGCATTGATTGAGTTTGAAGTCGTCAGCCACCATATCCAGTTTTTACCCTTCAACTTCACTTGCTAGAAGAAAATAGAGGACATAATGGTTTGAAGGCTCTAATTATGGGCTGTGGAAAAGTAGGTGACTTCAGAGAGGAGATCTGGGAACATAAGGAAACATTTTCTCTCTTAGCAACCACATGGAAACCTGCTTCCTCTGTCCCTCTTCACTCCAACTGCCCTAAAGTATAAAGAGAAGTTGCCCCTTTAGCACATATTGAGAAGCTTTATATGGTTCTAGTCTTTCAAAGTAAAAATAGGCAAGCAGATATCTAGCACTGAAGGTGGACTTAGTTTTATAAGCTTCAGATCCTCATTTAGAAAAGCTGTGCATGAATCTTATCGTCACCTTCAAAAGGGCCTGGCAAAATTCTGCATGCCTCGCAAAAGTTGAGAGATGAAACTGGACACCAAGACGAGTCGGCTGTGTCCCATTTTTCATTTCCAATCTGAAATGTGGCTTGCACTTGGTGAATGCTTCGAGTTTCTGATCCTTTTGACATAGGTCTGCCTTGGCTTTTCTGCCTTGACTTTATCACGAATAATTCCTGAGATGCTTCATGCTGGAGAGGAACCATGTTACAGTGGAATTTTGCCTTGGAAGTTGTCTCACTTTTCCCATATAAATCTGGAAGATGAAAGACAAATTTCCAGGAGATAAAATCACAAAACAAAATGGAAAAAAAGAAAAAATAAAAGAAAAAAAGTGTGGTTTATGTCGCATGTTTCTTGCCTCACCTTGGAATTGAAATGGGCTGCTTGCCTTGATTCAGAGTGGGATTTGCTGCAGCTGTGCAGCAAGAAATACCCCAGTACCTGATATCCTTGTAAAATCTTCTTCAGTGCTTGAGATGGGAAAAGGCAACTGCAAGTTTCCAAAGGACTGATGAGCAGTAACCCCACAGATGGATGACTTGCTTGACAACTTATTTAATTACTCCCTGGAAGATGATGATCTTTGGGGAATGAGCATCTTGCTTTGGAGATCGAATTGCCTGCAGGATCGCATCACTGTGTCTAAAATATAGCTTTGGAGAAACTGAAAGAGAACATTCCTTTCTTCCTTCAGCTTCCAAACAGTTTGCATACAGTGGAGGCTTAGGTTCTAATTCTTTAATAAATCACACCATACAGACAGCTACGATTCAGAGGAAACTGTACATGTTAGCAGGCTAGGAGCCATTCTCTCGTCAGAGGGCCAAGATCAAGGGCTTCACTACCCAAGACTGACTCTCGTCTCAGCACCTCCAACTCAGATTTTACTTCTGGGAATCAAGACACATTAGAAATATTTTTTCCCTCCTCTGATCCGCATCATTTATACGCCCAACCTCAATACAGTCCTTGGAGAATGAGCTCATGCAGCCTTCATGGCAAGCTGCCTGATGTTGCTGAGTTTGGTCTCCTCCTTGAAGTGATGATGTCACAGGTACAAAAGCATCTCTCTCATATCTGATGGAGTTTAGGCAGCAAGGACCATTCAGCTGTTTACTTATTCATTTTGCAAATACATGTGGACCTCTACTGTGGGGCACATCTTGAGTCATCTGCTGGAGTACCATTGTGGATGGGACAGACGTGGCTCCGGCTTCACCGAGCTGTAGTGAAGAATGAAAGTCAACACACTAGCAATTACAGAGTAGCATATAAAGGACTGTAAAGAGGTGTGAAGTACTTCAGAAGCTCTACAGAGTAATTGGTGCTCCAGAGGCCAGGAGAATGTGTCACCCACACTTCACAGGAGGGGATCTGGCTATAGTTGGGGATGGAGGAAGCTGTTCTGTAAGGTTTTTTTAGAAGGTTTTTTTTTTTTTTTTTTCCCCAGGCTGAAATCTGGAAAATGTCAGAGGAATGTGGATACACCAGAGGAAAGAAGGATTTGAAAGGGAAGTGAGGGAACAGCATGTACAAAGGCTCAGGGCCCAGAGGAAAGATGAAATGTCCTAGAAAGTGATTTAGAATGAATAGAGTGAACAGTGAAAGCAAGAGTTTGGGAAAGAAGGCAGAAGATCTCCTTACTGACTTATTTTGTCCTGAGGGCAGACAGGAGCCACTGAAAGATTTAATCCATGAAAAAAATCTGATCAGACTTCCCTGCAGTATAAACCGTGGATATGGAAGTAAAGTAATGGCAAATGTGTTCAGTGTTTCCTGCCTACTGGAAATCTGGTATAGAAATAAGTTGGCAGTTAGCTTTAAGGGATGGGGGCACAGTCTTATCTGGAGTTACAGATTTGGGAGATCTTCAACCTGTTTCACATCCAAGGGTGTAGATGACAATCACCTTTGAAAGTATGTGCAGATCAGAAATGATTAAATTCTAGTGGTAAGAATTCCATGGGATGCTTGCTGAAATGAAGGTTCCTGAGCCCCACTCCAGAGATTTTGATCCTGAAGTTCTGGGTACATCATGGGAATCTGCATTTTATCCAAATTCCCCATGTGCTTCTAATGTACATGGTTTGTGGATCAGATTTGGAGAAAATAAAACATAGGAGTAAAAGGCGAAGTAGTCCTGGGAGATAATTTGAAGAGCAGGATGACTGGACTGAATTATCCAGGATTGTTTCCTTAGGGAAGTGTCTGCTGAGTCCCAGCAGACAAGAGCACCAGTTAGTAGTGGACAAAATAAGGATAGGGAAAGCAATTATCAGCCTGCTTTGCAGGCAGCATGGGGTCTTTCAATGAGATTTAACAGGATGAATTTCTTAACACACACACACACACACACACACACACACACGCACGCACACACACATATGCATATGTTATAGGGTGTGTGTGTATAAAGAGAGAGGCTTAAAATAAATAAAAGGTTAGTTTAAGTGGCCTTCTCCATTCCAGTTTGTTAACTGCTTTATAAATACTCACAACTGATGTAGGAGGAGATGCTTCGCAAACCTTGATGCAAAAGAAAATCACTGCCTTGTAGAAGAAATGGCTTTTTATTTGGGCAAAGTTAATGCAAATACGAGAAGAGCATTTTTTTAAGTTTTGAAACTTTTGGAAAAATATTTTAGGATGGCTAGTTCTTTAACTGAGTTCTAACCACTGATGTTTGTTATCCCATGAATTCTTTGGCAACACTGAATGATCAATTGTAATGAAAATTTCCTTTATCTAATTGAGACTAATTGTCTTATGCCACTGTTGTAATAACATGGTTTTAAAAAATATTCTAAATATTCCCTCAAAAGATTTTAATCTGACTTACTGAATTCAAATCTAATCAAAATGAGTAATTTTTATGTAGTCATGACCCTAAGAAGAAGTATTTATTGGTCCTATATATGCCAGGGACTGTTTAGGAAGGTTTAAAGCGAGATACTTTGCTTAGTTTTCACAGAAACCTTTGTATTACCACTGTCAGATGAGGCAATTGTACCTATGGTCACACAACAATTAAATGACCCAGCTTGAACTGGAACCAAAGTCTGGCTCCAAAGTAAATTATCAAAGAATTTGTAGGAGAATTGTGACTCATATTCAGTTTCTAATGCTTTACTGAAGGCAACAGATTACCACCTTTTCCCACTGGCTTATATTCATGGGATAGAAACATAAAGGATATCTAGCAGGTATCTTCTTGATAAACCTCATTCCTGGGGAGATGATTATCCTAAGAAAATACCAAGTTGTCCAAGCTCTACTCATCACTTCATACTTGGTGCCTCCATCCATCCCTCCATCCATTGAATATTTATTGAGTGCAACATGATGCAAAATCTTGAAATGTAGTGGAAAACAGAGATGAGTCCCTTCTCTCAGGGAACTTATTTTCTTGTGGACTGTACAGACTCCTGCATTGTGATGGCAGTGATGAGGTTCCAGTGACCAACAAGTAGTATAAGAATTTGTGGTGAAGACCTTTCTCAAAAAATTTAATAATTGTTCTGCTCCATGGAGCTTATCAATCATGGCTTCTGGAGGCATCTTGGCTTAATGAAAGGTGTACCAGTTGGGTAGAAATTCCCACAGCCCTTTCATCACATGATGGGCCTTTTAGGAATTCTTTCCAAACTACAAGGTTCTGGAAGCTGCTTTAATTTGGAAAATATTAGACTTGAAACTAAAACGATTCCCACTTAGTAAGATTTACTATCTTAGCCTCATTTTGCTGGTGATGCTCTGCAGGGGGCTTCTTCTAGGGATCATTTCCCATGTTTTGCCTTCCCTCGTCCTGTGCCAGCTTTGGGGGAATTCCCAGTGAGGAGTGCTGCTCAGGCAACCTCTTTCCGCATTTCTACAGCCTCTTAGGGCAGAAAAACTCTTGAATCCACGTGGAAATGGAGACTTTAAAATATTCGAGACTGCAAAACATTCAAGGAAGAATCTGAACTTGTTCATAAAAGTTTTCTCTATCAGGAAACTTCAACTCAGTATTTAATTCAAGTCTTTTTTTGAGGCCCTACAGGACACATAATGAACCCCTGTTACAGGCAACTTTCTGAGCTCTACTGCTCAGCCTGGAATAAGAAAGGGCCTGCGAGGTTAATTTAGATTTGGCTTCACTTAACAAGATTATGACTTGTTGAACCAATCCCTTTAAGGTTTGCCAAAAAAAAAAAAAAAAAAAGGAAGAGGAGAAGAGGCAGAAAAGTATTTATCATATTGGCAATATGCTCAAGCAACGCCTTCCTTTTCCCTGCAGTGACCCGGAGTTTGTCTCAGATACAGTAGTTGCCTCATGCTCTCCAGGGTGATGCTATGACGGATCATCCTTCTGGGCTTCCTGTTGGAAGTAAAAAGTGGACAGTAACATATCTCCTGTCATGGAGGTTGACACGTGATCTGAGGGGGTTTAAGCCAATTGGGAATGCTCTTTGAAATGAGCAGTAAAATTAATGAAGACTATTTGAGAAGGCTACAGGGAAGGGTAGAACCTGAAGAATCTTGGGCTCCATTGTACTCGAGAAACATCTTCTCATGAAAGTGGCATCGTTTTGCACATAGCCAAGTTAATCTCCTTCATGTTGTAGGCCTTCAAATTTTCCCAAGTCACACAGAAGAAACAATGGCTTAGTGATAGATAACTTGTTGACCCTGCTCATAGCAGGATCCACTGCTGTCACAGTGTGTCCTCTAAGGCTAGTCGTCATACATCTTGGGGAACCCAGACTCTTCAGGTAAGAAATGTTCTTATTGTAACCCTGGACTGTGAAAGAAAGAGGTCTGATGGCACTAGGGTGACAAAGATTTAGCTTACTCAGTGTGGGAAATAAATCTAGTCTCATAAGGTTGTGTGCCTTTGTGTGTTTTCTTGCTGAAAGAGGAGAACCACTGCCACCGTGGCTGAGGGATGTTAGTCATAGAATCAGCTCCTCTGAGCTATCTGTCCTTCCCCCATGCTTGTCCTGTTCTCTGTCTCTCTCCATGTTTCTGTCTTTGCTGTCCTGAGTACATTCCTCCCAACTTCCAATATCCTTTGCCAAATGTTTAAATCATCTTCAAATCTTCTGAGGAGGGCCTAAATGTATGAACTCCAACTCCTATTATAGAAATTTGACATAGAGATTGGATAAAGAGAAAGTACAGGAGTTTCCAGAGAATACTGGACTATGCCTCCTCCTGTAACACTTTCATAGGAATTGTGTGGCTATCATACAAAACATTTGAAGTGTTCCAAGTTGTGTTTAGAATCCATTTGTGATCACTTGGGTTTAGTTAGTGTTTTGGCCCATTTTATTAAGAGGGAAGTTTCTTTTATATGTCTTTATTCACTTAATGAAGCAGACCACTGAGAATTTAAGATGTAAAAGAATATGTTGGTAGACTTTGTCTTCTGTTAAAGTATGCCAAAGTTGAAAAAAAACAGCCTCCCTTGATTCCAATGGTTATTTTTCAAGAAGAACCATCTTACTACCATAGCTTAATGGAAATTGGATGGAAATCCTAGTCTGAATAAGTTAAAAATCTGATGAGTATTTTACTTTCTTTATTTTTAATGGGTTTTTATTTTTTCAGTTAAATTAATATGTGTGGGTGGATCAGTTGAGGTCAGGAGTTCAATACCAGTCTGATCAACATGGTGAAACCCTGCATCTACTAAAAATACAAAAATTAGCTGGGCATGGTGGCACGTGCCTGTAATCCCAGCTACTGGGGAGGCTGAGGAAGGAGAACTGCTTGAAGCCAGGAGGCAGAGGTTGTAGTGAGCTGAGATTGCACCACTGCATTTCAGCCTGGGTGACAGAGCGAAACTCTGTCTCAAAAAAAAAAAAAAAAAAAAAAAAACAATATATATATATATATATATATATATATATATATATATATATATATATATGTTGGGGAGGGGTATGGTAAAAAAAAAAATCAAATAGTGCTAAAAGTTCATGATGAAACCAGTAATGTCCCATTCCTCTAATCTTTGTTTCTCATAGGTATCCTGTTCCTCATAGGTGACCAATTCCAATGCTTTTAGCTGTTTCTTCTGATGTCTTTCTCCATATCACTCAATTCTATGCATGTACTGCTCTTTCTTGATGTATCAGTTTAGATATGATCTATAGACTTCCTATAGTGGTAGAGATGGATTATTTTAGCTCTTTTGCATTTTATTCTCCTGACTAACCTCATTATCTTGCTATGTCACATTCTGATACTAATGCTAATAATAATACAAATCCTGAATATGCAAATATGTATCAAAATCCCAGGCTCTGCCCTCAGATTCTGATACAGTAAGTACAAGGTGAATTCATTTTATGCAATGAACTTGTTTTTAGGGAGTGACTTGGATAATTCTGATGCAGGTGCCCAAAGAAAGAAAGTTTCTCAAATAGGAGAAACTTGGGCTTAGAGTTTTGCTCTTGATTCTTTGCTAGGTGTCAGGTAATACAGTTTTCAGAATTGTCAAGGATATAAAGCTGTAGTAACTTGTAAGCAATGATTCAGGTGTTCTATTTTAATGAATAAATAAAAGGAATCTGTAGACTTCACGCAAATTGTTTGTATGTAGTCATGTAATTGCTGTTTATAAACAAGCTTGAAAGTGGTTTGTTCTTCCTTAAAGACAGCAAACATGGTCCTTCCAAGACAGTTTGCCATAAACTTTAACTTGACCTTTTAATCAAATGACTTATAATATTTTAAATGATATCTGAATTGCTTCCTTTGATTTTTAAATATACATTTTCATTTGCCTGAGAGGCTGTGGGGAAGGAAGTAGAGGGTAGGTTCTGCAAGTTGAAGTTCAATCAAGCACAGGGTCAGGCACATAGGAGAAAGACCTCCACAGCCCAGCTTCAGGCGAATGGTGGGTGTCTGGGGCCTGAGATGATATAGGGGATCCCAGGAGGGCTGAGCCTTCTTTTAGGAGCCGAGAGTGCATGGTATTCACACATCCAGCAAGGCAAGTGTCAGATCCTCTTTAGGAAGTTCTAGCTGCAAGAAGGAGGATCTACCCTTTAGTCTGTGATTTAGGGGCAAAGAGAGCAGTGGTTGTAGGTCTCGGATGCTAGGCAATTAAGTATTCAATGACTAAAGGAGTGACTGAGGCAGAAATCCAGCCTGAAAGCATGAGCCAGTGTGGGTGAGAAGAGATCGGGAGACTCAATTAGCACTTAGTACTCATTGCAGGTCTCAGGCATGTTTGCTTATGAACCAGATTTGTGGAATAGCAGGGGAGCCTGGAGTGTGTTCTTGTGCTGCATTCCTAAAAGGACAAGCGCTGGATATAGAGCCCCAGGATATTTTTAAACTGCCTGTTCGTTTTTTGCATTTATTCAGAAGCTGGAACAGGTCTATCAGTTGACTTGTCCAGCTTCAGCTCCAGGGAGTGTGTGAGGGCAGGGTCAGGGTAATGAGTTGGTCTGGAAGCCGATACCTGTGGTCAGGAGCTGTCAGGATGAAGGCTGAAGAACTCTTTTGGAGTTTCAGGCACAATTCTGGACTCCCTACTTTGGGTTCAACGTTAGAATAGTCCTTTGTGGCCTGGCATGGTAAAAAGGATAATTCGGGATCCAGTCCCTCTGGTGAGCTGGGATGATGGTAATGGGGTTGAGACTGGGTGATCCTCTTTCTTTAGCCCTGATTAGTCTGGAAGCTAGGTTTAGGTTGTGGCTCTGGGGATCTGGATTTGGATCAGTGGTGGGGAACAGGATTAGGGACAGTCAGGGGGATGAGGCAAAAGGATGATTTTATTGGACAGCAGAGACATTCAACTATCATCATTGTCATGCATCACAGGTTTTCCATTGGATTATTTCCTCTTCGTGGATCAACTTAATGCAAAGATTAAATAGGTTTTGCAATGAGGGGAATATTTAAACTTCTCATGCAGTTTTCTTCAGATCAGACCTCTAAGCAAGCAGCTGAAAAGCCATGTTGTTGACTTCAGCACACCAGGTCTGATTCTTTTAGTTCCTGGGTTACTTAAAACAATGACCATCTTCTGAGGATGCTCTGCTTAAAGCATACTGGGGAAGGAATAGCGGGCTTCTCAGGGCCATCAGATTGATTACAAGAATTCAGAGTTACTAAAATGAAAATGGCCACTGTGTTTATTTATACAAGTGCTTTGTTGGTCTTCTAAGTTGAAGTTGATGACAGATGTGTTTTTAGAGAAAAAGTGCAAACTCCAGAGACATAAGCATCTGTTCTTTCTCAGCCTTGCCTCTTAGGCTCATACTTCATTTTTTACCCACACAACAGGCTTTATTTCTATCTACTGAATACCTGAAAATATGGGTGTAAATGACTATTATGGATTCTTGACAGTTTTACTGGAACAAAACTCATGTTTTCTGGCTTTGATGGCCCATATTTGGCTGGCTCCGTGGGTGGCTATTGACTTCCTCTTCCTTGCTTTGTAGCCTATATGGCATCGCAGTCTGCAAAGTGAGCTTGCTGATGTAAGTGGTGATGTATGGTGTTTCCCTGGGACCGTAGAGTTCATTTGCATGACCCAAATGTGCTGCTAAACTTTGGTCTGCTTATCATGGTTATGAGAATTACTGCATGAGGTAGATTTCAAGAATGTAAAAGTCAAAGCATTTATATAAGTCAGCAGTTCTCAAAGTGTGGTCAGTGGACCCTTGGGAGTCCCCAAGACAGTTCCAGGGGGTTCACAAGGTAAAAACTATTTTTATTATAACACAAAGACACTATTTGCCTTTTTGACTATGTTCACATTTGCTCCGATGGTGAGTAAAAGTGCTGGAGTCAGCACAGAGCAAGACAATGACATGAGGTGTACTAGTTGTCATTTGTTATTCACCACTGTGTACTTTCAGTAGCAAAGAGAAAGAAAAATGCCATTTTTCACTTAAAAATCTCCTAGATGAAACTAAAAATTATTAGTGTTTATTAAATGTTACTCTTGAATATACCCCATTTAAACATGAGAAGTATGCAAAAAAAATTGATTGCATATTGAAATTCAGTGAATATCTAGAGGAAAAACACTTATGTGTTTATTTGAGTTGTGAACTGACCCAACCGCTATTTTCATGGAATTCCATTTTTACTTGAAAGCATGATTTGACAGACAAATTATGGTTATTAAGAATTGAGTACTTGGCAGACATTTTCTCAAAAATTTTTTAAAAAATGAGCATGTCATTTCAAGGAAAACAAGTGGCAGTATTTGTTGCCAGTGATAACATTTGAGCTTTCAAGTGAAAATTCAAATTTTGAAAAATTTTTATCTCTCTTTGTGAGCTTGACAGCTCTGTAATACTCATATAATTATCTGAAGAGATGCTATTAAAAATGATTTATTTTTGATATTTTATAATGAAGTATACCAATATTTGGAAGATCTGCCCAAATCAATATATTCCACATGACTGATGCATGCTGTTACAAAAAATAATGCATGGGTAGAATATCCACTCAAAGTACAAGATAGAGCAATACATTTTAATATAGCAGAGAATGGTTCATTGATATGGTTTTATATTGGTATAATATCAAAGAAGAGTACCCACAATTATACAAAATTGCTATTAAAACCCTCCTCTATTTTAAAACTACATTTCTGTGTTTAGGTTGGGTTTTCTTTTGATGCCACACCCAAAACAACATATTGCAATAAACTGAATGAAACAAATAGGAAAATCCAATGTCTTTTATTAAGTGAGACATTAAAGAAATTTGCAAAAATTTAAAACCATTCCATACTTCTCACTAATTTTTTTTGTTTTGGAAAATACAGTTATTTTTCATTAAATTGGTTATTTATGTTAGCATGAAATGGGTTTTTGTTATTTAAAAGGAACACTTAAAAATTTCTCAGTTTTATTTCTAATGTAGTAAACATCAATCTGTAGATAAGATATAACTCAAGTCAACCAAAACTCTTTGGTAGGTTCAATAATTTTTAAGAGAGTAAAGGGATCCTGAGATTAGAAAGTTTGAAAACCACTAGTCTAAGCTATACTTTTCATATGTGATGGCATCAACTAAGAATTCATATCTAGTTTACATACAGTCCAAATCATTTTTTCTGTTTTTTTTTTTTTTTTTTTTTTTTTTTTTTTTGTAGCATTACCATTGTCCTTTGGTTTCTTCGTATTTGTCCAGAAATGTCCGTAAGATGTCTTTGCTGGTCCTCAATCTTGATGCTTCCAGATATGCACATTGTGTACCTAGGAGGAGGCACTAACCGTGGGTTCTACTCACCTGAAGCAGAATAGAGGAGCCTGTGTAGAGTAAACACAAATTGCCAGTGTCTTTTCTATCTGGCCAACTCCTCCATGTGGAGAGATGGACAGCTAAGCTGAAGACATGGCAATTAGTATATTGCCATGAATGATTTAGGCTGAACGATTCTACATGAAGCCTTTCTTATCTAAAGACAGAATTAGAATTTGGAAAAGTGATTATGAGTTTATGATGAAGAATATTGTCATCATGGAATATTAAATGGACAATAAAATGTTAATTATGAAAAATGAAAAGTACATGCTGAGATTTCAAGTAGGGAAGGTAGAATACTCAATGGTATTGCAGTCTGTCAACAAAAACTTGTGACTGTTTCTTAGAAAGAAACATTGTGCTAGACACTGGGATATGGTGGTGAGCAATTGACACAGTCTTTGACTATAGATATAAAATTGTTTGTGCATGTTGTGCCAAATTTGAAGATCAAAAGTGAGAATGAAAATAGATGATTGGGAAAGCTGGTTCAAACCTCTCATATTTTTTCAAATTAATGTGTTTTGTTGATATTATTTTAATTTCAGCGTTGGGGGACCAGGCTAGAGATGGGAGTGAAATTCATGCAATTCAGCAATCTCCACCCCTGCCTCATCAGAAGAGCATGGCCCACATGGAGGAGAGGCAAAAGGAAGGGAGCTAGCTCTTGCTGCTCCCAGCTTGTTGTCCTTGTCTAATCCCAAAGCTCCTGCTTTACTGTTTTCCTTGTTTACTCAGCTCCTTGACCCAAACCAACCCAGTCTCAGCCTCACTTGTGGCCCTATGAGGTCCCTGCTAAAGAGACCTACATGGGGTAAACAAGCTTTTTCTTTGGATCTTTATTTCTGCCATTGCCACCTACTGAGGATTCTATAAGGGATCTATTTGTTTCAAATGTATCACTTTTTTAAGGCCTCCCAGAGCAGGACTAAGGGGCAAAGTTTGCTAGGCTGAAAAAGACAGGAGAAAGACCTGGCTGAAATATTCCTCAGGATAGCCTACAAATACCCCTTTTAAAGGCATGGAAACCACATGTCCCACATAATATTCCTGGGGAATTTGTAGCCAGCTATGTTTTCAGAGGATGTGGGAGGTAGAGTTTTTATACTATGGTTATTTATAAATATTCCAGAAATGCCAGACATTGGTAGGGTGACCTGGTTTATAGAATTGGAAAAGGGTCATGTTGAAACCTAGAATTCTTTTCTTTTTTCTATAGTTAAATGAATAAAAGTTCCAAAAATTCAATTCAATTCTGAGCAGGAATCTTGATGTAGCTTGTATTAACAAGAGTGGTTTTTGGAATTCATAAAAATATAATCTTAAATGGAATTTGAAGACCATATTATTTGATATCATATATATATAGGTGGGAAGACAAAGGTTTTGGGGCATACGATCGATTACTCAATATATAGACTTGTTTAACTAATAATTGTCAGCAAGAAATTTGCCTCAAGGAGGAAGAAACATACAGCTATAGAACCTTAGGAAAGACCTATAGTAGTAAAATTGAAGTTGATCAGCATTTTCCAAATTGTGTTTCCCTTTATATCACACCAGAATATGTTCAAGTGCCATGGCAAAAGGGTTCTATGGTCAAATAAGTTTGAGAAACACCATATCCTGTATTTCCCCAATGGAATATCCATATTTGTTAAAAGATTTTAAAAAGCCGTCAATGAAGGAACCTATTTAACTTTGTTTAACCCAACATTACTCATTTCTTTGTAGAAGTCTTGTGTCATGGAACCACCGTTAACATCTTATGAAACAGGGTTCTCTGAAGTACTAGTTTAGAAGATGCTGCAGGAGATTATTGATAGAAATTACATTGATTTTTTTTTTTTCGAGATGGGGTCTTCTCTGTTGCCCCAGCTGGAGTGCAGTGGTGCAATCATAGCTCACTATATAACCTGGACTCCTGAGCTCAAGTGATCCTCCCACCTGAGGCTACAGGCACTGCCACCATGCTTGTCTAATTTTTTATTTGTTGTAGAGACAGGGTCTCGCTATGTTGCCCAGCTGGTATCAAACTCCTGGTCTCAAATGATCCTTCTACCTTGGCCTCCCAAAGTGCTGGGATTACAGGCCTGAGACACTGTGCCTCCCTATACATTGATTTTTTTGATGGAAAGATTTGGCTAATCTGAGCTACTTGTGTCTCTGAGGAAGACTGAGGTGAATGTTGGCAGGTGTCAAGGAATTCTCATTGTCTTTCACGTTAGGTCAAGTCCTTCATGTGGACAAAAGGACAGCCAGGCTGGGAATACGACAATTAGCTGGAAGAATTCTGTGTGCAAAAGTCACAGTTATCTATTTCATCCTTCCTTCTAGACCTCAGATGGATTGTGGTTACTGCATCCATCAGTGCTGTTTTTTTTCTTTCAGAAAAGACATTTTAAAAATGGTAATAGTGGCCTACTATAACTGCGGGGTTGCCTCACACGTTAATAGGGAACACCAATCTGTTTGTGTCATTGGTAAAGGATGTGTGTCAGCATGTGCTGTTTTTCACAGTGAGATGAAATGATTATCCCCCAGCCTCCAAACAAACCCCTCCTTAGGAAAACAAAGACTTGCAAGATTATTTTATAAAATCTGTGTTGAACTTATATAAATATATTGTGACAGCAGCTGTCATACTGCATATATCAAGAAAGTGCTTTGAAACTTTATGCAAATACATGGGTGATGTATACACTACTGTACACCCCAAAGACTACCCATGTGTTCTTGGTGCCAAGGAAAACACAAATGTTCTCCTAACTTTTCAGAGGAAAAGTCACCACAGCTCTGTACCTTTCATAGCCCCGTTCTCTTGGCCAGTGAAATATACTTTGACTGGCTAAACCCAAGGACAGTGAGGTGGGGAAGAGGGTGCCAGAGGTTCATTTTTAATTGATAACACTTATAGAGCAAGCACTGTGCTGGGCACTTTAAGCACATTGTTGCATATAATTTTCACAACAGCTTTGCGAGGAAAATAGCATTGTTTAGAGATAAAATAACCAAGACTCCAATTAAATAAACTCCCCAAGGTAACTCATTTATTATTTTATGGAGCTGCATGGCATTTAAAATTAATTTGACCATATATATATATATATATATATATATATATATATATATATATATACACACACACACACACATATATATACACACACACATATATATAAATATATCTTATATATAAATATATATGTGTGTGTGTGTGTATATATATATATATAAAATAGTTAACATTTATTGAGCATTTACTATGTGCCAGATACTGAATTAAAAGCTTTACCTCAGTTGTTCTGTTCTTTTCATGAACTCTATGAGACTGAATACTATTGTTCTTCCCAATTTACAAATGAAAAAATTGAAGCTTAGGAGAAGTTAATTAACTTTGGTGCAATACAGCAAGGAATAGAACTGGGAATCTGAAGGAGCTCTTAACCCCATGAGTTTGTTCCCTTAACCATATGTACTTCCAGCTTTCCTCCTTGATTTAGAATCTGGAACGATTTCCTGGTTTGTATTGAGTTTAAGCCATAGATCTTCTCGTGTCATCAGGAAGTAGGGTTTCCATAACATTTTAAAGTCATTATTTTTCCTCAAAGTTTTGATTCATCACCCATTATCTGGAGTATGGTATAAGTTCCGCATGCATGGATATTGTTATTTCTACAAATCGAATGATAGAGAAGATTTGGAGTCTTCAAGAGTATTTTGATGCAGACACCTCACATATTAAGTATTGGATGAAAGAAATGTCCTCTTTACACAGATTCGTAGCTTTTTGCTTATACTATTGGGCTACATGGGTAACTGTGTACCCTTTGGAGTTCGGAATGTTTGAGAAGAGAATCCTTTAATATTTTTACCATGAACAATTTTGTTTCAAACACTGCTCCTTTCATTCTCAAGTTTTAAGAATGCTTCTGCTTTTTAAAGTAAAATTCATCAGACCCTCCAAGAAATATTAATGTTGAACACTTTGCTCTAGTGGTTTCCCGTTTCCCTACCATGGCATGTTTTATTAGTGTTGGAGTGAGAACAACCATTTTCCAGCAGGACTGATTCTAGAGAGTGGGCCACTTTTCATTTCACAGTTAGAGGCTGAGAGGATTTGAGAAAGAGGGAACAAGAATTAATCCTCAAGGCTGCAACAGGCCAAACCAGGTCAAAGGCTCAGTAGATCATACTTTTTGTCCTAGACCACTGGAAACACTTTCCTAAAACAAAAACACTAAATGGTCATTGTATATGGAAGTCCACACAATGCATTTTAGGCAAAGTATATAATATAAATGGGAGCTATTTTCTACCTCAAGAATTTTTGGAAGGAGGATGGAGACCTTTTGTCTTAGAGTTTCATTCACAGAGTCCATAAACACTTATCAGGTAGCTACTTATAACAAAAAACATTTAATGTACCATCTAAATATTAAGAGAAATACCTCACTGAAAGGACAATATCTATAATTCACAGACTTGGGAATGTGCAGGACATTCTTCACATCAAAAATATGTTCAGCCACTCGGAGCTAGCAATGTTCTGATCATGAGTTGATTATGCACATTGAGTTATTTGTTTATATCAGTTCTCTGAACTTGGCAACCACATGTAGTACCAATGGATGAGGCTCTTTATAAACAATATAGACCACCTTAAGAAGTGATTTTCTGGATTTCCTGGTTAAAAAAAAAGCTAAGTGTTCAGCCTTCAGTATGTAAGCTTTCACTTAATCTGCCTGTTTTTAAGACACTACCATCAACTTTAAGTTAGGCTGGTAGAATAAAATGATGATCTTTCTGAACTTCTATGTCCCTTAATTCTGGACATTTGCCCCAAGAATATTCCCCTTCAATACTGGTCTTTGAAGAGAGCCCTGGGCATTTTCTGAGGGACTTGCCCTTGGGCATTGACCACAGAAGCCTTGACATCTCTTTTAAGTAGATTGGGCATTCCTGGATTTCTAGTCAAAGGTGGCCCTCCACTTGTCTTCCGTTATCTTCACAGGATTGTCTGTGGTTTTTAGTGCAATATTTAGGGTACTTCTGGTAAGCCCTTAAACTTCTATCCTTCTAGTTATGGTCTTAAAAAGAAAAAGTCCTGAACTGCTGTCGTTTTCTGTATCATTATCTGAAATAAGGTACTAACTAAGAATGTTCAGGTAGAATTTTCTTCTATTTAACTGGTTTAGACTTGTGTTTCTCCATCCTTCTTGAGAAAGACCTTTGGAGTTAAGCATGTTGTCACAGTTACGGAGCTGTGGTCCACTCAGACCTCACCCATGATCATAAGCTTTCCATCCAGCCATGGCCTCACTGAGGTGCTACTCCCTTCTGGCGTCTCAGCATGTTCTGGCCAAGATTACAAGACAATGCTTCTGAACCTGGCCTAATATTATTCCAGGAGAACTTCAATTTAATATAACTTATTGGCCAAACACTTCTTCTTTCTGCTTGGCCAATACATGAATCAATTTGTCAGAGAATATGCCTTGTGGATTTGTGCTATACTGCCAAATGCTGAGCATTGCTGACATAGATCATCTTTCAGTAGGAAGATGGAGAGCCTTCCTAGAAAGTCGGAGTTCATGATAGAGGAAATACCACTTTCCTGAGCCGGAAAAGATTCCCTCTTCTGCCATGTCTGTCTGCTGTTGTGCCCTCTGTTTGATGTTGCCACCATTTTTCCAAGCACTTTGGTTCTCAGCCTGGCACAGCCACTACTTCCACCATCTTTGCACATTTCAGCTAGTGTCCTGGAGGCCTCAGATGACAAAGCAGTATGGAAGTCTCCACTGAAGTGGCAAGGGCCAATATCACTTTCCTTTTTCTGTGTTCTACTCAATTATAGGACACCTAAATCAGTAGGGCCTATACTTGAATCTCACAAAGATTTTAGTTAAACAATTCTTTTGTGCTTTTACTTTCAGTATTCTTTCTCCTCTAGGAGAATACAGGCATCTGTGGTACTGAACTTGGGATGATGTGAGTGACAGATGCCAAGTTATGTTGGTGATAGCATGTTCCTTCTGTCAGGCTCAGTCAGTAGGTGATTCTCTTGTTGTTCATCTCTTCCTCCCTCAGGGTGGATTTTCTCTCAGGAGAAGCCGATGAGTGAACCTCTCCCTTTCACTGGACCTGCCCAGACATGTCAGAACACTAGCTTTGGCTCATGCTGGGACCCCCCACCACAGCTGGTGCCAACAGACTGTACACTTGTTTTTCTTTGATCATATATGGCCTAGATTAGGATAGTCCCAAGAGCTTGCCAAGATTGGGTTGCAGCCTGTCTCAAAACACAAACTTAAAATTGTTTGACAAGACCAATACCCAGGAGCATCATGAGTTTGAATGAATAGTGCCGGAAACCTCTAGTCTCTCTGCGCAGTGTTCCTTGATGGAGGCCACGGAGTGTTTACTATAGAACTTCATGACATTGTACTTACAACATTTTAGATTTTGTTAAAATTTTAGGAAATTGCCACCTGATACAAATTAGAGAACTGCACATAACAATGGATACCAAATAGATATTTTGGATTTATTTCATTTAAAGACCATAGTGTCTGACATACAGAAACTCAAATGTATATTGAAAGGGTGAACAAAAAGGATGCCGTGACTTCAATTGCTATTTAGAAATGAAAATGAAGTTTAAATGTAATCTTATTTTTCCGTAGTGTGCTCAGGCATACTAAGGAAAACCTCAAAGACTTCTAAGTATAATTTTGTCAATACAGTGAGAGAGATTCAGGTATATCTTAATTAAGAGTCATTCATGTCAAGATAACAGATATTTTTTGTACCTCAAGAAACCTCAATGGAGCACAAACATTTTTGAGTTATTTTCAGCTTTAACTGACAACCCAACAAGAAGGTGTTTAACTGAAAACCAAACACTTCTGATGTTACTCTGGCCTCACTGTGTGGCTAGGCACTGTGGAAGACAGAAGAAATATTAATGAATATGGCTTCTGCCCTCTGTGAACCTTCAACCTACTTTGGGACAAACGATAAACCCATATGAAGCATTGTGGGAACAAAATAAAACAATATAAACTATTTTAGGTAGCCAGAACTTAAAGGTCAACAGAAAGTTTTAGGAAAACAGTTCATTGGTGATGTCTTGGGTTTCTGTCTCTGCAGTTCCGTATTTGTAGAAGTCTTGAGCAGTCAAAGGCCTCCGTTCGGCTTTCTTCTTAGTGCCTATCCAATGTTGTTGTGATGTAGATAGCCTGGGGAACATGAAAAAATGCCCTTTCTCCTGCATAATGGTGTTATTTCCTTCCTTTTAGGAATGGCTCATAACTCATAGGAGGTGTGAGTTCTAAATGATTGTTCTTTTCATCTGCCTGGAAGCGGGCCAGGCTGTAGATAAAGCGTTTGATGTGTCAGCAGTAGGCTTGTAACAGCTTTGACTACTTCCGTGATGATGAAAGTTTGAACTTTGATAAAAATGGCAAGAAAAGGAAAAGGGCTCATTTTCTTCCTTTCACTTTTTTTTGTTTGTTTGTTTCTGGGCAGCAGTTGAGAAACATCCTACCAGGGTGGTCTGCAAGGTCTCCAGGAATCTGAAATATTAGGAGGTGTTCTCCTGTGGATTTACTTGTTTATTTATTGATCGTTTCAGAGAGGGAACACCCAGGCTCAGAGGCATGGCAGGAGCTGGCTGTCAGGGCCCTTATCAGCAGGCCCCGCCTCTCCTCCAGTTTCAGCTCAGTTAGCCCTGGAAGGGGAAAGACCTTGCTGGGGGCAGATCACTGAGTCCAGCTATCATTCAGCACCTGCTTCCACACACCACACAATCTAGGGGTGCAAATCTACTCAGACTTCCAGAGCTTTGCCTCTCCTCTCGGTTCCCAGGGCATTTGTTTAGAGATCTCATCTGAGCTTGGGCCTATAGGGTGGGCTTATCTTCCTCATTCTAAAATAGACAAAGAGGAAAGTAAAATAGCTGTGGACACCCAGAACCAGTTGGAATTTGCCTCAAACAATATCGCAGTCTTTCATCAGTGATTTGTGTGTCTGCCTGAGTGGAAAGCCTGAGTTGGTGGAAGGAGAAGAATTTCTTTCTTTTTCAAAGAAAAAACGTAAAAGAAAACAAACACATGAACAAACAAACAAGGAAAACTGCCATTCAGCTAAGTGGCAGGAAGAGCTAAGATCAAGGACTCCAAGGGGAAGATGAGGCCAATTTTACCTTTAAAAATGAGACTTAAGCAAACACAATAACCAAATCCCCTTTTCAAATGGAGTTTAGTGGCTGGGCAGTGGGGCTCACACCTGTAATTGTGCTTTGGGAGGCTGAGGCACGAAGATTGCTTGAGGCTGAGAGTTTGAGGTCACAGTGAACTATTATTGCGCCACTGCACTCTAGCCTGGGTGAGAGAGACAAGTTGTCTCTTAAAAACAAACAAACAAAAAAGGGATTAGTGGAACTATGGTAAAGACATTTCCATCATGTATTTATTTAATAATCTAATATTTGCTTTATGAAATTATGATCTTTGGCTCTGCCGCTGTATGCAGTTGAAGTTTAACACTGTCTCTATAGCCAGGCTGGACCTGCTCACTTGTGCAGCTGTAGAAAGAAGGCATCTAGCTGTGCTATTCACAGGCTGAGGCCTCACAGTGCCTGCTCTGTAACCCCTCCACCGAGACCGGTTGAGGCATTTTTCTGTAAGAATCTTGAAATATAGCAAACATGGTTAAACTCTTTGGGAGTCATCTAGCTGACCATGAGAGGACATTGATGTCCCTGCAGGGCTCTGTAGCCTGGGCCAGAGGGTGCCTGGCCAAGTCCCACAGCTTAGTGGGAACTTCAACTTAAGGGGTTGGTGCTGGCCAGCAAGACTGGCATAGCGCCCCTGAAAAGACCTGTTGGCAACAAAGACAGTTTTCTTACTTCATTAACACCGAAAGTTGCTCCTGAAGCTGTCCATCAGCGCTTATAATTTGCCTATGACAAAAGGAGAGGGCGAATAAGACGAAAACATTGGATTGTCTGGTTTGAATTTCACCTTCTAACTAGACATGGGTGCAGGAAGAAGAAAAAATAAGTGGATGTGAACTTACTCAGATCGCAAGCCATAAGACCAGGATTTAAATCGAGCTTCTTGGCTATCTTTTCCTTAGGAAAGCATTAGAAACACTAGCTTTTTTGGTGAGGTGTGTTGTAGTCACATTAGGCCTGAAATATGACATTTGGGACTACACAGAGAAATTAAATGTCATTTATTTAATAATAATTAGGGTAGGCAGAATAATGCATCCCCTGGCCCCAAGATGTCCATGTCCTAATCTCCAAAACCTGTGAAGGTGACCTTACATGGCACAAGAGACTTTGCAGATAGGATTAAGTTAAGGACCTTGCGATGGAGAGGTGACCCTGGATTCTTTGGGTGGGCTGCCCACTTACAATAGTACTTATAAAAGGGAAGCAGGAGGGTCAGAGTCGGAGGAGATGTGATGATGAGCAGAGAGCACAGTCAGAGGGAGGTCTGAAGGTGCTGCACTGATAGCTTTGAAGATGGAGGAGGGGGCCATCAGCCATGGAAGGCAGGCTGCCTCTGGAAGCTGGAGAAGGCAAGGAAACAGATTCTTCTCTAGAGCCTCCAGAAGGAATGCAGCCTGCTGATACCTGGATTTTAGCCCCATGAAACTGATTCCAGACTTCTGACTGTAAGAAAATAAGTGTGTGTTGTTTTAAGACACTCCATTTGTAACTTATCATAGCAGCAATAGAAAACTTAATAAAATAATATAAACAATAATAACAATAATGCAGTTATACTTAGAAACATTAATTGGCATGCAAAATAAAAGGAATTTGTTTCAGGCTTGGTTCTCAAGACAGGGCATTAGTTCATAGTTCTCTTAATAGGTCGTGAAGTACAAAAGGGTTTTTGTTTTTGTCAGCCCCATAGACCCTTTCTCAGGGGTCTTTGTTTGCTATTTTTATGGGATAAAATCAGTGTCTTCATCGAGCTTTGCTGACATGTTCTTGAATATCTATGTATAGAATCAGAGTTGAGTTTTATTTCATCACTTGGATACCAAAACTCATATGTAGCCATATGTCCAGGTTTTGGGGGTCAGAAAGCTTCCAAGATCCTCACAAATTTTTATGATAAAGCCTGCATTGGTTTCAGCACAGACTCCTTGGAGAAGCACAGTTCTACCCTGTCAGCTCTGATCACAGCTCTGTCTCCACCCGCACTGTTTCTCGCTGACCTCTTCCTTCACAAGCCTGAAGAAAAGTGGCTTCCAGCCACCAGGGAAGTGAATTGAGGCCTGTTCTTCTCTCACTGAGAACTGTTCCACTTGAAAAATGGGCTTCATCCTTCAGAACACTTGTCTTGAGCACATGTTAGAAGCTATGATGTGTGCTAGCTGCTGGGGGAATGAATAAGATAAATAAGCTTTAAGTCTTACTTACTGGAAGCTCATGCCAGTGAAGCATTTGGCAAAGCACAGTGCCTTGGACAGAGGCATTTAATTCATCCAGGAAAGTTATTAAAAATGCGCATTCCTGGACTGTGGTTTGAGGAATCATTGGCCTAGTACTCTAGTTCTCAACTGGAGGTGATTTTGTTTCCCAGGGGACATTTGGCAATGTCTGGAGACATGCTTCATTGTCACAATCAGAGAATGAAGGGTGCCACTGCCATCTAGCAGGTAGAGGCCAGGGATGCTGCTGTACATCCTACAGTGCATAGAACAGCCTCCAAAGCAAATAATCACCTGACCCCAAATGTCAGGAGTGTGAAGGTTGAGGAACTCTAATCTAGTGGGTAAGACACACAAATACACACACACACACACACACACACACACACACACACACACTTATACCACTGTGGTGTATACATGCCCAGATGTATCCTACTATAGTGTGTGTATATGTGTATGTATATGTATATGTATATATGTGTGTATATCTATATAAACACCTCTGTTAATGTTTTTAAAGTATTATATGCTCTGGGGCAGTAAGTGCACTGCCCTCTAGCTCTGTCTGAGAAATCTAGGGTGGGCTGAAAGCTGAGTTCCCACACTTGGCAGCTCATCAGGAACACATCTTGTATCAGTCAAGGTCTCATCAGGAGGCATAAACCATACCAGTTATTTGAAAATAGAGGATTAAATATAAAGAACTATTAACTAGGTAACTGAATGGCAAAAAGAGAATTCTAAGTTATTGTGACAATGCCACCTACTAGATGATACCACCACCTCTAGGGTCGGGGAACAATGGGATGAGAGTAGAATTATTAAAACTTAGAGGAGGGGCTATGTGGAGCTGAAATTCAGACTTCTGAGGAGGGAGTGCCAGCTGGCTGGAGTAGAATGTTGAGATGAAGCTGGTTTTACTTGCATGAAATGTTGGAAAATCTCTAAACTGGGTTCAGTTGCTGATGTGGGAAGGAAGTGCTGCTGCCTGGTGAAGAAGCATTAATGGGGACAGGAGGCCAAGGGAAACAAACAGAAGGAACCAGTCCCTTATCTGGTGCCCCTATAGGCAGAGCCTATCTTGGACTAAGCTAGCAAAGCAGAAATGTGGCATGCAGAGCCTCAGCTTCAACACCAGAAAGCAAAGTGCGAATTAGGTTGTGTGGGTTTGGAGTCCAGAGACAATAGCTTAGTGACGACTGAGACATAGTTGCAGCTTTAATAAAATACAGTTGCCTGGGTTCTGCATTAGAATCTTGGACATGAAGCTGTCAATAATTTTTTTTTTTTACAAGAGTCCTGTGGGTGATTCTGACCCACTGCCTAGATTGAGCACCCTGAATAGAATGAGGAGCCACTAAAAGTTTTAAAGCATGGAAATGGCCCATTATTATTTGTAGATTCAAAAGCATGTTCTTTCAACTGAGTGGAAGAGGTGAGTAAAGGTCCTGTGTTAGTGGATTATAAATTAGCTATGGGGATGGTGAACACTTTATCTTCTTCCTAAGAGCAGAAAGAGAGAAGTCCCAAACTTTCAGATTTCCATATTAGGGGCATCTTGTTTAAAATGTAAAAGAGGGAGAGAAGGAAAGAAGGGAGGTGGGAGGAGAAGACAACATGAAAGGAAAAAGCCCTGGAGGCAAAAGGTGATGCATAATTTGGATTTTATCTAAGTAAGTAACAAAAATGTGGGCAATATATTTTATCTAAGCCATTTTGATAAAAAGCAGACATAAAGCTACAACCAGCATCTACCAGGGAAGACACAAGAGACGTCTAGAAGGAGAGAAAGTTCTGGCCATCGCTTTGATTATACTTCACACTCCAGCTGAGAAATTGTGCTGTGGTCTTTGGAAGGAAAGGCCCTATTAGATGGAAATAACTCAGCTTGGATGTTAGAACTAAATTTACATTTCAACCCTGCCACTTACTTGTTGGGTGGCAGATTTTCTGAGCAATTTCTTTAAGGCTTAGAGGCTCATTCTCTGCTGTAGGGGTGACAAAAGCATGCCCACAGGGTCTTCTGGAGACTTACGTAAAATGATAAAAGTACCTAAGCACAGTACCTGGCACAACCCAGGCTTGTCACTCACTACCTATTGGAGGTGTCCTGTCTCCCCTTGTCTACTCTGCTACTGTCCCCTCAGTCTGCCACCTCATCTGCTGTCACTCTTCTGCTTTGATTTGTAGATTAGACTATTCTTTGCAGACCAAAAACAGGGAAAACCAAATCTGAAAATCTTTACTCCAGGAAGTTAAGTGTCATGCTCTGTAAACTTAGCAAGATACAGTTCTAGGCCAAAGTAAGGCATGGCTAAGGACATTCATGGTTTTTGGTGAAGCTTTTTGACCCAATTTGTAATTCAGACTGGTTGCTTTGCTCACATATCAACTTTTCATTACAGGCTGATGTGATGTAAGATTATGGACCACACTTAAATCCTTTGCACTAAAGACGTATTTCTCCCCTACACTGCCCCCTCCAACTTCTCTCTCTTTTCTTCCCACTTCCATCTCAGAAGCAACTCTAGAGAAAAAAATAGAGAACTCTATTTTTTTCCCCAAAGAATTTGGCATAGGAAAAATTGCTCTAGAATGTGGAAGAGTGTAGCTGAGTCATTGTAACGGGTTAGCACTGCACTACTCTGCTCCCAGCCTCTTGTTAGGGAGCCAAGCTCTGCTCCTGTTTGGGAGATGAGTGCCACATCACACGCTACAAGGTGGTTTTCAGCCCCCAAGTCTCACTGGGCACTCAGCTGTTGGAGAAGCATCGTGTATGCACATGGCTGTTGTTTTATCGTCTTGAACCCATCACTATATTCAGGAAGATAGGTTTTTATTATGCCACAAACCTGCTGCTCTAGGTAAACTTTTACATAAAGCAATTGTGTTCTTAATGGAATCATCTAAAACAAAAATAAAGGAGCGGAAATAGACTTGGCATAGGTTTCAGATCTTTCTTTTTAAAAAATAGCTAATTTTTGAGAGAAGCACTTGGATATGCAATTTGAACAAATGACCATCTCTCTAAAGAATAAACTTACCTTTCTAAGGAAAGGCAGATGATGAAAATTATGACACACAAGTACAATGAAAGTTCCTAGCATTTCTTTTCTTGCTGACCAGATAAGAATACAGTCATTTGTCCTTATGTATTTTAACCACTTAGGAATTTTCAAACATTTAACAAATACATGAGACATAGTTTTCAACTGTGCTTATAGGCATCCTACCAGCTTTACATGCTGAAATTGAATTTTCCTTTTTGATGTATTAACACCAACAAACAGTACCTAAAATGTGCAAAACACAAGGCTAGAATGTGTAAAACCCAATAAAACGCAACGGTAAGTGGATGAGACAGCCCAGAACTATGCCTGGACTTAGTTGTCATCAGCATCCTGTAGTTAAAGTGGTCTGAAATACTCATTCAGATTCTAGAGCTCATTCTGTGTGGTAGCTCTGCCTTTCATTCACTAATTTTTTATTGAGGTTTTGTTTCATTGCTCTTCTGAAGGATAGAAGGCACAGAGGACTGGCCCCTACCCCCAAGACAGTTTAGCTTGGAAGTAAAGTCAATGTCTCCTTACAGGATTGAGCCTTTATGTATGTGCCAAAAATTATGTATTTGTGTGCCCCAAATACAGGGGTATAGATGGCAACAGAGACATAGAAAGATGGAGGAGGTTACTAGGAACTGAAGGCTCTAGAAGACTTCACAGGTGAGAAGGGGCTTGAAATTGACCTTGAATGAAGCAGGATTTTGATAGGGGTTAATGATGGGGGTGGGGTTGTGAGAGATTGGAAAGAGGTATATTTAACGAAGATGGAAACCATAATTTATGTTTGGGGGCCATAAACTCTCTCTTTATGCTGGAGTTGGGAGAAAAGAAGATTGGAGAAGAGATTATGGAATGTTTTGACAAAGTAGGCTAATGAGATAATAAAGAACCGATGCATCTGAATAATGTAACAAAATGTATTTCTTGCTTGTTTCACAGTTCATTGCAGGGATCTGGCAGGTAGACTTCCATGTGGTAACCCAGGGAACCAGACTCTTTCAATTGTTTGTAAAGTTCATGATGCCTTCTGCATTTAGCTGGCCATCTGTCTAGTAGAGAGAAAAGTGAGAGCATGGAGAATTGATGTAGACCTATAAGTGTTTTGTATTATTTCCATCCATTTCCCATTGGCTAGCATTCAGTCATATGGGCACATCTCACTGCAAGAGAGTCTGGGAAGTGTAGCATAGCACTGTCAAAAGAAAAAGGCAACCGATTTTGGTGAACACATGGTCTCTATTATATTGGCTTTTAGCTCGAGTGGGTTGAACTTTATCCTGGATGAAGTGGCAGGTCATCCTCAACCTTAGCAGGGGTGGGGCATGCTCATGGGTCATATACACTCCTTAAAGGGGATGATTTTTGTCTTATATTCACTGCTGTATCCCCAGGATATGATAGGCCTTAAACAAATGTTTAATAAAATAATGGAATGATGGATAGATGCTGGAAAGAAGGCCTGGTCACATTGAACCTTCCAGGATGGATTAGTGAAAGAGAGTTGAGGCAGAGAAGCCAATCAGAAAGCTACTGCGATCATCTGATAGTACATTTACAGTAGGAATTTGTTCAGTTTTAGAAACAGAAATGTTTACTTCTGTGATTTTACTCTCTTAGCCTATAGCATAGCCACAGATTATAGTTTAATCAGAGTCCCTGCTGAGTTGAAATCTTAGAAGCAGGTTGTGAGCTGCAACTGTGTTCCTAGGAAGGGCCTGGACTTTCTTTGGAGGCATTAATTGGAATGCAGCCTCTGGACTTGGGCTTTGCCACAATACTGCAAACCAAACAAAATAAAACTTGACTAAACCAGCAAACCCAGATTGGAGTTCAAGTTACTTTAACGGACTCTTGGGAAGCACAAACTGCAGTTGTATTATGTATGCAAAATTTGCTCTTTGTCCTTATTGTAAGGAAAATTACTTCAGTACACATAATCTTTTGCCAGCTTTCCAAAGCACTGGATGAGTTACTCTTTTGCAATTGTGCAATATTTTTTAAATTTCAATTTTAAAATATGCTTGAAAAATAGATGCTGATCCAACAAGAACAGAGAATATGAATGAAAAGAATGTATTCTCTGTGCACCTACAAGAGGCCAGTACATAGGCAACCTTGTGTGGCCCGAGGCTTCAGGATTTTAGGAAGTTGCTTGCAGATGAATTTCTTTGAAATTAAAAGCTAAGGGCAGCATCTTGGGTCCTCCCTCTTGTGCTTCATGTCTAAGCTGGGGCTGACCCCAGGGCCTGGCCACGATTCAGGTTACATGCCCCTGAAGTCTGATGAAAGGCCTCTAACTTTAATATTATGCAGGGTTGAGTGAGGAATCTCAGAGCAGCCTGGGATTCTGGGGAGATTTTTAGTGATTCTTGTTGATTCGGAAATAATGTAAAAACAACAGAAGAGCTTTTTCTGGTATTTTCGCATGTTCTCTATTGGTTTGGGGGAAGAATCCAACATTAAAGAGGTGAAAAAAAATAGCAAATATTTTAAAAGACATATAACATGCCCTCCCCTTTTCATCCATCCCCACCAGAAAATAAACTGTTATAATAAAAATGGCGAGAACAGGAAGGGAAAACAGAAACAACAGGCGGCCACAGTGTGCTGGGATGGGAACGGACAGGCCCCTGGTGGCTGAGGCTAACTCTGCTATGGCCAGAAAGGAGTGGGGAAGGTGTGAGGAAATGCATCAGATGGAATCTTTCCCTTGTGGGGTCCACAGCTCTTTGAGCTGTGAGTTTCTCATTTCCTGAGGCCTCTTGAGATATAAATTATGCACTCAAGACAAGCAACCTGCGGGTACTAGTTTGGTTTCTAGCTCAAATCCCAGAGAAGCGAATTCATTGAAATTCCACTTGCTGAGTGATCTATTTACCAAATTCACTGATTTTCTTAAGAAAGAAAAGAAAAGAAAACCTCAATTATTTATAAATTTTCATAACAATTTCTATTGCATAGGATAGTTTTCACATCAGCTTTGCCCGTTGGACGTAAATCAACTGGAAAACCTTTTTATTTCTACCCCAGCTTTCTGAATATGAAGTTACAACTTAACTGGGGCTGGGGAAGCAGGCACCTCTGGTGAGGGATAGGAGGGGAAGTCGTCAGACTATATCCTTAGGCAGGGAAGAGGGGATGCTGAGGTTAAACCAGGAGGGCAGTGGATGTTGGAGGTATGGAGTGCTGGAGAACAGAAAGGGTCAAGAATGAGAATGAGGGGGCAGGGAAAATATTCAGAGACTCCATAACTTCTCCAAATAGGTTTCTGAGACTCTGCCAGTTCGTCTCATATCAATCTTTATAATCTTATAATTAATTAGTGAAAACAGATTTGGATAGCGTGGTGAATTCAGTGAAATAGTTCTTCTGAATATGGGCTTTCAGTGTATCCATTTTCAGCAGGTTGGCCACTTCATCTACCTGGAACCTCCTTGAGCCATTTTAGCAGCACCTTCCAGCTGTGGCAGATACCGAAGCCTTCCTGGAGGAAGATGTCTACAGAACCTATAGAAAGATGGGTGACTGGAAGATAGGAGGAAAAGTCTCAAAATGCCAAAGCGTTCCTTTGCTTGCTTGGCAGGATAGAAAGAGAAGGCAGTGACCTATTAGGATGGTCCACTCATCCTGGTTTGCATGAAACTTTCCTGGTTTTAGTACTCAAAGTTTCCAATCCCAAGCAAACAGAGAGAGTTTTGATCATCCTATACCTACTGTAAAGGTGGTTTTGAGATGCAAAAAGATAAAGAAAAGTGGTGATGGGTGAGAGGAGGTGATGCTGGAATCACCTCCTCAAAGGCAGTCTTTTTGCAGCTGCAATTTGTATGGCCTACAGGGAAGATCAAAGGACGCTTGGGGAAAATCACATGGGCCTGAGCAGTCAGTCTAGGGACCTAATACTATGGAAGGGCCTTAGGTTTGTTCTAGATATCTTGGTTGTACAATCTACATGCACTTACTTTTCTAAATATGCTTTTTTTTTCTCTCTTTTCTTAGGGAGGCAGGACACAATGTGTGAGAGAAGTCTGTCCCATTCTCTCCTGTCCCCAGCACCTTAGTCACATACCCCCAGGACAGTGCTGCCCCAAATGTTTGGGTGAGTTACTATTTTCAGGTCAAAGAACAATGTAATTTCTTCTCAAAGTTTCTGCTGGGAGTGTTTATCCACGTTGTTGTTTTGAGATTCTCAAGTTGTCCTATTTCGTGGCTTGTTAGAGACAACTCCCTCTTCTAATTACAGAAGTGGAAGGTGTGTACAGGGTTTGCTTCTTAACGGAGACCTCCAGGGAGGCTTCTCTCTTGTCCTCACTTGCATCTGTAACTGGGTACACCAGATGACCTGGGGTAATTCTCCCTTGTGGTGAGAAAGTATCAAAGAAACTATCTTTAATAGGGCATATGCCTATTAACAGGAACATATTTTAAAGGTATTTGAAGTAAACCCATAGAGGAATATAGACTAGTGTTACTTTCAGAGTCAAAACCATGCAGGAAGAAACACATGCAAGAAAATGAGAGTTTTGGAAGGAAATAGTGAATAATAGCCAACAGAAAGAGAGTATGTTCTCTTTCTTATTGAACATTTAATAGGTATTAGGCACCATGCTAGGCACTTTATTTTTTTTTTTTTCTCATTTTATCTTCTTAAGAAGCTGTGAAATGTAGGTACTAAGTATATAATTCCTATGTGTAATGAAGGTGCTATTATTAATTTTATTATACTGAAAAGGAAGTAGATTCCTTGATGGCAGCCCAGCGAGTGGGTTGTGGATTTGATATCCGACCACAAATCTGTGTGATTCCTGAGCCCAGCTCTAACCTGCTGCAGCTCACCTTCCCTGGTGTCACAAGAGGGCTGCATGCATGTTGCCAGCTGAAAGGGGACAACTCATGATGGGTATTTTCTAGAGCATGAGGTTCTTTGGCTTTTGCTTATATGCTACCTTCTTCTTCTTCTTCTTTTTTGTTTTTTTATTTTTTTATTTTTTTGAGACGGAGTCTTGCTCTGTTGCCAGGCTGGGTACAGTGGTGTGATCTTGGCTCGCTGCAACCTCCACCTCCTGGGTTCAAGTGATTCTTGTGCTTCAGCCTCCCAAGTAGCTGGGACTACAGGCACGTGCCACCACACCCAGCTAATTTTTGTATTTTTAGTAGAGACAGTGTTTCATCATGTTGGCCTGGATGGTCTCGATCTCCTGACCTTGTGATCCACCCACCTCAGCCTCCCAAAGTGCTGGGATTACAGGCGTGAGCCACCATGCCCAGCCTATGATACCTTCTTAATGATTCCTGGGCTCTTGAGCAAGTTGAGGTCAGACTATTAAGTTTCAAATAAGTATGGTGGCTTGAGCCACCATGCAAATACAATAGAAACTCCAGCAACCTCCTTAGAATCTCCAGGGATCCTTGAGGGGCTAATATTTTCCCTAATCGCCTCTGGCTTGGTGTTTCTGCTCCTGCTATTTCTCTTGATTTTCTTTCCTTCCTTCCTTCCTTCCTTTCTTCCTCACTTTCCTACTTTCTTGCTTTCTTTCTCTTTCTATCATTTTGTCCTTTTAGAGGCATCTCCCCTTAAGTCTGTTTACATCCTGTGATGGAGAGCAGATTTCGCTGAGGGTTTGCAGTCAATAAGAGTGATTATTTTACACAGAAGCATATTGAACAAAATAAAATGGGATATTAAGCGCTCTCGTTCTTAAAAGGTCTTAGTTGTTTTGCCTTTGTGAGAATTTTACTGATTGTCCCTTCTATTTGAGCTCCAGCCTCCTGTCCGTTAATGCCCACGCCTTTTTCTTGAATCCTCTCTCCTTTCTTTCAGAGTTTACTGTCTTCAACTCTGAAACAACCTGTTGATTTATTTTTCTCGTTCCCAAATTAGCACAGCCATACCATGAAGTCTATTTTTTTATGACCAAGTTGACAAATAAAGGTATTTTTTAAAACTAGGAGCTTTCTCCTCTTTGATGGCTTCTTCTGCTAACTTCATCTAACAATGCTTGCCTTCCTGCTACACACACACAAACACACATACACCTGCTACACACACGTACACACACACACATGTTTAAAGTAAATGTGAAACAGAAGAACAAAGCAGAATTGCTTAGACATGCCTGATTAAAGACATTTTCACTTCTGTGTGTTCTGTTTGGGTTGCCAGTGTGTGTCAGTGTCCCTGGGATAGGGTTAGCCAGTTCAGTGTGGCACAAATCATCATGCTGTGGGCCATGGTGGAAGCAGTGGCCACTTAAGCAGGAAAGCCATTGCAAAGGAGGTGACATTTGGGTCTGGCTCCAAAGATAAGTAAGCTTGATTCATGCTTTGAAGCTGGTACTGTGGATACGCTGAGTCAACTCAGAAGCTTCCCATATGAGCAACAGCTACTGTATTGAATGCAGGTTTTTCTGTTCATTTATGGTTATAAGGCATACTACAAAAGGAACAATAAGTTTTAAGAAACTTGAAAATCTCTTTTTTGGTTGGGCTAGACCCCCATGGAATGACATGGAAATGTCTTAAGTCAGGCTGTACACAAAGTCTCTGAACCACTCCCTCGAATGTTTTATCTTATGTTGGACCATGATGACTTTGGGATTAAGGTTAAGATTTTATGCTCTTTGAGGGTAAAAACAAACATCCCCACACAGCAAGAAACAGAGACAAAAAAGCAAACAAACACTGGGATGCTTTCTAGATGCTGAAATCTTAGTCTAATTAGACTTTAGATGATTGGGTGCTGTTTTGCTCTTAAATTTTCCCTTGGGCAGGGTTCATTCACATGATATACCTCTGCCTTTTGCATTACAACATTCCTTTCCTTGTTTTCCTCATTCTCAATGGAGAGTCTCAGCACAGGTCAGTGTACACAGAGCAGCACCCAGTGCACTCTAATTGACACAGCCCAGGTTCATATTTGAATTATATCACCTCTAATAATCATAATACATACCATCTGCCATTTATTGAGGATGTGTAATGAATATCAGGCACTGCTCCAAGAGCTTTATATTCACAATTTTAGGTAAAATTTTCATTTTAGTGAGGAAGAGTTTAAGCGATTGGTCACATTTGTTCAGGGGGATAAGCACATTGAAGAGTCTGTTTGTCAATCAGTCAATAAATCAATTGATCAATAGACCCATCCAGCCATTCCTCCACCTGTGGAACAATATTGCCCGCTATAATGGTAGTATAGGCAACAGGCTATGGGAATGCAGAAAGGGGTCATTAACTCTAAGCGGTAGAAGGGCCTCTGCAGAAACAATGTGGAGCTCAGTCATGAAGAAGGTGCATTTTGATTGGTGGAGGATGAAGCTTCTACACAGAGCTCTGTATCTATCTATTCATTTATCTTCTGCCTTTTGCCAACAAGGATTTAAGACCACTTACAAAATACATGAAGCACATGTAGATAAAGGATAGTAAAAAGGCAAACCAGATTATCACAATTAAAAAAAATTACTCAACTGAAGCAGAGATATTTTAGATTATTAAAGGACAGAAATATATCTCTGATGGACTGATTAAGAGGAAGATAATATTTAAAGCAGTGAAAAATGACTTCACCATCATTTTTATAGTAAATACAAAAAATAACTGCTCATTCATATTTCTTATTATAATGTCCTAAAACTAAGGTGCAATTAGACAGAAGTGATTATAATGGGATGGGCAAAATCTATGTGATCCAGGCTGTGCACAGCTTTCTGATGCCTCAGGGTAAACCTATTTGGGTTTCTTAGGGGAATATTTAGGGAAAGAATGAATTTTTTTATTTTGCAGATAATCCTTTAATTTAGTATGTCAGTTCTTAGGAAGTTCAAGAGACTTAAGACCTGGGTGTGCACATAATACCTGCGTTAGTTGGGGAATTAACAATCATCATGCTAAATCATGCCTAGTCATGAAAGAGTTTTTGGTTGTATGCTTTAATATTAACACCATAGTTAGAGGTAGTGACATGGCAATGTGGTATTGATGATGCCATTTTATGAGTGAAGTCAGTGAGGCCTGGAGAAATCATACTCAGTGGTCACGAGGGAGTCCATATGTAAGATCCAAATTATAACTCACTTCCACCTTTTGAGGGCCAACAAGTTTGCTCTTGGTGGTGAGAACCAAACTAATGATTTAGTTCTGCATCTATATTGTATCCTGGCCTTGAGGTTGGCTATGATAGGAAGACAGCATGTTTTTCTTGACTCCTACTAACAGTTATTCCAACAACTCTAATTCTGAGAACAGTGTTTAGTATGTTTAGGTATTTTGAGCATTTCATTGGGCCTACTGATAAACAGAAATTGCTATTAATCTTTTACAAGAAGAAAGAGTGGTACGAATAGAAATTTGATCAGTGAACATGAATTAACTTAGTCTTTAATTAAAGTAACATTGCAGAGATGTTTTAATGTGCTTCAAAGAGTAGAAACTCAATTATTAAAAGAAAGGAGGAAATTAGATTGTACTCTTTATTTGGGATTGCTGTTTTGGTCCTTTTGTTCACCAATCTGGTTCTCACATTAGGGAAAACCAAGCCAGTTCTACAGAGATACTATGCCTATGAAAGGCTGGACACTCGACATGTACCTCTGCGTGCCCTTTGAGTTAGCTTCACCCTTTATTCCTTTATGTAATTTCATAACTGAAATGCTATCTTAGTCTGTTTAGTCTACTCTAATAAAATACTATAAACTCTGTAGCTTGTAAACAACAGAAATTTATTTCTCATCTTGGAGGCTGGGAAGTCCAAGAACAAGGTGCTAGCAGATTTGCTGTTTGGCTCATAGTTGGTGTCTTCTTACTTTGTTGTCACGTCGTGGTGAGGGTTCTCTCTGGAGCCTCTTTTATAAGGGCACTAATCTAAGTCATGAGAGCTTTGCTCTCCTGACCTAATCACCTTTCAAAAGCCCCACCTCCTAATACCATTACATTGGTGATTAGAATTTACCATATGAATTTTGTGGAGACACAAATGTTCAAACCATAGCAAACAATATTTCATTAGCTCCTTTTGCTCATTCGAGACCTTCTTGAGATATGCTGATTCCTCCTACCTCCACCCACCTCCCCCACTGCCCATACCCAATTTTTAGATAATTTTACTCATTCTTTAAGAAGCTCCTCAGGCATTATATCTTCCAAGAATTCTTCTCTGACCTCCCAATTCCCACAGTTTCTAGATCGTCTTTTTTCCAGAACTTACCTTACTGTTGTATTGAAACAGCCTTTGATGAGTTTGCCCTTTCACTAGACTGTGAGCTCCATGAGGGGAGCTCATGTCTTAGTGATTTTGGTTCACTGTGATGAACACATTATAGATTTGTTGAACTTACAAGCTTCATTGTGGAATCAAACTCTTTTTTAACAAACTTTATCCCAACTAATGACTCCTGGGGATCCTTTAGGCATGTCTGACCCAAGACTCTATTTTTGTGCTCCAGACTTACGTGGTCTTATAAGAATGTATAATGGACCTATGATGGAATCACCGATGACAAAATGGGACATCCCCGATTCTGTCTTACTTACACTGTGCTTCTGTTTCTCTCTAGGTCAGAGGAAAGTGTTTGACCTCCCTTTTGGGAGCTGCCTCTTTCGAAGTGATGTTTATGACAATGGATCCTCATTTCTGTACGATAACTGCACAGCTTGTACCTGCAGGGTAAGGCAGCTCTGAGAGGCTGTGGTCCAGCAATGATAGGGTTTGGGTTTCAGTGTTAACATCACAGCCATAGCCAAAGCCAATGGTGTGTTATTTATTGGGAGGAAGCATTAACAATGCCATTTTACAAGGAAAATCATACTCAAGGTCACCAAGGACTTACACATAGGACCCACACTATAGCTCAATCATCTTCTAAGGACCAAGAAGTTAGCTCCTTGTAGTGAGAATCAGGCTCCAAGGGCCTGTTCTGAGGATTTTCTAAAATCAGACAAATACATACGGCTGTGCCCTCTGGCTCTAATTATCCAAGATGAATTCTCTAACACACCTGGCAATAAAAATTGCTTTTAATCACATTCAAGAGAAGAGAAAGGCATGGATTTACAGTTCATCACAAAGATAAACCTGGCAGTTTAGGAAGAGAGTATTTATGTGCTGTTTATTGTATCATGTCTTATTTGAAGCTTTGCTCATTTTTCTCAAAAGGCAACCAGAAGTCTAATTACTGCTAAAGAAAGAATTCCACAGCTTCAGAATTTTAAAGGGACACACATCACACATTCATAGACTGTACTTATGCAGTAATTTATTTTGGAAACCAAGAAGAAATACATTTATCAGGGAGGACTTTAGGATTATTCATTAGTGAGTTAATGAATCACATCTGTCTGACAAGTTTAGAATACACTTTGGTGGTGATGGTTGTTGTTGTTTGTTTTTAATAGTTAAAGGTCGGGAGAGGGAAAGAGGGGAGCTCTACTCAATATCAGCTATGAGTCAATAGCTGGGATTAGAGCTCAGTAGTTCTTGATTACATGCTTTGTTCAGTAGCATGCACCACTTCAGCGGGTGGTTGGTTAAGGGCTGAACTGTCCGTTCCCTTGAACACCAAACATGGAGTAATTCCTAAGCCTGAGAATACTTTACCGAAGCTTTTTCCTCCTCCCATGGTTTGTGTTATCCTATGCTAAATGTATAGCACCCGCTTCTTGCCTTGGCCTTCATCCTCAGGACTTTTCCTCTCCACTAAGAATTTCGCAGGAGATAGCTTCCTCTTGGGGATACTGAGCCTTTGATGAAACATATCACACTCCCAATTCTCTTGCTCACAGGAAAGCCTGGCATCCCATGAATGGGATTTAGTTATGCTTGCCGTGCTTTGGGTTCATGGGTTCCTTGAGAGATGATTAGGTAATACGTCTCTGTGCGTAGCAGGAAGTATAATTAATACTCTTCCTCCAAAAGGGTGTTTTACTAGAGTATGAATTCACAGTCATCTTGGGGATATTAAATGCTTGAAAAATCAAGCTGCAATCATTTTGAGTAATCAGTATTATTTTCTGTCTGCTTTGAGCTTCCCTTTCTAGCATCCCCATCCAGTGTTTCTTATGATTTCCATGGCAGGTGCAGGAACCTGTTGAATGTGATTTAATACAGTTGGCTCTTCGACAGTGTGGGTGCCGGGGCATTGATTCCCTGTACCGTTGAAAATCCATGTCTAATTTTTGACTCCTTATAGACTTAACTAATAGCCTACTGTTGACTGAAAGCCTTACCAATCATATAAACAGTCAATTAACACATATTTTGTATGTTCTATGTATTACATACTGTATTCTTATAATGAAGTAAGCTAGAGAAAAGAAAATGTTATTTAAAAAATCATAAGGAAGAGAAAATATATTCACTATTTAATAAGTGGAAGTTGATTATCATAAAGCTCTTCATCTTCTTTACATTGAGTAAGCCGAAGAGGAGGAGGGGTTGGTCTTGTCTCAGGGGTAGAAGAGGCAGAGGAAGTGGAAGGGGAGGCAGGAAAGGCAGGCACACTTGATGTAACTTCTATTGAAAAAATTTCTGAGTGTAAGTGGACCCATGCAGTTCAAATCCATGTTGCTCAAGTGTCAATTGTAGTTTTCTGCATGCAGGATGGTTTCAGATCTCTGTGCCTTCAAATTGGACAATTTATCTACCAGCAATGTTATTACCATCTTTAAATTTGATTAGCAGATGCTTCTTCATCCACAACAGCCTATCTCAGGTGTCATTCAACCTGAGAGGCTTTCCTGACTTACCTGGATAGGTAACTTTCCCTTGTCTTTGCTATCTTTACACCTTTGCTAGTTCTGTTTACCACATTATAATTGCAATTTGCTTGATTACACATTTACCTCCCTTCTTACATTGCGAAGAACTCCTTGAGGACAGAAGTACATTTATCCATCTCTGTATTTGTATTCTCATTGCTTAACATAGTGCTAGGCACCACAGTCTAATGATATGTACATAAAGCACGCTCTCTCTCTCCACACACACATACACACACATACACAATGAAAGCAGGGAGATCTACGGTGAAATATGCATTGTTTGAGAGCTAGGGAGTGCCCTTGTTTTTAAACAAGAAATCAAGATATGCAGTTTGACAAAGGATTTTTTTTTCCAATTGAAGTTGGTTTATAATAATTTCTATGTGCCAGGTATTTTACATTTAAGAGGCACAGTAAACCTGAGAAACAATAGGCAGAAGAGCACTTTTTTTTGAAATCAAATCACACTTCTTTAACTTACAGATGATACAAACTCTTCACCTTCAGTGGGTAAGTGGCCTGGTCAAAGTCACTCCACTACATTAGAGCTCTGGAACCCAGGTCCAGTTTTGAAACTGTTGGTTCAGTCCCTTGGTGAGCACAGAACACACTTGAGGAATCTTGTCCTGAGGTGGTGCCTTTGCTCTTAACTTTTACCCTCTGACCAAAGATATCATGCCTTTACGTTAAGTTCCAAAAGGTGGCATAAAGCCGTGGAGGAGACCCAAGAGAGCACTATTAGTGCAGGTTGCAAAGAGGTAGAGGGCAGGAAGAAGGAAACTGGTGGTTCGTGGGGAGCTGGGCGGTCTTGCCACATGCTGGTGGAGTGGGCTCATCAGTCTCTGGAACGTGAAATCATAAATCCTTGGGAGGTAGGGGTTACGTGCCATAGTTTCCACAGTGCCCTGATATTCTAGTCTAGATACTTAATCAACAAATCACAATTTGAAGTGAATGAAAGATTTATTGCAATAAATTAAAATAGGGTACCTTACAGACTTTGACACAGATAGTTATGAGTTATGAAAGGAAGGCCAGGTAGGATGTTTGGTAGAGGCGAAAATCATTTTTAATTTCTATTTTGCCTTTGGGCCCCCAGGACTCTACTGTGGTTTGCAAGAGGAAGTGCTCCCACCCTGGTGGCTGTGACCAAGGCCAGGAGGGCTGTTGTGAAGAGTGCCTCCTACGAGTGCCCCCAGAAGACATCAAAGTATGCAAATTTGGCAACAAGATTTTCCAGGTATGTCATGAGACAAGCACATGGGAACTCCTGTATTACTACGCTGACAATTAAAAAGCTCCAGACACTAGGCAGATTGGGTTATCCCATAATTTCTATATACATATACAAATGTATATGTGTGCATATATTAATAGAATGTATTTATATTACAGTATTATATATACATTTATAGTTAGAATCAAGTGCAGATAGGGGCAGAGAATCAACCGTCTGAAAGATGTTTTTCTTGACTATATTTTTGCTGAAATATGTTAAGCCTGTAAAACCTGCCTGAATACCTAGGAGTACCTCATCTCGTTGGAGATGCTCAATGACATTTGTCAAGGTGATGATCCTTGTCAAGATCCTGATGGATCTATACAGCTTGAAGCTTTTAGAAGTTTTTCACAAAGCTACCTTTGCAAAGAAAAATTTTCTCATTTGGAAGATATTCAGATAAGGATGTTAATAGTGTATGTAGTTGAGCCAGGTGAGAGAGCTCTGCCCAGCTGAATGGAAAAGGTTGTCTTTTGGCCATCTGTTACCAATCTCAGGTGTATTTTACATTATTCTCTGAGGACCCCAAGTGGGAAACAGTGCAATGGCCATTTAAACTTCAAAATGCAAGATGGTTGGCTTTGTCCAAAGTACCTCCTATCTAGTCCATTTTCCCTAGGGGTGGAAGGAGTCAAATCACTCTCTACCGAAGCTGTCACCTCATGATACCCATGAGAATCAAGACCCACATAAACAAGTCAGTTGTGGTAGCTCTGCAGGCATGCTGCACTGAGCCACACTTCCTATCACACTGAAGTAGTTGGAGGGAGAGGTCTTGGTTCTGATGGAATAGTAAGAAGACATGAAGTGTCGCATGGTCTCACTTATAAGTGGGAGCCAAATGATGGGATCATGTGGACATGGGAGAGGAACAACACACACTAGGGCCTGTTGGGGGGTAGGGTGGAGGGAGGGAGAGTATTAGAAAGGATGGCTAATGCATGCTGGGCTTAATAACTAGGTGATGGGTTGATAGGTGGAGTAAACCACTATGGCACACGTTTACCTATGTAACAAACATGCACATCCTGCACATGTACCCCAGAACTAAAAATAAAATAAAAAAAATTAAAAAAGAGAAAACAACTGAGGACAAAAAAACACATAAGGTGTCATGCCCAGTGAAGGGGGAGGCATGTGTGTTGTGTTTACATCAGACTTTCAGAGATGCTCATATGTCCTCTTGATATAAAGTCGCCTCCTCCTCTGTCTCCAGAACACCCAGATGAAATAGCCTCACTCTCACTCTCACCATGGTGCTGTGTGCAATGCACTTTTTTTTTTTTTTTTTTTTAGATGGAGTCTCGCTCTGTCGCCCAGGCTGGAGTGCAGTGGTGTGATCTTGGATCACTGCAACCTCCACCTCCCGGGTTCAAGTGATTCTCCTGCCTCAGACTCCTGAGTAGCTGGGATTACAGGTGCATGCCACCATGCCTGGCTAATTTTTGTATTTTTAGTAGAGATGGGATATTGCCATGTTGGTCAGGCTGATCTCGAACTCCCGACCTTGTCGTCCACCCTCCGTGGCCTCCCAAAGTGCTGGGATTACAGGCGTGAGCCACCGCGCCCGGCTGCAATACACTTGTAAGTCACCTTGTAAAAACGGTTCCTTTAAATGACTGAGGCTTAAAATAATTCACGGAGACTTGGATTCCTAGAAATGTGTACTCAGAGAACTTGGAACAGTCAGGTGTCCTTTAAGGCAGATTCAGTTAGGTCTTTCTTGAAAGGCACTAGAGGGTAGACAGTCCTTAAAATAGCTTCAAAAAGTCAGGAAGGGAAAGAGGCAGGGGAGTCATCAAATATCTCAACTGTTTCTGTTTTTAACAAAAATCTGCTGCTTGGATCTGCAAGCTCAGGAAGGAATCCTTGTTTTGTTTTCAGCCCAACTCTGTTGTCTGTGATCTTTTTTACCCACAAGCAAGGATGCACATCCCTGCCTGTCCTCCAGAGGTACAAGGGCTTTTTGTGGTATTTGGCATTCACAGATTATACCTTTCATGAGTGAAAGAAATTCCTCAAATAGCTCTTTCTGTCTGAGCAAGGATCTAGTCTAGGAAATGTGTCCCAAAATGCTGCCCTGCATTTTAAGAGGAGAGGACTAGATAGGCAGGGACAGGATATCCATGGCACTTGGAGTCTTCTCTCTGAGCTCTGCATTTTCAGTGGCTTGCCCATCAAGTGTCTGTCTGAGCACTGGGAGTCATTTGAATTAGCCTGTCTTCTATGCATGTCCTGTATGGGCCAGAACCATGGCACATCTGGTAATTAACCACCTCTGGACATCTCAATTAACTATTGGTGCTTGGGACAGCTTAAATATTTTAGTCTTATCAAACGGGAAAATTAGATTTCTGTCATTGTATCATGTATGAAAATTCATGCTTGGTTTTCCCCCAGGGTGGAACTAAGTAAACAATGCATGACAACAAGACATAAATATGACTTGGTTAAACACACAATAATTATTTTTATATCCAGGAGGGGGAACACACACACACACACACACACACACATGCTTGCACACAATCTGAAATCTTCACTAATCTTTATCTTAAATCAGTTGGATGTAGACAGACACCTGAGTCATTTAGTCTAATGATGGCGTCCCTCACTCAGGGCAAGAAATGCTTTCCTCCATGGAGAGGTTACAGTCTGTTGCCTCAACTCCTGTCAGCCTCCAGCTGCTGACAGGATCCTGTGCCCTCTCTTGTAGGATGGAGAGATGTGGTCCTCTATCAATTGTACCATCTGTGCTTGTGTGAAAGGCAGGACGGAGTGTCGCAATAAGCAGTGCATTCCCATCAGTAGCTGCCCACAGGTATGTTTGGAACACAGATTGACTTTACCTTAGCGTCTTGAGAAATGTCCTGTGTGTGGCACAGTCGCATGCCATCTTCCGAACACAGACTCCAGCTCCCCCAAAGCCTCTACATTCCTGACTAGTCAAATGCCTCTTGCAAAGTTTGCTCATTCTTCTTGCAGATTTTTTCCTTGCATGAAAATAGCTCTGCTTTGCTCTTGTCCCAATTCTGATTTCTTATTGACATCTCCCATTCATTCTGTAAAATTTCTCCAACTCCTGCAAGATCTCTTTCTTTGTTTTCTTTTGCCAGGTTTTGTTTAACATCGTAACTGTCTTTTGCCTTTTCCTCTTTTCTCTCCCTTCTCAAATCAGAGCTTTCCTCTTATAGCCATTCAAAGTAATATGTGGTTTATTTATTAATACTTCCCCAAGGGGTTTCTCCTGCCTCACGGCATCCCCGATTTCTTTGCTGAAGTTTTCTCTCTCTAATCCTGGCCTCCATTGTAGCCCCAAATGGAAATAGCATCCTTATGGAAATATCTCTTTTCAAAAACTCATAGCTCCAGCACACTGAATAAAGCAACCATTATCTTCTAAAGCATGAGGTTCATTGAATTCACCTCAGCAACTTGAAACCTTTTAAAGTTTTATACATTTTGGGAAGGTGTCAAACCTATTCAACACCTTCCCGTGAATGAAAAAATATATCCATATATTCAGGACATGTCCTCCCTTCTCTGTTATAGACAGCTTTTAATTTTATTCACATCTGTTATTATTATAAACAAAAGTTGCTGTTTTTACTTGACTGCCAAATGAGGCACAAAAAACAACAGCTGTTGCTATTGCACAACTGAATAAAGAGGAGAGGAAAAAAAGAAAAAAAAAAACCCTAATTAGTCTTGCTTTAAAAAGCCTCAGACATAAAACTGAAAGCCTCCCATAAAAGAAAAAAAAAGAAGATACAATAAGTAGACTTGAACATGGTCTGCTTATAAATATTCATTGGGAAAAATGGGATCACATCATTATGCCAGTCCTCCGGGAACCCTCGCTGCTAATGAACTCTTGCAGCACATGTTAGTAATAATGGGCTTCCTTATTCTACAAGACAAAAACAGGATGCTGTGCCAACCTGGTGGCTCAAGTAACTAGCCTCAGCAGGCCGCCGTGGAGTTTCCAGCTTCACTTGAATTCTGCCACTTGTAGCTGGATTGATAGTTTTCATTGTGCTCTTGCTGGGGGAGGGGATGGTGGGGGGAGGTCAACGTTCTTTATGTCACTGGTGTCTCATTAGCCTTTCATCATTGTGGACCACATTTGGGCCAGGGGCATCCATTCCTCCAAGCAGAGGCCTTTCCCTGCCCCACCCACCCCCTCCACGCCTTGTCAAAGCTTGTTGGTGCCCCTGCCAAGGCCCCGGCCTCAGGGGCCACCTTTCTGTTTCTAGGCTTCCTTCCAACCACTCCTCCAGTTCACACTTTCCCTTCTCGGGGGCCAGCAGGAGGTCTTTGGAAGATAACTCAGCTCTATCTACCATGGAAATCTTGTTAAAAACTTACTTCCCCTCCCCTACATTGCCTGGGGAAATTTTGGAAAAAAAAAAAAAAAAGAGATAGAGAGGAGGAGCTTGTATTCCCTGCTCTGTCTTTCCTGGCTACTGCATATTCTCTTTTTCCAGATGTAAATGTTTCTTGTGGAAGAAGGGTTTTATGATTGGATTCCTTGTCAATCCTGCCTCTCCTCCCCCATCCTGCAACTCCCCCAGAGGCAAAGGAGTGCCATTTGTGAGAAGGGCTATGAGGGCTGAAGTGGGGACTGGGTCATCAGGACACTGTCATCTCTCCATCTCTAATACGTACTGAGATTTTATAGTGACAACACTAATCTCATTTAATGCTAACATCACCCCTCTGAGGTGGGTGGTATTTCTAGACCCTGCTTATGGAAGAGCCTGCAGCATGACCAGAGTCTTACGGCTAATTGCATATTACACAGGTGCTCTGACTTTACAGCTTGTACCTGATTTATTCCCCCATCTAATTTAGTGATATCATCACTGCCACTTTCATTTTCTGAAGACGAGAGATGGAAGTTTCCACCGAGATGTGGATGTAGGGAATCGTAGTCACATTTGTTTGGAGTCTTGGCTTTAAGGTGGCTCTGCTGCATTGGGATAAAGCACCTTAATCCTCTTGGGGCCGTCATTCCCTGGGCCTGAGCTGACCTCATTTGGCTTCATCTGCAACTGCTTTCAGTCTTGAGAAACCAAAAGAGACCCCTGTGCCAAATTGCAATTGACAGCAGAGCTCTAGGCAATGAAAATATGTTGTGATGCCCCCACACTATGGGATGACTGGCTGGGGCTGAGTTTTAAGTCTCACTCAAAGTTGTCAAAGCCTTTAATGTATCATTTAGGCCTAGCTGATGCAAAAACAAATCAGACCTGATTAAAGATCTTCAATAATTAACCAGAATCCTTTAAGTCAATCTGATTCTTTCTTTTTGAGTACTTAAGCCTACTCTTGATGGAAATGACCAGTAGTGAGTGAGTGAATGAGCAGTGTGTGAGCCATGTGGCTTTGACATGAGCCTTGGCAACCTCTCCATGGTCTCTGTTTCCTTAGTTCCCTGTAAACAGGGGATAAGGACAACTGCATGTGGAGGGTTATTGTGAAATTTAAATGATAAAGTATGAGGAATGCATAGCACTCAGTCTAGTGTATAGCAGATAATAAATATTAAATTATATTCAAGAGAAAGGACTCAAGAGGACAAAACTGCAGTGGGAAGAAAATGTCCTTTAGGGTCAGACAAAATTAGGTTTGATTTTTGGTTCTACTACTCTTGTGTTGCATGACCTCAATTTCTTCACCTATAAAAAGGGAAATACTCAGCTCATAAGGTTCTTGTGCATCTTAATAACAGTGATTATAAAATCTCTAATGTTCATTAAATCTTAATAGGTCATAAGTATTAAATCCTTATCACTAACCCAATGTTATCACATAAGTAAAATATCGAATAAGATATTTGTTATATAGCAAGTGCTCCCTAAATGTTAAACTTCTTCTACATTTCTTTTTCTCTTTGATTAACCACTGAGTCAGAGATAAGACAACTGATTTTCTGATATGAGTCCTGAGAATACGTCACCTCCTTTAAATGTCATGCATTAAAAAACTCAAAAGTTGTGCAATGTAGGAAATTGCAGTGTATTTCCAGAAAGGTAATGAAGCATTACTCAGTGTTTCAAAATTCTCAGCTTCCTTGGCTTTGAGTGCATAACAGTGATTCAACATGGATAACATACCATTTTCTGAAACAAGAAATCTGACTGAATTTGATCTGTAGCACAGATATTGCCCATATCCATAGTGCTGATGATTCCTGAGCTTGGATTACAGTTTATTGTTTAAGCTTCTCCAACAAGCAAAGACAGAAAGAAGGTCTTGTAGGGTTCGCTAGGTTGACAGATAATTCTCATTTTTATGTGTGTGCCCTTGGTCTCTAAAGGGCTAGATTTGGGTATCAATGAAAAGGTTGAGTCCAGACTGTCTTCATCTTCCTTCCATGTGAGAAAAATCACACTAGTGAGCCCTTTAGGTATTATATTTCTTGGAGGATAAAAACAGGAAAGCTTGCTGAATGACTTTGCCTGGCCTTAGAACCTGATACTTGAAACTTCATTTTCACCATCTTCATCACCATCTGGGCATTGAGTTCAAATACAGCTTGGACTGATTTCATTGGTTTATCTTGTATTAGATTTTAAAAAGATATTTGTCCTCAGGAGACCCTGTTTTTTTTTTTTTTTAAACAGTAACTTTGTATTTGTTTTTCTTCTGATTAGGGCAAAATTCTCAACAGAAAAGGATGCTGTCCTATTTGCACTGAAAGTAAGTTTATTCCTTTGAAAATGTGCTATTAGTATTTGTTTTGCATTTTATAGTGCAACAAGAAAAATAGGGGTGTATGTTTCCCACACATTTTATTTTTGTAGGTATATATAGGATGGGATCATCTCACCTCCCTACAGTCACTTTAAGTCAATTGTAATTCTCCCACAGAAGTACAATGGAGACAAATATAGATACTTCCATCAGAATTTGTTGCTATGAGAAATTAAGAAGATAAATGGTTTGATTAGGTTTTAAAAAGGACCAGATAACTTAATGTGCATTTTAACTGCTAATAGCATTTGTAGTCATCGCGGTTAAGATAATGCTATCCGTAAAACCAAACATTATACAAAGTCTAGGAGGGGCTTTCCTTCTCCCATTATAAAGCCAAACAGCTGCACTTCCTGCTCCCTCACCCCACCCCCACCTCATCACCATGTCACCTGGGTGCATCCAGTCTTGCTGTTGGCAAAGAGAAAACAAGAAGTCATCGGGCTGATGGTTTTGCCATCCTATTATAGTCATGGGTCACTTAACAGGATGTGAAATGCCTTCTGAGAAATGCATCCTTAGGTGATTTTGTTGTTGTGTGAATATCATAGAGTGCACTTACACAAACCTAGATGGTATAACCTACTGCACACCTAGCCTATATGGTATAGCCTGTGGCTTCTAGGCTACAAATTTGTACAGCGTGTCGCTGTACTGAATACTGTAGGCAATTGTAATACATGGTATTTGTGTATCTAAGTAGAAAAGGTATAGTAAAAATGCAGTATTATATTCCTATGGGACCACAGTCCTATATGTGGTCCATCATTGACCAAAATGTTGTTGTGTGATTCATGACTATTTTTAACTGTATTCTTGAAAGTTCCTTCTAAGCATGGCCTATTCTGAAAACTGTCTGAGACTGTACTACTGATCATACAGACAGAGCATAGCAATAGCTTCATATCATTCCCACATGTAGACACATGCCTAGATCTATTAGCAAACTGCCATTTTAGTCCTCCTGAAATTCATATGGTTTTGAGATAGCTTCCTGGAGTGTTTTATTGAAAGAGGAGTATTAGTAATGTCACTGTCAAATTAGTTCCCATGTATGATAAGTAGGATTAACAAAGTCATAAAGTCTATCAGTGTGTTTTCTGAGCCAGTTATGTTTAGAGAAGTGGTCTGGAAGACAGCTGAAAGCAGCTTTCACATGGGCACAGGTTTGTTCTTTCCAATTCTCTAAAATAGAGTTGATATTACTAGAATTACTAGACTCTGTTATTTTTTTAATTGATTAGTGCCTTTGGACAATAGATATGCAGGGTCACTATATGTGTGTGTGTGTGTGTGTGTGTGTGTATTTATATAAAACTATTAAATATAATATTTATCTACTATATATGTTGCTATTTTTAGAAGCAGAGAGCTATTAAACAGTTACATATTGGAAAAAATGCTGGTTGAATTAATGAAAATTTAATTATAGATTTAATAAAAAAGGTTTACTTTAAAGATAATGAAGTACATAAAATAACTCAAAGGAGGCCAATGAAGTACGACTTAGTAGAGAATAATGCAGGAAGACAAATTAGCTATGATTAACACACCAGTTGATTTAAAAACACGTGTACAATCTAATACATTTAATCATCCTTCCAGAAACCCTGAGGAAACTTTGTTTATGGATGGTTCAGAGGCTGCCTTCCAGTTAATTCCCTTCTGGATGAGCAGAATAGAGTCTACACTGATGAAGTTTTCCTCTGTATCCATGTCAATGGAGATGTTTGCATTTCCTCATAAAGTGTCTTCCAGTTGAAGCAGAGACAGACCTCATAGGAATGCCTCTTATTTTCCAGTTAACTCTTTCAATTTGCATGAGCACAGACTCATTACCTCTGCCAATCACATTGTTGTCAGGCAGGATCACTGCTTACCAGCTTCATAAAAACATATGACCAGCCAGGCGCAGTGCCTTATGCCTGTAATCCCATGCCTGTAATCGGGAGGCCGAGGAGGGCAGATCACTTGAGGGCAGGAGTTTGAGACCAGCCTGACCAACAAGGTAAAACCCCATTTCTACTAAAAATACAAAAATTAGCTGGGCGTGGTGGTGTGTGCCTGAAATCCCAGCTACTTGGGAGGCTGAGGCACAAGAATAGCTTGAACTTGGGAGGCAGAGGTTGCAGTGAACCAAGATCATGCCACTGCACTCCAGCTTAGACAACAGAGCAAGACTCTGTCAAAAAAAAAAAAAATTACCAATCTTGTAAGAAGCAGTCTAAATCTTGAATTATCTGACTTTATTTTGCAAGGATCAAATAGGTGATTATTGAGATAGTTGAGAAAAATCTACATTATATTATCAGTTTATTCATTATGAGCTGGACTTTCCATATCTAGAAAACTGGTGACATCGTAAAGAAAAAGAAAAGAATACAAATGGAAGGAAAGGTATTATAAAATAGAAGCAAGCTTTAAACTGGTTATATTAAGTACCATATTGTGTTAACCATGTGAATGAGCTCATGCCTTCTATCACTGAGAGAGGCAATTGGCAAGGGAGAAGGCCACCCAGCTGGAGGGGCACTGGGAGGACAGTGACTCTGCACCTGCGCGGAGCAGGTCAGTCAGTGCTGGAAGGGCCCAGGCATGTGGTTCTCTGTCCAAGTCTCAATTATATCATCAGATGGCTATTTCTCAATTTCCTTTGGTGTTCTTTCCATCTGTTTACTCTCTCCTGCTCTCCAGCAGTTCTTCCATCATTGCTGTAAAATGCATTCTATTTGGCGAGGCTTATTTGTTCAGATTGAGTTAAGAGATGGGATGACTTCCAATTTTTAAGCAATGCCCAGTTTTTCTTAACACATTCAGGTAGATTTATTCTGATGTCCTTTAGCTGTGGCTTCGAGACCTCCTACTTTGAAATTTCTTTGTCATTATATTCAGGATTCAGAACAAACCTTTGGGCACATTTTTTCCTCCTTTGTAAATTATGAAAGCTCTCTTAATATACAGATTTCTAGAGTAGAGAAAGCAAGGATGAAACTACAAAAAAGTCTAGTGTTTTCTAAAGCCAGAAAAACAACTAATTTATATCTTATTAAAACACATACACTCTCTCCCTCTCTCTCGGACACACACACACATACACACTCACTCTCTCTCTCTCTCTCTCTCTCTCTCTCTCTCTCTCTCTCTCTCCCTCTCTCTCTCTCTCCCCATGATGTTACTGCGGAGTTTTCAACCTCAGTCTTACTGAGAGTTTGGCCAGATCATCCTGTCGTGGGGCTGTCCTGTGCATTGCAAGATCTTTAACAGCATCCCTGGCCTCTAACCACTAAATGCCAGTAGCATCCCCTGCAAGGTTGTGACAATCAAAAATATCTCCAGATACTGCCAAATGTCCCCTGGGGAGCACAGTTACCCCTCATTGGGTGCCACAGGCATTCCAAATAGAGGAAACAGCATGGGTGAATGCAGACATGAGCACCTGTGATACTAGTAGCCATAACTGACCCTTGGCACCTGTGGATTAGATGCAGTAGGAGAGTAAAGTGAGACTGGAAGCCTCTGAGTTTAATTGAATATGTTTCTGTATTTTAATTCTCTAACCCTGCAAAAAATTATGAAGGCGTAATTATATCTTGAATGATTAAAAAAAGTTGCTATCTTTGCTTTTGTTGCTAGGAAGCTAAAAATAAATTTGTACTCCACCTCTAAAAGCATGCAGGTTTTGAGTAATAAGCTTACTCCTGACTTCATCATATATGTCCACTCTTACGTGTTTTCAGCTATTTACTTTTTATGTCTGTAAGCTACTTCCAGCCCTTCTCTGAAAGGAGGCAAGAATACCTCCATGCACACATACATGCATACGTCAATTAAATGGATTGATTACAGAGCTTCACATACTCTCCAATTTATTTTGGTTACCTGTGGTAGTTAAATAAGTGTTGCATTATTTCCAGCAGTAGTGGCATTACATTGTCTGTTTCTAAAATCCCACAGAATTTCTCCCTTATTGCCTGGGTTAGTCTTAATCTTGGTAGTGTTTGGGGGCTGTCTCAGATCTCTGAAAGGAGTAACGAAGAGGAAACTTGAAGTGCATCTATAGAACATTCTTATGGGCCTCTCCTTACAACAGTCAGCAGTAATGGTAATTTACAATTTTGTAGGTAAGAAATAATAGAGGAGGCACAATGCCGTTGTCCTCCCCACAGTAAGACAGTTTTTGTAGGGTTGGCCTGAAGGAGCAATGATGATTCTCTCAAAATAGGAGAACAAAAGTCCTCTTAAAATCAGACCTGAGGGAAGTATGAAAAGCATTGCTGTCTTTTCATAACATGGAACAGGCTCTCTTTCTCCCTTTCCAACTGAAAAGAATTAGATTTGATTTTGATGATTTATTTAAAACAAAATATTTGAAGTGGGCTACACAAACTTCATAAAGCTTTCTTGCAAATGCTGTTTCTTGCCAAAGTGTGAGACTCTAGCCTTAAGCCAATCTGGACTTGCCTCGGCTGGGCACACATGAGCACAGGGTAGGTGCCAGGGAGGCCACTTGCCTGTTTTGTGTGTAGCATTTTGTTTATGCAAAATGTTGTTTTACTGTGTGTTGGCAAATAGCAGGTGGAATCTTGACCTAACCACCCAACAGAGACCTGAATCAGATAAATTCTTTGCTGGCAGGATATCTGTTTTCTAACATGGAAATAATACATAGGGTCAAAGTTGTCACTAATAAGAAAGGTGCATGTGAGATGTGTATAGAGAAAGAAAGGGAGAGAGGGATGGAGGGAGGGGCAGAGAGAGAGAGAGACTGAGATTGACAGATTGAGTATATGAGAAAATTAATCTCTCAGCCATCCACAAAAGCAGAGACAAAGGCAGCCCAGACGTGCATGCCCAGTCCCTGGTGGTTCATTAAGCTGTACCTGTAGCTACATCAGACCTAACCATCAGAATCCCAGCTTAAAACACAAGTTCACGATTACATAACACTGAGGCTGATTGAATATGCCGAGCACAGATGTGCATTTAATTGAAATAACCTCAACTACATGTCCCAGAAGTAACAGGAAATATCAAATTTCAGCAGCTCATGGTGAGAGGAGGCTCACAGTTGCCAGGTGACTTTTTAAACCCCCCAGGGTTGGTTTCCAGCTGTGTGCAGGCTGCATTGGTGTGCCTGCTCTCCTAGGAGCCCTGCCTGCTGCCTACACCCACCACAGCCACTCGTTTTGGCACATCTGATGTAAGCCCTCTGGGATGCGTACAGGTAGCTCCAATTAACAGAATGGCTGTAGGAGGGGGAGACTATAATAACAATTTCATTTATTTCCCTAGAAAAAAAACCATAATGAAACAGCAACCTAGGGGCCCATTTTATGAGAAATCTCCACTGACAGAGGTTCTGCAAATTAGTGATTCTGTGTTTGAGCAAGGTTTCTGGCCTCCAGGGCTGTAAGCAACTCCAGGTCCCTTAACACCGAGAGTCTGTCCTTAACTCAGGAAAGCAAGGAAATTCGAAACCAGAGCTCAAGATGCTTGTAGAATAAGAATTTGTGGTGTTGACTTTAGCCCTGCCAAGGAGGTGTTAACCTAAGTGGCCACTGAAGTTTCTGCTCCAGCATCTGGAGTCGGGCTTGACACTGTTCCTCAGGCCCAAACAGCAGACAGGGGTGGCAAATAAAACCCACTGTACCACACATGGTGGCTGGGAGATCCCACACCGGTAGAAGCCACGCTGGAAGGAGCATGAGGAAATCAGTCTGTCTTCTGTTTTATATGCTGTTCTGCTCTAAGGGATACTGTTACTTTAATTTTTCTTGCTGTAAATTAGTACAGAGTTGAAGGAGACTGAAGTTATTAGGAATCACCTTTTCTCTACCACCTATTGTCAATTCCCACAGGGTGTTAGTACTCAGTAAGTCCTTGATAAGTGATTATTTGATGAATTAACAATCACCACCATCATCATCCACAGATAACAATAATAGCAATAATAACAACAGTAGTACCCACCAGCAGCAGCAGCAGCTAATATTTATTTGGCATCTGCCGTCTCTAAACACTATCTTGGGCAGTCTCATTTGGTTTCATTTGATTATCACAGCCGTCTTGTGGTCAAATAGTGCTGTTAGCTCCATTTTACAGTTGAGGGAACTGAGGCTTAGAGGTTAAGAAGGACGCTCAAGATAGTTGTGGAGCCTGAATTCCAACCAGGTAGCTGGCCCGAAAGCTTGGTCTGGAATTACTTCCCTTAGCTTCCTTGTCATTTTGTACAGTTTGATAACCAGTTGAAGTTAAGAAGGGGAAGAGAAGGTCTGGAGGGCTTTACAACTTGTAAGCATTGGAGACTGGCGAAGGACCTTAAGAGGAATTTCCAATTAACAGTGTTGTCCCTCCAACCACACCTGGTTGGAAATGGAGACTCAAGTCCCCAGGCTTTCTTCTACTGTGGCATCTCCGTCTTTCTGCTCAAGTACAGAGAAGTGGTGGTTGGTATGCTCTGAGCTCACTGACAAACTGGCTTGGTTTTCCATTTTGTTTGTTTTCCATGTCTACTAGTTTTTCCAGTTTTTTTTTCTCGTGGTAATTCAAGTTACTGGGGTCAAGTGAAGATCTCCCCAAATTTTCTTTTTAAGTACACATAGTTTTGAACTTGAAATAACTCTGTATATAATTTCCACCAGGAATGGGTAAGAGCAGAGTTGCCCTGCCTTTGGAGCTCATCACCATTTTAGCATCAGGAAATTTGTAAGTGAAGGGACCTTAATATGAGGTTAGACCTCTCACTTCACAGGTGAGGAAACTGAGACTCACAGCAGTACTAACTGAATGAGCTGGGATGAGGACTTGCATATTTTTAAAAATCTCCTAATCCAGTATTCATTCTACAGGCCTCCCTGGATTTTTGCTTGGGAAAGCTATTTTTAATATAGGTGTAGCATTATGACATAGTTCAATTAAAAGCTAGTTTCTTGCTTAATTTCAAAAGAATGCATTTTATATAGAAAAAGATATGCGAATTCATTATTAGACATCTGGTACAATGTAGCCAAGGCTGCCATGTTGAATCTCAGGAAAATTGCAAGTATCCAGTTTTGACTGAGGGTATGTGTGACGGAAACTCCTTGGTAATGATACACCTAAAATACAGCTAAACGACAAAACAAATGAACAATAGAAACCCCAAGCTGTGAAACTTAAAAAATACACTTGGTGGGAAGTACTGTATAACTAATTATACATTACTATATGCAGAGCTGAGGCAGATTTATTCCTCTTTGGAGGTCACATCTCCTATGAGCAAAATAAAAGCAACAAAAATTGCTACTTCTGCTGCCTCTGCAATTGCTCCTATAACTAACAGCGACTTATTGAACATTAGTCCATATCAGTCAGGTATTGTGATAAATGCTCTCCATTTTGCCATTTAATCCTTACCATGTTCCTATGAATTAGAAGCTGTCATTAGCCTGAGGGTGAAAGAAATTAAATAGTTTGTGGTCAGCTAATACACTGGCCTACGAGACTCCAAAGCCCAAACTTTTATGCACTATTCTCTGTTCTCTATTGACTACATTTGTATTCATTTTGGAGGTTCACTTCCAAACAGATATGAGGTTTGCCAGTTACTTTCTTTTATACATGACTAGTGGCTTCTACTTACAAGCAGTTGTATTTACTTACTTTTTAAAAATGTACCTACATTTATGAGGTCACTTTAACCTCTTCAGTCTCTTAGGTTACAATACTTCAGTTGTAACCTTTGCTGGGAGTATGGAGAGATGACTCATTAGCTGTGCTTTGCATGGCCCTTTGATGTGAAATTCATATTCATGAATGCTGTCATTCTTTCTTCTTATCTCTGTTCCCTTCCGCGTTAGTACTCTCTGCCCTCATTCATTGCTACACCCCTCTTCTCTGACTTTCCATATCCTTCTTTAGTGCAAGTATCTGTTGTTTTACTTTTTGCTTTTTCATCTTGTAAACCCACAGCTCCACTTTCATGGTGCCCTTTCTGTACTTTCTCACTCTGGTTTCAGATTTGTTTAAGCTTTGAGGTCCTTAACATATCACTTCTTAACAAGATGCTAATGTAGTAGATCTCAGCTTCTTGGAGAACATGTTCTTTCAAAGTATTGCATTTGAATTTTGTTAATAGTTTCTACCTTTGATTCCCCCAATTATTTGAGCTGGGAGTTGGATGGAGGGGCTAATGGCTGTTTCCAATCCCTGTTTGTTGACTGAATTCTGGCACCCCCATATCCCAGCTGCACAAGATTTGAGCCTTAATGTTATTTCTCATACTTTTGGCATTTCTCCCCCATGTTGCTAATCAATCATCAGGTTTGCTTGATTGTCTTTTTGTGATGTTTTTCAAATAAATACTTTCCTTGCCATTCCCATGGCAGCCGGACACTCATCCTATTGCTTGCATGTAATCTCCATCTCTCTTCTCCTTCACCCCTTTTTGCACACCCCTGTCAGAACCCAAACTTAGCTTTCACAGAAACCTACACCAGCTTCCTTCCCTTGCGGTTTCCCAGAGTTTGTTTTATAAAACACTAGTGCTGAGGGATAATGATGAGTAATATTTTCAAAACAAGGTTCTGTGATTAAATACACTCAGGAAATGCTGGGTCAAGTAAACTTAAATGTGTTTTCTTACTGCAGAATTCTCAGAGCCCTTAATATGCTGACGTGCATGGTGAAAGAGGTTGGAGTATAGAGTGCCTCCCAAACTAATTTGAGCGGCAGAGCTTTTTTTTTTTTTTTTTTTTAATTTCTACTTATTTTGGCAGAGCAACAGGCAGGATTGATGTTTCACAGGAAACACATCAAGAAATGCTGGTTGTTTGGAATACATTTAAACTTCTCAGGCTGGCAGTAAATCTCAGGCCAATTTATTTAGACAACTTGGGTGTCTTGTATCTCCCGAAGCAGCTCTGCACTCTGGTGCGATTGGCCTCCTGCTCTTCTTGTATAAGCTGCCCTCTTATCTATGTCCATGACTTTATTTACATTCTTCTTTTGGCCTAGAAGGCTTACTTCATTCTAGCCCCAAATCTGTATTTTATGTCTTTTATAGACTACCTCAATTTACATTGTCTTTTCAACAAATCTATACTTTCTAAGTTCATTACAGTCTTACTCAACCCCATTTTAGCCAGCACTAGATAACTATTTGCTAGACTTGCATAACATTTATAATAAGCAAATGAATAATGACTACTCTGAGTATCTCTTATGTTCTAGGCAGCTTTGCAATGCTATCTTTATAATCACCCGGCAAGGTAATTGTTCTTAGAGTCATGTTATAGGCAAACAAATTGAGGTTATGTAGGTAGTTTGTGCATGATTTTATAAGCCTTAAGTGGCAAAATCAGGATTCAAACACAAGACTCTTCAAAGCAATAATATGCTCAATGACTGCCAAGCTCCAAGGAGGCTTTAAAGCTGGAAGCCAGGTTAACTTGGAGTTGTGAAACCCATCTCTTTAGCTTAGATATACAGTTCTCTCAATTGATAAATAAAAACTTCTGGTTTAAGTAGGGAAGAAGATGTTTTAAGGTCGGTTCTTGGATAGTGAGAGTGGCAAAAATGCATCTTCTGTATGAACTGCATATTAACATTCAGTGAGCTTTTAGCATTCTGGAAGGTGCTCTGGAGGACATGAATGAAAAGTTGATACAGACCCTGAGCTCAGAAACATTTAATGTAGTTGGGGAGATGAAATAGAAACACATTAAATAAGAGAATCATATATTATTGTTTATAATTAGCTTATAGATAGGTGTTCCCAGACTCCTAGGACAGCATTGATCAGTCTTTTGACAGGGTCTCTATGAACCTCTGCATTTGAGAGGATTTGAGTGTCTACACATTTCTTCAGATTATCAAAGAGCTCTGTGACCCCAGCTAGTTAACAAGTTTGCAGGATGCTGTGGGGAAAGGAATGGCCTTGAAGCCACAGTGTCTTGGGTTGGATTCCGTCTTACAACTATTGGCCGAGTAACCATGGGCAACAAGGCAACTTCTTCAAACTCATTGCTAAAAAATTAGGGTATGAATATACAATGTGCACAGACATAGTGAGGATGAAAGGGGATAGTGAGGATGAAAGGGGATACTGAAAATACAGAAAGCATCTGGCGTGGTACTTGGCATACACTAGTTATTTTATACTAGCCACGCTGGATTGCTAAGTGTACTAGTTACCTATGGCTGCAGATGACAAATTACCACTCACTGGCTTAACACAGCACGAATGCATTGTTTTATAGTTCTGGAGGTCAGAAGTCTGAAAAGGGTCTCAGTGGGCTAAAATCGAGGTGTCAGCAGGGCTGTGTTTCTTCTGAATGCCCTAGGGAAGAGAATCGATTTTTTTTTTTTTCCTTTTCCAGCTTCTGAAGGTAGCCCACATTCCTTGGCTCCTGACCCCTTCCTCCAGCTTCAAACTTGCAAACAGCAGGTTGAGTCCCTTTCACACTGTAAGGCCCATGCACCTGCCTTCCTCTTTTGCTAAGGGCCCTTGTGAATACATTCACCTCTTTCAGAAGTGCCCATCTTGAGACCAGCTGATTAGCAACCTTAATTCCATTTGCAAACTTAATTCCCTCTTGCCATGTAAATAACATAGTTACAGGTTCTGGGCATTAGGAGGTGGACATGTTTGGGGGTCCATTATTCTGCCGACCACTCTTGGTCATATTAGGCATTAGAGGTAAGTTCTTTTCCCATGTTGTTCTGATTCTGATTTAGCTTTTTGATTTTAACAATAATTTTTAGTAGGGTAGGTTATCCCTATTCAAATGGAGAAATTGGACTCCCATGAATTTGGATTTCTCAGCTAGCTTTCTTGGCACCAGACATAGTTCCCCCATAATGTTCCTGACTTTTCAGAATTTTTTTTCCTAATAGTCTCTTTATTCTGAGAGCATTCATTAATTATTCAGTTAATCGATTAGGCGATTTTGGTTACCTGCTGTATGTGTCATTACACTGAACTATTTTAGTAAGTTCAGTGTGGGCAATTTTTTTTTCACCAAAATATGTTCTCAAATTAATTAACTAACTCATTCATTCAACAGACATTTATTGGTACATAATATGTGTTACAGCAGTAATACTTTTTGAGTAATTAAAAAAAGAATCCATGTATTACATATATACCGTTATATGTTGCTTAATGGTAGGAATATGTTCTGAGAAGTGCATCATTAGGCAATTTTGCCATTATTCGAACATCATAGAGTGCACTTATACACAAACCTAGGCTAAATGGCACACCCTATTGCTACTAGGCTACAAACCTGTACAGTACAAATACTGTAGGCAATGATAATACAATGGCAAGTATTTTTGTATCTAAATACATCTAAACATAGAAAAGCTACAGTAAAAATACAGTATTATAATCTTATGGGACCACTGTCACTCATGTGGTTTGTTGTTGATGGAAACATCATTATGAGGCATGTGTCTACCTGTAGACCCTTCTGTATACATGGCAGTGTGCCAGGCACTGAGGGGTACACATAAAACTTACAAGGAGTTTAAGGTCTGGCTTAGAAGTTAAGAATATGCTAAAACTATAAGCTAAGGAAGAAAATAATATATCATAAGCAGGCTATGAGTTTGGTACACCATATTTTTGACCCCTAAAAGGAAAAACATAGTGTGACTACAAGATAGAGTATTTGAAATTAAGACTGTCCCAGAACATCTGGGCTATGTGGTCAGTTTTGCTTTTGAAATTTAGAGGAAATAGACGACTTTGGCTGAGGCAGCAGGGGTGTTGCTGTGGGAAGCTGGCATTGGGCCGGGAGCTGAAGGATGCATGTGCTGTGAACTGTGAGGGAGTGCTGGGCAGGCATGGGCCATTGCAGGGCCCAGGTGAGGGGGGCCAGCACTGGGCTCCATGGCAGAGGCCTGGATGGTAGCACTGGCTGTGGGTTTGGATGTGTTTTAGATGAGATCTTGTAGTTAGGGACTGCTTACTTTGTTTGCTGTTTTGTTTCAAGTTGGTGAGCTCATGGAATTATGGAAAATATGTGAAAGCAAATTCATAACATTTAACAATGTACCTACACAATATTTCTTGAAATCAGTTTTTTATATACAGATTGGTTACTATTTCTGGTGGATTACAGGTTGGTGGAAAGTGACCTACTCCTCTCTTTTCCACCCCCACCCCCATACATGTTAGATTGTTTCCCATTTAAGAGGCCAAGGAAGGCACCCAGGTGCCACGTGGTGGATCATGTGCTGACCCTTAGGTCCCTTTTGGGCCAATAGCTGTCAGTGACATTCTGTGCAAGATGGGGGGCTCCTGAATGGAGAAGTTCGGGTCGTTCTGGGTTGCACCACAGCCTCTTTCTATCAGAGGCCTCCATCACTGTTCAGGCAGGGCCTAGACAAACAGCCTTTCCTGATTCTTCACTCAAGCTTGGCATCATCACGACGCTTACCTTTCTGGGATTCCTGGAGCCCCTGCATGACACAGTGATCTCGTGGGGCCTGTTTCCCTGCAGTTTGGACTGAAAAGGTTTAAAGCCGTGTTTTTTTATGTGTTGGGCTTCCTCATGGTTAGAGCATTATTTCTGGAAATGCAGTGATCCGTGTAGTAGCAAAGTATGATGAGCTGGAGAGACCTTTCTCTTTGCTGAAGTAATGGACTAAGGATAGAAGTTCCATTCTGTGCTTTCAAAGTGAAAAAACATTTTAAAGACGGGAGAAACCTTACGACATGTTAAGTAAAAAATAGAAAATCAAATTTCATGTACAGAATTATCGTAACTATGTTCAAATAAATACATGCACAAAATTATAAACAGTGGCTGTTTCTTATTGGCAGAAACATGAATGATGCTTTTTCCCCCTTCCTTATGCTTTTATGTTTTTGTTTTGTTGTGTTTGGGGGGAGTAGGATTAGAGTTTACTCAGTTTCTCTTATTTTTTTTTTAGAACATGTGATTGTATAATTTTCCCTTAATTTTCTTTGACAGATGTTTTGAAAATAATCACTGCTCTCAGAAGAAAGGCATTTCATTAGAATAAATATATCCATGACATAAATAAATGTACCTGATGTGGTTAGGAGAAAAGTATTGGCACTATAATTTCAGAGGCAGTGTCACTCTTATTTCTCATAGCAATCTTATTAAGGTATGGAACATCAAAGTGGTATGTCTTTAATCCAGTATTTTTTAAACTTTTAAAGCAAATATTCTTTTTCCAAAAGTATACATAGTCATTGTAAACAATGAAATGTAAGTGTAAATAATAGTGCAAATACACATAAACAAGAAAGAGGAAAAGAAATGTAACACATAATTCTATTACCTTAGAGAAAAAACACTCACTCCTATTGTCTGGTTTTGTACACTTCTGATCTTTTTTACCCCCCTTTACCTGTGCATTTGTATCCATATGTTGAAAACAACTCAAAACAAAGATGAGATCTAATGATTTGACCTACAGGACTATGCAAAAATGTGCCACCAGTCATAAGCTGGCATCTTTCTCCCCATCTTCTGACTTACGCATATTCAAACAAGGTTAGTTTCAGGATGGTCTATTTCTGTAGCCTCCCTCCCTCTGCCTATCACGCCAGGCTTTCCAGAAGAGTGTGACTGGACATCTGGACGTGTTGGACTGAAGCTCATTTCACTGGGTCCACTGGAAAAAATTATATGAGGATGCTGTGTTCTTTTCTGTCCCCTAAGTGTTCTCGAGCCTTTTCCTTTTGCAGCCAGGCAGATTCTTGTAACACTGAGAATTCTCACTTGCAGACACTCTCTAGTGCACAAGTTCACTGCGCCTGCAGGATCTGGCATAGGGACCTTGAGGTGCCAGGAAAAAGGGCCAAGGTTTCAAAATTATTTTAGTTCATGATACAAATGTCCCCAAATGCAACACATAATTTTCAGGCATCTTCACAGTCATGATATTTTGTTGGCCTCTTCAATATTGCTGTCAAACAGAAAAATCATCCCGATTTCCAAACCCTTCTCTTCCATAAGTTAGGGCCTCTTGAAAAATATCTTTCCTGACAGCCCTGTTCACACATGATTTCCCTTGCCCAGAGTCTCCCTGGACATTCTCCATTGCTTCCCGCCCAGCTATGAGCAAGCTCAGGCTTCCCCAGAGTCACTTGAGGCAGTAGATCTTCTGCTGCTTCTATGACGACTTGCTTTGTCATGTAATTGGCCTTATCTACAAGTGCCCACAGTTTGACTCTAAAAAACAAAACAAAAAATAACAACGAATAAAAAACAGAAAAGCATAAGAAAGAAAGTAATGTCACTTATGGCTCTTCCATCAAGGAATAACCACTGTTTTCAATTTTGGGGTGTGTATGTTTTGGCGGGGGTTGTGCATATTAATTTTAACATAGTTAAAATTATCCTGTACATATAATTTTGTCCTTGATTTTTCACTTAACATGTCATAAGCATTTCCTCAGTCATGAAGATTATTCACAAACTTTTTCAGTGACTAGATCATAGTTCATTTTATGGATTGTATTACAAAGTGCTCAGCTGTTTGTTTAATATTGGGAGACAATCTGAATACCAATTTTCTGATGATGCATCCATGATCAGCAGGCATGTAGAAGAGCGTTAGGGTATGTGATGAGTTTTCTGCAACTGTTAGCTATTAGTGCTTTAATTAATGATAATTTTAATGTAATTGGTGTCCCTGGTACAAGGAGAAGATTGCCACAGGAGAGTGTGGGCAGCAGGTTGTGGGCATTCCCTGTGCCTGCTCCCCACTGAGAGAGGACTTCCTCAGGAGTATAATTTCAAAACCTTAGGAGGTACCTTGGCCTTTCCAAGCTGAGGTCCATCTGTAGCATGCTCAAAAGCTCAAAAACGTTGGTTGGTCTGGGAAGTCTTGCTGAGAAGGTGGAGTTAAGGACCTGGAAAAGTCCTTCTCTTCAACTGGGTGCATCTGGTCATCAGGTTACTATGTAGTCCTTTTGTGGCACATGTTGGTATTACTTCCGAACTGTCATTCTCCTGATGCCACTTGGGGTCCCAAAGAACTGCCTTGTTCTCCCTCAACCAAAAAGCAACATTTTCATGGCCAGGGAGAGATTCCATTTCATGGCCAGGGAGAGAGAATGTTGGGGGAAATGTGGGATAGGATGATTTTGGAAGTAATCACATGGAGAAAGGACTGATAAATGCACTCTGAAGAGGTTAGATAGCTGGGAACTAGTTGAGAAGATATGGAGTTAGGAAGGTGGGAAAAGGGTGAAATGTGAAGCAACACACCGTGTAAAATTGGAGTCAGAAGGAAAAGCGACCAAGAAAGGAATAAGAAAGGAACAGAAAGGGAGGGTGAATTTGAGTATTACTGCTGAGCTTTCAAAATGTGTCTCTCCCACCTACTTCTTCCACCCTCCACCCTGAGGAGTGCCTTTTATATATTCTTTCAAGTATTTGTTCATTGAAATTCTCATAAATGCCAAAACTTTTTCTTTTATACTCTCTATTAAATATTGACAAGGAAAACTAATTTAGAACAAGAAATTAATTTATTAAGTTCCAAATGTATGTGCTTTGTATGGAGTCATATGAAATTGACATATAAAATGACATAATATATCATAACATAAAGCAACATTACACTCCAAACACTTTAGAAATTAAAAGCAAATGTTTCCATTGGATCCCCTTGGTGCTATCAGATCAGCTGGCACATCCTTCCTCTGTCTTGACTCAATTCTTCCCTTAGATATTCTGAGAAATTACTTATATGACATTCTCATATTCTTGACCTAGTATTTTTATTCTGGTTATTATTCTTGATCTGGCTATTATTCTAGTGTTGGCTGGAAATTGTGCTTTTTATTTTTTTTTTAATTATTTGGGCTACTATCTCTAAATGGATTCCTCATTTCCTGGTTGTTTCATGCCTTTTTGAAAACGGATAAAATATATTTACATGCAGAACAAACCAACGCCAAGATTTGTTTTAAAAAATAAACAATATTTAATTTTCTATAGAAATCTTAGGGCTGCCCTAAAGTGTAAAACTTTACTTTGATCTCATAAGTATTTGAATTAATGATATTTCAGAATGATGACTTTACTGGAATGTCTTAACTGTACTAAATTATATTTCGTAACTTATTTTTCATCCAGTTTTAGATCATGGTCCTTAGATCAAAACATAGGAATTTTTGGAAAACGTATAAAGACTATCTGTAAATATTATTAGCAATTTGTTTCCTGATACTATTAAACTCGTGTCTGTTTGGCAGTTCTATTGATTTATCCTAGGTAAATACACGGGTGTTGAGTATCAGCTTTCCTTAAGAGCATGAGAAACATTCAGCACACCATGTTTCTAATTTTTTTGAATTAGTTAAATGAAAATCATGCTAATGTCTTGGTGTATTGACATTGATGTTGCTCCCATTTGTTTATTTATATACTTACTTTGCTCTTGTATGTGTGGGTGGTGAAGTAAGGCCAGTTCTTAGTTATCTTAGTTCAGTTTCTTCATTCCCTACGTTAAGATCATGGAAGCATATCTAGGCTACAAAATAGGCATGCTTTGAAAATTCAGAGGTTTTAAAATGACTTTCAAGTATAAAAGAACCAGAAGTATTCTGAGTATTCTGTGAGGTTTGACACGAACCTTTAAAAACGACCACTTTTTTTTTTAAGTTGATTTCCCTTAGTGCATTTCTGCTAAGGCTTCCCCTTACCCAGCAGGTGCCCCTGATTTCTCTGTGAATCCTTGGCTTGGTTTGTGACCCGGCTTTTGTCTCTCACTCCTCCGCAGAGCCCGGCGTTTGCACGGTGTTTGGAGATCCCCACTACAACACTTTTGACGGTCGGACATTTAACTTTCAGGGGACGTGTCAGTACGTTTTGACAAAAGACTGCTCCTCCCCTGCCTCGCCCTTCCAGGTGCTGGTGAAGAACGACGCCCGCCGGACACGCTCCTTCTCGTGGACCAAGTCGGTGGAGCTGGTGCTGGGCGAGAGCAGGGTCAGCCTGCAGCAGCACCTCACCGTGCGCTGGAACGGCTCGCGCATCGCGCTCCCCTGCCGCGCGCCACACTTCCACATCGACCTGGATGGCTACCTCTTGAAAGTGACCACCAAAGCAGGTGGGGCGTCTGTGGCCTCCCTCTTGCTCTAGCCTCCGCCTCACTTACCCGTTCAGCAGCACTGCTCGGTTAGAGCACTCAGGAGATGTGGTTCCTCCTCCGAGCAAAAACCCAAGGCAGAGCCAGGTTCCAACTGCGGGACTTGCCTCATCCCCACTCACAGGGAAGTCACATCCTGAAGATGCCACAAACAGCTGGAGACATTCGGACCGTATGGAGTCTTGCAATTGGATGCCAGTCCCACCAGTCTTGCAATCTTCCCACATCCAGAACCTTTCCATCCTCTGTCTAAAAATAGCAGTTGTACTCTCCACATAACCCCTCTCTCAAGTTTTGTTGCTCTTTTAGGCCGTCGATGCCCAGCTTGGAATTGTCAGTGTCTCCCAGCTCAGCTAGCTATGTGCAGTTTCACATCTGGGAGAAATAGTGTTTCTATGTTAGCATCTGTCCAAGTCTTTGCAGCGGAGTCCTCAAAAGTAAACAGCTTAGTATCAGTGATGTTCAAAAGAAACATAAATGTCCACAGCAGAAGGGCTTGTTCTTGGCAGACTCTGGTATGCAGGAGTAGCCATATTCCACGTGGCTGTTCTATGCCACCGAGGCCCCTTCTTTCTCAGCAGCGCATGGTGCTGTAGGCTCACTGGTCTCTGCCTTTCCACTCCAAGAGCACATATATTCCCCCTTGGGCCAAACTATTTTTGACTGCCAGTGGTCCACGAGGCTCAAACTCTTGTCTGTTACTTGCTACCTAAGAAAGGCATTTTAGAAGCAGAACTCAGTCCTTGAATATCAGCCCCAGAGCATAAATTCAGCTCATTTTCACACTTTGTGTATCATGTATGGTTCCTTCCATGCTACCTTTGGTTAATATATATCTTTTGTCAGTTGGATATTGCACTGCCTTTCCTTTGGCATACTCTATTTTTTTAAAGCATGATACTTCTAAGGAAATCAGTGTATTTCTTGCTGTTTGCATTGATAAGAATTTAACAAGTGTGAAAGTATCAGTTGGATTCCCGTTTCTTTAGATAATGAAACATTTGACAAAGCAGGCACTTTTCAGGGGCTATAGAGACTGTTTTTACCATACCTTCAGAACCCTGGCAATTACTTCAATTCAAGCCAAAAGGTATTTTGATAAGTTGATTTGAGCTTATGGAATGCCAGCCTAGCTAAACTAAGGCAGGAAACCAAGAAGCAGCCCAGGGAGCTTTTAGTTAGAGTATGACATGTTTTCAGTGACAGAATGTTAAGTATTAATATACTGGAACATTTTATAAGGGGAAAAGATTCCTATTCTTTATTTCACAGTTGTGAGAGATCTACTCATTCAAGTTTAGCGGGATTAGTCCTGCTCAGAAAATTCACACACCTGCTCTTATATCCAAAAGACATGGCGCTCTGTAAATGTAGGCTCCAGGACATTCCTTTCAAGGAGGCAAAGTTTTTTGGCTCCCTGTAAAATGTGCGTAAGATGACCCATTATTACACAGCACTAATTAAAAGCACCTTGACTATTTGCAAGCTAGCTGAACACAATAGATTCTACTGATATGGAAATTATTAGTCAACCACAGCCTAGTTCTCAAAGAAATCTTGAGTACTTGAAGATGACTAACAGCCTAAGAGGTTCGATAGTGTTCCATTCGCAGCTGACACAACCTTATGGAATAAATGTACTCTTTACAAAGATTCCATGTTATAAAAATGAGCAAAAGGATGAGGCTAAGAGAATAATAATAGATCATAAATGCCATAATTAGATTAGTGAATTTAACTGTTCTGTGCCTTGAACTCAGTTTTACAATTTCTTTTTTTTTTCTATCTCTCTTTCCAAGATGCAAGTAATTTTCATGGAACTCAATACCCAGCTGAACAATTTCCTGTAGCACACGAATCACACAAGCCCTCTGCTTCCTAGAGAAGAATTCTATTCCTCTGGGCATTGAACTTACTTTACACTTATTCTTTGAATGAAACAATTCTATTTCCAGACAATGGTGTTTTCCACCCTAGTCTTTCCATCTCAGTTTGAACTACCCTTTAGGGATATTATCTTTTTACCACCTATTGATTATGTATTTGAAATATCACAGCATTTCCTTTGAGTGTTCTTCCATAGATTTAAAAAAAAATTTATAAGCTCATGTGATCAAGGGGCACTTTCTTCAAAATAGCAAGTTTCTTCAAAAACTCAAGCCTGCAGCTGGAAGATGGGAGATGGGAGGAATGACTCTTTGACCCTGCGGTTTATGTGCTCCGCACTTACGATGGGATTATTTGGCAGGGTAACACAGGTGGCTGTGTAGTTTGGGTGGAATTAGGCTGTAGTTGCGTAGCTAATATAAAAAGCAGGGTAGAACTAAGGCTTAGTAGCTCGAGAGAGCATTGTCCACTTCCACCACACACTCCCACCCCAACTCTTGACACTTAGCAAATAATTTTAAAATATTTCCTTTCTACCATCTGTTCACTTCATCAACTTTACCTGAAAGAATTACATCACATCTACCTGAAAGCATTAACACATGGAGAGCATGGCTTTTTACTTTATTTTTGGTAGAGCTTTACACTTGATGAACCCAGAGAATACATCCTACCTTCCCCTTTCTTTGGTGTAAAATTTGAATAGAAAAACTATCAATTTGTAAACCTCACTATGGTATAGCTACAAATTTTGCACCTCCTCTCTCCTTTTTGCACGTTCTCTCTCAGTGGACAACAGCAAAAGCAACAATAACAACCAGGAAACAAACAATGCAAAACAACAATATCCACAAAATTAAACAAAAACCACAAAAAACCCAACTAGTGGTCTGGAGCTAGGTCACATATTTGAAGGGGGAAGAACAAGTTGGTAAAGCATTCACTAGTAAGAAGGGAAAATTGGAAGGCCCTTCCTGCAGTGGAAGGAATGTGGCTGCTGCTCGCATCCCCAGATGAGACATATGCTTCAGCTTTAGCCTTCTGACTCTGCCAGTTATTTCTACCCAATTTCCCATGCAGAGAATGGAGAAACTCATCCCAGCTGCAGGAAGGACTATCATCAGCCTCTCAAACCCTTCCATGATGTTTTCATCTCATAAGATGCCTATTTAAAATATTATTTGGAAGAGCAATTCCCTCAATTACAACTTATTAGTTTTTTTTTTTTTTTTTTTGGTCTTTCACTACTGTAATCTACTTTGTATGGATTTTGCTCATGTAGAGGGTAAAAATATCCATGCAAATGCATATGTAGATGATATAGCCAGACAAGGGCATCTGTAGTAGAGTAAGTCATCCCTTCACAATGCAAAGCCTAGCATTGGTCTGTGAAAAATCTTCTTAATGTAATAATGGCAAGGAGAAAGAGGAAGACAGGAGAGTGAATTACAAATTATTCTCTTACTTTGGGGATCGTGTTTTATGAATGAGATGTCACGAGTTTTGAGAAGGGTTTACTGGAAACACGGCAGATCTGCATCTTTCAAAGTGTATGGACCACCAGTCCACTGCAAAGAAAGAACACAGTCATTCACTGTGAGTTGAATTCCCATGAACTCAGTTGCCCCAAGTCTCAAATTTAGTATAGCATTGTCAGTAGTAAAGACGTTGGAAATCCCTGGTGTGTACATTCTCAACCATTTGTGGTACTTAGAAGAACAGTATTTGCCTGCTGTCTAGGAAAGAGATTTGTAGTTTGGAAAATTTTGCAACATGGAAAATCTTCAGAATTATGCTGTAAAAGTTAGACTTTGTATGGAGTTGATTTTCTCCCCTCATTTCTCTTGCTGGGCAGCTGCCTAGCTACAGGCTTGTGAGGTCAAGTTTCTTCAATACCTGACAGAGTGTATTACAAATCATCTTATAGTTTGCTTGTCATCTTTCAAAATGGTTATTTCGGTGTCTTGACAAGCATGAAACTCACAATGTCTTTGGCTTCACAGATTGAGTGTATCAGTGTTACCGGGGTAATTCATTTATTTACTGAGTACGTACTATGTGCTATATAACGTGTTGGATGATAGGGTGTGAAGAAATAGAATTCGTTTTCTATGATAGTTGTAGTTGCCAGAGTTGACATGGTCTTCTCACAGAGATCCACATGGGAGGTCAGCCCAGCCTGTGGGTTTCCAGCTGTATGTCCCTTCTCTCATACCTGGTCCCATCACTGTCTTCTCCTTATCAAATTATTCCCCAAAGAGACTTTCCTATGGCTCTCTTTCTTCTTTATCTAAGTCTGTTTAATTTCTTTTCTGAACTCAGACTCTTCTCTCAACCAAGAAATCTCTAAAATTTTTTTTGGTCTAAGAATGTTTCTATTTCTTCCATTGACCATACAGTGATTTCCTTATGGGTCTTTCCATTTATTTCTTGAGAAACCCAGTTTTAGACTGTGGGTTATTCTACCAGTATCTCTCTTTGAAGTAACTCTTGTGGCAGTTGTATGACCTACTCATAGGAATGCTATCTGTCAGCCTTCTCTCCTCTTGGACTATATCCAGACTTCAGGTGTATTGGCTTAGGAGTCTTACCTCTGGGTGTTTCTTCCTGATCTTCCACACATCACTCTGATGTTGCTGCCTTATGCCAATTTCATATCTAGACAAGATCCTCTCTCTCTCTCTCTCCTTCCCTCCCACACTCCCTCCCACTATTTCTCTTGTCCCATCACCACCTCATCTTCCAACTTCTGAACATTTGCTCATCAGCTTAATCTTGATCTTTCAGGAACAAAAAGCCTTTTAGGAGGAAAGTCATTTTGCTCTTTCCAGCAGCTCAAAACAGGCAAAATGAAAAATGTTTTTGTCAGGATCACAAGAGGAAAGATTTAAAAAAAAAAAAAAAAAAAAGGCCGCATGCAGTGGCTCACGCCTGTAATCCCAGTGTTTCGGGAAGCCAAGGCGAGTGGATTGCCTGAGCTCAGGAGTTTGAGACCAGCCTGGCCAACACAGTGAAACCCTGTCTCTAAAATACAAAAGATTAGCTGAACATGGTGGCATGCACTTGTAGTCCCAGCTACTCGGGAGGCTGAGGCAGGAGAATTGCTTGAACCCGGGAGGTGGAGGTTGCAGTTAGCTGAGATCGCACCACTGCACTCCAGCCTGGGCGACAGAGCAAGACTGTCTAAAAAACAAACAAACAAAACACATGGCCACACGGGGTAAGTGGGCAGAGACCATTCTGTTAAAAAGAAGCTTCCTCTGTGGGTGCCAGTCTTTGGAGACAGAGAGTGAATTAGGAGAAGTCCCAGGGCCGAAATACACCTTGATCCACTGTAGATGTTTCTTGGTGTCCATGCCACAGGTGGCCACTTGCATTCACTAGTACAAAGTTCACCCATTCACTGGGGAGACTCAGGCACTGCCAGGGTGTTGCCAGAACAGTAAGAAAACACACATTTGAGACATAAACAAAAACTCTGGCTAGAAAAGTTTGTCATTTGTTTTGGGTTGAACCTCAGAAGACTTTTCATGAAAGCCTCTCCTTTCTTTTATGGGTGGTATCTTCACACACAGTGTCAGAGTGGATATGACAGCATTTCTTCTTGACCTTCTAGTCAGATGTATCTATGCTGTGTGACAGCATAACATGGCTGTTCTACCTGTGACATAAAAATTCCACCATTCAGAAGAGTCATTGGCCAGTGTGGCTCCTGGAAGTCTTGGGCCAGCATGTCTGGAGGTATATGCATACTTTCAGATAATTTCTTCAGCATTTTAGATAGTCAGCTTAGCAAACCAAGAAGGGTCTAAGTTCTCTACATTCTGGAGTAAAGAGAATTTCCTTGATGAACCAGCAGTACTGGCCTGCTGATGTATGCACAAGAAGAACTCTTGCCCATGGCCTGGTAGCCTCCACCACCGCCTGAAATGTTGAAGCTTTTGAGCAAACCCAGAACGGAGGCCTGAGGGATAGCAATTAGAAGGGTTTCACAACAACTCAACCCCAAACCCCAAGAAATGTTAATCAAACAGTGTCCATGCCTCAGGAATGGTTGTAAAATAATGAGGGAGCAAATGTTTTCATTATATCAGTGTTGCCTTTGAAGGGGATATATTCAGAAACTAAATATTGATTGCTTTAGTATTCTCATTATAGGAAATGATTTGGAAATTTTCCTTTGGCATTGGGGGAATAATTACATGGTGGAATTTCTGGCTGTAAATAATTGCATTAAAAAACAATCATCTTTTTTTTTCCATTTGCACATTGTAGTAGTCATTAGATAAATGAAGGCATGATTTGGACCAACATGATTACCTTAGGAAAAGGGAAAAATATAAACCCTAGAATAGGATGTCAAGGGATAGTCATCTGTAGGTCAAACCAGGGGTACATAGGATGTTATCAGGACAAACTTTATACGGTTTAAAAATTCTAAGCTCCAACCAGCAAATGACTCAGATAATTTCACACATTATTCACTATAGTGAGATTAAGAGGTAACCAAGAATTTGGACCAACCCTTGGTGCTCCTTATTGGAGGACAGTCAGTCATATGTTCTGTGTAAGGATGTATACATTTGGGAATTATTAGTGCGTTAATGAGTGATTGATTTCCTTTTCCTCTCCTCCTCCTCTAGGTTTGGAAATATCTTGGGATGGAGACAGTTTTGTAGAAGTCATGGCTGCGCCGCATCTCAAGGGCAAGCTCTGTGGTCTTTGTGGCAACTACAATGGACATAAACGTGATGACTTAATTGGTGGAGATGGAAACTTCAAGTTTGATGTGGATGACTTTGCTGAATCTTGGAGGGTGGAGTCCAATGAGTTCTGCAACAGACCTCAGAGAAAGCCAGTGCCTGAACTGTGTCAAGGGACAGTCAAGGTAAAGCTCCGGGCCCATCGAGAATGCCAAAAGCTCAAATCCTGGGAGTTTCAGACCTGCCACTCGACTGTGGACTACGCCACTTTCTACCGGTAAGTACAGTGTTCTGGGGAATGGTTTTGGGTTGCAGACCAATAATAGACTTGACCTTGGAACATGGTGTATGAAATCTCTTGTTGTGCAGGACAAAGGCTCAAAACCCAGGGTAGGCATCTTCTTGCTGTCCAGGAGCTGATCTCATCTTGAGTCAGCCCCATTCTAGGTCCCAAATTGGGAAATTCAAAGAAGTATTTCAGAGCGATGTCCTCCAGGCAATTCCATGCTTTTATAGGTCTGCACGTTTACTGGAAAGCTGGCTACACTGCAGGGTTTTTCCAGGTGTTAGCTTAACTCTAAGATTGAGGAGGGCTTCCCAAATTCTGGCCTAAACCACAGTAGTACAAGGCAGAGCTGGTTCCCCTAAACGGAATCTCAAGTCACTTGGCTGCCTTTGGGTGTTTGAATGAGTCTGGTTATTCTACCTGAGGAAGAGTTTAGGTCTGCCTTATGGTCTAGCCCACATCAAATGTGCACATGGAAAATAAGGAAGCAAAATGAGAATTATTTGGATCTTGGCCAACTGTGAGACTTCACGTCTAGAGTCAGATGACAGTAGAAACAGGGCTTGAGGATGGAGGGAGGAAGGACTCTTATTAAGACTCAGGACTCCATAACCTTTTCTAACTCTTTTTAACCCCCTTCCACGCAAAGCAACTGGTTACAAAGGAGACTTGGATTTGACTTCCGCACTGCAAGGTTGTGTTTCTGAGTTGATGAGTTTGGCCTGGGTGTACTTCCATTTACTACACAATTCCATGGGTTCAAGAGCTATGGCTGCCTATAACTTTAACCACTGTGGGTGTGGGAGGAAACACAAGATGAACACAGCCCAAAAGGCCTTGTTTAAGTGATTTGCCTGTGCCTCTTAAAATTAGAAAACTCCTGTGGTCTGAAGCCACAGAGAGGTTATTTTTACTCTTTAATTACCACCAGTTTATTTCCCCTAGTTCTCATTAAATATGATTTTTTTATTTGATCTTTGGACATAAAAGATAAAGTTCTATAAAGGCGGCTCGAAGTGGGGTGGAAAAAAGACTGTCCCTGTCATCACAAATCCCCGAACATGGCTGTATGTGCCAAACCATTTGGCTCCGAGTCATGGGTTTAGCTCCTTCAAGCCATTTTCCTGTTATAACTTGAATTCTCTGGGTTCCCTTCTTTCTCCTCTCTGTACCACCCCTAGACTGACCTCTTGTCTAGTGAAACTGAGGGATCTTAACGTGAGACTTTGCAGTGAGTTAAACAGCTAGATAGACAAACCTGGCTTTATTTGGAATCTAAAAACCCTCACTTGAAGGTCTGATGGAAAGCAGTAGAATATAGCAATTAAGAACTTTGTGGTGCCCCAGGATTCAAAATCCAGCCCAGCTATGCAACCTAAAACAATGACCTAAGCTCTCTAAACCTCACCTTACTTATCTGTGAAGTGGGGATAATAAAAGAACCTACCTTGAAGAGTCGCCATCCAGATTCAGTAAGATTATGAACATGAATGCATGTGCTTAACACAATGCCTGCACATAGTCAGCGCTCTATAATTGTTGCCATCATTTCTTCCGTGATTAATTCAGTAATGAAGAAGAGTAAGATCTCTTTTGGAAGCTCCTCTATCCTGTTTGCAAATTTGGATTGGACCCTTCTCTGCTTAAAATAGAATGGAAAGGCTGTGCTTCTCCCAGGGCCAAGCAGCCTACACCTTTGATTTTTATCCCATTTCAAAGGGATGTATTGAAAACAAAAATTGGAGAGAAGGTCTGAAGAGATTAGTTTCTTTTTTGAATTTCTATGCTTTTTGCCTTCGGTGATTTATTTAGTGTTATGATTTCTGGACTGCAACAGAAATATGATGAGCGCTTCAACAGAAGTTACGAATGATGACTTGGGCACTTATGAATAAAGAGCATTGGATTCCTTAGGTGGCCAGGCAAATGCTCCCCTTCTGCCCTTAATGATTCTACAGCATCTACAATGGAGGATGCTTAGCTGTGTAAAGGGCTTGATGCCCTGAGTTGGGCAGCTCATGAGAATGTTCTTGGGATCCTTGTGCATGGAGATTTAGAGGCCAGGATGTGGTGGGAAGTAGGCTTGTGCTCTCCTGATCAGTGTCATTGTGTCATGGTAGAGTGCCCTTCCACAGTGGGCCACTTCTTCCTGGAAAGGGCAGAGGAGCTCAGGAAGGAGAGCTGGGCAATTCTGCCTGCCCTGCCCTCTGCTGGTGATCTCACAGTCCAACAGGAGGATGCACCTTCATGAACCTGAAAGGGAGAGTGGCCAGTGTTGGCCAGATCCTGTTTCTCCCCCTTATTTCCAAGTGCATGTGTGGCAGAAGAAGAAAATAAACCAGGTGCAATGTGGAAAGATATTCTCTTCTCAGTGGAGCTCCAGAAAGGACCTAACCTCAGGGTTTGTAGGAGACTTTATGGAGCAATGGACTGAGAATGAGCCGTGGGGAAGGGGACAGCAAGCTGGACTCCAGCCCAGCTCTGCCACTGTTAGCAGTGTGCCCTGGTGGCTAGCTGAGTTCAACATCCTTTATCGAAAGAACTGATACACAGTAACTACCTGGCAGGATTGCTCCTCTGAGGACTGAGGCCAGTGGAGGGTACAGCGCTGGCACACGGTAGTCCTGGCACAGAGCGTGCTGCTGTCCTGTATCTCTTACTTTCTATGGAGAAGCTTGCCCCTGGATTCACCGTTTACCTTTCTGATTGTCCACATTTTCTCCTGATGTCATCACGGAGGACTGATTACATAAACTCCCCCTGATGCATCTGTGGAACAATCTCAAAATCAACTGTTTCTCTTTTGCGACACTTCCTCCAGGTAGTGTAAGTGACGATTGCATTGCAATCGTTTAAAAAACTATTGTTTTTTGTCTCATGAGAATGTCATGTGTTCATTGTACTTGTAAATAATGTTGAAAAAGTAAGGCAAAATCAGCAATCATACATCCCACACATGTAAATTTTTGCTGGTACATTTGATATCATTGGTGGAATTTCTAAAATGAACCCAAAAGTATAGTCAGATCTGTGGCTGTGACACATTTTTTGAGCCCTTACAAGACTCAAAAATTTATTTTATTTTCCCCCCATTCTCCAAAAAATATCTGTATTTTCCTTTAAGGACAAAGAATGAAGTAGCATAACACACCCAAATAACTTTCTGAGCACCACTGTCTTGTAACAGAGGGAAGGGAGAATGCAAATAGAGTATTTTTTCTGAGAAAATATTACCCATTTTGGGTTTCCTTACTCTTACAACAAATCCCACAGGGCAAATTCTATGATAATTATGAGATAATGCTTCTTATAAGGTCAAAATAATAATGACAATGTCTCTGAATTAGGTTTTACTTTTGAGATGTCTATGGTTTATTTTATTTTATTTATTTATTTTTTTGAGACAGAGTCTTGCTCTGTCACCCAGGCTGGAGTGCAGTGGCGCAATCTCGGCTCACTGCAACCTCTGCCCCACAGGTTCGAATGATGCTCCTGCCTCAGCTTCTCAAGTAGCTGGGATTATAGGCGCCCACCACCACACCCGGCTAATTTCTGTATTTTTAGTAGAGATGGGTTTTCACCATGTTGGCCAGGCTGATCTCGAATTCCTGACCTCAGGTGATCTGCCTGCCTCAGCCTCCCAAAGTGCTGGGATTACAGGTGTGAGCCACTGTGCCCACCCTGCAATGTCTATGGTTTATAACTCCTATTTATTTTGGTCTTTTATTCAATTTAACATTTTTAATAGTAAACAGTCCAGTGTGTAAGTACTTGAAAAACTACCACTTTGTAAATGAATGAGAAATTACTTCATAGTAATCAATATTTCTTTATTTTTTTCTGTTTTGGGAATTTTTTTTAAGCTTCACAAATCAATTTGACCCATTTTGGCTAATTTGGCATAAAAATTTGATATATAATTAAGTTCTTTTCAATCAGCATAGCTTGCTTTAATTAACTAACTGAATATGTTTGGGTGCAAAATAATTTAGTTACAAACTGCAGAAAAGTTTTAACCAAATGCATTGATAACACATCTCAAGTCTTAGCTTTGCTAATTGACTTCTCAAATTAGATAACCCTCTTTAATAATTGTTTGCATTATCCTTTATTAGTGCATTATAGAAATTCCTGGGAGCTGGAGAGGCAGTGTACTGTGTACCCACCTGGAAAAATTAACGTGAAGTTGTTTAGATTATATTTGGATTCAAATGTAGGCTACCTCGAAGAGAAAAAGTGTTGGGTGTGTTCTTGCCTTCTTTCTCCTTTTTCATCTCATATTCATCTCTCTTCTCCAGCCTCATATTGCTTCTCCCTTCATGTCCCAGATGCCAACCGAGCAATCCAAGAGGAATAGGCAAACTCGCACCACAAAGGCTCTCTGGAGATCCTTAGCAGCCAGTATCAAACCTACCTTCCCGCTGTGGACTTAGGCCACAGGATAGGACAAGCCCTGGGCAGCCTGGGGCACAACGAGAGGCCAGGAGATGAGCTATGCCTTTGTGGGTCAAACTGGGGAAAGTTTTTTATTCCTTGTGCCTATGAAATACCAGCAATGGGCTTTTTCCCTAACTCGACTCACATCTTGGAAGAAATTGTTGCAAGTAAGTATAACTTGCCCACAAAGCAGAACTCTTAAGTTAGGGCAGGACTGCATTTCAGAGAAGTCAGAAAAATGAATGTGAAGTGCAGTGAAGCCCAGACATTTAGAGACCACAATCATCTCAAGACTGTTTTCCTCTCTGCACTCTCCTTGACGGGGTATCATTCACCAGAGCGAAAACCCTGTTCACTTGTTCAGTTTGGGAAAGTGTCTGGGGATTCCCAGTCTAGGAAATGTTCTTTTCCTTCCATGCAGTGGATTTTACAGCTGTAAGGAATTGAAGTCATGCCAGAGGATTCACAGATGTGTCCTTTCCTGTTGAGGTACTGGGAGGTAGGAGGTGGGAGGTCGTGCGGGAGAACACTGGAACTCTGACAGGACCTTCGTGTTGGATATACTGGGATCCTGGGACTGCCAGTGGCTTGCATCCAGGGGAAGATCACAAACTTCCTGAATGACTGACTTTGTATGTTCTTACAAAGGAAACTGATCACTTATTATAAAGCAATAGAAAATATACAGGCAAGGGGTACAGACTTTATGTGTTTGTGTATGAGAAAAATCATATAAAGCTAAATGCTATTCTATAATTAAAATCAAGTCAATTTCCCCTACTTCAAAGAACAACATGCTTGAAAACATTTTTGTTTACATCTTGTAATGACTTGTCAAGAACTGCCATTAGAACTAGGGTCCTAAATCAAATGGGATGTTTTATTTTAAAGTGTGACATTGTATGCCTTTTATTTTTCCTTAGCCGACTCAACTGTTAGGTCACACTGAGTTCGTAATTAAGGTATGCTGACACCAGGTGGCAGTAGACACCGCAGTTGTAGCACTTATCACATTTCAGTCCTTAAAAGTCTGTTTTTAATTCACCGTGTCTACAAACACAATGAACATCCCTGCCTCTGAGTTCATGTCATTCTCCTGCCTCCCTAAGATGCCTTCACTTTCTACATTGATTTAACCCACTTATGCCTAGTGTTCCATTTTTGGAACTCTAAGCATGTAGGAGTTATTTATATCCTACTGCTCAAGGTCATCACCAAGGTCTGATTGAAAAAATTTTTTAAAAATGCAACCTCAGGCATGAATTAAGCTGAAGACACAGCTCCAGTTTCATCCTAGACTTTGGAAAATGCTCTTTAGTTTTTAGTTATTCCAATTGTGCTTATTATCATTTAACTCATGTTCTATGTTGCACTGCTTCTTATTTCTTCAGCATTGGATTTTAAGTTCTCTGGGGAATGGGGAGCCTCTTCTTTTTTGACCCTTTTGTATTTCACCCAGCACCACCCATAGAAGGGCTGCTTCTCCTAGCCTGCCTTTCACTGGCATCCTCTCTGATCTCCTTGTGACTTTTGCTGTCCCCAATTCTGAGTTCATCTTAGGTCTTTATCCCCATGCACAATTAGACACTTACAGTCAAAGTGTGCACACTTCTCTGTCTTTTCATGTAATAAACTGGTCAGAGTGAGTAGAGTCTTTGGTCCACCTTTGATGCTCCAAATGCCGTGAGCACTTCTTATTGCACAAGTCTATTTGCAACTCCCAGTGGCAGGCAAGATGACCCTTCTGAATCTCTCCATCTACCTCTGCCTATTTATAATTCACAAGTCTCTTGGACCCCCTGGTTCCTCTTCTGTCCCTCAGGTAGTGTTTGGGCTTGTCGTCTTCTTATGAAATACTCGCATCCACAGATGTTTCTGCCCTGACTCTCTCAGTTTGCCTGAGGTCCTCAAACTAGCCTCTTCTTGTATGGTGTTACAACAACTGGACCTCCAATGGGGTGATTAGTCCTTTACCTTGGCGTCACTCAGCAATTTGCCTAATAGTCGCATCCCTTTTGCCCTGTCATTGGCTCTGAGCCTTCTGTCAGGCTGGACTCAAAGCTTTATGGTGATTTCCCTTCAATCTTTCATTCGTTCTTCTCCACCTCACCCACAAGTAGGCTTTTTCCTGTTTGATCCATCCAAGTCACCCAAAACAAGGATCTTAAAAAGCTTTCTAGCTACCTGAATTTTAGCTTCAAAATCTGGTCAGTCCAATTTTCTTGGAGCCCAAGTAAAAAGAAAGACACGAATTCATTCAGAAAGGTATGAAAATGTATGGAACATCATTTTATCCAAGTCTAAAATCCTCTTATGTTTAATTTTTCATCTTGAAGAAAGACAAATACTGTTTCTTTAAAAAGAGAAAATATAGAAAACTATTCATATCTTAACAGATAGATTAATCTTTGTAGAGAGATTGAGTCAACTGTATAGTTAGCCAGCTTCAAAGTTAGAAAGGGCACAGTCCACACAGGACTACTCTCACTTCTGACACCACAAGTTTAGAGGTGATCCCAGAGGACTCTCAAGGTCAGGAATTTGCTAGAAGGAACTCAAGTGGTAATACTCATGGGTGTGATTTATATTATAGGAAAAGGATATAGATCAAAATCAAAAGAGATACATAAGGCAGAATTGAGAGATGTCTAAACATAGAGCTTCTGCTGTCCTCACCTCGTGGCATCATGGGCTGGCATTAACTCCTCTTGTCCACAGTATCCACTGGGCATTGCCAACCAGCAATGCTCACCCAAGCCTTTGGTGTTCAGAGTTTTTATTGGAACCCGATCGCATGCCACCTGCATGGATGATCTTATCTTCTAGCCCCTCTTGGAGGTGTAATGTGCTAATGCTTTTGGTCTTCAATTTCTCTAGATGTTGGAAATGTTATTGCATAGCCCAAAGCCCCATACTAAATCCTATTGTTAGACTGTCTAGTGACCAAATGCCTCAGGCAAAAAACACACTCCTGTCAGGCAGGACATTCCAGGGGCTTAACGATTGTCTCTTTGTGGCCAAAGGCAGAGGGCAAGACCAGACTCTCTTTGGGCAAGGTTAATTCTTTACTGCATAACCTTCCTAGGTCAAGGTTAAATGCCATTTTGATTTGATTTTATATATTTAGCTCTAAGTTTATTTTAAGCATAAACATCCTGGAATTTTATAGTGTTTCTCCTCAGAAAATTACATTCTGAGATGCAATTAGAAGGGACTTTTGAGCACAGATTTGAATAAGTGTCACTGTAGCAGGTAAAACACTAATTATTTTGTAGCATCTCTTTTGGCTGCTTAGGGGACTTCTTGATTACTTCTTAGCAGGAGGCAGAATGGTGTAACTTAATTATATTTTCATTATTTATGGGTGTAAAGATCTTTGCATGCATGAGAATGAGGCTGACATGAGGAGTGTTTTCCTCATTTTACCGTGTAGCTAATTGAGGCACTGAGAGGGGAAGGGACTCATTCCAGGTCGCCTGCGCAGCTGAGCAGCTAGCCTGACAGGCACACCTGGTCTGGGGGCTCCATCAGAGAACAGTCAGAGTGTACACACTTCTATCACTGTCCACTCGGGTTTTCAAATATCCTGTTCTGCCATGAGCTCTCAGAGGAGGAGTTTATCAGTTATTTAATTCACTCCTTTTTACAGCTTTCAGCTGAACACCTGCTACATGCTAGGTTCTGTCATAGGGATGGCGATTTGGAACTTAGCAAGAGAGACAAAGCTCTTCCTTCAGAAAATCATTGCCTAGTGTGGGCAGACAGCTATGCATGAGAAATAAGGCCATCCTGACTGCAAGAAGAGTAATGGTGGGAATAGGGTAGTGTGATGGGGTGGGCCTGGGGGTGGCCGATTTTGAGGTAGGTGGGCAGGAAAAGACTGTGTGGGGAGCTCTCCCTTGAAGGGAACGTGCCCTCTGGGAAGAGCCAGTGAGGAGGCAGGCAGGGGAGCAGCAGGTCCCACACTGGACAGGGCAAGGCCTGTTTGAAGGCCGCCATGACTGCTGCTTTTAGAAAAGGACAAGTACAATGGTACGAATGAGTGTGGTACAGGTGTCAAGTTGGTTTTGCAGCCAGACTGCCTGGGTCAACTTCTGAGCTCCTTAACTTGCAAGCCCTTGCTGTTAGGCAGGCGAGCTCACCCACTGAAGCCCCTGATTATTCCCCCATGTGTAAAAGGGGATGCGGAGAGGACCTACCCCATTGCTATGAGGGTTTGTGTGAGGGTTGCATCAGTCATTCCAGATAAGGCACGTATCCAGGCCTGGTACAGAGCAAATGCTCAGTCAAGGTCAATTTCATTATTAATATAATTTTATTATAGAAGCCTGTTCTGTGTGGTGTTTACCTACCTTCAGAACGTCCTATGCCATCTGGTGCCAGTACTTGAAGAGGTTTTCTTCTTTATTTTACATGGTCATTGCTAGACTCGTTCGGAATAACTTCTTCCCATTCTGTGCAGAAATTGATACTGTTTCCTAAAATGAAACAAAAATAAAAATAAACACAAACACTTTGGAATGAGTTAAAATTTCCATAATGCACTTTTCATAAATTCTTTCAATGGATAAGATTGAACTGAAGGGGAAGGTGCAGAAAAGATAATTAATTCCATAAGATGAATATACAACTCTGAACTTGAGAAATAATCAACTCGCCCTCAGTGTGCTTTACAGGGTGGAGGCTGAGAAGGAGCTCAGGTGTCTTGTTTTGTTGTTTGTAGGGGTAGAATTCAGGCTGTAGGAAAAGAAGAAATACATGACAAATTTTAACTTTTTTCATGCTCATCTTCCTTGCCTTTGTAAACAGTAATATGAGTATAATTTAATTTTATGTGATAATTCAAAGTTAATGTTGGCGTGTCAGTTGCAGTTAGGACCACCTTTCCTAGAAGACCCTTGAAAGGGGAAGGGACTTCTGAGATCTCCTTGGTATTTCTATCTTTAAGCTTATGTCTTTTCGTTTTAGCTTCCCTTTGCCCTATTGCCTTCTCCTCATTGGATGGAGAAAATAATGTTAGTTCATTTTGTATGCAAATGAAATATTGAAAGATTCTGAAAGAAGACTCAAAGTTCTCTCCTCTGAGAAAAGTGAAAGAACTTGAGGACATGAGCTGTATTTTTTCCCTTTTCCCAGGAGTTATCAGACAGCTCAGAGCCAAGTTTATGACCCATTTCTATCCAATATACAGAACTTCCAGGCATGATTTTTTTTAGTTAACCTCAAGCCTGGTTTTATTTTTATCTTTCCTGTTTCTTTCCTCTCATTCACATTGCATTTTATTTTATTCTGCATGTAGTTTTGTAAGCTGACTTAAATCCTTTCTGGAACAAGTTGGAGAGTAAGTGACAGTGGCCATTGGCAAAGGATCTAACGCTTCTGAATTTCCTTTTTTTTTTTCATTATGAAATAGAGATAATATCTTCACCCAACAGGTTCTCATGAGGCTGGATGAGGTTTCCCTTGTAAATCCCAGATGGAATGACCAAGGTGTCTCTTTCTCCTCGTCACATCACCAGCAAGGCCTAGTGGCTCTTGTGCGAACAGGCCTGAGTGCTGTGGTATCAGGTCGCCCTTTGAAAAATCAGGATATCCACCTGGGTGCCAGAACTCCTTGCAAGCAAGAGGACCTGGGGTGGGTGTCCTCAGAGGTGGCCCTGTGTGGGCTGGTTTCCATCAGGCCACATACAGATTGGTTGGAGCTTTGATGCATTATGAGGCCAGCATCATGACTCAGTGAAACCACATGGGCAGGCACAGCATCTTGTGAAATCAGCTGGTGTTCTGGCAGCAGCAGGGGCCTCTCAGAGAAGGCACACTGGCCTCTGTGCTGTTTTGGGAGCAGTATCAGGGCTTTGGGCTTGGGCTCAGAGCTGTGCTGGGTTTGACGGCCATCCAGGACTCTGTCCGTTTCCCAATCAACTTGGCAAAAATTAAAATTGATGGGGGCATGTGCAAATACGAAATAGGAGTGGAGGCTTTTGCATTCCTGGACACTCCAACACATTGTACTCTGTTTATTCGGAAATCTGAGACTCAGTCTCATTTTTCTTCTGACTTGGCAAGTAAAAGGAGCAGCAGGGTTGCTGCACTGTCCATGACACTTGCACACAGAGATGGAGCAGTTGTGTAGCCGAGACCAGATATTCAGAAGTGTACACATTAAAAAAAAAGACTTGGGGGTTGGCAGTTTTATTAAGGAAGAAAGTGCTGAGAAAATTATACTAGTGTATCCAAAGGCATCTTTTCTAGATTAATGGTCAATTATTCATGTCTAGGAGTCCAATGAAATCAATCAATAAATTAAAATAGGCACATCTTACCTATTACCAAAAAAGAGCATAGATTCTTTTACAGTTGTGATTGATTGATTAAATAAGACACCAGGCACTGTTCAAGGTGCTGGAATTCTAAAGGAGTCCTCCAGGGAATGAGAAAGGAGTCCTCTAGCTCACAGAGCTTGCAGGGCATGTTAATGAATGAGCAAAACAAGTTAACAGGAATGTCGAGAGAGAGGGTTGTGTTTTCTGATAGAGGATATGCTGGATGCTATGAGAAACGTACTCTGCCTGGGGGCTGGCTTCCTGGAGGAGGTGACTTCTAGGCCAAAACCAAAAGCATATGTAGGGTTTAGCTGGACAAAAAGAGGAGCAGGAGGCTGGGGAAGAGAACAAAGGAAAATATTCCAGCCACTGAAGACTTCATGTTCACAGCCATGGAGGCTAGGGAGAGCCTGGCACAGGCAGCTGAGAGACTGTTCTGTGAGGTGGTGCCATAGACTTCAGGGTGTGTGGACAGGAAATTAGAAAGCAAAAGCAGAGGCCAAATTATTACAGTTTCATGCACCAGCATTCACCAGACATGGAGGGGGCACGCTGCAGTGTTTTCCACCATTAACTATGGGCAGGTTATACTGAGCAGGGGTTTAGTAAAGCTCAGGACTCTTCATTTGCTCATCATTCATTTATTTCTCAAGTAGTTTGTTATACCTATTACATAGCCTATGTGTTAGGTCCATAGTTCTCAAGCTTTAGCATGAAATGGAATCACCTACAGAGCTGATTCAGTGGGTCTAGGTGGGGCTTGAAAATTTGCATTTCTAACAAGTTCCCAGGTTGATGCTGGGGTTCAGGAACCACATCTTGAGAATCATTGTGCCAGGTGAGGAAATTATAAGAACAGTCCAGGATCATGTGGGTGCCCAGATTCCTTTGGGTCACCAAGAGGACTTAATTTTCTGAGTCCCTGTTCACTCAAAGACTTTTTTTGAGTCTTTGAATGAACAGGGCTTAGGTTTCTTCTGTGCAATCAATTGCTAAACATTAGAGACAAGAATCCAAAGTAGGTCCCTGGTTAAAAGGGTTAGGAGCTAATCTTATGCACACCTAGATAGACCAAAGTGGTGATTTGAGCTCGGTGGCATTTTCTTGGCCTGTAGTAGTTTAAAGTATACCCTGATTTTTTTTTCGAAGAAAAAGGGCACTGGTTTTACTGCCTCCTCGTTCATGAAGTCATGCCCAGAGAAAGTGCTGGACTTACTTGGCTGGGTCATATGGGAAGCCAGAATTAGAATCCAGAGTCAAAGTTCTCCTGGTCGCTGAGATGCTTTCCATAGAGACGCCAGTGTGGGGAACCACCCTGGTAACTTTTAGATGAATTATCCAGGACCCAGTAAGGGAGGGAGGAGAAAACACTGGATACAATGCAGCTTTGTTGCTGGACAGAAATGAAGCCCAGTATTCCTGTGCAGAGCTGCCCAAATTCTCTCCCACCATGCACAGGAGGGAGAGGCCCAGAGCCAGGAGTACAGGCCCATGCATCCAGAACAGCCAACAGGATGTATCTGTAAAAATCTGCTTCCTTTTTACTGGCTTCAGGCTTTTAAAGAGTCTGGTCAATGGGCACAGATTGTAGGGAAATATGTGATTTTCAAGGAAATGGGGAAATCTGGTGACGATACTGGAATTAATAATTCTTTTAACATGAAAGAGTTGTTCTTTATGATCCTTACCATCTTACCTAGTGTTTGGAGTTTAAAGGAGGGAGAGAGAGAGGGTGAACTGGTTTCTTCATTGTATCCCCAGCAAATGGCCCATCTGCGAGCATGAAGGTAGATGCATTTGAACTGCTGAAAGAACCTGGGCCAGAAGACCTTTCAGAACCCCTGAAAGCTTTTCCATATGAAGAGGAAACCAGGAAATTGAAGTCTTCATTTTGTCTTTGTGATCAAAGCCAGGGAGGAAGGATATTAAGCAGATACTGACCCGTAGTTTTGTGGCCACTACTAGAATTTATTGACATACATAGCAACTAAGGACTGCAGGACAGCTGAGTTTGGTATTTACTTCAAGAGAATAAAAGATCAGATGTCTGAAAACAGAGGGCTATATTGCTATAATGAGCCCATTGCCTTTGATAACAGGAGGTAATGACAGTCATGTTAGCTGGCATTGATTGAACATGTGCGATGTGCCTGGAAGTCTGGGAAGCCTGATTTGTATTCCAGTGCCAATAATAATGTACAGAACAATCATAAGGCCAGGAGTAAGAGCTTACACTTTTGAGTGCTCACTATGTGCCTGGCAGCAGCTAAGGGCTTTCCCTGCAGGTGTTGTTCCCCGTGTGGATGAGGAAACTGAGCTACAGGAGTTACCAACATTGTCCAAGGTAACCAGGCAAGAAAGAGGCAGAGCCAGGATTTGAAACCAAATCTGTTTGACCCGGGCAGCACTTGTGCTTTTGACCATTACCACCATAATCTGGTAATAGCTCTTGCTGGCAAGCCATCCTCACCCCCAAATTTTCTGTGTTTTCTAAACTATGCTAAAACACCAGGAATTTGCAAATATTTCTTGTGCTATAATGTATTTTCATTTTGAAGGATTTTTTTTCTTGTAAAAGATTTTTGTCTTTTCAACAAAATTTTCTGTTTAGTTCTATTTTGACAAAATTGTCAAAATTATTTGGAAATAATATGCTGTGGTTTATGTTGACTGAATTTTTAAATAAACCGATTTTATCCGCCTTTTAAGGAGAAATTTATGGATTTCGAAATGGTGGCCATTCTCTACTCACATTTTTGTTTCTGGTCCACAGTATTAATTCTTAAGATAATACACATTCATGTGTGACCCTGCTATAGAAGGCTGAATTCATCATGGAATTAGGATTTTTAATTCCAATGTCATGTGCTTATAAACTATTTCTTTCCTTTTCATCTTTTGCTTTCAAGGACCACTTAGTAACAGTTTCTAAAGAAAGAAACTGATTTTTTTTTCACATCTTGCTTAAGATGTTCTCAATTGATGTGTTATTAGCAACTCAGTGATTCTTGACTTTTGAGAAGTCACAGTTTGTTTTTTTTTTCATTGTTTGTTTTTTTGAGATTCTGAGAGAGTTGAGTCTCCTTTTCCCGGAAAAATGCACTCCTACCTTTGCCTACAACAGGGGATTCTCTGCCTGGGGTGCAGGTCAGTGGACACCAGGTCAAGAAATTCTGTTTCCTTCCTCCCTCCCTCCCTCTCTCTCTTCAACTGTTATATAAATATTTTTTGAGCCCTATTAAATGCTAGGCACTGTGCTCTGTGTTACGATTACAGGGGTGAGATAAACAGCATGATTCCTGTCTTCATGGAGTTTATAGTCCAGTTAATGAAGAAGACATTCAACCAATATCCTCAGAAATAAACATGTATCTATGCTATGATATGTATGCTAAGAAGGAAAACAATTTGTTGTGTAAGAAGATCTTATACAGGAGGGTCAGACCTACTATGCGTATGTGTGTGGGGAGGGGAAAAGCAGATGAATCAGAGAAGGACCTCCATGAGAAAATGACATCTGGGCTGAGCTAAAAAGGATGGGTAGGAGGCAGTTGGCCCAGAGGCAGGAGGAATGGGTCTGGCCAGGGAGTGTTGTACTGCATTCGTGCACCTCCAAAGTGCCGACGCAGCCAACCCCTTCTGCTGCCTGTGCACCCATCCCAAAGGCTCTGTGTGCTTCCTGTGCTGTACTCTTCCAGCATAATAAGATCAATTTCACAGAATCTCACCTGTCTATGATTCATTCATGTGAGGGGTCAAATCATTTTTCCCCTGAAGACAGATCCCTCTTGTGGAGTTTTAAAGTGGATTTTCTCTTTGCTCTCAAAGGGATTCCATGTTACTGGACTCATTATATCTGGTGCAGTGGCCTTAGGTTCCAATAACTGTTCTAGTTTATTTGACTTGCTATGATAAGCTCAGAGTCAGGGCCATGTTCCTTTGCAGAATACATCTGGGGTGAGGAGGATACACTTGCTACCCACGTATACACACAGAGACACACATGCTCAGACATGTCCACACTCCCCAGCACACATTCCGTAATGTCACCACACTGGCATGAGGTTTAGATCCTTACTATTCAAATCGCCACTCTTGGACCTGCAGCTTCATTAGCTTGTTAGAAATGCAGACTCCCAGGCCCCACCCCAGGCCCCCTGATCAGAATCTGCAAATTTGACAAGGTCCGGACATGATCTTTGTACACACTAAAGTTTGAGAAGTGCTGGGTTGGTTTTCTCCATTTCTAGTCTGGCCTAGTCTGTGTTGTTGAATAGTTTAGTCCAAATGCTTCCACTTAAGGCTTGGGATCACATTGACACTTTTAATTATCTATATTTTAATAGAAGCATCACGACGTTTTTTTCCCATGCTGGAGAAAGGAGTCCAGGTAACTGTTTAGTGGAATAGATGGAATGTGATTCTAATGTGCAACAGATGTGTGTTCCTGCAGGGAGCAAAGGCACACCAGTCTCAGGTGTACGGCACCCCTCATTTCTGCAAAAGGCATTTCACTTCTTCACGGACTGTCACCTGTGTGTCACTGGCATCCTTCTTCATTAGTTACATCAGGTGGAAAATCTCTTAACAGAATTTTTAAATAATCACTGGATGATGCAGAAATAAGGCAAGAAAATTGTGCACTAATCAGTGAAATTGCTCACAGTTATGAGTTGTAAGGTCACTTGTGTCTGCTTTGTCCTTGGTCCTTCACAGACCTTGAGCCACAAGAGGCCAGTGAAAGGCAGCCCCAGGCATTGGTGGCTCAAGAATTTGGCCTTTCATTTCCCTCCTGGACCCTTTCATCCCTGCTCTCTGATTCCTGGGGTCTGTCCTTCAGTTCTTGGGAACTGTGACCGACTTCCTGTCATGCTGGTCCATGTAGCCACCCATTTTCTTCCACAGGCTGTCTTCAGGACTGGGTAAGAGGCCCTTCCCATATCAGCCTCAGGCCCAGGACCCCCTCAGGTGGTGGAGAGTCACAGCTCAGGGCAGCGTACAACAGGAGCCCACATGTGTGGCACTGTCATTTTCCTTTGCATTTTGATGGCGTCCCTTGTTTCCTATTTGGCTGCAATAGGTACTTTTACTCACCTTGTATTAATTAGATCTTTTTCTAGTTGCCTATGAAGAAAACCCATTAAAGTGGTTAAAGTTGTAACACATTTCATTTGTAAAAATGAAAATTAATTGACTAATGTGACTGAAAAGCCAGGGCGAATTTCACTTCACACATGACTTGATTCAAGGTTTCCATGAGGTCCCCCAGGTTTGCCTTTTCTCCATTTTTTTTTGCCACATCTTCCTCTGCATTGGCTCTAGTTTCAGGTGGGGTCATGGTCCTCCTCCCAGTTCCTCATGGTTATAGCTTCGGAGAAATTAGACAACAGAGCAAGTCTTTTCTCCCAGAAACCCCAGCAAGCCTCATGCTCCTCATTGGTTCTGATTGGGGCTGTCGCCATTTCTAAACCAATCACCCTAGTTGGAGAAATAAAATGAGTTGCTCCATTTAGACCTGTGGTGGTCAAAATTCTGCAGGCATCACATTCATCAGGAGGGTCTGTGAAGATGCAAATCATTGGCCCCACACCCAGAGTTTCTGATTCAGCGGGATGGAGGTGGGTGATGCCGCTGCTGTTCTGGGGACCACACTTTGAGAACCACTGGTTTAGACCAATCAAGGCCCCTCCTAACCACATACATAGAGTGGAAGAGAGGTGTTCTTCCCAAGACCATTCTAGAGACTCTTACTTGAAGAGGGGAGAATGGATATTTCCCTTTCTCCTTATTCTAGAGTATTTGTGGCACTCTTATTTAACCACAGCTCCTGCCAATATGAGAGGAGTGACCTCTTTGCACCAGACGCTCTGCTAGGCTCAGGGGACACATTATGATCAGGGCTGAGTTTGGACCCTCCTAACTTAGAGTGGGGGTGTGGATGAATAACAATAAGCAGACACATACATAATATATGAGGTGATTGCCACAAAGAAACACAGCAGGGGAGGAGATGGAGAGCAAAGCTGGCCTCTGGGGGCTGTTTCGCATGGTATGGTCAGGGAGGCCCTCTGGGATGAGGTGCCCTGTAAGCTGAGATCTGGAGGAAGTGAGGGAGTGTGCCATGCTCAAATTTGGAAAAAAATGCTTTCTGAGCAGAGTACAAAGCACTTGGAGAGTTTGAAAAATACAAAGGGCCACTGTATCTGGCACTGAAGGATCCTCTGGGAGAGTGGAAGGGCAGATACAAGGCTTTACAGGCTGTGGGATGGGGGCTGGATTTTACTGTGAGGAAGAAGAGAAACTCCTAGGAGACATGAGCAGTACTTCTGGGAATAGGGATATGAAGTATGATGGAACAAACATGGGTGTAGAGAGAATGAGCTGTGCCCTTATTTTCAGTTAATGCCCAACTATTGAAAAGCTAGTGTTGGGCTCTAAGTGGACCTGGCACTTCTGCTCCCAGGTCCGTTTAGACCTGTGGCTGTCAAACTTCACCAGGCATCACATTTATCAGTAGAATCTAGATGTTTCCCGTAACCATATGTTTTGAAACCTGGTATTCTACAGGGGGAGCGATACATTACCCCTCTGTTTTCCAGTTGGTGCCTCTTGATGTCCAGTCTGAGTTCCTTTCTAGCTAAGTCCGAGAGAAGATTGTTTTCCTCTGAATTTAAGCTTCAAGTGACTCCCCTAGCATCGTATGCACTTGAAGCTCAGCCACTTCTCCCATTCCTCCTTGAGGCAGAGGGGGAAGGGGATTGCTATTGAATTTTGCCTGGGAAGAAGTCTTGGAAGCACATAGATTTTTAAAATAGCTTCTCTTTAAAGAAGAGAAAGACGTGAAAAAGTAAGTCTGATTAAAATACAAGGGTAGCATCAGGGGAGCATGTTTACAGGTTTGAAGAGCTGCTATAAAGGGAGGCCTCTTGTGACCTTTGAGAGAATTAATCAAAAAGGAAAACAGAGAACCAGTCTTCCTCAGGGTCAAGCTCACCCTGGAGGTGCAAGGGCCACCTGTGAAGCCCAGTGTATCCTCTCCATGTTCAGAAGCACTTAGTGACTCTCTTTATTGGATCAAGTTCACACTACTGAGCATGGCCTTCAATGCCCCATGTCATCTGACAATAACTTATGTTTTGAGATTTGCCCATTTTTACCCACATTGTACTCCATCCAGTCTAGCAATCCCCAAATGCACTTGGTGCTTTCCACTGGACATGCCTTTGTTTATGTCTTTCATCATTTGCTTGGACTGCTGTTCCTTGCTTCTCCCTGTTCCAGCCCAGGCTAAGGACTATTTCTTTCTAGAAGCCTTTTCTCCAGCGAAAATTGATGAGTCGTCCCCCCTTTCTCTCTAATGCTTCGGTTATTCTGTTTTATGCACTAATTCCATTTGGCCTTAGATATACTACCGTGATTCCTCTCTATGACAGCTTCCCTCAAGAGAGATAAGCTCTTGAGGAAAGAGGCCATTTGTCATTCATGTTTATGTTCCTCCCCCTCCCAACACACCCCAGCATACGCTGGAGGAAGTCAGAGGGGATGATCAACAAAGACACAGCGAGTTGTGTTGAACTGAATTCTAACTTTGGCTGCATAACAATGATTGCAGGGTGTTTAAACCTTGAGACTTGTTGAACAATGTTCATGGGTTTTTTTTGGCATTTTGTACACCTCTCCTTTTAGGACACTTGGATTGCAGCTTTACTGAGCTCAGGGCCATTTTCCCATTTTTTTCTAGAAATTTCTAGAACCACCTCTGAAAAAGAAAAATGTGGTTCAATCCAACAAAACAGTCTGACTCTAGGGTTGAAACGTGGGTGTGGCATGGTGGCTGGTGAAGCCCCTAAATGAACTCAGACACATTCTGCTCTTAGACATGCTTAACTACCTGGCCTCTGGTAACAAACTGGCCTCCCCTGTGTCCATTGCCTGGGTGAGAGAAAGGACATGAGATGACACCATCATGGATCTCCCAGCCTGACAGATGGGTGTGAAATGTGCTCAGAAACACATTTCAGTTGAGGAAGGGAAAGTGGAAGAAATGACTCGTCTATTTTCAGAGCTAAATGATTCCCAGAGATGTTCCTTACCCCATACATGTAGTTTTATTTGCTTATTTTCAATGATCTGTCTTCTGGATTTATTTTAAACAGAAATTGCCTTCAACATAGAAGCAATTGGCTAGGAATGTGTGGTGTGTGTGAGAGTAGGGTCTCTGGGGAGGAGGAGGCAAGTGATGCTGTATACCAATGTGTCTACATGTTCTGGGCTATTTGTGAGTGTGCTGGTAGAGTCATGTTGCTGCTAACTGTCCTTTGTATCTCATCTCATTGATGAATCACAACTGGAAGCATGACGTGCACAATGGAAGCTGTCAGGGCCATCATGTTGCATGAATTCTAAACACATTCCTTGCACATCAGCAGAGGCTGGCAACAGGTTGTGAACATGCCAGTGGAATCATACATGCCTTCATGTCCTGCTCTGGACTTCCTTAGGAAAGGTCTAAGAAGACAGGTTCAATTTGGGTTTTGTTCTTCTTCCCTCTAGATGATGTTGGAAGAAAACTAAAAGCACCTGAGGGCCTGTCAAAGTCAATCACATTTATTCTTGGAAACCAAGTTCACCATAGAGGGCCAGTCAGGGATATCTGGACTCTAAAATGATGAGAACAGTTTGATCGTCAACTCACAAGTCTTGTTATTTTCCAATGGAGGATGAAATCATTTTTGATAGGTGGATTCCTTAGTGAGGATGAAGTTAGTCCCTTTATGACTAAGAGACAGTTTAATGTACAAGTGTATATTTACTTCACAGTTCCAATTAAGAAAGGTAGCTGTGTTCTTTCCAGCATATCCATTTTGCCTTGAAGTAAGCTAACCATTTTCCATTTGCACTGGGGACACGTCTTCTTTCAAACTAACATGGCCCATGAGTTGGAGGAGCATTGAAACAATGTTCATTGATGCCCTTTACTGGATCACGGGAATGGAACAATCAGATTTTAGACCCATTTTCCCAAGGTGGCCCAGTCTATTCTAGGTAAATAAGCATTGGATTAATATTTAGGCCTTAAGTGTCCCAGCCCCCAAAGCCTGTCTTCCAGATGGTATTGTTGATCCTTCTTAGCAAAACAACACTTGCGCCACACAAGACTAGACACACAAGCCTTATGCCGAGTCAGGAGCTCGTCTCAGTCCTGAGTGGGAGTAAACAGATTGTGATCTGTGTAGCTCTACTGGGGGCACACTCCAGACATTTCCAGGGCAAACAGCTAGCCTAGAAAGGGGACTCTACGTATCCAATGTGCTCTTGTTGGGTTCATATTTTTATTAGGAGAGACCTTAAGTCTTTTACTGTTTGAAACCTTATAGGCATAATTAGGCATGATTGATTTCATCCTGCCTTTCATACCCTCTACTAGTTACCTACTCTATTGGTTTATCCAAAGTGCACATATCACTTTTCTTCCATTTGCAGGTCATACGTTTGGATAACTTCCCTGACTTTCCTTGTCTGTAAAATGAGATGAATAAGAGCTACACTCTGGGTGGTTGTTCAACCCCAATGAGAAAATGAATGTGGAGCATGGAGGCATGGTGCCCTGCATGTAGACAGGGCTCAGCCAGCATTGCTCTCCTTCTCTCCTTGCCATTCTCAATTCCCTATAGAGTCTGAGGACCTCATTCCCCCAAGCCTGCTCTACAGCCACAGACTCCTAAGCTGTCCGCTTTGCCAGATTCTGTCTGCTCCCAACCTCTGCCTGGTGAGTGCCACACGCAGGTGCTGCCTTAGGCTTTTTGGGCCTTTCATCAGAAACCTTAAGTGGCCCACCTTACTGGCAAGACAAAATTCCAAATTCTTTAACTTGACATCTAAGGTTTGCTCTACTCTCTACCTTGCCTACCTGTTCAAATAAACTATTCCTTTCTCAAACCTCTGGTCCAGTCAGGCCGACAGGCTTTGAGTATAATGTCCTCTGTTGTGCCTCAGGCCATTTTTTCTAGAATATTCTTTTTTACCTTTCCAAATCCTACCCACCTTTCCATATCTAGCTCAATTTCATGATGTTTGTGCGGTCTTTCCTATTCACCAGTCACACATGCTTTTTCTTTTCTTCTGAACTCCTACGTGAGTTGTGAATAGACCACTCCATTGATTTGCTTGTTAACCAAACTGTCTAGCTTCTTGTGTGGTCTTTAATCAGAATTTAGGTCCTCTGTTGCTGTCCTTTCTTTGGCTTATTTCCCATCCTCTCAACCAGAGGGTGTAAATGCCACAAGGATGAGGACTAGATCACATTTGTATTTCACGTCTCCTAGTGTGAGGTTCCTGGCATTGCAGACTTCCAGTAGTTGATTTAATGCAGGAGAAGTTAATCAGAATTAGAATAAATCTTTTCTTTATAGAATTGTTTTTAGCATACAGAAACTATGGGTGTGGCAACTCAGCACAGAGCATCTTAATCTCAATTGGGAGATGCCAATTTGGATGAGCTTATTAACTGAAGAGCATTCGCAAACTAATTTGTCACTGTATCCTCTGGACATTAGAATGCTAATTCTCTCAGATTTTTTAATTTCTGCCAAACCTCAGAGAGTAGCTCTGACTAACATCCTCCAGGGACCAAATTGGAACAAAGGCAACTGGCTAAGCGAGTCATTTGGAGCGTTATGTAATTTGGATTTCGAGTTAGGTTTTTTTTCGGAAGTAAAATAGAAATCTGACACCAACTCAGGCCCAGGTGTTTTTCTCCTCTCTTCTGTGTTCTGGTCTTTAAAAAATAAATCTAGGGCAGCTCTCTGTGTTTTAGGATTGTTTCTCCAATGAGACTGCTTTTTATTTCATGTCATGTCAGTTCCTTATCTGGTAGAGGCTGTGTGACATATGAGGTTTGGTGCTCTATGTATTGGGTTTTTTGGTGTGTTGAGGTCTGGTGTAAGGGCTAAAATGAGAACTTATTGTCAAATCATTTGGGCTCAAATCCTGGCTTCACCATTGCTGTGTGTACCTAAAAGTATGGTTTAAATGTTCTAGACCTCAATCTCCTTATCTATAAAATGCATATAATCTAATATCCACCTCATAATTGTAACCATTATATGAGGTATATATTTAAAGTACTTAGTACAATTTTTAAAAATGCTACGCATGTATACTCATTTGCCAGTGTTGAGTACAGGAAACAGCACAAGACAAAACAAATAAATACCTTTTCAGATTACAACATGGATCTGCAAGACTTGGTAGAGATTTGAAAATATTAATACCAGTGAGAGGCCTGCATTGATTCCATAAGTCCAATTATTAACGGTGCTATTGACGGGTTAATGGAGATTGTTTGTCTTTCGATATACTGATCCCTGGCAGATTAGACCTACATGGGGGTTGTACACTTCTGTTTTTTTCAGTGTTGTGAAATGAACCTGGCTCTGTAGAAATGGACTTGCATCATAACCTTAGATAAGCTAAGGAGGCATGTGGAACCGGTCTCATGAATTGTTCCCTCATTGTGAAGTCAACTCATTCCTGGAGCCCACAGCCCACTGGCTGAGGTCACACAGTTTCCATGTTAATTTTCTTTCACTGTCCTCTCTTGGTCACCAATCTTACTGGGCAGTATTCTTCACAATGCTGGAAAGCATTATGACATACTGAGTGACATACAGAGCATGTGGTTGCTGTTGGCTCTCTTATTTAAGGGTGGATGTTCCATGTTCTTACAAGTCCCTTTAGTGTATCCCTGTAAACTTTAGCATGGATTTTGATGATGAGAATGGAGAAAATGAAACTTTTTGGACTACATTTTTCTGTCTGTATGTTTTTCTTAAGTATTTACACAGGAAATAGAAAGCATATGCATTATTTAATGCTGCTTTTCACCTGATGCCAAATACTTGGATTGCAATGGGAAAACCCCTAACAGTCCCCATGGATTTTTGAATGTTCCTAAACATTAAATACTTCCTTGAATATTACATAGGTCTAATTTTCACCCTAACATAGGCTACCAGGTGCTTTATTCTTAGTCTAAGCCTACAATATTTCTTGCAAGAGAGTGGGTGGTCATGGAAGGGGTTGGAGGATGATTTTGAGATGGATTCTCCAGAGAAACAGAACCAATATGATATGTGTATATGTGTATAAAAGAGATTTCTTATAAGGAATTAGCTTACACAACTATGGAGTCTGACAAGTCCTGAGATCTGCAGGATGAGTTGGCGAGCTGGAGACCCAGGAGGGCTGATGGTATAATTTCAGTCTGAGTCTGAAGGCTTGAGACCCAGGAAAACTGATGTCATAGTCCCAGTCCAAAGACCACCAGGCTTGCAAGACCCAGGGAGAGCTGATGTTTCAGTTCAAGTTCAAAGGCGGCAAAAAGCCAGTGTCTCAGCTGGGAGGTAGGCAGTAAGGAGGAATTCTCTCTTACTCAGGGGAGGGTCAGCTTTTTTGTCTTTAATTGACTGTATGAGGCCCACATCCATTAGGAAGAGCAACCTGCTTTACTCAGTCTACCAATTTAAATGTTCATCTTATCCAAATACAACCTCAGATAAACACCCAGAATAATATCTAACCAACTATCGGGCACCTATGACCCAGTCAAGTTGACATGTAAAAATTAATCATCACAATTGAGATATGAACTTCTACCTTGTTTAATTTCTGGGTCATCCAACAGCTCTCCTATTAATTTGTTATACTTTCTCAGGTTTCTCTACTGGTATAATAAACAAAATAGTAAAAAGAGGTTAGCTCAGTGAACAGTTACTGAGTTCCCACTGCCTGTGGGTACCAGTTAGGCTCTGAGGGAGAACAAAGATGAACTAATTATGATTTCTGCCTCAAGATTAAAACTTCCTCCATGCCAGATGCCTGCTGCGAACCTTGTTTGAGAAATTCATTTTCTTTACTCCATTTTATTCTAAGTATGTCAGCACTTAAAAGATTTCTTTGAAAATTTGACTTTCTTGAGTATAACCAGTACCAATGGGTTAGTTCTATTCCACTTGCTCTAGCTTCTTTTTGATCCTTGCAAAATCTCTTTCCCCTTGAGAATGGGCTGCTTTTTATTCTCCTGGTTTTTAATGTTATAGAGAATCTTGCTGACAGTCACTATACAGCAAGGGGGGAAATGCCATCCAAGGAAAACCCTCAGCTGTCCTAGAAAGTTTTCAAATGAAGTCATGCTCCTGATGAGATTTTGAAGCAGCGACCTGAATTTGAACTGTGTGTCAAGGTTTCCGCTGGCTCTTGAGTGCAGTGGACTTTGCTGGGCGTGTATCCATTGGCTGTGCACTGTAGTTTGCATTTTTATCATCTTTGGTCTTCTCGTGGGCAAAGGACACCTGGCTTTATAAGCACAAAGGACATATTACTTCAAATTGTGGATCCCAAGCCAGCATGTTCCAACAACTTCCCTGCAGTCTGCTCCTTCCCCACTCAGCTTCTCCCACCTGCTCAGTGTCTGTATTTGTTGAAGGTGAGGGTACGGAACAGGAGGGAGAGTAGGAAAGTGGATGCACAGGTTAGCGTTTGCTTCCTGTTCTGTTTGATTAGTGTAGCACTGAGGGTGAGTGCCAGATTGCGAAGCCTCCAGAGGGTTCAGGAAAGGATGTAGTGATGAGAACAACAGCTGGCCTGCTGGTCTGGAATCACAGAAGTAGTGTGTTTGTCACTTTCCTCATCACTGTTGTATGTGCTTTCAGACTTTATATACTGTGTGTTCCTGTGATATTTGGAAGAATCTGTACAAATGGATTTAGGATGGAAAGGTTTAGTTGTGTCGTAGGGAGATCTGGGATGAGCTGCATCTGGGAAGGGTTTTCTATGGAAGCCAAAGGTGCAGGCCTCAAGCCCCAAAACTATTCTTTCCAATCTGGATCAGATTGTTTTTTAATTTATAATTTATAATTGGAGTAATAAATGCATTCAAACTGAATAATCAGACAAAATTATGAAGAATTAGGTATGGAACAATTGATACTAATTTTAGGATTGAGAGATTGTTGTAGGTCTCTGGGGTTAAAGTCTCTCAGGGGAGATTTACATGAACTCAAGAACTTGTGTAGAAAGATAAAGATGGCTTTTGCCCTTAAAATGTTTCCAAGAGAAAAAGTCCTTCTGGTTCAGCAGTTTTCTTTTAAGTTCAATGGCTGAACCTGCTTTGAAAGCAAAACAAGGAAAGTAAATGCTGGGATTTCCATAAGAAAGATTGATGCTTAAATTAGTTTTCAGTGACATGGTCCTGTTAACAACTTGTTGGAAAAATTATTGAGGAGAGGCAGCTTTTTATTATTTTTTCGTAAGCGTTTATGGAATCTCCTGCTGTTTCATAGAATTTCAAATGGGAAATGAGAGACTCAGTAGCATAATTTTTTGGTTCTAGATTATTAGCAGAGGCTTTGTCCTGGTGAGCTGTACCTAAGGTTTTGCCCATCAATGGCCCTGCATCAACCATTTTTGTTCAAATTTAATTGGTTCCCCAGTTACCTTTTCATGAATATGGTTTGTCTGCACAATCGATCAGATGGACTTTGCTGTTGATCCAATTGGGTTGTCAAGACTTTGTTGATTGGCTGAGGCTTGAATGTTACAGTCATTTGGAGGCAGTTGGGTGGTCTATGGAAAATAAATCTGATTTGGGAATAATCAGGTGGAGTAAATCTGGATTCAAGACTTTGGTTTGAATCTCAGCTGGCATTCGAATATGATAAATAATTCCTTGGTAATCTGTGTGAATCTCACAGGCTAAGAATCTTTTCAACCCTATAAAAAGAAAACAATTTAAGGCAAAATTATGGTCTGTGGGAATTGCTATCAATTCTGAAATGAATCTAAAAGAAAACATCTTTTTTTTTATTTTGAGATGGAGTTTCACTCTTATTGCCCAGGCTGGAGTGCAATGGCACGATCTCGGCTCACTGCAACCTCTGCCCCCCAGGTTCAAGTGATTCTCCTGCCTCAGCCTCCCAAGTAGCTGGGATTATAGGCACGCACCACCACGCCTGGCTACTTCTGTATTTTTAGTAGAGACAGGTTTCTCCATGTTAGTCAGGCTGATCTCGAACTCCCGACCTCAGGTGATCCGCCTGCCTCGGCCTCCCAAAGTGCTGGAATTAAAAAAAATCTTGTATTATCTAAATGGTTACAAAAGAATGTACATGTCCATTGTTTTCTAGCATTTATAGAAACTTTCGTATAAGTTTTGTTTAAAATTTTAGGGGAGTTTACAAAATTTATGAAATTCTTCCTTTTAGCAAGTTAAAATTCAAACTTATTGAGCTCAAAAATGTGTTACACATGTATTATGAATGCTACAGGAAATTAGAAAACATAGACAATGAAGGCCAGGCGCGGTGGCTCACACCTGTAATCCCAGCACTTTTGGAGGCTGAGGCGGGCGGATCACAAGGTCAGGAGATTGAGACCATCCCGGCTAACATGGTGAAACCCCGTATCTACTAAAAAAATACAAAAAATTAGCCAGGCGTGGTGGTGGGCGCCTGTAGTCCCAGCTACTCGGGAGGCTGAGGCAGGAGAACGGCGTGAACCTCGGAGGCGGAGCTTGCAGTGAGCCGAGAGACGCCACAGGACTCCAGCCTGGGCGACGGAGCGAGACTCCGTCTCAGAAAAAAAAAAAAAAAAAAAAAAAAAAAGACTGAAGAAAGTAAAAATCACTTCATCCAGAGAACTGGTTTTTTCATTTTGAGGTATACGTGCATATGTATACACACATACACTTATTTTACAACAATCAGGTCATATTGTGTATACTGTTGTAGCATGTTTTTTCAGTCTGAGAATAAATTATTCACATCCTGACTCATCAGTAAATATCCTTTATAGGATCATTTTAAATGCCTGTATAATATTTTATTTTTTCTTTTTTTCTTCATATATTAAATACCTATTAGAACTTATTGTGCACCGAAGTTTTCATTGCTTTACAAATATTAACTCATTTAATATGAACATAGATACAACATAGTTTATCTAATCATTTTGTTAATGTTGAGCATTTAAGGTGATTCTAAGTATCACTGCAATGAACATAACTTGCAGTTATAGTTGAGCTTAACCTCATTTCTTTAAGATAAAATTTTAGAAGTAGAGTTTCTAGGTCAAATGGCATGCACATTTTAAGAGACTATATATATAAAAAATACAAAATATAAATATATATCAATATAATGTAAAATGTGTGAGCAAGCAGCTCATTGCATGCACCCTGCCAACACATTTTCATTAATATAAACAATAAAAAACTCAAAAAGAAATTATTTTCAAAATGATAGGTAAAAATTGGTTTCTCATTTCTAATGATATTCATCTTTTTTCTATTGATTTTTGAGAGTTCTTTTGGTATTAAAGATATTAGCCTTTTATAGTATGCTGCAATATTTTTCCCTTTGCCATTTGCTTTGTTTCTCTGATTATAGTAGTTATTATCATATGCAAGTGTTACCTTTTTTGGTAGCCAAATATATCTTTTTTTGTGGTTTATAGGTTTTCCCTTTCCATTTATGCTTATATGGGGCTGACTTGCCCCTAGATTAAATAAAAAATACACATAAATTTTCTTCAAGTTACTTTTACAGTTTCATTTATTTTATTTTATTTTAAATCTTTAATCTATCTGGAATTTATTTTGGCCAGCATATTTTTTTTGAACCATCTAGAATGCTTTCAGTACACAGGAGCAAATGTCCATGCAGTTTTACAAATTTTATAATAAAATATAAAACTTTGGGCTTAATAATAATAAGTTTAAAAAATTAACATAGATTAAGTTCTTCATCATGCGCCAGGTAGCGTGCCACAGGCTTTGTATATCTATTTCATGGGCTTCTAATAGTAAGTGTGATTTAAAGTGTCCCATAGTTATCAAAGTGGTATAATGGTGACCAGTTATCTTCGCAACATGGCCTGGGACATTGTTTGGTGAGGGGTGTAATTACTCAACCACAATACTGGTTTTATTTGTAAGTTCCTTCTTGTCTACTGCCATGGTAGTCTGAGTGATGTTTCTATCTCTTGTCTTTTTCCTGCTAGTTTCTTCTTCCAGTGGTTTTAAGTACAACTGTTCCTGTGATTGAGAGTATTGGTGCCGTCTTCTCTCTTACTGACAGCATTTATTGACACAATTGGTATTGTTACTGCCTTTCTGCTTTTAATCTAGAGGGAGGGAGACAATTCCTGCATAATAAGCTTGGGTTTCCATTTTTAGGCAGCTGTCTTCATGTGGCCATGTGTTTCACCCCCTTCCTCTTGTAATTTGCACCACAAGCATCAACATCTGCACATGTTTTTCCAGGATCTCTGGGAGTTCACCTCCATCCCTGTGGGGGCCGAGTCCCCAGGAATTTAACCCTCAGATTGTGCTGCTGCAAATTCAGCCAGCCAAGGACCTATGCCGGTCTACTTTTTGGCCCTGGCTGTGTTCAACAGTTGTTTATAGATTCTCATCATCCCTTTGTATGTCTGTTCTTCGAACCAGATTTGACACATGGAATCTTGCTCATGTTAGCACTGAGGTTCTTCTGCAGTTTGTTTTATTGATTGACCATTAATAAAACCCAATTCATAAATTCGTTCAAAAGTATTTACTAAATGCCTTCTAGTTCCCAGGATCTGTGCTGGGCATTGGAGATGCATGTGCAAATAAAAGAGGCAGCTTTGTTTTCATCACAATTACAACTTAGGGAGGAAAAATATATCAATTAATCATACAAGTAAATGTCATTGCAAACTGTGATAAGTGCAAAATGTCATGAGGAAAAGTGGGAAGATTTGTGAGCTACTATTATGTAGACATGATGTGGTCCTTGGCCACAGGAAGGCATCCTGAGGAAGGTAAGCTTGAGCCGCCATCTGAAGAAGAGTGGACGCAAATCAGGAGAGGGCAGTGCAAAACTCCAGTGCAAAGGCCCTGTGGTAGAAAGGGGCAACACATAGTTCTGAAACTGAAGGAAGACAAGGCAAGAGCAGAGGACAGGTGGATGAGTTAAGGTTGGAGAGATGGCCCAGGCCAGATGTTGCAGGCCACCCACAAAACAGTAAGAGAGAGTCAAGGAAATGTGTTAAGTGGAAAGGCTGTCATTTACTATGTGTTTTTAAAAAGAATATTCAATTAGCAATTACCAAGTAATAAAATAATTCTTAATTTTCACCAATGAATGGTTCAATTACTCAAGAGTGAATTAAGTGCATACTATATAAAAATGGCTTTAAACTTGGTGCTTCAGGGGTTACAAAGCTGAAGTAGATATCTTCCCTCCAGGTGCTGGAATTCCAGTAGAGGACATTAAATGTGTACAAAAATGACTTTAATAGAAATAAGAACAGTACAGATAAACTAGTGCAAAAGTATTTAGAAATACAATGATTATTTTAGGAGAGAGATAACTAATCTCTTGAGACAATAATCATGGCATTGGTTCTTTAAAAACTAAAAAACACTAGTGTTATTTAGATATAGTTCACACACATATATAATTCACCCATTGAAAATATATAATGTAATGGTTTTTATTATTTTCACAGCTATGTGCATATAAAATTGATTGTCAGTTCTAGAACTTATTTACTACCTGTAAAAGTAACCCTATATGCTTTAGTAATCACTCTCCTTTTCCACCTTATCCCTAGCCCTTGGTAACCACTAATCTACTTTCTGTCTCTATAGATTTTCCCATTCTGAACATTTCATACAAATGAAATTATATAATATGTGGTTGTGACTGGCTTCTTTTACTTAGCATGTGTTCAAGGTTCATCCATATTGTAGCATGTATCAGTAACTCAGTCCTTTTCATGGTCAAATAATATTCCATTGTATGGATGTACCACATTTATTTATCCATTCATTGTTTGATGGACATTTGAATTGTATCTATTAATACCTTTAGACTGTTGTGAAGAGTAATACCGTGTACATGTATTTGTTTGAATATCTGTTTTCAATTCTTTAGGATCCATACCTAGAAGTGAAATTGCTGGGTTGTATGGTTATTCCATGTTTAATTACTTGAGGAACTGCCAGACAGTTTTCCAAAGTGGCTGCTCTTTTGCGTTCTGAGCGTTCTGATTTCTCCACATCCTTGCCAACACTCTGACTTTTTAATTAAAGCCATCCTAGTGGGTATGAAGTGGTATTTTATTATAGTTTTGGTTTGCATTTTCTTGATGACCAATGATGTCCAGCATCTTTTAATGTGATGGCATTGGTTCTCACATTTAAACATAATAAATAACTCATTCCCTTTTAAGTTGATAAAAGAATGAGATAAAAAAATGGGGTCGAATGTAAACTACATGATGGTAGGGACCTTCCTGTCTTATTTATGATTGTGATCCCATTACCTAGTAATAGGCAATAGTAGTATACAATAAAACACTGGGTGGCTGGCTAGTTGGCTGATTGACTACTGACCTCTTCCTTCTAGTATAGGTAGGAGAGAAAAGATTTCTGAAATACAGTGAGTTTTTTTTCCACCTGCCTTTCCTCTGCCTTATTCAGCTTATTGACTCATTCCCATATTTACAGAGAAAGAAACTTGTAGGATATTAGATCTTTAAAGAAGTTGGTGTTTCAGAGCTCAGGGACAGCTCATTTTCTCTGTCTCTCTGAATGACTCATTTTTCAGAATTACAGAATGATGGGAGTTAATAGAGAATTGTGAGACCCTTAGAGATTAGATTTTTAAATTAAACATTTCATTCTTTTTACCTTTCCAAAAGCTATTGTCATCTTCTTTGAATTGTGTATTTGTTTTCATGATTCTTAACAAAATCAAACAATAAACAATCAAACAACAACAGCAATAATAAAGGCCATCCTGGCTGGGCGCTGTGGCTCACGCCTGTAATCCCAGCACTTTGGGAGGCTGAGGTGGGTGGATCACCTGAGGTCAGGAGTTTGAGACCAGCCTGGCCAACATGGCAAAATTCCGTCTCTACTAGAAATACAAAAATGAGCCGGGTGTGGTGGTGCACACCTGTAATCCCAGCTACTTGGGAGGCTGAGGCAGGAGAATTGCTTGAACCTGGGAGACAGATGTGCAGTGATCTGAGATCGCTCCACTGCAACTCCAGCCTGGGTGACAAAGGGAGACCCTGTCTCCGAAAAAAAAAAAAGAAAAGAAAAAAGCAGATTGGGATTCTTAAGTCACTCTTTCTCCTTAATGGGTATTATTATTGGTACATAGACAATAACAATTATTTAAGGCTAGAGGGGCAGAGTCTTAAGAAAAATCAATGTAAATCCGTATCCCCCAATCAGAACCTCATCTACCCTTATGTTTTTGGAAATTATTTATAATACAAAATGTTGGAGCATCAGTTATGCCAAAAGTCAAATTGCTTCATTCATCAATGGGAAGCTACCTCAGAAACTTAGTGTTTCCAAATATAAAGCTGTGTTATTTCCATTCATCACAGTCATTTTTATAAGACCACCAGGATCAAAAGTACTAGGCTTACATTCCTATGAGGATGTCTTAAGGGTCCCTAGAGTCAGAAGCACCGAACTCAGCTGTCAGGAGGATATATCAGGAGGCCATATCTTGTCCCAGGCCCCTTCTGGGTAAAAAAGTAATAACTAATAGAAAACAGACAAAAAAGCTGTTAGGTTGATAATCACTCTTGATACGCAGTCTCTCTAGGGAGAGACCATAAAACCATTATGCTCTCAACCCCAAAACCTTTATCATAACTCGAAGAAAGGTACCTAAAGTGTTGTTATGATTGCCCTGTTTACTACTATAATTTTTTCATTCTTGTCATCTGTTATTTAATACCTTGGACACTGTGGGTCTCTGAAAAGTTTTTGCGTAGCATAAGCCAAACCTGCTTCAAAAATCATTTTTCACCCAGAAACAGAAGGTTGGGATAGAAGAGGTTCTGCCAATTTGGCATCAGAGAGGTTGCTGTTAGGCCAGTTAAAAAGACACTCTGTTAATGTAATAAGCGCAGGCCATCCTAAGGGAATGGAAAAGCATTTTCCAGAACTTTTATTTCTTGTGTTAAAGATTTAAGCATAAACCTCTGAAAATCCCTGAGAACTAAATTTCTACCTTGAATACATTTCTTTGTTGTGGCTTTTCCTAATTTCCATTTACTTAACCGAGCTTTGAATTTATTTATTCCATTTCATTAAAACAAAACAGGCCCAGTGCAGTGGCTCACAGCTGTAATCCCAGCACTCTGGGAGGCTGAGGCAGGCGGATTGCAAGGTCAGGAGTTCGAGACCAACATGGTGAAACCCCGTCTCTACTAAAAATATAAAAATTAGCTGGGCATGATCATGCATGCCTGTAGTCCCAGCTACTCAGGAGGCTAAGGCAGGAGAATCGCTTGAACCCGGGAGGCGGAGTTTGCAGTGAGCCGAGATCACACCACTGCACTCCAGCCTGGGCAACAAGAGCAAAACTTCATCTCAAAAAAACAAAACAAAACAAAATAAAATCTAGGGTCACAAGACGTAATTTAAAAGAAAGTAGCTCACTCTTTATGTATGATACTGTTCATTTTTGCATCTTCTCGTTTTTAATGCAAGGCGTTCCATGCTCAAAGAGGGGGAGCATTTCCAAAGCTGATTCCCTGTGGCTAGGAGGGTGGTCACTTGATCTGGGATTTATTGCCATGAGGGGGAAGCATTACCTTGGATGAGTGGAAAGACAACAGTGCCTGTGTGGCATGTATGTGGTTTTCAAGGAAAATTTTCTGGACGGTGGATGAATGAATAGCATGAACATGATGAGTATGATATTTAGTTTTGTGTGCCAATTTGGCTAAGCAACCATATACAAATAGTCAAATATTATTCTAGATTCCTCTGTGCAGGTATCACTTATATGAAATTAATATTTAGATTAGCAGACTTTGAGTAAAGCAGATTCCTCTCTGCAACATGGATAGGCCTCATCCAATTGGTTGAAGGCCTTCATAGAAAAAGGCTAACCTCTCTCAAACAAGAGGGAATTCTGCCAGCAGATCACCATCATGAAATGCAGCGTCACCTCTTGCCTGGGTCTCTAGCCTGCCAGGCTACTCTACAGATTTTGGATTTACCAGCCCCCACAATGTTGTCAATGAATTCCTTAAAATCTCTCTCTCTCTCTCTCTCACTGTCTCTCTCTCTCTCTCTCACACACACACACACACACACACGCACTCGATACGATGACACATATACATGCACGCTATTGGTTCTGCTTCACTGGAGAACACTCGGAAGAATTGAATAATGCAGTAAGTTCAGGAGAACTTTCTGGATGAATATATCCATCACTGGCTAGGACTACTGAGAGTGAAAAACAACGAGGGATGTGTGATACAAGCTGAGTTAAATGTTAAGATTGCATGTGCCAGGGTACCCACGTAGTACCCACAGCAGAGGAGGGCAGTGCTGCTCAAAGGAACCAGATGGGCTGAACATCTTTCAACCAAACACCAACATTTTTTTTACATAGTTGAAATCATGGTACACATGTTATACATGAAATTTTGTATTCTGCTTTTTCTCCCTATAGCACATCATTAAACATTTTCTTGTTATACTACATAAGCTTCAAAAATACTTCTAGTGGTTGAAAACATTTCATCATGTTCTCTACTGTTGGACCTATGTTTCCAATTTAACCTTATAAGTAATGCTATGTGGAACATCTTCATGCACATGTGCTTTCTGATCTCTTGTTTCTGAAGGATAAACAACCAGTAATGAGATTACTGGACCAGACAGTAACAACATTTTGTTTTTCTAAAGGAAATAGAAGGCAGGAAGTAGAAAAATCAAGAAGAAAAACTATTATAAATAGAAAACTTCAAAAGATGAAAGACAAAAATTCAAATAGACCAGTGATCAGAAAAATTATAAATGGATTAAAGCTCCCTATTAAAAATTGGAGACCCTCAAATTGAATATCTAGGAAAAGTAGTTATATATGGTTAAATGTGCTTTGCAAGGGGAATACCTAACAGAATGACACAGAAAAATTGAAAGTAAAGATGTGAAAAAATATAACCTAAAACCAACCAATGAAAGTTGTTATAGCAAGCATATCAGATGAAATAAAATTAAAGGTAAAAAAGTGAAAAAAGTGATATTAGAAATAATATACTAGGAAAATATTATAATCATGTACATGCCCATTCCCAATAACATTGACTTCACATTTACATAAAAAATTGTCCAACCTTGCAAGGATAATTTGACACCTCTTTAATCATAAGGGCAGATTTTAACACACTTCTCTCAGAAATGGATACCTCAAGCTGAGAAGATGTAAAAGTATAAAATATTTGAACAATTGAAATTGTGTGATTTAATAGACATATTTAAAACCCTGCATTCAAGAGAAGAATACACATTTATCAATGACTACATGGAAAATTGTAAAAACTTGACCACTCAGACTCCAAAAGTCTCAAGATATTCCAAAGATTGATGTAACATACAATACAATTAAATTTCAATTTCAAAAAAGCAAAAAAAAATACAATGATGATTATTTTGAGTCGTGTTTTTTTGTTTGTTGTTTTTTTTGAGATGGAGTTTTGCTCTCGTTGCCCAGACTGGAGTGCGATGGCACAATCTTGGCTCACCGCAAGCTCCTCCTCCCGGGTTCAAGCGATTCCTTTGCCTCAGCCTCCTGAGTAGCTGGAATTACAGGCGTGCACCATCACGCCCGGCTAATTTTGTGTTTTTCGTAGAGATGAGGTTTCTCCGTATTGGTCAGGCTGATCTCGAATTCCCGACCTCAAATGATCTGCCCACCTCAGCCTCCCAAAGTGCTGGGATTACAGGTGAGAGCCGCTGTGCCCGGCCATTTGGAATAGTTTTAATAGTAGACCTCAGTTGGATATAGCTTATTGTCTGTGATTAGGTAAACGAGCTTTAAGAAAGAATATTATACACTGATTAAAGTGAATGAACTAGATATACTGATATGAATGTGCATAAATTGTGGAAACATAATATTGCATGAAAAAATCAAGTTCAAGAGCGATATATAGTGTAATACCATGTACGTAAAATTCAGAATATCAAGGAATATCACGTATAATTCATGGATATAATTGTATGTGGAAAAATTATGTTATTTAATGTTATATTAACAATTAGCTATTCGTAGGTAATATATAATTATTTAATATATTATTTAATTACATAAATTAAGTTTATATTTACTTATTTAATGTATACTTATAGATTATTTAATGTATTATGTTACTAAAATAATAATTAAACAAGGAATAGTTATTTGCCTTTGGGGAAGAAGGGAAAATAATGGAAGTAGGGATGGAAGAGGCCAAAGAGATTTCTACTATCCTCTTCAAAATCTAAAATAAATATAGCAAAATGTTAACATTTGTTAATTCTGAGTGCTGGCTACATAGGTATTTGTTGTATTACTGTCTGTTCTTTTCTGTTTGAAATACTTCATTATGAACAAAAGCTTAAGTTACTTGCCAGGGATACATAGCTGGTAGTTGATATTTTAGTTTCAATATTTTGGTTTCCTTATTTTTTATTGTTTAAAAGTACTTAATGTTTATAATTTCAAAGTGAATTCCTTCAATTTTTCCTAGGTTTATTTAACTTAAAAAGTGACTTGAGTTTTAGTCTTCCACTCTTGAAGTTTATTCTGTTTGCATTCTTACTCACTTTTCTCCTTGACCTCTTGGGAGTTTTGGTCATGATTATTAAACAAGAAAGGGTTACAGAGACAGTTTTCATTGGGAGAAGCTTGCGTATGAGGATGAAATATAAATCTACTGTTATTATTGACTTGACTCTGAGTTACCATTAATTACTAGCCTCTGGGCATTATCCAGAACTTCAGAAGGAAAAAGCCTTCTCCTCTTACTTTTCAATCACAGAATAATGTTTCTTTAGTATCTCTGATGTGCCCAGTATAGTACCTCAAATCCAGTGCATTGTGAAGTACCAAAGAAATACAGAGCAAAGGCCAGGTGTGGTGGCTCATGCCTGTAATCCCAGTACTTTGGGAGGCCAAGGCAGGAGTACTGCTTGAACCAGGAGTTCAAGAGCAGCCTGGGCAACATATTGAGACCCCATCTCTACAATTTTTTTTTTTTAATTAGCTGGGCATTGTGGTACATGCCTGTGGTCCCAGCTACTTGGGAGGCTGAAGTGGGAGGATTGCTTCAGCCCAAGAGTTGGATGCTGCAGTGAGGCGTGATTATGCCACTGCACTCCAGCTTGGGCAATTGTGGGGTGGGGTGGGCTGGGGCAGAAATCTGTTCTAGACTACTGCCTCTCAAAGCTTGTACACAAAGACTCTGCTGAACAGATTAGTAAGATATCTGGGCTCCAGGACCCACCCCAACAGATTCTGCTTGAATAGGTCTGGAATGGAGCCCAACAATTTGCATTTTCACCTAGCTCCTGGTGATGCTGATGCCGGTATTCCGCAAATCATACTTTTAGTAGCTCGGTTTTAGACCAGAGCTTCTCAAACTTCCAAGCACATTCAAATCATCTGAGATCTTGTTAAAACAGAATGCGGCTCAATAGGTTTTAGGTAGGGCTGAGGGTCTGCATTTCTAACAAGTCTCAGGTGAGGCCAGGTCATGGCTGGATTTTGAATAGAGGGACCAGGGGTTATAGAGATCAGTTGTCACCTGGATCTAGAGTCCTTAGTGAATTTGCCTGCACACAGACACCAGTCCTGTAGAGCAAAAGCCAGAAGAAATGTAGACTCCTTTTGTTGGAGAGAAATCATTGTTAACAGGGAACCTCTTGCAGCCTTGTTATCTGCTCTTTGCTCCTTGAGAATTTTGGTTTTGCATTGGTCTTTAAAGGACAATCGTGAGTCAAAGGCTTTGAGAGAGAATATTACAGTTCTTTTTTCCACATGCTTTTAATAACAACCAAAGTTGTTCATTTTTCTCTGAGTTTATGATAGGTACATAATGATGATTTTCATCCAAGGTCTGAAATAACATTTTTTTAAATCGGTATTTACCTGATTCGTTTGCAAAGGTCAGGGGGAAGATATAATGCTCTTCTCAGAGTCCACAGAAGCTCTTCGGATTAGTTCTTATTTCACATTCATTAATATAATATTTCTTTATAGAATATGGCATAAAGGGATACAATTTTAAGAACTCTATATCAGCCAGCATTTCTAAAGTGAACTAAAATTATTTTATTGCAGATTTAGAGGGAGGAGGCTTATATGTTACCCCCACAATTTTATTTCTAAAACAGAGGTGGAAGAAAATCATTAGACTGTAATGTGCTACAGTCTAATGTGTGTAATCATTAGTGTGTAATGTGCAATTTTAAGGTTGGAAAAGCTATTTAGATGGTAGAAGTACTAAAATTATGTATCTTAGTTTTTTCTTATAAAAACAGGAGTTTACTGGCTATAATATGCTTCCCGAAGAGAATCAGAGGCCAGTGCTATCTTTTAGCACTAAGATTACGTCCTTGTTAGCTGTGTTCAATTGGAGTAAATATCTAGATCATGAATCAAGGACTCCTAGAGATGAGGTCAACTCCTGGGGTATATGTATTTCTTGGGCAGAACTGCACATTGGTGTCACCTGGGAGTTTTCTGATGCCCTGGCCACACTCAGGACAATTTAGTCAGAATCTTCTAAGCTGTGGCCTGGGCATCAGTGCTATTTAAATCTCCCTGATGATTCTAAAGTGCAATCAGGAGTGAGAACCAGCAGTGGAGAGGCCTGGTCTTCTTTCACGTCTGAACTCCACTCTCATCTCCTGGATTATAGTTTAACTTATGATTTTGCTCAGTCTGAGCCAAATTCATGGATGATTGAGCATCTTTCTTTCCCTTAACTTCACATTATCCTTCTCTGTTAATCAAACACATTTAGATTCTCCTAAATATGTTTATATTCTAAGAATAGGGCTGTTCTTTAATTTGAAAGCATCATTTTTTCATAATTTTCAGCTAATTAGGATCCACATTAGATTTTTGTTTGTACTTAAAGGAATGCATGTAGACTTCTTTTGGGTTGAGACTATATCTTTTAATCTGTCTCCTTTCCCAGGAGGATGCTGAATTAATGTATCTTTTCATTTAATTATCCATGGGGCACAGCATATAATTTAATGCTTGGCACATAGAGAGTACTCAGCAAATCTTAGTTGAATGTACATTTGCCCTTGTCCTTTAACTCTGGTGCTCAAATATTCAATTAGTTCCTGAATGTTGTTGACATAGGCTCTCAAACATATTTAAATCTATTTCCTGGGTTGCATTAGCAACCATCATTGTCTTGGTGTAGCTCATTGTTATCTTTTCTGTTTCCCAACTGCTCGCTCTCCTCTTTTAGGTACATCTTCTCCCATGATGAACTAATGTAGCCTCTACTTCCACAACTCAGCTTCCTCTGTGCAGCCAAAGTGATTTTGAAAATTAATTTTCTTCCATGTATTATGTTGTATTTTATTATATTATTAATACATAATTCAGACCTTTTTTAAAATATAAAAATAAAGTCTGTTACCTTAGCCCAGAAAATATCTCTCCATTTACACAGTACATTTTATTGTTAGCTTTCCATAGGTTTTGCATTGTAAAGTTTTTTTTTTTTTTGTGACAGTAATGGATTAGCATTGTGAAGTGGGTCTTTTTGTATAGTTTAATGTCTTAAGCAGTTATTGATGGCATATAGGAAAACTGTTTTTATAGCTGATTTTTTTGAAGTTTCTCAATTACAGGCTATCATGTCATTTGCAAGCAAGTAAAATTGTGTCCTTTACTTTCTACAATCTATGCATATTATTTGTTTTCTTGTGTAATTTTAGAGACTATAACTTTAAGAATAATGTTAGTTAATAGTGGTAATGAAAAGCATCCTTTTTTTGAATTTACAGACATACCTCTGATATTTCATTGTTAAGAACAATTTTGGCTCTCTAAATTGAGACAGACTCTTCACACTGTTAAAGAAACATTCTTTTGCTTTAGTTTTAACATGTTTGTGAAATTTTGAAACCAGGATTAATGTTACATTTATTGTATATTATGTTGCACCTGTAAGTATGAATACATAGCAGTTCTTTCATCTATTAATGTGAAAAATTAGATCAGTAAATATCTTGAGATCAAACCAACCTTGCATTCCTAAAAAAAAAAACCCAGTATTTGGTTATGATATATTATTCTTCTAATATACGGTTGAATTCTGTTTAATTATGTTTTATATGGTATTTTTGCCCTTATATTTGTAAATAGATAGTCTATAGTTCTCTTGTCTATGCTCTCCTTGTTACATTTTGGTAAGCCTGTGGTCTCTTCCCACACATGTTCAACTACTTACGCCATATAAAATTATTATAATTCTCTAGTGGGTAATGCCATTTCAGGGCTTAATGGCTTTCTATGGGCTGTCCTCCCTGGTGTTTTGCTTTTCCTTGTTTGCCTTTCACACTCATGCAAAACTCTGACCATTGCTGATCATTTGTCCCCTCCTCAATGAAGTTTTCTCAAATATGCCCTCCCCATTTCCAACTCAGTTGATCATTCCCTTTCCTGCTGTCTTTCAGTATTTTCATATCTTCATTGTAATATTGATCATATGGTAATAAAATTATTTTTCTATTTGTTTCTCTCATTCTATTTTAAGTCTTTGAAAGTGGAGATTTTGACATTTTATTTTTATATCACTAGTTCTCAGCTTCATGCTTATGAAATGCTAGTTGAATGCATGAGCGACTGAAGGAAACTCATATATACATTTACTTTACCTTACTGCAGTGCTTCCTAAGGATACTGTAAATTGCTCCCAGCATGACAGAGAGAAATAAGCACATCCTTTCTTAGTCATGTATCTTTCAAATGGCCTGATTATGCTCCTTTGCAAGGCCCCAAGACATGTGTTGAATTATTCATTCAATATTCATTCAATATTGTTGTGTTGCTTAATTTGGCATTATGGTGGCACAGCATTATATTTAGATACAATGGAGGACAGCATTGTGAAAACATGGATCATTCTTCAATAAGGTTTTCTTTTCCTCTGAAATGTATCCAATTAATGGGAGTGGGAGCATTTGCCATTCCACAGATGAACACCTGCAATGTGCTAGTAACTGTGCTGGATGCTGAAGATTTGGCAGGAAATTAAACAAACACAGTCCTTCATGGCAGCACTTACATTCTATTTGGGGAGTGCCACCAAAAATAACCAAATAAACAAAATAATTTCTGACTTGAGAGAAGGTGATGAAATGGGAGAATGGGGTCATTTTAGATACTAGTGGTCAGGGAATGAATGTCTCAGCAGGTACTATTGGCCTGAAATTTGAAAAGGAGAGAGCCACCCCTTCTCCAGTTAGCCTGGAAGATTGTTCCAGATGATGAGCATGGCATTTTTAAGGAAAAGCAGGAAGGCCAGCCTGGTTGAAGGTAGTGAGCTAGGGCTTCTAAATGGAGATGAAGGTGTAAAGCAGGAAGAGCGTAGCTCATCTGGGGACTTGTGGACCATGACTAGGGCTTAGTTAGATTGTACTTTAAATGTGATGAGATATTTTTGGAAACTTTTGATTAAAGGAGTTTTATGATCTGTTTAATACATTTGAAAGAACATTTGGCTGCTATGTAGGGAAGAAAAGTTCTGTTCCCCTACACATTATTATAAGAAATGGTTAGACAAAAATATTTAACTGGCTGCTGTGTCACCAAGAAGGCGTATGAGGATGTTTGTGCTGTAGTTGGAAATATATAGGTGAGAAATTACAACTTTTCCTATTGAGTCTTAATAACATCTTTTTCAACCATGCTGCTTTTTCCTCTTTCCTCTTACTTTCTTCCCCAGTGTGTGGCTTTCAACCATTATCTTTATATGTGTAATTCACTTCACTCACCTTTTAAATTTCTTGTTCCACATAATACTCCTTACCATAGCATCGTTAACTGCCCCAGTATTATATAGACATAATGCTAGATTTTTATACACCTGGAAAGAGATAAAAAGTAGTTTAGAATTTCTCTTTTTTAAAAAAAATGTCCAAATTGCATCCTATGAGTGACTAAGCAGCATTATTAAGAGCCTTTATAAAACAGCAGACAGCCCAGAGGTACCTTACAATGATAGCAATGAAACAAAGCAATTTTTAAATTGATTTAGCAAAATGCTTAGTTACTATTTCATGGTAGGCAAAAGAATAATAAACCTTAAAGGAGGAATCATCCTAAGACACTATGAAAAATAAAACCAGCATGAACTCATTGGTTGCTGTCAGCCCTTGTTTTTATGGCTTGTGTATGAATGTTGGTAAGAGAGAGTGAGAGAACCCGTTGGTGGGCTTTTGGCTGAAGTTGGATGCATGTCAGTAGGGATGTCCAAGTCTGTCAGTAGTCATGGTCTCTGTTTTGCAGAGAATCACATTTTATTAACTGTACAATAGGAACACTCTGGCTCAACCCTGTCTCCTCTCTCCAATGTAGACACAGTGGTGTGATGGAGCTGGCTTCTATTGTCCCCCTACCGCCAATTGTTAGAATTTCTCCCCAGCTGTGTGTTTAGTGATCAGTGATGCCATGTTGGTACTGTAGCTTAGAAGCAGCCACACTGGCTATTTACACCACATAAGTCAGCATGCACTACCAATCAGGGGTCCCCTCTTCTCCCTGATCCCACCAAGAACCAGTTGTTGAACATTTACCACCACACCACTCCCTGGATGTTCCATCAGAAACACAGTGGGTTTAAATACAAACTCATCATCTCTCCTCCGCTCCACCCCGCTCCTTTCTACTACCGGCTTCTTCTGCATCCCTCTAATTTCTTGGCAGACTTTAAATCCAAGCTTGAATCTCCAGATGCATCTTTGACTCTTCTTTTTCCCTTTTGCCTCAGTGTGAGACCCTTTTTCAGGCTCTATACATTCTCCTATCTCAATGCTTTATGTCCCCTCTCAATTTCTACTGGTGTTCCCGCAGGTAAGTGGTGTCTTTCCCTCTTGGAAAACCTTAGTTGGATCTTCTGAAATAGCTGCTTAATCCCTACATAACTTCTTTTCTCCACGTCTTCCATTCCATCCAAAATATTCTTATTAGCTTGCTTTCCTGATGCGTATTTTGAATTCTATCACTTTTCTGCTCCAACTGTCAGTGACTCCTTCTGATTACTTAAATAATGTTTGTGCTTCATAGTTTGGCATACAAGGAAGTCCATTAAATAAGCAACACTTACCTTTCCCATTGATTTCTCGTGATGTCTGTTCCCCTTCTTGATGTTCTTGGGTCCCCAAATGGAATGTATGCCGATTCAAACAAATGTATGTCTAAAGTATACATTTTTCTAAAAAGCCTTTTTTTCCTCTTTGCCTGGGTAAAACTTATTTTTTTCTTTTAGATGTAACTCAAATGATGCCACCTCCTCAAAATCTTTCCTAACTTCTCACTTCCTATCCTCCATGCCAGAGTAATCTATTTCCTTGAACTCCCTTGGTAATGCTAGACTGCTTTTTGTAACACCCATTATTTTCCTCCTTTATTACAACCTATTTTGGCACATTGTGAAGTTTGGAGTAAGTACCCCGCCTTACTCATCTTTGTCCCTTGCTCAGACAAATGGCACAGTTGCTTGCCAAGTAGAGATTTATTAAAAGAATTTTAAAAAGGAAAATAATGTTTGCGCTTAGGTGGAACACCCTTTAGCTGCTGGAAGTAAAATAAATAAAAGCAAAGGAAGTAAAAAATGGCATGATAGGAATACTTCTGAAAGCCCCCCAAAAGTTTAACTTTTAAGTGGAACATTTTTATGTTATATAATGTGTTTGAAGAGGATGTCACATGGAAGCTGAAATAGAATAGAATAATTCTACAGTGTAACAGAAGGCAGGATCTGAATAAAGGGCTGGAAGTTATAGAACACATTTTCATTTAATATATAAGAAAACTTCCTGAGAGATAGAAGCTGTCATTGTCTATCACAGGAATGAGATTCCTAAAAAGCTACCGAGCTCCTATCACAGACATGATGCAGATGTACGACCATCTGGCAGGAGTATTATAAAAGGAATTCCTGCAGGGAGTAGATATTCCCTAAGGTCTTTTAAGACTCTATGATTCTATAATTCTCTGACTTTTTGTGAGTCATCCGGCCTGTTGGGTTTTTGAGCTGTCACAGCGCTAAACCACAGTGGGTTGCCATGATTGTTGCTATTAAGACTTTTATTGTATAGTGGGAACATAAAAATATTTAGGAAGAAAACATCTATAAAGGTTACCCCTTCCTCCGCCAAAAAATGGCTTCTCAATTTCAGATCCCCTGCTTTGGGGAAAAATGTTCTATCACTATTCTTAGATCACAAGCTTAAAATCTAGAAAACCTGCCATATTAGGGACGGGTGTGGTGGCTCATGCCTGTAATCTCAACACTTTGGGAGGCTGAGGTGGGTGGATCATAAGGTCAGGAGTTTGAGACCATCCTGGCCAATATGGTGAAATCCCATCTGTACTAAAAATACAAAAAATTAGCCAGGTGTGTTGGTGCACACTTATAGTCCCAGCTACCTCGAGGCTGAGGCAGGAGAATCGCTTGAACCCAGGAGGCAGAGGTTGCAGTGAGCCGAGATTGTGCCACTGACTCCAGAGGTTGCAGTGAGCTGAGATCGTGCCAGTGACCACAGCTTAGGCGACAGAGCGAGACGCTGTCTCAAAAAAAAAGAGACAGAAAGAAAAGGAAGGAAGGAAGGAAGGAGAGAGAGAGAGAGAGAGAGAGAGAGAGAGAAAGAGAGAGAGAGAGAAAGAGAGAAAGAAAGAAAGAAAGAAAGAAAGAAAGAAAGAAAGAAAGAAAGAAAGAAAACCTGCCATATTATAATTTAGGCTTAGTTTTATTTCAGTTCCTTTGCCATGAGTCCCCAAGGGCATGGACTGAACTGGGGAGTAAAACCTCATTCTCTAGTGGCTTTCATCTTGTCCCTTGTCTGGAGTCTTTCCTCACCTGGAAACACTATTTGCAAATTGCATTCAGTTCTGCCTGCTTCTTTGCTAGATATTTGGATTAGCACCTTGGTCTTCCTTCCTCCAACTGCTGATCTAGAGGTTACCTCTCCCTATGTTGTCGTATATGAATATAAGGACTTCTACATTTTTCTTTTTCTTTTTTTCAGGAATTTGGCTACTAGCAATGATAAGTGAATAGGAGGGTAATCTTTTCCCTGTGTTCTTGACCCCCTCCTCTCCTGTTTTCTTCCTGATATTATGTCACCAGTTACCCAAACCCTCCATCTCTTTAGCTTCAGCATCTTATCTTGGACTTCCTTCCCCGCTTTGATGCAAAATGTGTTCAAGTCTTCTTGATTCTGTCTCTCTCTCTCTCTCTCTCTCTCTGTCTTCTGGGTTCCCTTCAAATTATCTCCTCATTTCTCTCCTCTGATCTGACAACCTACTGAAAGAATGGCCTTTCCTCATTGCCTCCCATATTTTCCACCTGCAATACACTTCAGGAGGATTGTTGGCCACACCACTCTTGTAAAAGTATTCCTGCTAAGACCACCACTGACCTCCTAGCTGTCTACTCCAGTTTTCAGAACTTCCCTCAGTATGTTAGTAGTAGTTAAATCCATGGAATGCCTATTCCTCCTTCACTTTGAGGCCATTTAACCCTGTAAATCTCATTGTCACTTAGTAGTCGCTTTATCTGGACTTGACTATATAAACATCTGTAAGTAATGCATTCAGAAAACAGGTTTTGAGCATGTACCCTAGAACAGGCTCTGCACTAGGGCTGGGGAAAATTGGTGAGCAACACCTGCCAGCCCTGGGGCATGGTGGAGTAGATGGAGTGAGGGATCGCTCCCATGGGGGTGTAGTTGCAGGGTGTGATAAGGGCCATGCAAGAATGCCAGGAGAATGTTTAAGAGCAACCTTATCTAGACTGGGGATCTCAGAAACCTTCCCTGAGAAAGCTACTCAGCTGCATATTGAAGGAGGAGTGGATTTTAACTAGGAGAAGGGGGAGGAAGAACACCCCAGCTAGAAGGAACAGCATGTGCTTTAGAAGGCGACCTGTCTTAGGGGAGAGGGTGAGGGCTCAGCTTTGAATGCTGTCTTTGCCACTTATTAGTAATGTGATGGTAAAAAGAGAAAATCATGTGATGCCTCTGGGCCAGTGTTCTGGGGCCTTTTAGGCAATTATCTCTGCAGTTGCTTATAGAAAACAGGCCTCACATTCCAACTCTCAGGGGCTCATCTGAGGGTGCTCTCATTCTAGCAGAGGGTGTGGGGAAGCTGGCATGGAGGGGAAGGCCTGTGGTGTTTATGATTTGGCTTTGGGGAATGTCTGGTCATGGAGTCCTTTTTCTGGGATTTGAGGATGGTGGCGTGCCAGCCCCACTGATGGGTGGGGGTGGGCCTCTTGGGACGGGTAGCACCCTGTTTAGGTCCAGTGGACTGAGCTATCCCTCGGCAGCCAAGGCTGCAAAGGGCATTGAGTGTGAAAAGACCCTTTCTTGTGCAGTGATGGGATGTGAATGCTGGTTTATTGTGGAGCCAAAAGGCACGGCAGATGCTTGATGCAAGGCCCCCAGCATCTGAAAAAGTTCACCACTGTACCGCATCCTCCAGGGGCAGCCGCCTCTGCCGCCCTTTGATTAATGCACGTAGTGGAGGATTTGTGCCTTTGCCTGTTTGTGGGACTTGGCAGCCATCCACTGCCTAATGTGAAAAAGGCCTATGGAAGGATCGGCCCCTTTGAAGCAGGGGGCTGGTGGTGACTGCTGCGTGTGGCTGGGGTGTGGCCTCCAGATGCTAGAGGCCTTCACTTTCATAAATTTTCCTCACCGCCATTTGTGACTCCACACTCCCAATTACTGCACTCTCTGGAGGTGGCCATGGCCAACACAGGCAAACCCAGGCTAGTATTGTTCGGCTGCCAATGGGAAGACTAGAGACAATGCTGGGGCTGGCATCCCGGGGGATGGCACCCTAGGGTGATAGGAAAGAAAGAACAAAGTTCAATTCCTGCACATCCTTCAAACTCTGAACTTCAGTGGGGCTGGAGATGGAATGCTGCAATTTCTGTTTTGCTTAGTCCTCTAACCATTTCCATTTCTGTGCATGGATGAATTTTGCTCTTTTCTTTAGGGATTCGTTGGGGGAAGGGGAGAATACAGATTTTCATTTACCTTCTGAGAACCCTAAGGGAGAGATTAGGCAAGGAAAGGAGAATGTGGAAAGGGGTAATAATGTGCCCAAGATAACACAATTGAGGTTCAATCTTGGTGTGGTGATCACTTACCTTGCTGCCTCTTCGAGTAGATTATGCCGTGGGACAATTGTGTAGGCATGTTTTCTTCTCCTCTAGGGCCCAGACATGAGAAGCAACATTGAAGAAGGCATTTGCTCTCAAGTGCCAGCCCTGTACTTACTGGAGCCTGAGAGCTAGTGCCCCCTTAATATGTTGCCCTCAAGACTCCTCCTTGAGTGTTGCCTGGCCCAGTTCTGCCCTGCTCTCCCCACCACACCCCAAAGGCCCCAGGATCGAAGCCAGTTCTGCCCTGCTCTCCCCACCACACCCCAAAGGCCCCAGGATCGAAGCCAGTTCTGCCCTGCTCTCCCTACCACGCCCCAAAGGCCTCCGGATCGAAGCCAGGTTCTTCTTTCTTTCTGCATTTCCCACAATGCCCAGCCCACAGGTTGCACACAGCGGATATTCTCTTGGTGTTTGTTGAGGGGACTAGAACAATTTCAAAGACGGTATGTATCTATGTTGGGAGTAGAATTATGATGAGATGAGCTCACCAAAAAGGAGACAGTGAGTTTCTTTGGGGTAAAGATCCCTCTCTCATTTCTGGGCTGGGGGCTTTTAAAATACATATACTACCTAGTTTTGGGGCTAGCTGAGCCCTGGGCAAGTTCATATCTTGACAGAATCACAGAATATTAGTACTGTGGAGACCCCATCACTTTACAAACTAAGAATCAGGCTTACCCCAAGACGTGGCTGAATATTGGCAACACGCTGATACTTTTGGTCCCTGATGGTATTACCACCTCAGACTTGGTAGATGTGAAATGTGTATATTGAAATGTGTATATTGCTCTCTGACATAGAGCTCCTGAAACTGTGTAGGTAAGGGCACTAGGGAAATCTTTTTTTTAAATTTGAATTTGGTCTCTGACCCCAGTTCCTGATACAGAGCTCCTAAGACCTTTGCAATTAATTTCCTGAATGGTAGGAGTGAGAGATGCAGAGCTTCTAAATCCTTTGTAATTTACTTGGTGATAGGAGCATCTTTTGTTCTAATGAGATGATCCTTGGGGGGCTCCTGGACAGCCTCAGGATGGAGAGGGGCTCCATTGCTAGAGGAACCAACCATGTAATTAGAGGGTTGGACTTTCAGCCTCTCCCTCTAGCCTCCAAGGAGGGGAGAGGGGCTGAAAGTTGAGTTGATCACCAATGGCTGGTGATATAATTAATCAGGTCTATGTAATGGCACCTCCACGAAAACCCCAAAGGTCAGGGTTTGGGGAGCTTCTGGATAGCTAAACACACAGGGGTTCTGGAAGGTGGTGTGCCTGGGTTCTGGAAGGTGGTGTGCCTGGAGAGGGCACAGAAGCTCTGAATCCCTTCCTACACCCTCACCCTGTGCATCTCTTCCATCTGGCTGTGCATCTGTATCCTTGGTAACAGCCTTTGTAATCAACTGGGCAACTTAAGTGTTTCCCTGAGTCCTGTGAGTCACTCCAGCAAATTAACTGGATCCAAGAAGGGGGTTGTGGAAACTCCGATTTATAAACCGGTTGGTCAGAAGCACAGGCCACAACCTGGGACTGTGATTGATATCTAAAGTGGGGAGCAGTGCTGTGGGACTGGGACCTTTGCTGTGGGATCTGACGCTAACTCCAGTAGATAGTGTCAGAATTGAGTTAAATTTCAGGACATCTAGTTGGTGTCCGCTGGAGAACTAGTGGTTAGTGGGGAGAAGTCCCTACATGTTTTGGTGACCGAAGCTTTCTGTGTTGAGTCAGCGTGTGGAAGCAGGAAAAACAGTTTAGTTTTTCCTTTAGTGGTAAAGAATGTTTCTCTTCTGCTTAGGTGAAGGATTCCGACTCTCTTGTACTTGAGATTCTTTTTAGAGACAAAAAAATATGTGACGTTCGATGTAGTACATAGGTGAAATGAGATTTCGTGAAAAAGATAAAAAAGATTGAAAAAGGTGGACGGAGCAGAGGCTTCTTCCTGGTGGTGGCCCATCTCGCCCTGCCCTTTCCAGAAGCCTGCCTCAGATGCACTCACCCTTCTTGGCAGGCATCAGGGGTAGGTGTTTAGGATTACACAGGGGTTTAGTTCACCAGCCTTACAATTGTTTTACAGTAAGCATGACGGTGATGAATTGAGCACAAGTTTAAGAGAAGAGTGATTGATTTTCTGCCAAGCACCATTTTTATGTTCTTTTTTATCAGCCAGCCTCCAAAAAGGTGAGTTGTTTGATTTAGAAGCAAATGCTGGAGTAAGAATTATGGTTACTTCATGCAGTAACTCTCGGCCACTAGAGGGGGGTCGTGACCAAGCTTCCCTCTCCCTGGCCAGCTCCTGAGACCATCTTGCAAGATTTGCCGGGCTCTGCTAGGATGGGGCCCAAAGTGAAATGAGGCGTTATCTCTAGAAGAGTGACAATTCAGCAAAAGTCTGTTAATCATGGTCAGTTTTTCCCTCCGTGAAGCCAGTGTTTCCTACTTGAGCAAAGATAGCTTAACTTCCCAACAGGAGTATTTCTAAGGGTTACTGGTTATATAGTCTCTGGCTTTGGGCTCCTTAAAGATGTGGCCCCTGGGTATAGAGAAAATAGCAAAATGGTGCACATCCCTTCCCCGTTATTAGATGGGCGAGAATTTAACTGTGGGCATGAAGATTATACTCTTCACATATGGTCTGATATATGGCCTTATCAAGGGAGAAAATATTTTAGATTCCATACATGCGTGATAGCTGTTTGGTCACTGTTAAAAGCGTACCTCTACTAAAAGCAAGTATGTGGAGCTTCTTCCAAAGCTGGCATCCATGAAAAATCCTAAGAATTGCTACTTCCTTAAAGGAGGTCTCTGTGTCCACAGATGCCTACATTATTCCACAAAAACAATCCATAGCTTCAGAAGAGGGTCAGAGGTGAATGATCATTTCTGGAGCTCCTGTGTGCTGCTGTGCACGTAATGCCATTCACCTCCTGGGGAAAGTTAGGAGGATTTAAAAATAAATATTTTTAGTAATTGGAGAGCGTCTAAATTAGGTAAAAAGTGTTGGAATGTATAAGTAAGCAATGTATATAAGGTAGGGACAGTGGGCAGGCAATCAAGTAAGAGATTCACTGTGAATCATGAACAAAAATGGTTTGGTAGGTTTTTCTCTTGTTAATTTGGTTGTTGGATTTTTGTTCTTGACAAGCCGGGAAGCAAGCAGTTGACAGGGAGGGAGGAACACAGAAGGCAGGAAGATGAAAATACAAGGCTGAGCAGGGGAGCGCAGGAAGGTAACTGAAGAGTCCTTATGAGCAGGGACACATTGAGTGATTCTGTGTGGCTCCTGATGTCAGACCTGAGAGTTAACTGGAGATTATGAGGATTTGGATCCCTAGAAGAAAGAAATGTCATAACCAGCAGATCTGCTGAGCTGCCCTGCAGGAAAACCAGCCCCCTGTCCTGTGAGGTCTCAGGAAGAGGCTGCATGATTCTCTGTCAGGGACTTTTTTTGCTTTGTATTGTTTTTGATATTGGGAGGTTGACCACATGACTATCAAATCTAAGATCTGGTGGTTTGGAAATTCTGTGCCTCTACTCAGGCACCTCCCTTAGCCTAGAATTTCCTTTTTCTCATTCATAATAGTCTTTATGTCATTTGGAGTTTGGTTCTTAGTATTTGCACAATCCTGTTTTCTTGGAGGAGCCCATCTCTGTTAGCCTCTGTACCTTGTTTAGTGCCTGAAACAAACAGAGCTCCATGAGTGCCTTCTTTTCACTGAGGAGTGGGCTAACAATTTAACTTGAGTATAGGGGGATGAGGGGAGAATTTGGGAAAGCTGAACCGGAGATAACTTTTATATCTACAACCAGAGAAACAGGCTGGACTCCCGTTCCAGGTATCCTCCTGCCCTGTCTCCCCAGATGAAGGTTATGAAATCCACAAGCTAATGAAAATGCCTGGACTTGCTGTTCTGTCCTGGCAACCCCAGGCAGCCATAGAACCTGGAATATTCTCAACAATATTTAAGCCAGCATGGACAGTAGCCACAGGGATGCCAAACTGGGGCTGGCCCAGGAAAGCCGTGGACAGAGCAGCAGGAGCTCCCTGCTGGCTGGCCCAGCAGGCTAGCCCTGCCCTTTCATTGACAGCTCAATAAAACAGCCTCACAGTTCCCAGGATTGAAGCTTCTGGCCGTGTTTTTCATGTGACAGTGGTGTTTTTTGTACCCCTTCGATGGAAGGATAAGAATGAGTGTGTGAACGTGCCTGTATAGGGCTGAGGAAAAGAGCGTGATATTGGATGACATTGTTTTCATAGGTATAATGTGACATGGATGTGCCTTCCTACCTTGGCTACTACCTTTAGTTGTCTCCATGCAACTCAGATTAGGGAAATTAGGGCAGGATTTCAAGGATTAAAATGTGAGTTTTTTAATAGGCTTATGGTAGCTAACCACACTTCTGCTCACTCAGCTAGGACTCTGTCTTCCCTATCTTCTCCCTCCCCTGTTTTCCATTGATGCCCAGGTACCAATAAACCTAAGATGCCTTCACTCACTTCTATGACCTTCCTAGATATGTGGAACAAGGAAAGCCATATGACCAAATGGTGGTTTTCTTGCTATCTTCCTTGCACTGTTGCGTTCTGCCTTGATCCTGCCATTGCTCCCAGGAAAGCTGACCTTCAGATTGACAAACATTGTCCAGCTGAAGACCCTTTGTGGTGGCAGAGAAAACAGCCAGAACGCTGGATATCTGGCTCCGAGGTGGAGCTGGCACCTGTCACTCCTGGCTTGCCCTTCTGTTCTCCAAGAAGCAGTGTGGAGGGTGCCCAGTGGGTAATACATCTGTCGTTCAAAACTGTGCCTGGGAAGCAGAGGCACTTGCCTCTGTCTGACAGGCATGGCCCTTGTGCCAGAGAAAGCAGAGAGCAGAGGGGAAACCACTCGGATATGCTGTTGCTAGGAAGCATAGATGTGTTTGATGTTTTGATTTTAGCAGTATTGGAGGTTTGCCTTTTTAATAACATGAAAAACTATAGGTTTTTCTTATATCAAATATGTGCTTTATTGAAAATGTGTGGTTAAAGCAGAATCCTCTCATCAAATCCTTTTTTTCCACCAGTCATTAAATTAAAAAAAATTCCTCTGGAGACAGGAGAGGAGTGCAATAAGTTCAAAATGAAAATGACAGCAGAAAGGTTCTTGCAGAAGCAGCTTAGTTCAGAGGCTGTTATGGCCAACAGCTCCCGTGGCCTTGGCCGTATTAAGCAGTGGCCACAGAGTGGGAGCAAGGATGGAATTCATGTCCTTCAGATATCAGTGTCCAGCTGTCCAATCCTGTGGAAGCTGGGAAAAGGTCATGAGGTTACTCTCTTTCACTCTTTGAATGATTCACTGAATATTTACTGAGCTGTGTGTTCACGGCACTGTGCTGGGGGGCTAGATAAGCCAGACACAGTCCTTGTCCCCCGGAAAGAAAAGAGATGATGTTTCAAAGGATCTGTGCAATAAGAAAGGTATGAAGGACATGGGACCCTATAGGGAGTGGCTAACTTTTTTGGGGCCACTTGGCAAGCACCACTGAGGAATTTGAATTAAGTCTTAAAGGATAGACATTAGATTTTTCCAGTGGAAAAGACCTGGAAGTACCTTCCAGTCAGGAATAGCCAGGTGGATGGAAGTCCAAGGGTTGATGGGACATTCTATGATTTGGTAAAAGAATGAGTGGGGAAGAAAGAAATGGAGTTAGAAAAGTAGGCTGAAGTCTAGGCTGCTAGGAACCTTGAATTTGATGCCAAGAACTTTGAATTTTTTTTGTAGGTGCCCAATCAGAGGTGAGCTTGATCCTAATCTCAGTATACCTATAAATCCCTCTAGGAGGACAGAAATGGATTCCCTGGCGCTAATGGAGCTGCACTCTTGGCAGCACCATCTAATAGCACTCTCTTCAGTGATGGTAGTGTTCTCAATCCACTCTGTCCAATATGGGGGCCATTGGCACCTGCTGCCATTGAACATTTGAAATGTGGCTAATGATACTGACAAACTGAACTTGTAATTTTATTTAATGGTAATTAACTTAAATTCCAATTTAAATAACCACATGTGTCTAATGGTTTCTGGTGTAGAGTTTTCAGGAGGCAGTAGCTGTAGTTTGATGCGGGAAAATAGTTCTGAAGGCTTCTCTGCAGATGAGTTGTGTTTAATTGGATTTCAGGGAGGGAACTGACCACAGGTCAGTTCTGATCCCACTACCGTGCCGAGTGCTATGAGGAACAGGGTTAAAACATGCCTTCAAGGAGTCATTGAAACATGACACACAAACATCAAACATTGAGAGAAGGGAGGTAGTGGATGTGTGACAAAGCGCTGCCCAGCCTGGTGCCAGCTCCCTGGGCCCCTGCAGCAGCTCTGGGCCTTCTCTTGCCCTATTGTGGCACTGAGCAGCTGTGTTAACCACACAGAACAAGAGTCCTACCTGAACCCTGAACCTCTTGGCTGCCAGGCAAGATGCCAGGAGTGGGGCAGATGAATCAGGAAACCATTTCTAGATACATTAATTTGAAGCTCCTGTGACAGACAGTATGCTTTAAGGGGATTGCAGGGGCCTGATTCCTTTGTTATTTTGCCAATTCCGTTACAATAGAAACCAGTCAGGCAGGCACTCTTCACCTGCAGAGCTTTCCTGGAAAAGCTCAGAGTAATGCAACCTGTGTTTTCCCACTGGAGCACACTGGGCAGCCGTGTTTCCTGACCAACTCACCATCAAACAGAACATAAATGTGACAGAACAATGTCATGACAGCAGAGGTACCAAAGCCATAAATCTCAGTCACTCCCAGAAGTGATAAAATTCTGCTACTTATTCTGTAAAATGAATATAAATGTAGACTATGGGTGCATACTGATTAAGAAAAGGACAACGATCTTCCATAAACACAGAAGAACTCAACTTCACTGTGTCATAACTTAGATTTTCCTCACACTGAATTATGAAGTGTGATAAACATGAATTGAATAGTTGAATAACAATTGTTTTGTCCCTCCCTAAAATTTGAAGTGCATTTGAAGATGCTTTTATTTTTCTCTTAATAAATTCCTTTGTAACCAACAGAAGCATGCAAAATTATTCCATTATCTATTCCACCACCACATTAGTAGACCAATGAAATACAAGTGTGAGGGCAACGCAAAGTGAATCCAGCCGAAGTCTGTATCAAGAGGCTGCCAAAATACAGATTGGGCAGATTTTAGCTGGAGGAACGTTGAATAACTAAGACCTACAAATAGAAGCTCTCATTTACTCCCATTCTTTACTTTCCCACTATCATTCTGAAATTCTGATTTCAATATTAATATCTTTCATGATATTCTTTTGTGTAGTATTAAAAGTAAACTGTGATGTTTCCCTTTTTAGAAAAGTGATATGTATTCACAGTGCCTGCCTGACTCTTTGGGTTTCTATTGTAACAGAATTGGCAAAATAACAAAGGAATCAGGCCTATGTAGAAAATACAGGTAAGAAAATTAAGGAGAACCGCAATCCACCACACCGAGCTTTCCGTTGGATTTGGTCGTATCTGTTTTCAGTTATTCTTGTTTTCATTGTGTGATGACACGATGTTGAAACACAATTTTGTTATCCTTCTCTTTTTTTTCAGTTAATCCTTCCCAAACATTTCCTCATATTTAAAAATATATTTTCAAAACTTCATTGTAATGGCTGTAGGGTGTTTCATCACAGAAGTCACCTGAATTTATCTAGCTCGGCCCTTATTATGGATAATTTAGGTTATTTCCCTTTTCTTTTTCTATTTAAATAGCATTGTGATGAAAATTCCTAGGTTTGAAGCCTATATTCACAGGCATTACTATTTCCTTAGGTGTAAAATTTTCATCAGAGAGTAAGAACCTTTCTCTGGGCTGTGTATAAATATAACTCAGTTGCTCTCTAGAAAGATCGAATGTAGTTACTGTGAATATGGGTTCTGAGATCAGAAAAAAACAAGGTGTCGTCCTAGGTTTGCAGTTCTGGATCTGTGATCAGCCCTGTGACATTGAGTAAATTACTTAACTTCTTCAAGCTTCAGCTTCCGTATCTATTAAATGGAGCAGTGAAAATCTCTGCCTCATAGCCCATTGCCATGTGGACTGGAGGAGACATTCCCTGAAAAACACTCTGTGTAAAAGCTGGCAGTTTCACACCACTGCCAGCGGGGCAGGGGGATGACTGCTTCTCCATTCTGTCACAAACTCTGTTCATTATTTTATGTAAAAATCATCAACTTGATAAGTGAAAAACAACATTTATGAATTTTAACTTCCGAGACAAAACACATATTTCAAGCCTATAAAAATACATACAACATTTTCAAGTAAAGGTCTGGCTTGGACAAATATTTTTCTCTCACACATTGTTCTCCATGAGTGGTTGATCATATAAAAAGCTCACATCTTCCTTAGTTTTACAGAACGGCATATCATTGATTGTGTCTGTGGAGACAGAGGGACCTGTCTGTGGGTGAGGTGGAGTGTATGTACACAGTGGTTATTCAATGTGTGCTGAAAACATTTTCTCTCAACAGTCTCAATGATTGGATTTAGCTGTCTGTAATTTATCTTCAATTGTGTAAATAGCTTCATAAGACACGTAGAAATCAAGAGAAAAGGAAAGCATTCACTAACAATCCCCTTACCCGAACAAATTACATTTTATTTGTTTATTGTCCATGGAATTTTACAGAATTACAGTAGACATTCACTCAAATCCGGGGACACATTTCCTCACACTGAGACCAGCCTTTTCCCATATATGTGCCATCATTTTACCAGGTCCATGAGATGCCATTCCATCCAGGTCTTGGCAGTGGGAGCCGTGTATACAGAAAGAGACCCACCCCCATGGGCCAGGAGAGAGGATGGGGAACAAATTCTACTGGGAAAGTGAAGTAGGAATGGGATTACAGGTTAGAACCTGGGGCAGCCGAAAATGTCGCTGTGAAGTCTGAGCGTAAATATGATGGGTGTGGGTTATTCTGAAATGAAAGTTGAAACAACAAAGGGAAATGACATTGAGGGAGATTCATACACTGGCATTTAGACGCCATTTTAAGGACAAGCTTTATTTGGCTTCTCTTTGGAATTCCAGAGTCTCTACCCAGTGTAAAGACTGTGTTTAATGCCTGAATGCATTTGCTAGTGAAGGTGATTTCCCAAGATTTCTATAATAAAAGTGGGGAGAAGTATTAAGAAATACAATCTTGAGCCAGGCACAGTGGCTCATGCTTGTAACCCCAGCACTTTGGGAGGCCGAGGTGGGTGGATCATCTGAGGTCAGGAGTTCGAGACCAGCCTGGCCAACATGGTGAAACCCTGTCTATACCAAAAATACAAAAAATTAGCCTGGCATGGTGGTGGGCACCTGAATTCCAGCTACTTGGGAGGCTGAGGCAAGAATATTGCTTGAACCCAAGAGGTGGAGGTTGTAGTGAGCTGAGATCGCACCATTGCACTCCAGCCTGGGCAACAAGAGTGAAACACCATCTCAAAAAAAAAAAAAAAAAAAAAAAAGTACAACCATGATTACTACAAAGAAAGAAAGATCTCTTTTTCTGTGCTGGTTATCGTGTCTTAGGTATCACTCATCAAATAATCTCTCAGTCCTTGACATGGAAGGAGGCTCTTTGGGTTTTACATCTGTTCCTCTTTTGTCCCTGTTTTTTCCTATTTCCCAAAACTGTGCCCTTGAGTGTTGGGCTGCAATAACTTTGTGGGTTCACTGTGGGTCTGTTGCTCCTTGAATCTGTTTTTTGCTGTTTAATTCCTGTTTAGAGCAGACAGTGTGTCGATTTTATACCCAGAGGTAGCTGACTGCTCTCGACAATCAGTTGTGCACAGGTCCCACACCATGGGAAAATGACATTATAGTGTCCAGTGGCAGTGTCATGATCACTTTTCAAGATCGTAAGTGCAGCTTGTACTCTTGGATATTATTTTTTCTGTGTTCAGCCTTGAATAGCTTCTGTGAGGAAGGGAGTTTGCTGAACAAGGTTGTGAAAAATATAAGGATAGTTTAATTTTATTAGTCTTGGAGGCCTCTTGCATAAATGTTAACTGGAAACTGTTAGGCAGTAAATTTGCTGAAAGAAGAAGATGAGATTGTTGTGTAGTATAATAAAAAGGACACTCTTTCAAAGCTGGGAGATATAATTTAATTTGCTCTTTTCCACTTAAAAGTGCTGACTTTGGGCCCATGTATTTATTTGTAAAATGACCCCTTCATTTATGGAACAAGAAACTGTATTATGCCTTGTTTACCATCCAGTGACAGGCTCCGTGTGAAAGCATTTTGTAAACTGTAATATTATACACTAATGTAAGGCCATTATTATGTCTTTGTGGTCAACATGTTTAAAAATTTGTTAGTTTGCATTTCCGTTCAATTTATGTCCTGGTCCATCATTTCCATATTTCAGCTGCAGAGACCTTGATTCAATTCTGTTCATCTTGCAGTCTAATTAGAGACCTGAAATGTTTGCTTTATTTAGAATTTGTCACTTTACATTCTGAAGAATGAAGATTCAGTGTTCCTTAAAAGACTAAGATTCTAAGATATTACAGAAGTGAATTCTAATCGTCTGTCTTCAGAAAGCCATGGGATTTTGTGTTTTCATCAAGTTGGTTACCATTTTTGGAAACATTGCAGTAAAGTCTATTAGTTTTATATCAGTGCTTGTCACAAGATGGCGATGGTATTCCAGTAGGGTAGCCATTAGGCGCATTGGGCTATTTATATCTAAGTTAATTAAAATAAAAGCAAATTAGAAACTTGGTTCCTCCATTGTGGTAGCCACATTCCAGGTGCTCAGTAGCCAAATATGGAGAGTGGCTTTGCACAGTGGAGATGTTAGAACATGTCTATCCTTACAGCAAGTTCTATTGGATAATCTTGCTCTAGAGGAAAGGAAATCTAATATCACACTGTTCAAAGGTATCCAGCACTTAAGTTCCACACAGAATTTTGCCAATTTAGATTTCCAGTCTAAAACAGCAAATTTTAATGGGCCAATCAGGTTTTCCCATCTACGACCCTTTCTGAAGTTATATTTAGGGTGTTTATGGTTTGATATTTTTAAATGTTTCTATCTCTCTTTTGGGTCCTATAGGTCCTGTGTGACAGACATGTGTGAATGTCCAGTCCATAAAAACTGTTATTGCGAGTCATTTTTGGCATATACCCGGGCCTGCCAGAGAGAGGGCATCAAAGTCCACTGGGAGCCTCAGCAGAATTGTGCAGGTAAGAAAGTCCTGCTGGATCTACCCATCAAAAGTTTACTGCAATGCCCAAGATGGCAATGGAGGAGACTTGTGGATGCTGACATGAGTGGCCACATGCCCCCTTGCCAGAGGAAAATCCCTTCCAGTAGCCCATCTGGATTGCTACTTGATAAAACACAGGGACTTCCCACTGGGCAAGGTAGACAGCACTTAAGATAAATGCTTTGTGACAAGCATATTTAAGCAATTTAAAGATTTCCACTGTTGCAAAATCCTCTTGACCTCAAACTACCAGCTGGATATACTTAGCTCATGGGCGGTTATAGCTGTGGCTTAGGTTATGTGTGAAGCAAAGGAGATTCGGGACAATTACAGTCATTTAAGGTCTTCAGGATAAGCAAGATACTTTTTTTTAGAGATTATTATACAAAGCCTAGTAGAATTTTTTTCCCCTCTGAGAGATTTCTATAATAGTTGTCGCCTCAGGCAAGTAAATTAGCTTATTTGATATCTGTAAAATGGAATTCTTTATTCATGCAATAAATATTTGTTACAAAGTGGCTAGGTAGTGGGCATTGTGCTGACACTGGGTACTTTCATGAGTATAAGAGATGAAGCCCCAGTCATTGACACAGTGGCAGCCTAGTGGGAGAAACAGACAAAAACATAACTCTACAATAAAAACTTACAAATTACAGTAAGTATGAGGAAGGAAACAAACAGGGCAGAGTGATAGAAAACCATTGGAGAGGGCTGAGATGGGATGAAGAGGGAGGCTTCTCTACAGATGATATTTCAGCCTAGCCCTGAAGGAGTGAAGGGAGTGAGGGCAAGCATTCTATGCAGAGGAAACATGTTTGATGGCATAGGGTAGGAGAAAAATTATTAGCATGCTCTCAAAGTGGAGAGGAGCCAGTGTGGTTTGAGCCTGAGGTGGGCTAGGGGAAGAGGGGCGCAAGAGGAAGGTGGAGTAGGAGCAGTAGCTGAATCACGCAGGACTTGGCAGGGCTTTGAAAGGAGTCTAGCTTTTATTCCAAGAGAAGTGGAAGCCTCTGATAGCTTGTAAGCAAGCCTCTTTCTGCTTTCCAAAGATGACCCTGGATACTAGATAGAGAATAAATTGGAAGGGGACAAGATTGAAAGCAGGGTACTAGGCAGGAAGCTATTGTGATAGTCCTGGTGAAAAACTGATGGTGGCTTGAATTAAGATGGTGGCAGTGCATGTGGAGAGGAAGGGAGAGAGTCTAGATTTTAGAAATTTGCAATTTTACAATAATACCTGCTATCTAGTTACAAACATTAGTGATATATGCTTGAAGCATCTCAAAGAGTGTCCAACTCATAGAAGATGCTCAGTCAAGGGTAGCTGCTGTTGTTATTTAGATTTGAAGGAGAAATGACTGAATAGTTGTCACCTGGTTCAAGGATTGGCAAATTTTTGTTTTTAAAGGGCCAGATTTACCTGAAATAAAGAGACTGGGATTTTCAGCATGCTACCCTAGTCTTAATAGCCTTAGCTCACATCTCAGAAGAGAAGGCCACCCATGCCATTGCTGACTCCACAATGTCTACATTGGTTGAAGATAAGAGTGGTCACTGGTTAAAGGAAGCATTAAGAATTGCCTTGAAGCTGTGATTGCAGTGTACAGACATTGCGTTCACTTAGACCTGTGAGTTATAACCTGGCTGGACATTGGAATCACCCTGGGAGCTTAAAAAATAAACCAGGAACCTAAGCCTGTGCCCTATGCCCTGATGTCTTTCTTCAATTGGCCTTGTGTACCTTTTAAAACTCCCTAGGTGATTCTGACCTGCAGCCAGTGTTGAAACCCCTGAGTTAGTTTGTGTGTTTACTTGGGTGGCTGTGGGGAGGTAGGATGATGGATTTTTGGGGGTTGCTGAAGCTTCCTCAGCTGCCCCTTGGTGCAGTCACTAGTCTGTGTTTTTTGAAAAGCACCAGAGCCCTTTCACCTTCCTCTGACTCCATTTTGGTTGCGCCCCCACCTCTGCAAACCCAAGTCCAATCTTTATATCAGAGTTCACCTTCCACAGCAAGTGTGCCACTCTATCAATGCTGCCCTTCTCAGAGAAGTATTGATTCGATAAAAATAATTCACTTAAGGTGTGGCTGAGGCTGCTAAAAGGTGAGGCAAATGGTCCACCTCTAACCTAATGCATCAGTGCTGGGTAGAATATGTGAGGGTGAGGTTTTTGAAGAACTGGGTCCTTCCAGCCATCTTGAATACTCCTAGCTCCCTCTATTTTGAATCCCCTTTCCCTTGAATTTACTGGAAAAATGAATAAAATAAATGGAGTCAAGTTTGATCCAGCCAACCATCCTGGTATAATGCAGGGCTCAGCAGAATTCTATTAATTTGATTAGCTGTGGTAGTGCTGTTGTTGGGATCATATTAGATACAGGATATATGATCCTTCTCTTCCTGGCCCAGAGCTATACTTAGCACCATTTCAGTGCACACGTTGCATTTGAGGACTACACATTTCATGTCAGCATCTTCATTTCAGGGACTGAGTCTCTGGAGCTAAAATTACTTTTCTAATGGAAAAGGAATATGGCTCCTGAAAGATTCCATTTACCTGTTCTTAGTGGAGCCATCTGGGTGAAGTATAACTCCATCAAATGAAGTTCAGTGGGAGGGGAATGTTTTAGACACACACATTCTCTCTCTCTCACATATACACACACACACATACACACACGCACACACACACATTATGAACTTCCACAGACTGACAGTTGGTACATGAAGAAATAAATTTACACAGATCTGTAGCATCTCTCAGTAGATTCAGTTCAGATTCATGTAGAATACTGAACACTATAAAAGCCCTCTTTACTTGTTTTTAGCTCCCAGGTCCTTTGACTCACGACGGCACTTGAGGCCACATAAGACAAAAAGGAGAAATCTTCCAGAGCAAAAAGTCTGGAAGTTGAACATATAAGAAGTCAGCCAGGCGAGAAACTCTAAATGAGCCAGTGACATTTTAAAGTCCAGCCTGGATTTTAACACTGTCATGACTATAGACACAATATGTGCCCGCCACCTATGGCACAAAGGACTAATGGAACCCTAATTTAGCATGGGAATTACTAAATAAAATGTAATATGCTAAGGGCTATAGTGAAAGTATATAAAAGTTTAATAATAATCATTTATATTACTATTCACTCTTTTTAAGCACTTCCTTTCCCCCAAGGACTATATTAGCATTTTATATTATATTTTATCTTGATAATGCCCATAATACTTTATATGGTAACATTATATTACCCACATTTTACTCAGAGGGTCATTGAGACTTAAAATAGTTAAGTAATTTGCTGAAAGTCACAGAGCTAGGAAGCAAGGAAGCTGGGAGTTGAACCCAGGTCAGCTTGCATCATTGCCCCGTCCTTAATCATTATGAGAACACAGAGACCCAAGAGCACTGTGGAAAAAAAAGAATGCATATTTATGTGCTTATATTAGTGTCAACTAATTCATCCAAATATGTATCTAAATCTTAGTCACCTTAGTGACTTTCCAATTTCTATTTGTTTGTTCCCTATCACTGGTGGTTGTTACTCGGTACCTTCTGACTCTAAATGTGTTGTGATCTTGTCTGCTGTATGTTACATTGTCATCCTTAGCAGAATGTCTGCCACCTGCCTATAACTGATACTAATTGTCACTGCACATTCAGTCATACATTTTATACATGGAAAAGGTGCTGGAAACGTGGGTGTTTTTGTCTTTCTGTAGCATAACGGATGGTTTGCTGGGCTATGTGAACAGTTTTCTTCCTCCTTGTTTGGCTCTGCAAACCCCAGATGGTTCTAGCTCCTTCCCTGCAGCAACTCTGCCCTAATTATATACACTGAGTTATTTCTTGACTGACTGGATGCCTCCTGTAAAAGTTCAAGAGATAAAGTCAGGTATGGTGACCTTCAGCACCCCATAGGGGGATGTGGAGATGGTTGAGTTCCAGAAGGCACATTGCCATGCTGATTGAATGTATTGATAAAGCCGGCACATAATGTTTTTATGTTTCACCTATAGCGGTTTTAATGCCCCTTTGAGAATAAATGCACTCTAATCCTAACCACTTTGGCAGATCCCTGTTTTTTTTGTTTGTTTGTTTTTTGAGACGGAGTTTTGCTCTTGTTGCCCAGGCTGGAGTGCAATGGCGTGATCTCGGCTCACTATAACCTCCAACTCCTAGGTTCAAGTGATTCTCCTGCCTCAGCCTCCCTAGTAGCTGGGATTACAGGCATGTGCCACCACGCTTGGCTAATTTTGTATTTTTAGTAGAGACGGGGTTTCTCCATGTTGGTCAGGCAGGTCTTGAACTCCTGACCTCAGGTGATCTGCCTGCCTCAGCCTCCTAAAGTGCTGGGATTATAGACGTTAGCCACTGCACCTGGCCATGTTGTTTTTTAACTATTTAACAAAATAGATCCTTTTAAAATACATATGTGCCCATCACATCACACCTATGTTTTAAGAAATGATCTTATGTCTTTTACAAGTTTGAAAAAACAACTGAATTCACAGAGGGTAAATGAGGGCTCAGGTCAGTGTTAGTGTTCTAGGATAATCTAAAAGCTGTGCTGAATTGAAGGCAAATCCGGTGATGTCACTCCACAGCTTAAAACCCTTCCAAGGCTTCCGTTTGCCAAGGCTTGTGGGGTCATTTGTGGTCTCTGATCCTGGCTTACTTCTCTGCCTCTCTCTCCTACCAACTGCCCTCCTCAAGGTCCATGTCTCTAACCCACCAAACCAAGGATCCGCCCTTCCCTGATTAAGCCACAGTACCTTGCTGTTGCCTGTACCCCTACCTTTGTTCCTGCTGTTCTATGTGTCTGGGAAGCTCTCCCTGTCATTGTCTGTCTGACAATGACAATCAAGTTTGCTCACTTGATACTTACACAGGATCCATTCTCTCAAGTCTTCCTTGATCTCTACTCAACTCTCAGTGTTGAACTAATGTCTTTCTCTCTTACTCTTCCCCTGTACCTTGTTATTGTCTGATGTGATACATCTTATATTTTGTTAAGAATCTATTTACACATCAGCTTTACCTATTTGGTTGTAAGCCCAACCTCCTGTAACTGGAGGACAAAGATGATATCTGATCACATTTTATTCCCCAGGCTTAAGAGACTGCCTGGCACATAGATACTCAGCAGATGTTTATTGATTTAATTTGAATTGAATTGGAGATGGTATTTATAGGATGAAGGATCATACAAGAGAGAGAGATTTCTTTTTTTTTCTCTAGTAGTTTTCATTTCCTGCAGTCTACTTTTGACTTGTAGACTGTGAGGGACATACCAGTCCTTAATAGTAGAAAGGTAAGATGCCTTAGAAGAAGTTGAAAGGTAGACTAGAAGAAAGAATTGAGAGGTCAGAGAGAGGAAAAAACATGGGAGACTTCATAGCTATAGAATAGTCAGGGAAACACAAAGAATGTGGTGGGAAAGAAGAAATGCTGCTGAGAAGTTTTTATACTACCAGGAATCCTTGCAAGACTTAAAGGGGAGCAAAGCCTCTAGAGGGCAAGTGAGTTGAAAGAGGGCAAGGTGAGTTCTGAAAGCAGCGGAGTGGAAAATGAACTCAAGATTGGCCAGATAAAATCCACACTAGGAAAAGGAATGATGGGTTGAATATCATTAATATGAAATCCCCATCCAGGAGGCATGCATTGAGCTGCTCCCCCGTGCCTGTCCCTGTGCCAGAACCTTTGGTTACAGAAGATAAGAGTCCTGCCCTCAAGAGCCCAGGCCTCATCGATACACTCTCTTCAACTGCGGGTACTTGTCACAGTGACCCCCAGAAACTTTAAAATCAACAGCTGCACAGGCACGACTGCAGATTCAGAGCAACAACCTTTAGGGGTGGGCTGAGAAATAAATATTTTTTAAAGGCATATCAAGAGACTCTTATGAATATCTCTGATTAAGGACTATAGCTGTACTGTAATTAAGGGATTAAAGCAAATAAGCAAATAACTATAACGTTAAAAGTACTGTGGGTTGCAGAGGAGAGAAGGCATCTTGCGGGGATATCCAGAAACCTATTTGAAGTGGGGGACATCTGAATTAAGATAAAACTGATTAGACTGGGAAAAGAATCAGAACTAATGGTAATAGATTTCAGAGGTCTCTAACTGGAAGTCAGAGATAAAACTGTAGTAATTGAGGAAGAGACAGACAGAAGAGAAAACAATGTCGGGGGGAGATTCCAGGAGGTGATGTGAACATTTAGTGCCAGGAAGTGGGTAAAGAAACCCGAGAGAGAGAGAGAAGGTGTCTCCAGGAGTCAGCAGAAGAACCAGGAGAGTTCACTGTCATAAGATAAAATGGACACAAAGACCAAATATTTTGCAGAGTGGTCTTGGGAAAATGGGAGTTGGCAAGATGTTGGTGGATATGGACATTAGTGAAAACTTTGGAGGGAACTGCTTCAGTCAAGGGGTGGGTGAGGAAGATGAGCCTGTCAACATTAATGAATTGCAGAAGACTAGGCTAAAATGACTGTAAATTCTTCCCCAAAGTCTGGAGGTGAAAGGAGGGAGAAAATAAATCTGATAGTTTAGGGAATATTTGTTGTTAAGTAGATAGGGAGAAGATTAATTTGCTATGACAAAGAGTAGGGCAAGTTCTGAAAGAGATGGGGCAGAAAAGAAGAATGGCAAATCCAGGATGGGTGCAAATGACAAGAGGCAGTGAGGGGTAAGTTAAGGGTACTCCTGCAGACGACCTACAACCAACGCTGAAAGAGGATGAGTGCTCTGGGATGGGGAAGTGCTTCAGTGGGGCTTGAGGTAGAAGAGGTTGGGAAATAGTAGGACCTAATTTTACTTTGGAAATAGTTTTCTTCTCAGTTGCTAAAAAGGAATGAGTCTCTGAGTGACTGAAGCATGAATGTAGGGTTTGTTTGCAGGATCAAGTCTCAATCTTGGCCGCTCATTAGAATTGCCAGTGTGGGGCAGGGTCGGAAGGAAAGGGAGAGTGTTTTGTTTTGTTTTCTTAAATTACTGATATCCTGATCCCACCTTGAGGTGTCCTAATGTAATTGATCTGGGATGAAGTCTGGGCATCAGGAAGTTCCCCAGGTGATCCTAACTTCCATTTGTGACCACCATTAGTCCACTGAAGCATAACAACACATGAATACAATTACTCTGTATAAATATGATATTCAGCTTGGATGTTTCCAAATCATTAAGCAAATGCAATGTATAGGGTATTCTGTTAGTCACTGAGAAGAGAAAAAAAGAGGACTTTGAAAGGATCAGTGAAAAGTCAAAAGATTATCACAGAAGCCTAAATTGAGAGACTTAAAGGAAGGGTTATGTCAATCCACCCACTCACTCACCCATGTATCCATCCACTCAATCTCCCAATAGTCCTCTGAGTAGTAAATGTTAAACACCATACTCCTGCAGAAGGTAAAGAAACAGAACAGTGTTCCCCTCTAGTAGCCTATATTTGAGTTGGTGTGTGTATGTAGCGAGAGAGAGAAAGACTATGAGAGGATGAAACTGATGACTACAATTTCATGTTGTAAATGCAGTGATGGGATAAGCAGCAGGTGCTCTTCTTATCAATCAAGGAACATCCATCCCATCCACACAGAAGAGGTGGGAATTCAGTTGGAAAGGTTGGGAACTCAGTTGAGAAGAATGGAAGATGGGGTGAATGGTGGTGACATTCACCAAGCTAGATAATGGCACCAGATCAAGGCACTGGAGTCCACCATGCATGAGGGAGCCTATTGATGTCATCTGTAGAGAAGAGCAAGGGCACAGATCACACAACAGGGTAAAGAGGGGGTAGAGGACAGATCCTGAGATGCAAATGGAAAATTCCAATCCCCTCTCTGTTGTGGTTATTTCTGTTTCATAACAGCTTTATTTAGCAAGTATTTATTGCTGGCTTTCATATCTAATGCTCGCCAAGTGCCAGAAAATGTGTGTGCTAGAGATGTAGTGAGGGACCACACAAAACTCCACCCTCAAGGAGCTTACATTTTAGTGTTGGAAGACAGAGTAAATATGATACGATGTCAGGTAGTAGTATGTGTAAAGAAGAAATAAATAGGGAAAAGAGGTAGTGAATATGAAAATGTTATTTTGAATAGGAAGTTACCTTTGAGAAGGCACCTCAGAAAGCTGAGTGTGAGCCAGGTGTAGGAATCAATAAGGCATAGATGATATGGGATGTTTCAATATAAGTGACTAGTAATTAGCTGCTACTAACTCATCCCTCTGCTGGTATATCAGACAGCAGCCATGTCATTTACCTCTATCCCCAAAGCATCTGGTACAGGGACTTTGTTCAGAGCAGGTGTTTACCTAGAGTCAATGGTTTAGTTAACAGTTGAGGCAGGGATAAATAAATAATGCACCAGTGCTTACTATGAATCTATACAGAAAAATGTTCATTATAGAGTCAAGTAGTTTAAAGTTGGTTTTATTTAGATGTTTTGTTTCATACAACTTGGTTTTTGAATAGTAAGAGCTGATGAGAAGTCATTGATTACTCGCTGGATAGAATGTGTTCTCTCATTTGTTTCTAACCAGTGCAATGGATATTTGAGAAGCCTTCATAGAATTTATTTTATGGTGCTTATTAACTTTCTTTTACTTAAATATGATCAAAGATCAACATTTTGTGGCAACTCTAAATGCATAACTTGAAAGACTCAAATTGAGGCCCGTTTGCTGGCAAACCAGTTCTATCTTTAAATTTTACAATTACACGATTCCTTACCAGGTATTATTCTGCAAACAGCATAAACAATAGAGGCATTGAAGCTGAGAATGTCTTCCATTGTTATTACTTTTGTTTAAAGGAACTTTAAATGAAGATGGAATTGTTATTGGTGTTCTTGGAGGGTCCCTGATCTAAATTCCTACTTGTGTCAACATTCCTATTCTTGAGGAATGAGGGGCGGCCCCTTCAACTGTCACTGGATGTAACTCAGATGGAAAAGGCTGTGTGTCAGAAAACTTCCAGAATGTTTGCATTATTTTTTTCTGACAAGTCTAGTCATGAATTTTCAGGATCTCTCATAATTTTGTGAAAATCACTTTGCCTCTAAGTCAATAAAGATAGTAAATTGGCTGTGACGTGGCAACATCATCATTTTTATATTGTTTGACCCAGCCAGCTGCTGTCCTCCCTGCAGTCACATATCTGACTTTTCTCTATTTGGCTTACCCCAGTCTTGCTCCAACATGCCTTAAATTTATTAATTTAACACACGATTACATTGATTAAAATATGTCACACATTCCCAATATCCTTGGTAGGTTTTTTCTCTGTGGGTAATTTCATATATTTGAATATTGATGTAGTTGCACAAAATATTCCTATTCATCACAGCTCAATAGCTGAAAGGACTATTTGCAGCAGATGTTTTATACTATTTAGTTATTTGTACAATAACTAAATAGCCTTAAAGATTTTCCTATAGGCTTACACATTTATAGTTTATCTTATCTAAGAATAAGATAAATTCTTGTTCAGATCTACCTGCATTTGTTTTTATAGATGTAGCTGATTCCCAGAGTGTTTGAAGAATGTTGGGTGTTTGTCATTCTCTTGTTAAAATGCAAATGTGATCCTGAGCTATGGAAACGTCCATGAAGTGTCATGAGCCTGCAAGAACGGCATCTGGCTGAGGGTGAATTAATGGGGCCTTTCTCCATGTTATGCCTTTGTCTCCTTCTCTTTTTCAGCCACCCAGTGTAAGCATGGTGCTGTGTACGATACCTGTGGTCCGGGATGTATCAAGACGTGTGACAACTGGAATGAAATTGGTCCATGCAACAAGCCGTGCGTTGCTGGGTGCCACTGTCCAGCAAACTTGGTCCTTCACAAGGGAAGGTGCATCAAGCCAGTCCTTTGTCCCCAGCGGTGACCTTTGTTTCGATCCTTAAGACTCTGAAATCTGGTGACTTTGACACTGAAGCGGAAGAGCCAATGAAGGACTGCAGTATTTGTGTGCCCGATTCTGTAAACACACACACACAGAGTATATATGTGTATATATATATAGATATATTCAAAAACATTGCATCATTTATATGAACTATAGGGGGATTATTATATGTATATTTTTTGCTATAAGACATGTATTGTTTCTAGGATCCTAACCTGTAAGCCATTGAACATGTTGTATAAATACACCAGGTGTTTTTAATTTAATAAGGTGGCATGCAGATACATTGGATAGTGTTAACATCACATACATTTGTCATTTTTAAGGAAGTTTTCTAAGAGCCCTCAATTGCCTGCCTGTATTAATTTTAGTTTTGAGTCAGGATTTGTAATGGAGTGGGAAATGTGTTTCTCTGGAGAAGGGCACATTTATCTAGGGGCATTTCAGGTTTCCAAAGAAAGGAATGTATGCCTGGGAAAGACAGCAGGAGATTGGTGACCGGCCCTAATGGTGCATGAAAAGCGAGTGATAGGCTGTTAGAATGTATTAGGTCATGGGCTAACATTATTTCCAAAATTGATTGGCTGGTTGCCAAGAAATATATATTTGTCACTAGGGCATAACCGAAGAATCAAGTGATTTCTTGCCATCCTTGCGTAGTCCTCAAGTCTTCTAATCATCTATGTGTGTATGATGGATGTGACCATTTATATGTCATGTGTTGAAATTAAAGGGTGTCTGGATGCCATGTTAATTTTATTGAGCATGAGAAAGTATTTGAAGAAACTGTTGCACAACATATGATGAAATTTTGATTTCTCTGAATCTCAGAGTAATTTAAGATGGGCAAATCCAATGAGTTGATGTAACCCATCTACATTTTGTGGCTATTTCATGTATAAAATGAAAGGCTTTAGTTATTTCTAGAGGAGTCCCATCCAACACTATTTGGCGACTGTTAATATGTTATAATTATTAGACAGTGGAAAAGCCTTTATTGACTAATTGATTTAACCTCAGTCCAAAGAACAGTCTCTATACTTGCCCTCATTTACTGATAGGCTGCTACTAGTTACCATTTGATTGTCTTGACTTTCGTCTTCAGTTGAATTGGTGAAAACATCAACAAAAACAAAACCCACTGTGTCTTAAAATAAAATGTTCTGCATTGTAGTCAATAAAGGGCTTAAGATGTAAAACAATGCATTTTCTCTCTCAAGATGTCCTGTGTTATACTTTACAATTAGTTGTATCAACTTCAGATTCATTAAATTTTAACAGCTGTATTTAGTTATAATTTTTGTATCTTACAACAGTATATATAAAGACTATTATTAATAGACAAAAGCAAACCCACGTTTTTGACAAGCCAGCATATTGCCAATGCTCGTCAAAGACATTTATGTTTCTTTTACATTCATGACAGCTAAAGTATTAACTTGGAATTTTTTTTTTTTTTTTTGACTGGAAAATCCCTAGTTGTTTGAATTAACTGAATAAAGTGCAGGGCGTAATAGTGACTGGCTGGGGGCACTGGGCCTTTGTGTTTTTTTTCATTCCTGTGTTTGGATACTAATCACCCTCGTATCTGCAGCCTGAGGTAGTCAGGTCATTGTTTCAATGCTGCCCTTGGAAAGAAGACTTTGACTTAGGTGCTTTGGGATCTAAGTGTGGTTTGTGACTATCCCCATTATTTAAGCATTTGGGGGTCTCACTTTTGCTTATCTGTAACACAAAGAGGCCATGTAGTATAGTGAGCAGGGTTGAGAATCGGGAAAACTAGACCCCTGCCACTAACAGGCTAGGAGACTTTGGGCAGTAATGGGAGGCACTGAGGGTTTGCAAATACTTTCCTACTTGTAATCTCATTGATTCCCTGCTCTGCCCTGACAGGAGGGGTAGGGAAAATCAGTTGACGTTGCCTGGTGGTTCCTACCTTCTGTAAAACGAACAGATTCCTTAAGATTAGCTTTAAATCCCTTTTCAGTTCACTGTTGGTTCTCATCTTTGAAAGAGGGCAGCATAAGGGAAATGATGGAGAAGGGAGAATTGTGGATGGTTATTTATAGCTCATGATTCATCCAAGGACTGAGTTATTCTCCCCATGAGGCTAACCGGCCTCTTTCCCAACACTTAATCATGGCAGCCAGGATGGGTGAATGATGAAAGCTCTTCTGCATGAGCCGGTTTCATCATCTTGGGTGGGTTGATTACAAGTTTGTGTGGCATTCCTTTAGCTGGGGATTAGCTTAATCTCTGTACATTTTTCTCATTTCTAATTGAAGAAGAAAGGGAGGGCAGAGAGGACAGAAAATTACTTGGGTTTACTAATTCAAAGAGCCATCTCTGATGGGAGAGGGTGAGGAAATCAGCTGAATGGTTGGCCTGCATATTCTTTTTTAGGCCACAGGCTACAGCTGAGCAATGGCTTAGTCTAATGATTGGGCACAATGAGGATTTACCAAGTGCTTCAATGAGAGCAGTCCTGTTTCATTCACATGGGATGTTTTCAATTGGTTCTTCAACTAAGCTCTTGCAGAGTGAGATGACTTGAAATAAAAATGTTCTATGAATATTGAATTTGATGAGAAACAAGCACCCTCAATGAAGAACAAGCATAATTATGATTCTAATTGCCCATTGTTGGTACTCAGTAAAACTAAGTTCTTTCTTCTCTCCCTCTGTAAATAGGAATATTTGAGGGTCCTGACCTAAAATTTTTTAGCTGGGAAGAAAAGATATCTCTTTGGCATCGACAAGAGCAATTTTTGTTAAAACTGTGGTACACTAAGAATCACTAACTCTTCAGGTTGAAGGCCTCACTCATCTTAACTCGTTGACTGCTTCCTGACCATCAGACCGTCCTGTAAGAGGGCATCTTTCAATAAGAACGAGAAAGACCCAGGAGGTTGACTAGCTTCTCCCAGCTTTCACTGAAACACGGATAAACCATTTCAACTGGAAAACTCTTCCTTTTTATGAGATATTTCAGACACACAAAAAGGCATAGAGAAAAATGTTGCAAACATCCATGACTACATTACCCTAATTAAGAAACATAACCTGGTAAGTAGTCAATAAATTTTTCTTGAATCAATAAATAAAACCTAATAAATGCTGTCTCATGGTTGCACAGCTGTTTGTGGATTTGTTCAGTTTGAGCCTGACTGCATTTCTCTTCACTTTGCCACTCTTTGTCTTCACATTCATCTGGATCTGACAAGTAACAAGGACATGAGCTGGAAAGCTCTTGGAGTGGGAGGAGGAGACTGCCTTCAGGGATAGGCGCCAAGGTATTTTAATTAGCGATCTCCTCCAAACATAACTCTCAGGAGCAAGCAAAAATAATCTCTGATTCTACATCCTGGAGTACAAGCTTTGCAAAACTTGAGATTTTAATTCTGAAAAATGACAAGTTTCAAGTGGGCCAGAAGGAAACAACAGGGAAAAGGAGCAAATGCTGATGATTATTCTGACGTTGAGTTAAGAACCCGGACATTCATTTCTTTAAGGGGCTCTTTCTGGCTTTACAATCATGTTGCTACACTGGATTTATTTAAACCAGTTGAATGACATGAACATGCATCAGATCCATTTTTATTATGGTCCCCTTTCAGATTAATTTGAGCAAGCTAGCTTGGAAAAGGTCAATGTGGTGGAAAAGGATGAGAAATTTATATTTAGAGAAACTTGAAAAGTAGGAAGGTGTTTCAGGTAGAGGGAGAGCAAATCTCCTGGTAACAAATAGCTGCATACCTGGGGCTGCACCATAAAAGGTGCAGGCTGAAGGGCAAGGGTGAAGCTTGTAGGTGTGAGATGTGGCTGGGAGGTGGGAGTGGGGTCTTAGGGGGCTGGGGTCTTAGCTCCTTGTCATGTCACATGACTAGGTCGCATCTGTCTAGGTACTGGGCTAAATAGACTGAGGTGCTTGGAGCTAGATGTCACATCTGGGGAATCTTAGGTCCTGTCCAACTGCCTTGAGAGTGGAGGAGGTGCCAAAATCTCCATCACACATTCTCCACATGGCTCCCTGGTGGGCTGAGGCACCAGATGGGTAGGTCTGCTCCAGCTATGAGTGGTGTTAAGCAACAGAGTGATGTGACCAGCCAGGCCTTTGTTTCAGTGAGATCAGTGACTGCAATGAAAGTGGATTTCCAGTCAAAAGACTAGGTGGGAGTCCCCTGAGATAGTCCAGGTGAGAGATGATAAACCCCAAGACCACGAGGTAGGAAGTAAAAAGGGGAGAAGTTTGTGACAGATTGGATGGTGGATAGGCCAGTCTCTGGCTTGAGTAACTGGGTGGCGATGATGGTGCCAATTTCCCACAGAAGGAACACTGACAAGGGAATATATCTACAAGAATTTCTACTGTCAATCAAAGTGTTTTCTGCTAAGCTGTATTTGCTTTAATTCAACAGACATTCTGAACATTAGGTTTAAGACATGGTCCTTCCGCAGACAGTCACGGTGCAGGATGAATGGCTTGTGGTACGAACCAGAGGGCCATACCACTGGCCGTGGGAGCCTCAGGAAGCCCCATTTGAGGTTTTCTGTTTGGGAGAGTGTCAAGAGTGCCAGAGAAAGTGACTACTGAGATGAGTCTTGGTAGAGGACTAAGTAGCCTTTACCTTTGCAAAGATGTGTGTGTGTGTCTATGTGTGTGTGTGTGCATGTGTGTGTGTGTGTGTGTGTGTGTGTGTGAATTTTCAGGAGTGGAGTAGTCTGGGCATTTAAAGAACAGGTAACTAAGTAGATAAGGAGAGAGACAAACAGGCAGTGTGGGTGTGCAGGGAACAACAGGCTTTGGGTTCTGCTGAGGTGTAACAGATTCACAGAACTTTTTTGAGCTGTGACAATGCAACTTACACACCCTGGGAGGCTTTTTCAGGCTTCCCTTGGTTTCTAGTGGGATCCACACAAGTAGGGCTTGAGGCATTTTGTTATAAGACACCTTGCCTCCTGCACCAGGCTGTGTTTGTGTTTCCTTCATCTGTCTTTTGAGCATCTAGAGAGGGAAGGGAAGGAAGAGGCTGCTAACAAGAGCGTTCTTTCTGACCTTCAGTCTTCCACTGCATGAAGACAGGCATTGGTTGCTTTAACAGAACTGTTCCAAGGTAAATACATTTCACCACTGCTTTTGTTGACTTGCTTGACTGTAGGCTGATGGATAGAGGAGGCTTAGAGTCTAAACAGCTGGTCCTGCTAGTGTCGCCAGCTCGGGTGACACCTATGAGTAAAACGCCAGGAAACACAGCTTGCCCGGAGTTCTGTTGGAACAATTCTGTCATGTTCTAGCCACTTTGTGTCATAACCTAGCTTAGGCCTTAAAAACTTACATAAGCTACTTCTCTGCTTCTTCCAACGGGAACTTGGCTAACTAAGTTATTCCCCTGAGAAGTTTCTTCAGCTGTGAAATTTGGGGCTTAAGGAAATGTTTGTAGTGATGAAAAAGATTCACCTTGGCTCCAAGAGCGTAAATACCATTTATTATATTGTCATTTTCACCACGTTCCTATATGTAAGTTAAAGAATCAGATCCTGAACAGCTCCTTCTGGCTCCAGTGGTTAGGGGGGCACTGGGGAGGAGAAGGAGGCAGCAGACTGGCTGGGTTCCCTCCATGCCAGCAGGCTGCCTTGTGACAACGTGAGCCTGCAATGCGTTCCGGTCTGACCCCTTGTGGGCACTTCCGTGAAGAAGGTGGTTCAAAGGGCCCTCTCTACTCGGTATGAATTCCCATTTTGCTCTTGAAGACAGTCAGGCCAGGGGGATTCTGTCTTCCTAAACTTATTTGCTCACTTCACTATTTCTGAGAACAAACAGGCAGTCAGAAGAAAATGAAAGCTGGAAGGAGAAGAGAAGATTCAGGTTTATCCACAGCATCTACCATTCCAGACACACCCCAGGAACCTTAGAGGGAACACAGGACAACTGGCTTGATCGCACTGAAAAGCATTCTCCATTCTGTTTTATGGGGTGATGCTTGAGGAATATCTGCTTTCATAGTCAAAGCAATGCAGCCTAAGCAATGTCATTTCCATGATGATCCACACACTGTCCTGATCCTGTGATTTTCTGAGATGTATTTGAAAGAATTTTTCTGATGATCTGTGAACATGCAAAGACACCCGACTCCACCAGGCCCTGGCAGGAGAATTTAGACCCCAAACCAGGGTTGACTTGCCTGTTGAGAGCACAGTAACTCAGAGCAGGATTGCCTCACCCTTTCTTTGCTTTGTCATGGAGGTTCAGGCCATAGAATGGTTGGGTTGCTTTGGTTAAAGAAAATAAAGATGGCAGCTAGAAAAGCCTCCCGGTGGAACCAGAACGTCCAGCTGAGCTGGGAGGTGTTTGCTGTGCCTGGACTGCTCCGGAGGGTCAGAGTGGATTCATCAGTTTCTCCCTCTTCTTTGGGAAAGGTCAGCAAAGAAGAGAAGGCATTTTCCATACAAATGAAATTATTTCCAAATCTGTTATTTATTTCCTTTGGTTTTAAGTAGGGGGAAAAACTGTAAAAATGTCAAAGAACAATATGGTGCACATTTTAATTTTTTATCATAAAAATCTTGGTAAAATAATTGTTTTCAAAAATTTTGGAAATCTTGTTTTATTGGATTCAAATTCTATCTAATTTCACTTAATAATTGTAAATTATTTTTACAAGCTACTTTTTTTATAAGTAGGTTTCCAGTGCATATATTCTGAATGCGATTTTGCAAAGCAAAATTTGTTTTTCTTGAAATCGGTTCCATGACTTATTGTTCATATCATTAGGCCAATTTGACTGTTTTGTGAGAGCGAGTGTATTGAAATGTTTGCCTAAATAATGTGTATGAATATTATCAACCCCACATCACTTAACATGTGTTATCTTTATAGCAGTAATGCTTGCAACTTCATTTGTTTCTTGCATCGTTCATTTGTTAGGCTCCGAGCCTAAGTACACAACTCTTTTTACTATGAAATAAGAGGCCCAGTAGGAGACAGGGAGAGACTGTGAGGCAAACAGCAAAGATGCATCAGATACAACCACAGAGATATTTTTGCATCACAGTCTGAGAGGAGCTGCTTCACACAAGAGTCATGCAGTTGTGGCTTTATCTATGTCACCTCCGAACAACTGGAAGGAAATAAAATCCAGTTCCAAGACTCATCCTATGAACTGCCTGGTCTAACCCACATTGTTTTCAGGAATGTGCCTTTGTGACACATGGCAACAAGTTGCTCTTGTTAAAAGCAGCCACTGAGCTTCATCAAAGCTGTGATCTGTCATCCAAATGTCTAGCCTGTTGTGATGGAGGCAGATTTCCAGATGGCCCAGCCTTCTAAGTGCATGGGCTGGCTGGATGTTGGGGATGGTGAGAGCTGGACTCTGACTGATGCCTGGACCTTGGGCAGTGAGCAGGTGCTCCAGGCAGGCCTCCACAGCCCATGGGTGTGGGTGTGCACGTGCCTGAAGAGGAGTCCCTGCTGAATGTCCAGTGATCCTGTAGGACCGGCCTCACTCTGCCTGCTCATGCTCCTTCTCTGGTAGATGGGGAAAAGGCTTCCCTCACCAACCATAGGGTCTTAGCATTTCCAGCTAGAGCCTGGCAGTTGGAATAGAGCATTCAGGGCCAAGGGCAATTCTGCCACTAGGAGAAACGGGGCCCGGTGTAGCTCCCTGAGCTTTCTCACCAGGAATAGGAAAAAATTGTCACGTCAGCTATCAGCTATTGATTGTGTCACCCTCCCCTCTGTAACTGCCCTCTTCCTCCAACCTTCAGCTTCGTCTCTTTTGACTCTCTCCTCCTTGCCCCAAATGGAGTTGTCCCCTGTGTCTCTCTGCCATCTCCCATACCCCAGTTCCAAACTGGCCCATCTTCCTGGCAGCATTTTATGCTCTAGTTCTTTCCTGGCACTAAAAGAAACATAGCTGGCCGGGCGTGGTGGCTCACGCCTGTAATCCCAGCACTTTGGGAGGCCGAGGCGGGCGGATCACGAGGTCAGGAGATCGAGACCATCCCAGCTAAAACGGTGAAACCCCGTCTCTACTAAAAATACAAAAAATTAGCCGGGCGTAGTGGCGGGCGCCTGTAGTCCCAGCTACTTGGGAGGCTGAGGCAGGAGAATGGCGTGAACCCGGGAGGCGGAGCTTGCAGTGAGCCGAGATCCCGCCACTGCACTCCAGCCTGGGCGACAGAGCGAGACTCTGTCTCAAAAAAAAAAAAAAAAAAAAAAAAAAAGGAAACATAGCTGACCTGGTTGCTACTCCCTCAAGAGTCAATTTGCCAACAATATCAGTGAATATTTTCATATTTTTGTCTTGGGTCTTCTGGCATTAAACCAATGGTCTCATTTCAATGTGGGCATTTTAGGCACCATATTAGATCAGAAGGGGTAATATTTAGAGAAAAGGTGGGCCTTTTGATGCTCGCAGCAATGTAGGCACAGTGTAGACACTGCCTAGTAGACTGGCACCGAGGCCTGGCTCTCTTTGCCACAGACCATTTGAAAACTTTCTGGAAAACTCTTTTTTTTTTTTTGTTTTAAGACAGAGTCTTGCTCTGTTGCCCAGGCTGGAGTGCAGTGGCACGATCATAACCTCTGCCCCCTGGATTCAAGCGATTCTCCTGCCTCAGCCTGCCGAGTAGCTGGGCACCCACCACAATGCCTGGCTAATTTTTGTATTTTTAGTAGAGACAGTGTTTCACTATGTTGGCCAGGCTGGTCTTGAACTCCAGACCTCAGGTGATCCACCTGCCTCTGCCTCCCAAAGTGCTGGGATTACAGACGTCAGCTGCCATGCCTGGCATGGAAACCTCTTTTAATTGTAGAACATTCTTTCCATTTTTAGGTAGAATGTCTAGAATTTTTGATATCAAAAATTCACTGATGAAAGAGATATTGTTCAACTTACTTTCTCTTTTTTTCTGACTCATATCCCCCCGCCTCCTGAAGAGAAGCCTCAACTCTTTCCCTACAGCAAAATCAGTGAATTTTGTAAAGCTTTTCATTAGAATGGTCCTGGATGAAATTCCAGGGATATGTGACATCAACTTTGTTGCGTATCTTAACATAGTTTAAGCAAACGGTTTTCCAGTCCAAAGATAATACAAAAAAAATTTGTCATTCCTGGGCAAGATGGCTTATCTCTCATGCTGACTCCAATGAATTTTCAGGTATTGTTTGTGTTCTGCGTCTGGGACTGTGAGTTCATCTCCAACTCTGTAGAAAGAGGGCTGTGAGCTACTGGCAAGGCCTGCACAAGAGATGACCTGTTCTATGTGCCCTCCTACATGTTGCTGGATGCACAGACAACCTGAGAGGATCTGATTGATTCTGTCCCCCCAAGATCATGCTGTTAGCATTCATAAAGACACTCTAAAAAAACGAAACAAAAGACACACATACAAAACCAAGCAGAAATTCACTATCCCTTTATGAGTCTTTTGGATAAAATCTCATGTTCCATTTGACCTTTTGTTTGAGATACAGAAATTCCCGACTGTGAAAATGTAGTGAACCAGCTCAAGCTGCTTGTCAAATTGCAGACTGGAAACCTCTGCTTACAACAAATTGGTCTAATTAAGCCTTATTAAAATTGGTGCCCCGGGGTGAATTTTTATCCCTTGCACAAAGGATGACATTGCAGATTTCCACATACAATGCAGGCGACTCTGATGCTTTTACAGGTGAATTTTCCAAATGGGGATAGCAAATGTGCCAGGGACAGCATCCCTGAAGCACATGAGGATATATAACTGCTCAGTAATTGCAGTTTTCATTTGAGTAAATTAAATAGCGATGAAAACAAAAGCCATGTCCTATTTCTGCAGTGTCTCAGAAATCTAGGCTCAGGCTGGTGGCAGAGGTTGGAGGCTGTCAGAGAGCTAAGAGGCCTCCTGGGGACATGGCACTTGGCCTCCTTGCCTCCCCCAATTGCCTCCCATTTCACTTTTCTTTTCTCCTCCCCTAAAACCTCAGGGGGGATCTTAACAAAGGGAAAAGACTCCCAACAGACCATGTTTCTCTGCAGGGGTGGCCATGCTGACTTTCGACAAGCCTTCATTCTAATGTGGCTGCTCATCTGCTCTGAGGACATCACATCTACTGGAGCTAGAAACAAATGAAAATAGCGTGGAAAAGCTGCCATCACAAGACAGGTCATCACAAGACTGCTGTTTGCTCTTTCCACTGTTCATTGCATCCTCTTCAGGGTCAAGAAGAAGTCACCTGCCAAGGGAACAGTAGGAGATGGAGATGCATTGTATTGGTGGAGCTGTGAAGGTGGAGGTGCCTGGTACACCTTGACACAGTGACCTTGGAAGACAAGTAGCCTGGTCTCTTTTGCATATTGTGTTCTGAGTTCCAGATTCAAGTACTTCCAACTGCTTCCTTGTCATCTCCACTTGGTGATGGAATGAGCAGTCCAAACTTTCATATACTCAATGATAAACTCTTGACACTGTTTGGGTTTTAAGTTTATTTTTGGAAGGGGACCCAGGGAACAATAGTGAGGGACTAGGAAGAGTAAAATGGAAAGAGGAAAATCCATTCCAAGGAACTATGGTAGAGCTGGTTACTGCTGTGGATACCTGGGGGCTTAGTTCCAATGGGTGTTCTTTTAAAAGATACACACGTTGAGCCTCAGAATTATCCACCTGCTCTAAACCCTCATTGGTCAAAAACTGCCCCTGAGGTGTTAACTTCCTTGGTCTTCCAGGCTTACACAGGGACCTGAATGGCTGAGTGAGCTTCTGGAAGAGTCCCATGGAAAGGCTAAGAAACTCTGGGGCAAAAGGCAAGAAATGCAAGGTGCAGCTGAGGCCACGGTGCTGCCAGGCTTCACCCACTGCAGCTTGTTGCCACAGCAACTGCTGGAACAAAAAGGTGGGTGGTGAGGATGTGAGAGGGTGCAATACCTGGGAGTCATCCTTGACTCTGCACTTTCTCTTTACCACTCATCAGTAACTTCTATTGACTCTGCTGATAGGTCTCCCACTTCATCCTTGTTTCCCTTCTCTTTCCCCCACTACACATCCATGCATATGCACATGCAGCAGCTAGACTAAACCTTTAAAAACTCATGTTTTTTCTCCTCTCAAACCCCAATGGCCACTCATCTCACTCAGAATAAAATCTAAAATCCTGTCCAGGATCTAGAAAACTTGCATGTTTTGGACCTTTGCTCCCTTTTTGCTATGGTTTCAATGTCTTTGCCTCCTCCAAGATTCATGTTGAAACTTAATCCCCAAGACAACAGTATTAAGTGATGTGGCCTTTAGGAAGTGATTCGGCCATAAGGGCTCCAACCTCATGAATGTATTTGTGCCCCATGAAAGGGCATTGAGGGGGTGAGTTTGCCCCTTCTGTCTCTTTTCGCATGTGAGGACATAGCATTCATGCTTCCAGAGGATGCAGTGTTCAAGGTACCATCCTGGAGGCAGAGACTGGGTCCTCAGCAAACATCGAACTGCTGATGCCTTGATCTTGGACTTTCCAGCCTCCAGAGCTGTGAGAAGTAAATATTTGTTATTTATAAATTACCCAGGCTCAGCTCTGTTATAGTAACACAAGCAGAGTTTCTGATCTCATCTTATGCTTCTTTTCCTCTCTCTCTCTCTTCTCCAGCAACTCTGGCCTCTTTGCTGTCTTCAGATTGCCAGGCATATTTCAAGATCTTTGCATTTGCTATTCCCTCTTCCCAGAATGTGATTCCTTCAGATAGTCATATGGTTCAGCCCCTCATCTCATTCAAGTCTCTGCCAGATCTCACCTCATCTAGAAGTTCTTTTCCGATCATCGTATCTAAAATAGTACATTTTCATCCATCCATCCATTTCCTTTCCCTTATTTCTCTTCCTATCTAAAATATTATAGATGTATTCGTTTGCTTTTGTCCTCTTTTCTCTCATCTGAATGTTAGTTTGCGACAGCGGGGGTTTTGTTTACTGACATATCTCCAGCGCCTAGAATAGTGCTTAGCATACAGGGCAAGACTCTACTCAACAAGAATCTGCCAGAGGGCAGGGTCACACATCAATCTAATCAGATACTCTTTTGTGAATACACAGAGAAGATGTCAGTGGAAGAGCAGATGGTCCCAGAGCTTGGCGTGTATCCTGAAGGATTCTGTGCTCTTGATCTTGTCCTCCATTCTTCACATTTTGCAGTGCAGGGGCCAAGATGTCAGCATGGCTAAGAAGATGGCAGTCATGGCCACCTCAAGTCCAGGTATCCCCAGCTAAAGCCCAAACACCACCTAGGGGGACCTGAGAATATGTGCCTCTTTCTCTTTACTCCAAGACTGACTAATAGAGCCATGGTGTCTATGAAAGCATTTTGGAGAGCTCCAGTGACTAGGCTTCTCTTGGCACAAATATGCAATTTCTCCTGGGGAGACAGCACATGTGCTTTTCTGTAACTGGAGTACATTTCAATCTAATAGAGAACAGGAATATAATCCAGTACTAATTTTAGATGCCGGATTCTTGTACAGAGCCACACTTTCAGGAAGGGAAAGAGGAAAGGCAAGTAGGTGTATTGGCATTGGGTTGGGGAAGCAATTACAGAGGAATTTTAGGACCTGCTTAAAAACACTAACACTTTCTGAACCAAGGTAGTGGTCTGCCCTAGGGATGGGAAAATATGGTCTATGGGCCAAATCTGGCTGACTGCCTTTTTTTTTTTAAAGAAAAAATAATAATATTTTATAGGAACACAGCCATGCTCATTTCTTACAAATTGTCTAGGACTGCTTTTGTACTGCAAGGACAGAGGTGAGTAGTTGTTATGGACATAGTATGGCCTTACATGTTTACTATCTGGACCTTTACAGAAAGAGAGTTTACTGACCCCTGGTGGAAAAAGCCATGTACTGGGAAACTGATTGATCTGGATTTTGATTCTGCTATGTAATCTGGTATGAGCACCTGGTCTACTCTCAGCCTCAGCTTTTTAACCTTTAATATGGTGCATAATTTGGGTTAATTTACATAAATCCATGCTCATTTAAAAGTTTCTAGCTTAAAGAAAAGACTCAATACAAACTGGCTAAACAACAATAACAGACAAAATAAATGGACATGCCTTGGGAATTTACTGTGTACTCTGTCAATTGCACAGAGTTATTGTGACAATAAAATGAAATCACAACTGGGAAAATCCTGAAACCCTGAAATTCTCTCCCAGTGACCACTGAAGCGAAAGCCCAAACTAGACCTCTGCCGTATGCACGCAGCTGTACTTGGGCATCAGGGGAGAGGCAATGGTTCCACAGGTGGCCCTTCCCTGACTTGGGAAATTCAAGTAGAGTTTAGAACTGCCCTTACCATACCTTCCATACTTGAAAGGAAGGCTAGGGAGAGATTTGTTAAAGAATACAAAGTTACAGTTAGACAGAAGCCCTGGTGTTCCATACCACTATAGGATGACTCTAGCTAATATTAACATATTATGTAGTTTCAAATAGCTAGAAGGAGGATATTGACTATTCCCAACACAAACAAATGACAAATGTTTGAGATGATAGTTAATTACCATAATATCATTACTATACATTACATGTATCAAAACACCATTATGCACCCCATGAATGTGTACAATCATTATGTGTCAATTTTTAAAAATCATAAAAAAGATAATAAAATCAGAAAAAAAAGTTAAAAAAAGAGGGAGTTTTTAGATTATTCCAAATCATAGAGGTAACATGGAGGAAAATAAAAATAAGTGGGTTAGGGGCTGTGGGGGGCATCTGAAGCCCATTTGTCTTCCTGGTGCAAGTGTCCTCAGGGACTGGCCTCTTAAGATGTGTTTGCTGTTATTGTTCAGCTACGCCCGTCCTTTTTCTATATCTAAGACTTCAAGGATTCCTCATTTTATTTTGTTTTTTTGTTCTGCTTTTCCTGCTGAAAGCATCCCTGCCTACTCTTGGTGGTATCAGCGAGGTTCCTGCAGCCAGGGCCAAGAACATGGGATTCAGAGAAAACTGCCTTTATACTCCAGGATGTCTGTTAACATTGAGTGTGACCTTGAACAAGTTGCTTAATCTTTTTGAACCCCTGTTTCATTGACTATAAAATGAAGACAATTCATCCTCATTAAATCGTTGTGAGAATTTTAATGAGATTGGATATTTTCCCCCACCACTCCCTTCTCCGCCCTTTATAAAAATAGATGGACCACTTACAAATTAGATGTTTTAAAGTCTGAGGCAGCCTCTCTTGTCATTTCCAAGAGATGAAACTTGGCAGGCTAAGTGCCTGATTTTTAAAACTACTTTGCTAATATATATATATATATATTATATATATATATATATATAATATATATAAAATATATATATATATAATACACACACACACACACACACACACACACACACACACACACACACACTATGGGGGAGTTTGTCACTCACTTCTTTTAAAACAAGCTCCCACAGGTCTAAGAATGTTTAAAACAGAAATGTATTTAAATGCAGACACAGATCACAGAAGGACAAATCCTCGTGGACAGTCAGGTGAAAGACTATTTAATCAAAGAGCATATAGTCTGGAATCCCTAGATGTCCTGGGTTTTCTCTCCCTTCCACTTTTGGGACAAAGACCTGTGCCAGGAGAATCACAGGGAAACCAAAATTCCCTACCTGAGTAAATTTAAAATTCCAGATACAGAAATGCATCATTTTTTGTTTGCCAAATATCATTTTTACCTCAAAGACTGTGGCCATAGGGCTATGATCTGAAACCTCTGATAGGGCATGGTCGTTCTTTGGGTCATAATATGTACATCACCCATTTGGGGGTCCCTTGTCCCTTACTAGCAAGCAAATTGAGGGTTAGAGAGGTGGAGTGCACTGCTCAAATATATGCAGCTATAATAATCCCATAATCCCCATGTGTCGTGGGAGGGACCCAGTGGGAGGTAAGTGAATCATGGGGGCGGGTTTCTCCCACGCTGTTCTTGTGATAGTGAATAAGTCTCAGCAGAGCTGATGGTTTTATAAAGGCGAGTTCCCCTGCACACGCTCTCTTCCCTGCCGCCATGTAAAACGTGACTTTGCTCCTCCTTTGCCTTCCACCAAGATTGTGAGGCCTCTCCAGCCATGTGGAACTGTGAGTCCATTAAATCTTTTTTTCGGTATAAATTACCCAGTCTCGGGTATGTCTTTAGTAGCAGCATGAGAACTGACTAATACAACAGAGTAAAACAACTTCTTTATAGTCACATAAACTCCCTTCCCCTACATCCTTAACCCCTGGAAACCACTGATGCACTTTCCATTTCTTTAGTTTTATCATTTAAGAATATTATATAAATGACACAGACTATTCATATTAACATTTTAACAGTTCAAGCAAAGTATAGAAACCTGGCCCTCATTTAAGTCCCTTTGCTTTCCCCCATTTATAATTATCTTAAATATTTTTTCGGCACACTTGGAGAAACACATTAGACGATATTATAATTTTCCTTTCAACTATCAAGCACAATTTCCTTCTCCAAGTGAAGGAAATTCTATGATACTTAGTTACATTTAGTCTTTCCATTGGTTTTTCTTCCTTCCTGATGTTCTAAGATTCCTTTTTTTCTGCCATTCTAAGACAAATTTTCTTAGTGTTGTTTTCATCTGAAAATGTCTTGATTTCTTCTTAATTCCTGAAGGATTTTTTCCACCTGGAAATAGAATTTAGGGTTGATAGATTTTTGTGTGCATTTTTGTTTGTTTGCTTGCTTTTTCATCATTTGAAAAATGTGCCACTCCCTCCAGGTCTCCATGGTTTCTGATGTGAAATATGTTGTCATCCAAATTGCTTTCCCATGTAGGGATTATGTCACTTCTTACTTTCTGCTCTGCAGAATGTTCCTTGGTCTTTTATTTTCAGAAGCTTGGCTAGAATATGTCTTTGTGTAGATTTACTTGGACTATGCCGCTTGAGATTCGCACAACTTCTTAAATCTGGGTCTATATAATTTGCCTTGGGAAATTTTAGTCATTATTTTTCTGCACCTTTTTTGGCCCCACTCTTTCTCCTCTCCTTCCAGGACAATGATGCTGTGAAAGTTAAATATTTTGTTATAATGTCACAGGTCCCTGAAGCCATGTTCATGGTTTCCTCAGTCTATTTTTTTCTGTTTTTCAGATTGGGTCATTTTCATTGTTCTATCTTAAAGGTTATTGATTTTTTTCTTATGTTCTGTTCATCTGCTATTGATTCCACCTTTTGGTTCTTGTTAAATTTTGTTATTGTATTTTGCAGTTATAAAATTTCCATTTAAGTTTTCTTTATATCTTCTTTTTTTTTAATTATACTTTAAGTTTTAGGGTACATGTGCACATTGTGCAGGTTAGTTACATATGTACACATGTGCCATGCTGGTGCGCTGCACCCACTAACTTGTCATCTAGCATTAGGTATATCTCCCAGTGCTATCCCTCCCCCCGCCCCCCACCCCACAACAGTCCCCAGAGCGTGATATTCCCCTTCCTGTGTCCATGTGATCTCATTGTTCAATTCCCACCTATGAGTGAGAATATGCGGTGTTTGGTTTTTTGTTCTTGCGATAGTTTACTGAGAATGATGATTTCCAATTTCATCCATGTCCCTACAAAGGACATGAACTCATCCTTTTTTATGGCTGCATAGTATTCCATGGTGTATATGTGCCACATTTTCTTAATCCAGTCTATCATTGTTGGACATTTGGGTTGGTTCCAAGTCTTTGCTATTGTGAATAATGCCGCAATAAACATACGTGTGCATGTGTCTTTATAGCGCATGATTTATAGTCCTTTGGGTATATACCCAGTAATGGGATTGCTGGGTCAAATGGTATTTCTAGTTCTAGATCCCTGAGGAATCGCCACACTGACTTCCACAATGGTTGAACTAGTTTACAGTCCCACCAACAGTGTAAAAGTGTTCCTATTTCTCCACATCCTCTCCAGCACCTGTTGTTTCCTGACTTTTTAATGATTGCCATTCTAACTGGTGTGAGATGGTATCTCATTGTGGTTTTGATTTGCATTTCTCTGATGGCCAGTGATGATGAGCATTTTTTCATGTGTTTTTTGGCTGCATAAATGTCTTCTTTTGAGAAGTGTCTGTTCTTGTCCTTCGCCCACTTTTTGATGGGGTTGTTTGTTTTTTTCTTGTAAATTTGTTGAGTTAATTGTAGATTCTGGATATTAGCCCTTTGTCAGATGAGTAGGTTGCGAAAATTTTCTCCCATTTTGTAGGTTGCCTGTTCACTCTGATTGTAGTTTCTTTTGCTGTACAGAAGCTCTTTAGTTTAATTAGATCCCATTTGTCAATTTTGTCTTTTGTTGCCATTGCTTTTGGTGTTTTAGACATGAAGTCCTTGCCCATGCCTATGTCCTGAATGGTATTGCCTAGGTTTTCTTCTAGGGTTTTTATGGTTTTAGGTTTAACGTTTAAATCTTTAATCCATCTTGAATTGATTTTTGTATAAGGTGTAAGGAAGGGATCCAGTTTCAGCTTTCTACATATGGCTAGCCAGTTTTCCCAGCACCATTTATTAAATAGGGAATCCTTTCCCCATTGCTTGTTTTTCTCAGGTTTGTCAAAGATCAGATAGTTGTAGATATGCGGCGTTATTTCTGAGGGCTCTGTTCTGTTCCATTGATCTATATCTCTGTTTTGGTACCAGTACCATGCTGTTTTGGTTACTGTAGCCTTGTAGTATAGTTTGAAGTCAGGTAGCGTGATGCCTCCAGCTTTGTTCTTTTGGTTTAGGATTGACTTGGCGATGTGGGCTCTTTTTTGGTTCCATATGAACTTTAAAGTAGTTTTTTCCAATCTGTGAAGAAAGGCATTGGTAGCTTGATGGGGATGGCATTGAATCTGTAAATTACCTTGGGCAGTATGGCCATTTTCACGATATTGATTCTTCCTACCCATGAGCATGGAATGTTCTTCCATTTGTTTGTATCCTCTTTTATTTCCTTGAGCAGTGGTTTGTAGTTCTCCTTGAAGAGGTCCTTCGCATCCCTTGTAAGTTGGATTCCTAGGTATTTTATTCTCTTTGAAGCAATTGTGAATGGGAGTTCACTCATGATTTGGCTCTCTGTTTGTCTGTTGTTGGTGTATAAGAATGCTTGTGATTTTTGTACATTGATTTTGTACCCTGAGACTTTGCTGAAGTTGCTTATCAGCTTAAGGAGATTTTGGGCTGAGACAATGGGGTTTTCTAGATATACAATCATGTCATCTGCAAACAGGGACAATTTGACTTCCTCTTTTCCTAATTGAATACCCTTTATTTCCTTCTCCTGCCTAATTGCGCTGGCCAGAACTTCCAACACTATGTTGAATAGGAGTGGTGAGAGAGGGCATCCCTGTCTTGTGCCAGTTTTCAAAGGGAATGCTTCCAGTTTTTGCCCATTCAGTATGATATTGGCTGTGGGTTTGTCATAGATAGCTCTTATTATTTTGAAATACGTCCCATCAATACCTAATTTATTGAGAGTTTTTAGGATGAAAGGTTGTTGAATTTTGTCAAAGGCCTTTTCTGCATCTATTGAGATAATCATGTGGTTTTTGTCTTTGGCTCTGTTTATATGCTGGATTACATTTACTGATTTGCGTATATTGAACCAGCCTTGCATCCCAGGGATGAAGCCCACTTGATCATGGTGGATAAGCTTTTTGATGTGCTGCTGGATTCGGTTTGCCAGTATTTTATTGAGGATTTTTGCATCAATGTTCGTCAAGGTTATTGGTCTAAAATTCTCTTTTTTGGTTGTGTCTCTGCCCGGCTTTGGTATCAGAATGATGCTGGCCTCATAAAATGAGTTAGGGAGGATTCCCTCTTTTTCTATTGATTGGAATAGTTTCAGAAGGAATGGTACCAGTTCCTCCTTGTACCTTGTGGATCCTTGTGAATCCATCTGGTCCTGGACTCTTTTTGGTTGGTAAACTATTGATTATTGCCACAATTTCAGCTCCTGTTATTGGTCTATTCAGAGATTCAACTTCTTCCTGGTTTAGTCTTGGGAGAGTGTATGTGTCGAGGAATTTATCGATTTCTTCTAGATTTTCTAGTTTATTTGCGTAGAGGTGTTTGTAGTATTCTCTGATGATAGTTTGTATTTCTCTGGGATCAGTGGTGATATCCCCTTTATCATTTTTTATTGTGTCTATTTGATTCTTCTCTCTTTTTTTCTTTATTAGTCTTGCTAGCGGTCTATCAATTTTGTTGATCCTTTCAAAAAACCAGATCCTGGATTCATTGATTTTTTGAAGGGTTTTTGTGTCTCTATTTCCTTCAGTTCTGCTCTGATTTTAGTTATTTCTTGCCTTCTGCTAGCTTTTGAATGTGTTTGCTCTTGCTTTTCTAGTTCTTTTAATTGTGATGTTAGGGTGTCAATTTTGGATCTTTCCTGCTTTCTCTTGTGGGCATGTAGTGCTATAAATTTTCCTCTACACACTACTTTGAATGCATCCCAGAGATTCTGGTATGTTGTGTCTTTGTTCTCGTCGGTTTCAAAGAACATCTTTATTTCTGCCTTCATTTCGTTATGTACCCAGTAGTCATTCAGGAGCAGGTTGTTCAATTTCCATGTAGTTGAGTGGTTTTGAGTGAGATTCTTAATCCTGAGTTCTAGTTTGATTGCACTGTGGTCTGAGAGATAGTTTGTTATAATTTCTGTTCTTTTACATTTGCTGAGGAGAGCTTTACTTCGAAGTATGTGGTCAATTTTGGAATAGGTGTGGTGTGGTGCTGAAAAAAAAGTATATTCTGTTGATTTGGGGTGGAGAGTTCTGTAGATGTCTATTAGGTCCGCTTGGTGCAGAGCTGAGTTCAATTCCTGGGTATCCTTGTTGACTTTCTGTCTCGTTGATCTGTCTAATGTTGACAGTGGGGTGTTAAAGTCTCCCATTATTAATGTGTGGGAGTCTAAGTCTCTTTGTAGGTCACTCAGGACTTGCTTTATGAATCTGGGTGCTCCTGTATTGGGTGCATATATATTTAGGATAGTTAGCTCTTCCTGTTGAACTGATCCCTTTACCATTATGTAATGGCCTTCTTTGTCTCTTTTGATCTTTGTTGGTTTAAAGTCTGTTTTATCAGAGACTAGGATTGCAACCCCTGCCTTTTTTTGTTTTCCTTTGGCTTGGTAGATCTTCCCCCATCCTTTTATTTTGAGCCTATGTGTGTCTCTGCACGTGAGATGGGTTTCCTGAATACAGCACACTGATGGGTCTTGACTCTTTATCCAATTTGCCAGTCTGTGTCTTTTAATTGGAGCATTTAGTCCATTTACATTTAAAGTTAATATAGTTATGTGTGAATTTGATCCTGTCATTATGATGTTAGCTGGTGATTTTGCTCGTTAGTTGATGCAGTTTCTTCCTAGTCTCGATGGTCTTTACATTTTGGCATGATTTTGCAGCGGCTGGTACCGGTTGTTCCTTTCCATGTTTAGCGCTTCCTTCAGGAGTTCTTTTAGGGCAGGCCTGGTGGTGACAAAATCTCTCAGCATTTGCTTGTCTGTAAAGTATTTTATTTCTCCTTCTCTTATGAAGCTTAGTTTGGCTGGATATGAAATTCTGGGTTGAAAATTCTTTTCTTTAAGAATGTTGAATATTGGCCCCCACTCTCTTCTGGCTTGTAGGGTTTCTGCCGAGAGATCCGCTGTTAGTCTGATGGGCTTCCCTTTGAGGGTAACCCAACCTTTCTCTCTGGCTGCCCTTAACATTTTTTCCTTCATTTTAACTTTGGTGAATCTGACAATTATGTGTCTTGGAGTTGCTCTTCTCGAGGAGTATCTTTGTGGCGTTCTCTGTATTTCCTGAATCTGAATGTTGGCCTGCCTTGCTAGATTGGGGAAGTTCTCCTGGATAATATCCTGCAGAGTGTTTTCCAAGTTGGTTCCATTCTCCCCATCACTTTCAGGTACACCAATCAGACGTAGATTTGGTCTTTTCACATAGTCCCATATTTCTTGGAGGCTTTGCTGATTTCTTTTTATTCTTTTTTCTCTAAACTTTCCTTCTCGCTTGATTTCATTCATTTCATCTTCCATTGCTGATACCCTTTCTTCCAGTTGATCACATCGGCTCCTGAGGCTTCTGCATTCTTCACGTAGTTCTTGAGCCTTGGTTTTCAGCTCCATCAGCTCCTTTAAGCACTTCTCTGTATTGGTTATTCTAGTTATACATTCTTCTAAATTTTTTTCAAAGTTTTCAACCTCTTTGCCTTTGGTTTGAATGTCCTCCCGTAGCTCAGAGTAATTTGATCGTTTGAAGCCTTCTTCTCTCAGCTCGTCAAAGTCATTCTCCATCCAGCTTTGTTCCGTTGCTGGTGAGGAACTGCGTTCCTTTGGAGGAGGAGAGGTGCTCTGCGTTTTAGAGTTTCCAGTTTTTCTGTTCTGTTTTTTCCCCATCTTTGTGGTTTTATCTACTTTTGGTCTTTGATGATGGTGATGTACAGATGGGTTTTCGGTGTGGATGTCCTTTCTGTTTGTTAGTTTTCCTTCTAACAGACAGGACCCTCAGCTGCAGGTCTGTTGCAATACCCTGCCGTGTGAGGTGTCAGTGTGCTCCTGCTGGGGGTGCCTCCCAGTTAGGCTGCTCGGGGGTCAGGGGTCAGAGGCCCACTTGAGGAGGAAGTCTGCCCGTTCTCAGATCTCCAGCTGCATGCTGGGAGAACCACTGCTCTCTTCCAAGCTGTCAGACAGGGACATTTAAGTCTGCAGAGGTTACTGCTGTCTTTTTGTTTGTCTGTGCCCTGCCCCCAGAGGTGGAGCCTACAGAGGCAGGCAGGCCTCCTTGAGCTGTGGCGGGCTCCACCCAGTTCGAGCTTCCCGGCTGCTTTGTTTACCTAAGCAAGCCTGGGCAATGGCGGGCGCCCCTCCCCCAGCCTCGCTGCCGCCTTGCAGTGTGATCTCAGACTGCTGTGCTAGCAATCAGCGAGACACCGTGGGCGTAGGACCCTCTGAGCCAGGTGTGGGATATAATCTTGTGGTGCGCCGTTTTTAAAGCCGGTCTGAAAAGCGCAATATTCGGGTGGGAGTGACCCGATTTTCCAGGTGAGTCCGTCACCCCTCTCTTTGACTCGGAAAGGGAACTCCCTGACCCCTTGCGCTTCCCAGGTGAGGCAATGCCTCACCCTGCTTTGGCTTGCGCACGGTGCACGCACCCACTGGCCTGCGCCCACTGTCTGGCACACCCTAGTGAGATGAACCAGATACCTCAGACGGAAATGCAGAAATCACCCATCTTCTGCGTCACTCACGCTGGGAGCTGTAGACCGGAGCTGTTCCTATTTGGCCATCTTCGGTTCTTGATTTCTCTTTATATCTTCTATTCCTTTGCTAAGGTTTTGTAGTTTTTCTTTTGTTTCAAACGTGTTCTTAATTGCTCATTGAAGAATTTTTATGATGCATGTTTAAAAATATTTGTCAAATAATTCCAACATCAGTGCCATCTCAGTTGGTATCTGTTGATTGTCTTTTCTCATTTACTCAAGATTTTCCTGGTTCTTGATATGATGAGTGACTGAGTAATTTTCAGCTATATCCTGGAAATTTTGGGTGTTATTTTATGAGACTCTTATTTAAACTTCCTGTTTTAGCTGGTCTATGAATTTGCTAGTGCTGCCATAACAAAACAACACAACCTGGGTGCTATGGTATTCTACTTTATTTTCTCACAGTTCTGGAGGCTAGAAGTCCAAGATCATGGTGCTGGCAGGGGTGGTTTTCACTGAGGTCTCTCCTTGGCTTGCAGATGACTGCTTTCTTGCTGCCTTTTCACGTGGTAGTCCCTCTGTATATGTGTACCCCTGATGTCTATGTGTGTCCATAATATCTTTTTCTTATGAAGACACGAGTCAGATTGGATAGAGGCACACCCAAATAGCTTCATTGTCACCTAATTACCTCTTAAAAAGCCCTATTGCCAAATATAGTCACGTTCTGAGTTTCTGGGGGTTAGGGCTTTAACATATGAATTAAGAGAGCCACAATTCAGTTCATAAAGAGCTGTCTTCTTCTAACACTGCACTGGTAAAGGAAGTAGAAATGCCTCCTTGTTACTGGAGGTGGAGAAGTGCATGTTTCCCACCCAGCCTCCACTGACACCCTTATGGGGGTATCTTATTTCTACTGCTGGGCAGGAGTAGAAGTTAAGGCTCCCCTCTAGGCCTCTGCTGACACCACTCTGATGAGAGGGGACACCTGGTTACTGTTTCTCCCATGGCCTCCACTGACTTTCATCAGGGAGGTGCTCCCTATTACCACTGATGGGGAGGAAAGTCCTAGTTCCCTACCCAACCTTCTCTGATGCCACCCTAGCAGAAGACTCGGGCACATGTTACAGCACATGGTGATTGTAGAAGTCTAGGCTCCTGGTTGGTCTTTGCAGATGGAATGGAGGTGGGCCCCATCTTGTTTTCATGGTGTCTTCCTAGAATAGGGCAGTTATTGTCTAAACATTTTTTGTCTTGTTGTTCCTTTCTTGGTCTAGGCTAGAGAAATAATGCATTTCTTGGAGCTTTTTTGTCTATACTCTGTGGTGTTTTTGTCTTGCTAATTTCTCTAGTTTCTCCAGCTCCCAGCCTAGGATATAGTGGGCAAAAAAGAGGGGGGGAAAAAAAAAGCCAGGGAACTAACCATTGTGCCATTCCTTGAATCCCAAGGACCCCAGCCAGTCTGCCTTCCTACAGTCACATTTTAGAGTTTTCTTTTGTTTTACATATGATACCCAGCCCTTCTAGTACTTTAACAGTTCTATTTTTTAATGTTTAATCCATCTGGAAGCTATTGTAGTTCATGGTGCTGCTGAACCACTACTTTGACAAATGTCAAATCAACTTATCCAGGACCATAAAAAACCCTTTTACATGTTGGTTTCAATTGAACCCTTTTGCATGTTGGTTTCAATTGCACAGTATTTTGTAGATCTGTTTAAAGAGTAATCCTATTTTTATTTTAAAGAGTAACCCTGTTTTTATACAAGAGAATACTGAGTCTAAGCACTGAATATCAGTGTTGTACATGCAGTATCTCATTTAGTCTTCTCAATAACCCTGTGCAATAACATTTTCATTTTGCTAGCAAGAACATTTATAACCTTGCCTATGGCCACGTATTAATTAGCAACTGAGTTGGGGTCATAATTTAAGTGTTCTAACTTCTACTCAATTTTTCTTTCCTTATGTGTACAGAAGCCAAAACACTTTTTCTCCTAGGATTAAAGATTGTTTAGAATCTGCTAAAATTAGACAAACAAAGCACTGTTACTGTATATCTATCACCAGAAACACGGCAATGATTTAGAGAGATATGTTTTCAATATCCTTCTTTGTAATATATTTGTTACAGTGAGATATTTTTAATAACTTGCCAGCTCCCGTCCCATGGGAGGAAAAAAACAGCAAGCATGAACAACTCACATCATGGAAATAAAAACAAAGAGGCATTTTAAATAACAGCCCGGATATCATTAAAATGTTTTTCCTTTATTACATAGCATTATAATTGCCTTAAATGGTTATGGTTCAAAGGAGAAGAAAAATATGCCCCTTTCTTGCTATATGAAGTCCCCCACTCAACTTCCCTTTGAGAATCACCTTTCTAAGGTTAAGTGAATGGAACCTAAAGGAGAGATTAGATGAAGAAAAGAATCAAAGTACTTCTGAAATAGTGCAAACCATCATTTCCATGCATGCTGGAGGAGGAGCAATTTGGAAATGGGGGAACATGGGCTGAATATCCCACAACCCATGACAGTAGTTGAAATAATTTTCAAAGAAAATTTAACAATGACACAACAATGTAGCTAGAGTCTGAAGAGAACAGAAAGGCAGAAGAAGGGGTCTTATGAGCTGTAAGACGTGGCATTCGATTTGAATAGCTGGCAAAGACTCAGGCTCTTGGCCTGGAATTCACCCATGGCTAGACCAAAAAGGAATCTTCCATTTAGGTGGTTCTCACAGGTCTCAGAGATACTCAGAGGGTGCTCAGCATCCTTGGAATCTCCCAGTGCAGCCTGACAGGAGTCTCAGGCCTACGGCCTCTCATGTAGAGGAAACAATTATGTTCTGGGAATGTATTAGTTCTGCTATCTGTTCTGTTCTGTTCTGCTGTGTAACAAACAATGTACTCCAAAATTTAATGGCTTAAAACAACAGCTCTTATTACCTCACAGAAACTGCAATCAAGGTATCATCCTGGGAGTGCAGCAGATTTCAAGCCTCAGTGGGGAAAGATCTGTCCCCTAGTACATTCACATGGTTTGGCCGCATTCAGTTCCTGGTGGGCTGTTGCACGGAGAACCTCAGTTACACAGTTGCTTTCTGTTCCTCACTATGTGGGTCTCTCCATAGGACAGCTTACAGCAGTGGCAGCTTGCTTCATCAGAGCCAGCAAGAGAAGGCAAGCACAAAAGTAGGCAAGAGTCTTTTGTAACCTAATTTTGACAGTGGAATTCCATCACTTTTGCTGTATTCTGTATGGTAGAGGCAAGTCACTAAGGTCTAGTCTATACTCCAGGGGAAGCTTGCAAGGGGCAGGGATCACTGGAAACTATGTCTGAAACTGCCTCCACAGGGAGTGGAATATTAGTTAATAGTACTTGACTAAAATAATTAGACTCATCAAGACAGTGCCTGTGAAGGACATAGGGATCTTCAGGTACAGGAAACATCTAAAATGGAATTGCTAAGCTGGCAGCAATTCCAGAGCGGAGGCTCTGCTCTCTCTTACGGGCTGCATGATCTCTTAGGGCATCTCTGCATATCTGGTCTCTTCTGCTATTCTCAGCCAATTGGCTATTTTTGTTTATGGATAGTCTTGTGCATGGTCCATTGAGGCCTCTGTGCTGGGCTGCTGCTTACTCTATTTGCCTTCTAGATTCATTTCCATCCTTCTCCATCCTCATTTGCCCCAGAATTTTGTACCACTGGGCTCCTTTTCCTTCTGGCTTCGGATTGGCTTTGTCTGTTCTGGCTAAAGATGGAGGAAATAAAAAGAGCAAGGTCTTGTTTCTTAACTCCCTTCTTGTCCCTCACCTGCAGATCACAGCTCCTGCCACTTGGCTCTCTCTTTGCTGTTCTACCTGCATTCTAGTGACTGCTTCTCTCTTGCTGTTTCAGGCCTTTTGGTGGTGAGAGTGTCTGCCATGACTAGACCTGGGGTATCACATGATTCCTTGTAGTTTTCCCACCCCCACTCACACCTTTACAAATAGCCTATTTTTAAAACTGTCCTCTAATACATTTGAGCATGCCATCTGTTCTGCAGGGATCCTGATTGAGGTAGCCTTCTTTGACCCTGAAGTCTACCTCTTGACATTAGGGGGTCAGTTTATTTTACCTATCTCAGTTGCTTGATTTCACTTTTAGATTTCCAAGAGAGGAATCTAATTATTCAAGAAAAATTTTTGATTGCTCATGCCATTTCTGGGTCAAGGTCCATTCCTATTCTAATTAACTGTGGTTACTGGCTGAGATGAGATGGGGGTCCCCGGTGTCTTGGGAAGTGTAGGTTGCCTCAGAAATGCATATGTGCTAGAAAACACATTACTGTCATCTCTAGAGTATGATGAGGGGGCTGTAAAATTCCCATCTATATAAAACCTTGCTTTTGGCTGGGTGCGGTGGCTCACACCTGTAATCCCAGCACTTTGGGAGGCCGAGGCGGGAGGATCATGAGGTCAAGAGATGGAAACCATCCTGGCCAACATGGTGAAACCCTGCCTCTACTAAAAATACAAAAATTAGCTGGGTGTGGAGGCACGTGCTTATAGTCCCAGCTACCTGGGAGGCTGAGGCAGGAGAATCACTTGAACCCGAGAGGAAGAGGTTGCAGTGAGCTGAGATCGCGCCACAGTACTCCAGCCTGGCGACAGAGTGAGACTGCGTTTAAAAAAAAAAAAAAAGCTTGCTTTCAGTGGCATCCCTGATTTGAGCCCAGGAACCCAGTCTATCCTTTCTGCCTGCAGACAAATGGACAGTGTAGTCCTTGTACAGTCTCTGCTCCTCTGATCCTGCTCAGGAATCAAGGGCAGTAGCTGTGCAGGTGTGCTATCTTTATCTACGGTGAGGAAAGGGAGAGTGTGACTGGGGATACACCTTACTTGGAATTACGCAATTATCAAATGGAAGAATTAGGATTCAAGACCAGGTGAACCTGTTGTTAGTATTTAACTTATCAGAATATTTCTCATATTTTTTTACACTGATGGTCTACTTCTGGAAAAAATTATCAATGCTTATTCCCTCCAGGGTGTTTTTAGGTTAGCATGGAATAACACTTAATTGTGAATAGATGATGCTACACTGTTCTAAATTTAACAGAAAAGGTGGTTTCCTGGGACTTTTGACATCTCACCAGGTGGCAAGTAGACTGCCTATTTTGGGGTTTGCTCTTGTCAGATAAGTAAAGAGAGGGCCATCTCTTTGCTATGGTTTGAATATTTGTGGCCCTCCGAAAATTCATGTGTTGAAACTTAACCACCAATGTGGTGATATTATGAGGTGACACTTTTGAGAGGGGATTAGGATGAGGGCTGAGCCCTCATGAATGGGATTAGTGCCCTTACAAATGAGGCCCCAACGAGCTGCGTTATTCCTTCCACCATGTGAGAATATGGTGAGAAGATGCCTTCTGTGAACCAGGAAGTGAGCTCTCACCAGAAACAGAATGTGCTGCTGCCTCAATCTTGGAATTCCTAGCCTTCAAAACTGTGAGAAATAAATTTCCGTTATTTATAATATCTATTTTATAGTATTTTGTTATAGCAACCTGAACAGACTAAGACAATTGGTACCAAGAAGAGGAAGAAATACCACTTCTACAAAATACCTAAGGGGAAATTTTAGGTATTTGTTACAGTGCTGCTAAAATGTGGAAGCAGCTTGGAACTGATAATAGGCAGAGGCAGGAAGGGTTTCTAAGTGAATACTAGAGAAGCCTACGTTGGTGTGAAGGAACCTTAAAGGGTGATTCGATTGAGGACTCAGAAGAAGAGTACTGTAGTGACAGCCTAAATGTTCCTAGCAAATGCGTAAGTGGTTGTGAACAGAATGTTTGTAGAAATATGGACAGTGAAGGCCATTCTGCTGATGTCTCAAGTGGAACGGAGGAACATGTCATTGAAAACTTGAGGAAAGGGGATCCTTGTTATAAAGTGGCAACAGGTTTGGCTGAGTAGTGTTTGTCCTAGAATTCTGTCTAAAGTAGAATGTGTGAGCAACTGGATATTTAGCTGGAGCTATTTCTAAGCAGAGTGTGGAAGCTTAGTTTCTCTTGACTCCTTATAGTAAATGCAAGAAGAGAGAATTGATTTAATGATAGAATTATTAATCAAAAGGGAAGCAGAATATAAATATTTGGGAAATTCTTATTCATATTGAAAGGAATGAGAAAGCATGTCTGGGAGAGAAAACCGAGGGTTTGAAAAAGTGACCACTTGATAAGATTAGCATGGATGAGCCATCTGAGCAGAGCCAGGACTTATTGTACAAGATAATAAAAGAGTAACCTGGAAGGCATTTCAGACATCATGTTGCTGCTCCTCCCATCATAGGCCCAGAGTTTCAGGGCCTGGGAGAAAAAACAATTTCAAAGGAGGGGGCATGGGCACCTGCAGGATCTTAGCACTTGCTACCAGGCACTGCCTCAAGGCTCTGTTCTCCACACTTCATTGCCAAGCTTCTTGGTTGCCCCCGGTGCAGCTCCAGCAGACCCTGGTATGGTGTGCACTGCACCCAGCAAAGATGTAGAGGCATGACTGCCTTCACCCAGATTTCAAAGGATGCCCTGCTGAGCTGTGGAGCCCAAGCAGAGATTTGCTGTGAGGGCGAGATCACTGTAGAGAGACCCCACCAGGGCAATTCCTAGTGCAGCCACGAGGGTAGAGCCACACACTGTGACCTCAGACGCTTAGAGCCACTGGTGCATGATTCCCACTGGGGGTGGGAGGACCACAGGCACGTGACTCAGGCACAGAACCCCAAGGAGGTGGGGCTGCTGCAGAGAGCCACCATGGGGGTGTGGCTGCTCAAAGCCATGGGGCAGGACCGCTGCCACAGAGAGTTGGAAGGTGGGACCTCACCTCAGTGGACCTAGAAGGCAGTAAAGCATCCAGTCAATGAAGGCTATTCTTGAGCTTTAAGGTTTTAGACTTGTTCAAAACCTGTTACTGTCTTTCTTTTCTGTGTATTTCTTTTGAAATGTGAATGTCTACCCTATGCTTAGAGCCTCACTATATTTTAGAAGCACATAACATTTGATTTCACAGGTTCGCAGCTGGGGAGAGAAATTTGCCTCAGGATGAATCATACCTTGAGTCTCACCCATATCTAATATAGATGAAATTTAGCTAAGACTCTGGATTTTAGACTTTTGAGTTGATGCTGGAACAAACTAAGACGTTAGTGACTGGGATAGAATGCATGTATTTCACATGCGAGAAGGATATGGATTTTCGGGGACCAGGGGCAAAATGCCATGGTCTGAATGTTTGTGTCCCACACCCCTTCCCACCCTTCCTACCCCCCACCCTAATTCATATGTTGAAATCTAAGCATCCGTGTGATGATATTAGGAGGTAGGGCTTTTGGGAGGCGATTAGTTCATGAGGGTGGAGCCCTCATGAATAGAATTAGTGCCCTTATAAAAGGGGCTCCAGAGAAAAAGCTGGCTTGTACCTTCTACCATATGAGGACACATGGTGAGAAGTTGCCATTCTATGAACCAGGACCTGAATACCTACCAGACAACAAATCTGCCTATGCCTTAATCTCAGAATTCCAAGCCTCTAGACTTGTGAGAAATACATTTCTGTTTCTCTATGCCACCCAGTTTATGGCATTTTGCTATAGCAGCCCAAATGAACTGAGTCACTCTTTTACCTGTGAATTAGTGGAGAAGGTTTGGCACCAAATGTTCTGAGTCCTGAGGATGGGATGAAAGATAAACTTCAAGCATCTTTTATCTGGAAAGCCCTCCCTCATTCTCTGAGTTGGATGCTATTCTCTTCCACTCCCCAACAGCATCAACTAATGTCTCCAATATAGCCTGTGTCATTCTCCAGTCTAATTAATAACCTTGTATTATATCAGAAGCTCCATGAGGCCTGGTATTACGTTTTGCTCATTTCTGTAACACCAAGACACCAAGTGGAGTCTAGCAGATATGTTTAATGAATGAGAGAGTTCACCTATTCAGGAATTGAGCCCCCAGGGGCTCTCTACAATCTTATACCTCGAGGCTGCTCCAATAGAGTGGTCTTGAACATCCCAGGCAAGAAAGCTTCCAACTGTGACTTCACAGTGGTTAAGTCACTTGAAAATTTGACCAAATAAAATTAACTTTTCAAATTTTTTAATAAAAGAAGAAAGAATAAATGATTTTCCTAAGGTACTAAAGACAGAAGTTGTATAGGTTTCATTAAGTAACATGGCAAACACTATATTGTGCTTGGACAGTTTCAAAGATGGGCAAGTTATATGGTTTGGCTCTGTGGCCCCATCCAAATCTCATCTCAAATTGTAATCTCCGGGTGTTGAGGTAGGGCCCTGAGGCGAGGTGACGAAATCATGGGGGCGGTTTCCCCCATGCTGTTCTCAGGAGAGTGAATGAGTTCTCATGAGATCTGATGGTTTCAAGGTATATGGTGGTTCCCCTTTCTCTCTGTCTCTCTGGCCTGCCACCATGTGAGGAAGGTCCTTGCTTTCCCTTTGCCTTCCACCATGATTGTAAGTTTCCTGAGGCCTCCCCAGCCATATGGAACTGTGAGTCAATTAAGTCTCTTTGCTTTATAAATTACCCAGTCTTAAGTAGTTCTTTATAGCAGTGTGAAAACAGACCAATACAGCAAGCCACATTTTGTAAGCCTCACACTGTCATCATTACATAAAGAGAATTGTGAAAAGACTAAGTAGAAAGACAGAATGTAAGAATTTAAAAGAGCATGTAGTATGGAGTTACAGACCTCAATTAGACTTTAACAGCTATGTGTGTTTGGGCAAGTAGCTTAACTTTGAGCCTGTTTTTCTAGTGTAATGGGAATAATGTTATCTAATCTCACTGGAATTATTGATTTAAATTGTATGCGAAACACTTAGCATAGGGCCAGCACATGGTATTCCTCAACAATTGGTAAATATTAATGTTTTTAATTATATACCATCAACCATCTACTTAAGCCAGATAGTCTAAATATATAAATGTTAAAATGACAGCAAATGATCCTGCCCCGTGTCCACCAATGACAAGTGAGTTTCCTCCTCCAAGGAAAGCTGCTGGAAACATCAGAACCCTCCATCCCCCAGGCAAGAAGGTAATTGTTGGAGGTTTATCTTGTAAGAGGTATTCCTTCTGCCACCACTAGAGCAGACTTCATCTTCTTTCTCTGGGTGTCTCATAGGAATTTCTCTCAGTTACTGCAGAACTCTGTTATGCCACTTCAACAAAAGGCTTTCCCAATAAACATACATTTCCCTTTGATGTGACTCATGACTTCTCTGTGCCTACAAGATGTTGCAGCTTCAAAAGGCATCTCTGTGTCTGTTGCTTGAGTGTTTATTATCTCAAGGGGCCCTCAGATGATTTATAAACTAGGTTATATTTAAGAGAAAAAAAGATATTTGTAAAATCCACATTTGGAATGCTACAGGACATCTATAGGATATTTTAAGTTTTAGGAGAAATCAGAAACCAGATAACTCCAGAAAAGAACTGAATAAGCCTGTCAATCTCACCTGTCTCCCATAACGTCACAGTAAGAAACCAGTCCAGAGATAATTCTATTAGGTTGGTGCAAAATAACTGTGATTTGCGGCCAGGAATCTTAAATCATTGTAACTAGGCTCAAACACATCCTTATTAATCAAAATAGGAATTATTACAATCAACACATTTTTGCCAACAAGAAATAAGTTTGTTTATTCCTGTGGCATAAAAATCCATGCTTTGGGATTCGACAAACTCTTGGAAAGCATTTTCTGCATCCTGCTGGTTGTAGAAGTGTTTTCCCTACAAGAGTTGTCAAGATGCTGGAAGAAGTGGTAGTCAGTTGGTGAGAGGTCAGGTGAATATGGCGGGTGAGGCAAAACTTTATAGCCCAATTTGTTCCACTTTTGAAGCATTGGTTGTGCCATGTGTGGTCGCGTGTTGTGCAGAATTGGGCCCTTTCTGTTGATCAATGCCAGCTGCAGGTGTTGCAGTTTTTGGTGCATCTCATTGATTTGCTGAGCATACTTCTCAGATGGACTGGTTTCACTGGGAATCAGAAAGCTGTAGTGGATCAGACCTGCAGCAGACCACCAAACAGTGACCATGACCTTTTTTTGGTGCAAGTTTGGCTTTGGAAAGTGCTTTGGAGCTTCTTCTCAGTCCAACCACTAAGCTGATCATTGCCGGTTGTCATATAAAATCCATTTTTCATTGCATGTCACAATCCAATCAAGAAATGATTTCTTGTTGTCGTGTAGAATAAGAGAAGATGACACTTTAAAACGACAATTTTTAAAATTTTTGCTCAGCTCCTGAGGCACTGACCTATTGAGCTTTTTCACCTTTCCAATTTGCTTCAAATGCTGAAAGACTGTAGAACGGTTGACGTTGAGTTCTTCTGCCACTTCTCTCATAGCTGTAAGAGGATCAACTTCGATGATTGCTCTCAGTTGGTCATTGTCAACTTCCAATGGCCGACAACTATGCTCCTTATCTTCAAGGCTCTTTTCTCCTTTGCAAAACTTCTTGAACCACTACTGCACTGTACATTCATTAGCAGTTTCTGGGCCAAATGTGTTGCTGATGTTGCGAGTTGTCTCCACTGCTTTGCGACCCATTTTGAACTCGAATAAGAAAATTGCCTGAATTTGCTTTTTGTCTAACATCGTTTCCATAGTCTAAAATAAACATAAAATAAACAGCAAGTAATGTCATCAGACAAAAAAAAAATAAAGTGAGAAATGCTTACTAAAATGATGTATAGAAGAACTATACACTAACCATATTTATTTAAGAATGTACTCCAATATCAAACGGCAGATTTTAACAATGCAAAAACTACAATTACTTTTGCACTCACCTAATATGTTCTTTTATCTGGATTTGTATGTATTTTCTGGGATAAAGAGTAACAGACAGACTAGTATATTAGTGACACAATTTACTAGCTACATAATCTTGGACAAATTACTTGACCTCTCTGAATCTTACTTTTCTTATGTGTAAAATGGGTATTTGGAAACATGCTATATTTGAGGTTTTCTTCAGAAAGGGAAGATACACTCTTCAAAGCCAGTCCTCCTCTTTTCCTTTGCAGTGCTGGACTATTATTGTACTTTATCAAATATTTCAACTTACAGAGATGGCCGGGGCTGGGCAGAGAGCTGTGGATGTATAAAGAAGAAGTAGGCTTTGCTACAGTGAGCCAGGTCATTGTCTAAGACTTTGATGTTAACTTATAAAAACTTTTAAGAAAAACTATAATTTCAAAATTTTCTGAAGTTATTTGGGGAAAAAAATGTCTACAATCTTCAAAAACAAGCTTAGATTTCATCAGGCATGTAGGCTTCATTCCCGTATTATTATTTAGATAATAACTAGACAAACATCCCTGGATGTTAAATAATTTGAAAAATCTCAGGTGACATGGATACACCAAAAAGAAAAATTAAGTGATATTAAAAAATAAATGACTGGAATTTTGCCCCATGAAGGACAGAATGTTGGGAACAGACCAATGTTTCTTCTAAAACAAGTAATAAATCAAGATGAAATGTAAGAATAATTGGCTTAAAGGCAATGGAGATCTGCTGAAGCCATGAGGACCTGAAGGTCTGAGGCTTTGGAGAGGGCAGAACCACAGGGAGGTGAGCTGAAAATGCGCTGCTGCTTTTTTCCTGTGGCCATTTGACTGATTATGGGCAAGAACAAGAGGCTGAGAATGTACCCTTGCTCAAGTAAAGAAACATCTTTAGGTGACAGAAAAATGGACAGGGCTTTGTGTGGTCTTAAAGGTTTGGAATGAAAAATTGGAGACCTGGGAACCTCAAACATCATCCAGCTTCCCTCTCAAGAAGTCTGTTAAATTCTGAAGCTCTGTGAGGTAGCAGGCTAAAAATCTAAGAAGAAAACATTTGAGCAGAATTTTCTGCAGTCTTGTGCTGAGAAAACAAAGAGTAGAGTTTAAGGCCTACTAGTGGAACACACCAGGCCTTCAGTTAATAGCCTCGAAGAGCTATATGGTAGAAACAATGGCGAATCAAAAGTAGACTGAGTTTATAAAACTTGCAAAAATAGCTGATATTCATCTCAATGCCTGATTGGATTACAGGGATCAGCCTCTTCCTTTCTCTTCCTAGAAAAGGGAAGAATAAACTTTTTTGGGAGCTGTATGTTTAAAAGATAGAAGAAAAGTTTGATAATTTTAGCAAAGAACTGAAAATTATAAAAAATTGGAAATAAAAATATTAAAAATTAAAATATTCTGGAATTTAAGGAATTCAGTATCTGAAATTACAAATAGAGAGAAGCAGATAGGCGTGACAGGAAACAGGATTAGTGAACTAGAGTAGGTCATTAGAAAATATTCAAATTAAAGCATCAAAAGAAAAGAAAATACAGTCATGTGTCAATTAATGATGGGGAAATGTTGTAAGAATGTTCTGAGAACGATGGAGATCCATTCTAAGAAATGCATCATTACAATGGTATTTGTATATCTTTACATATCTAAGCATAGAAAAGTTCCAGTAAAAATGTGGTATAAAATATTTTTTAAAAGGGTACACCTGTGTAGGGCACTTGCCATGAATGGCACTTAAAGGACTGGAAGTTTCTCTGGGTGAGTCAGTGAGTGGTGAGTTACTGTGAAGGCCTAGGACATTACTGTACACTGCTGCAGAGTATAACACTGTACATTTAGGCTACATTAAATTTATTTTAAAATTTCTCTTTTTTCAATATTAAGTTAACTTTAGTTTACCATAAATTTTTTGTTCCATAAACTTTTATATTTTTTAAAACTGCTTGACTCTTTTATAATAATGCTTAGCTTAAAACACAAACACATTGTACAGCTGTACAAAAATATTTTCTTTATTTCTATCATTATAAGCATTTTTCTATTTTTAAAATTATTTGTTATTTTTAACTTTTAGAAATTTTTTGTGAAAAATGAAGACAGAAACACACACATTGGCCTAGGCCTTCACAGGGTGAGGACCCTCAATATCACTGTCTTCCACCTCCACATCTTGTCCCACTGGAAAACCTGCAGGGGCAATTACACGCATGAAGCTGTCATCTCCTGTGATAATGACGCCATTTTCTGGACACTTCCTGAAGGACCTTCCCCAGGCTTTTCTTGAGGAGGTGTCCATGGTGGTGTGCCTGGTTTCTTTTTTCCATCATAGATTTTTTTTCCATCATAGATTTCTGTGACTAATTCAGAGAGAGGGAGACAGGAGTTGACACTGACTAGGTGTGAGGGGGTTTGCTAGGGCTCTAATTCACTGCAAGCAGGCTTGAGTGAGGAAAGGCCTCTGGGAAATTCTCTGAAATATTTATGGCTTGATTACGTATATGTTATGGGATGGCATGGTTACTGAACTTCCCCCCATGGTTGGGGTTTAAGCCTTTTTATTTGGGGATTAACACCGCTTGGAGAGCAGGGGAATTTGGAGGCCTGCTGGCTGTGCATGTAATGTGTTCCTGCACATCTGCGCCCTCAGTAAGTTCTCATATTGCCATTAGAGCATCCATGAAAAGAATCCAGTGTTTGTGAGTCAATGTCGCTTCCATCCCTCCTCCAATCTCAGCAGATTGAATGATGTCAAGTTAGGAGGGGTTATCTGAGATCAAATGTGGAGGCTTAATTATCACAGACAAAAACCACTAATGAGGAAACAACATTATCTTTCACAGATGAAGCTGTTTTGATGGAAACTAATTTATGGCAAGTGTTCTAATCTCTAGGCTTCATCACGAAGAGGCTCTGTCCTCACCGCTTTCTCCTTCCCCCTCCCCATCACTTCTCTGCTCTCATTAACTCAGTCTCACAGGAAATCAAAGAGAGAAGACAGTGCTTTCCACACCTTTTACAGAAAAGGAAATGGAAGCAATGAGGTTGCCAGAATTGCTTCCAGGCAAGATTGCCAAAAACAATGTCTTCTTTGGGAGCCCCTCACTTTTCTTTTTGGCTCCTGTTCCCTCATACCTATACCTCTCTCTCTCTTGCTCTGCGACTCCCCGACCCTTTCCTTCTCTCTCTCTCTCAATCTCTCTCTTTTTCTCCCCTCATTGTTGTCTGCTACCTCTTCTGCCTTGACCTAATCCTCTTCCATGTTCCTTATTTATAAATAAGGGTCTTTGGGGAGGGTCTTACCAGGGCTGGGGTGCTGGCAGTGTAGGTTCAGAGCAGAGGTTTTCCTGCCCACATCTCGGGAAAGGATGAGTAGCCTTCAGAGGGTGGGCAGGGGGAGAGGTTATAAGGTTTAGGAATCAAAGCTACTTGTCAGCAAGACATCCAGGGGGACTTCCAGGTGCCACAGGGGGAGTTAGTAAACACCAGGAAGTGACACGACAGCTGGAAATATCCCTCCCACCTCTGCTTTTATGTTGCTTCATTCTCTGCTGTTTCCCTGCAGTGATTCACAGTAAACCCACCAAACCCTGCAGCACAGGTGGGACTGGCCAAGGCCACCCCGTTGCATGCATGTCCAGCTCTGGAGGGAACCTTCAGGGATCAACTGACCAGTGGCCCCTATGAGGCAGGAAGAAGGAGGCTGGGAATGTCCGGTCTCAGGGGGCTGTGGCAAAAAAGGAAGGAGAGAACTTAGTCAGTCTAGGGCCAGGCATTTTGTCTGTTCTGCCTGACCGATGCCTCCAGAACACAGGCCAGGTCTTTCCCTTTCTGTATCCTCATTGCCTTCACATATTTTGACATACATAGCAGGGACTCAACGCAGAGTCCAGTGAAAGAATAAAGAAATGAATGAAGGAAGGATGCATCTCTTCCTTAAAATGATGTATGCCAATGTTTTACCTAATCCATGTCACTCTTTAGCAGTTTGGGCCCCAGGGTGTCACCACGGGGGCTCCATATCCCCACCCTTTATGCTCACTGTGTTGGGAACTGTCAGAACCAGGGCAACCACTGCTGTGTGTGTGTTCCCAGAAGCAGTGGGCCAGGCTGAGGGCAGGAGTCCAGCACGACCAGGAGCAGAAGCCAACAGTCTGAGCCATCTGAGCACAGAAAGTGGAGAGCATGCTGGCGAGGGCTGGTGTTCTCAGCCGAGGCTAGCTTGGACTTGCCAAGTACCTGAGGCAATGTCACTGATTCTGCCATCCTCAGGCTGCCTGACCTTGGGCTGGTCACTCATTCCTTGCCAGATGAAGCCATCCAGTTGTAGCAGCAGTGACAACACAAAGCTCACAGAGGGGCCAAGGCTGGGAGGGCAAATATGTTTTATGTCATGAGCTAACACCTTTCAATTGGTTGTGGCCAGCTGGAAAGTTGGGTTGATTCTGCAGGTCAGTTCTTGACAGGAAAGGGACCTCTAATCCCCTAGTAGGGTCTGCTGTTGGAAATGAGAGGTGGGCTCCTGAGACTGTGAAACAAACGGCCGACTGTGGATTCCAGTTGCCAGGTCCACCTATAATGGCATCGGCAAATATTTCAAACAACACATAATTCTGTCCTTGATGAAATGACACATCGTGAATGGTGAATCCATCAATTCCACTTTCCCTTAGTGGTGGGTAGAGAGGCAAGGAGCTCTGACAATAATCAGCCTTCCATGTGGAGCTAAGATCATCTTCATCTGCAGAAAAAAAGCACCCTGGAGATGGATCCAAGAGGGGCAATGCTCAGAGTTCCACCAAACAGGCCTAGGCCAGCATGTCCCACAGCCCCAGGTAGGGTGCGCACTGTTTGCATGGAGTCTGATTACTTATCCAGGCCACGAGGCTGGAGCCAGCTCTCTCTGCTGCGCCAGTTCTGCTAACACTAGGTACTCCCAGGCCTTGTTGTCATTACTTGCAGATTGCTGAAAAGTGTCAGCTTTACCTTTCTTTTTTTCCATAGATCGAATGAATAGGCTTCCGGGGGAGAAGACCGAAGCGCAGCTCTGTTTTTCCAAGCCCATGGCATGGCTTGCCAAGAATGAATTAAATGTTTCCACAGAATCATTTGCTTTGTTTCTAATCGGCTCTGTGAAGTATTTTCCTTCTTCCCAGTGGTTTAAGAGGGACTCATTGGCTCCCTTGGCCAGGCCCCTCAGGCTGGGGCTTTTGGGAAAGGAAGAAATGGAAAACCATGAGAGGCCCTTCAAGAAATCTAAGGGTGGAGGATGATTGTGGCCTAGCACAAGTAGATTATCAGAAAACACAGGGAGCTGTTCTGCCAGGGCTATGGCGACGGAGATGACAGGGGTGCAAGGGTCTTGGGGTCATCAGCCCTGGGGTACAGCCAAATCAACAGTGGTGGTCCAGATGCTAATTCTTTGGCTTGCTCCTACTGGTAGGTTGTGGCCAATCATCTTCAAATCCATATCTGCAGCTCAGTGGAGAGACTTCCTAGGGTAGCCCACGCACTGTGATCTCCCTCTGAGTGGCCTTCGGGCTACCGGTTGCTGTGGTGACCATCTGCAAATGCCTTGGCAGGTCTGGATGCGGCACTGTTGCTGCAAATGCTTCTTTTCTTTCAGTTCTGGAAGACACCGTGGGTTCTCTTTTCCAATCTAATTGGCCCCATGCTGAGAGTGTAATAAAAGCCTCTTTTTCTCCAGGAGTCTAAGACTCTCTTTTGGAATGAAAGAGCACTGCTTTCCATGTTGAATTGCTTCTTTGGTTCATCTCTCCATTACAGCACACTCTTTAAGGACTTGTGCAGCCCAGTGAGAACTGGACTGGAGGCCAGCCTCAGTGACCTGGCTTTGAGCCACAGCCCACTTGTTCTGGGGATCAGTCTCTCCCTGAGATTTCACGTGCTGTCTCCATCAGCTCAGGATTGTCCTCCCTTGGGACATTGCTTCAGCTGTTGTTCTTTTATCATGGCTGGTTTGTTTTTTTGCTTTTGTTTTTGTTTTGTAAGAAATTGACTGTTATTTTCAAAGCATTCAGGATCTGTCTTTCCTTCAAACTTCCTCCTTCTCTCCCATGAGCAGATCATCAATCATCACTGGGCTTTTCCTACCACCATTGCATACCAAACATCTACAAATAGCAGAGGGCCCATGCATTGGTCAGAGCAGTGCTCTATGACACTTAGGCATGGCATCATTCCCACTTAAGGCACTCATGGTGGACTTGACTAATGGAGCAACTCTTTCCTGGTGAGCCTCAGAATCCTTCTCAACACCATGCATCACACTGCTGCTACCAGTCCTTTAGAGCTGGTTTTTAGGTTAAAATCTTTTTGCCTTCCCCAGCTTAGGTTCCCCATTGCATCTCCCCTTCCTCTAACCAACATTACTGTGAATGCTCAGAATTAATAGCTACTTAGTGCTAGCCCACCCATGAAATTGACGCTGATAAGATGTAGATTCTGCCAGGGACCTTATAGTTTGTTGCAGCTACATCAACAAGATGTAAGCATGCCTGACTGAGGTTGAAGGAGGTGCTGGACATACCTCTATTCAAGAAGAATTCATCCCTTTTCAGAGTTTATGAATGTGCCTCTTCTTACTATTCATTTATCTCTCAGTGATAAATGAATTTTATCCTGCAAAGTGAAAGGCCTAGGGGTTGTAGTCCAGAATTTATTGTTCAGGATAAGCTGCATCTGTCCTGGGAGATAGAGCAACTAGATCCAGGACAATCTGAGACTTATCCAGTAACATCATCTCTCACGCAGTAAACCTTGTCCTAACCAGGCCAACCCCTGGTCTTAAGAACAGTTATAATACCTGTGGGTTCTGCTATGTGGACACTTTATCTCTAACATGAAAGAGGAGGGAAGTGATGAATTGCAGCTCAATTACTGACATGGGTTGGCCTGGATTTTTGATTCATTAATAAGTACTAAAGGGGAAAAATTCTAAGAGAAATGAAATAGGAATTTAATATTTGAAATAGTTAAAAGATAGGTTATTCATTAGAGCATCAACAAACCACTACAAAAGCGAGCAAAAATAAATAAAATAAAATCCTGAGTGCTAGCCTTTCTAGAAATCCAGGAGGACTCAATGATTTCGCTAATGGGTAGCTAGGAATCACTTCCTTCCAACCCTCCCCCTTGGCCCCATTGCTGCATAGATCCTCTGGCTCGATGGTGTGGGTTTGAGACTTTAATATTTGCCTGCATTTCTGACATGCAGAAAATCCCTTTAGCCCTTCTGTTTTCAGTTTGCTGGCTTTGCTTGTGCTAGCCGTGTGCTGCACTCGCGGACTATACGAATCCCAGGCCTTAGGGCTGCCTGTCCTCCTCTGACAATGGGCCTCCCCAGACACTTGCCTGAGTCCTGTGATCCAGACCAGGCCTTGTCACAAAATTCAAACCTTGCTTCTCTGCCCATCACTCCAGTTTCTCCAAGAATGAGGGTTAGGGCCTTGCCCTTATTTTCTCCAGCTCAACCAGGGGTTTCTTCTCTGGCCCAGGTTGGCTTCCCATGCTCTCCAGGCCTTAGCATGACTCCCTCTACTCCACATCAACTGCTCTCCTGCCCTGTTCCGTGGGGCCTTTCTCCCTCCAGTTGGAATACAGTGAAAAGTTGCTTTTTCAGCTTTTCCTTTGCTTTCTGGTGCCTGAAAACACATGCACTTACCATTTTCATCTTACCTGGGTTGTTGGTATTTAGTCTTGGGCAAGGGAGGACACTTTAATATAACCATGGCCCTTGGACTGTAATTTCTAATGTTTTTCTCTGGAATGGTAGCTGCCCTGTCTCTGAGATTTTTGTCATTGATTTTTACTGCTGAGGGGTGGACCCATTCATTCAACCTGGGGGCTTCTAGTGATTTATTATTCCAAGTTAAGACAATTTTATGAATGAAATGGGCTGTTATTGATAGTTATGACAGAATAACAGGAATACACCAGTACTATTCCAGGTGAAAGTTGTATTCTTAGCCTGACCTTGTCTTTAGCAGCCAACATAGAGCAAACTTCACTTGTCCAGGGGTTGTATCTGGGGCCATTTCTCTTGGAATTGATAGATGGATGTGATGGCCACCATGCCCAGCATGTAAGCACATGGCTTTAAACTCTCATAATGGAGCAGCTCTTAGGTTGACCCTTTTGTAAGTTCGTGGACTTAGACAAGTAATTCCTTTGGTGATTCTCAATTTCCCCATCTGTACAAGGAGTATAATGGTAACTGTCTTATAAATGGCTTTAAAGATTAAGTAAGACAACATCGATAAAGCATTTGACTTGAGATAGTTCAATGAATTCTAGTTTCCTTTTCTTCATCTTTTCCTAATGAGGCCCACAGAGCATGTCAACCCATTTCTAATTCCTCTCCTTTAATGGAAAGATGGTCTGTGATCTGCTATTCAATATTCCTTGTTAAAATGGATTCTCAGTTTTGCATTTCCAATGCCTTCTAATGTAAAATAAATTTCAGCCCAAAAAAAGGGCTGAAATTCAATACATTAAGGGAAGTAATTTTAATGTATGAGATGGAAAGAGAGATTTAGCTTAGGATCCCAAATATGCAGGAGCATGAGATGCGTTGGGAGCATGATTCTGCTAAAGCTTCAGGGATGGAAAAAGGAATCCTGTGCTGGGACATAATTAAATGACTTGAGAAGACGGCTAATGGTATTAAAATGAAAACTTTAAGCTCTAGACTACTAATTTTAATTCCACAGTGAAAGGTATCGTGCTGTTGCTGGCTGCTGAGAGAAGAGAGTGACCAGAGCCCACTGACTGTAATACCATGGAACAGTGTTTGTCTCAGACAGAAGGGCTGGCTTCAAATCTTTGCTCTGCCATTCGTCAACCTTGCCCTTGAATCAGACCCTCACACTCTCTCAACTTCTGTTTTCCTACCTGTAAAATGGGTGCAATAATATGTGCTGAAGAGATCTGTGATGAGAATTATGTGAGAAACTTTATTTTGTTTATTTTTACTTAAAGAGACCTAGCACACCTGGCAGCATGTGACTGTCAATTATACTGTGAAATGGGTTAATGAGTTAGTTTTTATTTCTTCTTTTTTAGGACTCTGAATTGAATCTGGAAATATATATGCCCTTTCATCTCTTCTTTTAACTTCAACTCTATTTTTCTGCAGGGATTAATAAAAGTTTCTTGTTTTTAGAGCTTTGGTGCCTAGATCTGTAATAACAACTGAATATTATGGGTGTACTAAGTGAGAAGCTTAAGGGGCATCTGATTAGAAATTCTCTGGACTCTTATTAGGCTAGTCTGGACCCACTGGTCCATGAAACACTACTTTTGTGGGATGTTAATAGTTATTCCTCCAAAAATAGAATGCAAATTCAGATGTTTTTGAGAAACCCTGGATAAATAAAATGAAATTGATTCCTTTATTGCAATTTTTCAGATAGTTAAATGAGCCAAGGTGCATTGTGAATCTCCAGCATGGGGCCATGTGACATGCACTGTCTCCCAAACATGTTTGACCATGTTCCCCATTTTTTTGTGGGATATTTTTAGAGACCAGTGGTCCATGGCATGCTTTGACAAGTACTGTTCTGATACTTTTTATAAATTTGAAAAAAAAGTTTACATTCTAATATTAAGTGCAAAAGCAAGCTACTAAATGTCATAAACTATAAAATCATGATTATGGTAACATGTATTTAAGAAACAGGCAGGAAATCTATTAAAATATTAACCTATCAACTAAAAGAGTAATCTTGGGGAGGGAGACTTACAGTTTTTATATTTATTTTGCTTCCTATATTTTCTAGTTTTTCTACAATGAACATGTATTGCCTTTATAGTTCAGCAAATTTACTTTTCTTTTTTCTTTTGGTTAAGCAGTCTCAGAAGGAATCATTTTCTTTCCACCTACAATGTTAGATCCACCTGAATGAAATACGCCTTTCATTGCGTCCTGAGAAGACGGAAGAATCATAAAAAGCCTTCAGAAGCCCTTGAGGAATTTTGAGGGCAGTAAAAGCAAAGACTGTAAACCGAAGAAAAATACACAAAGATGTAAGAGCAGTAAGAGCAAAGTGGGGACAAGGGATATTGAGTATCTGAAGGGAAAAATAAGAAGCATAGCCTATCCTGGAAAAGAAAAGAAACGTCATGGTAAAAAAACAACTGCGGTTTTTGTGAACACCTACTACGGTAAGGAACAGGCCAGCCATAGCCCACACCCAGGTGGCTGACAAGAGCTCGCCAGATCACAGGGCCACCTTCCTGCCTGAGAGCTGGATGCCCTCTGCATCTTCCTGGGCTTTACAGCACATGGGATCTGTTTACATGTGGTCTCCGCAGACTCGTGTCAAGATCCTAAGTCAGTGAATCCCGAGGGAAGCAAAAGGCAGGGGTGGAAGCATGGTAAGGAGGTGTAAACACCCTTTTGTAAGCCCCATGGAGGGGTATAGGCTTCAACAGGGAGCAGTTTAAGATACTTTGGAGATTGACTGTTTGGGGTTAAGTGTTGGCTCCACTACTTATACTCATGTGGTTTTAGATGCTTTTCTTAATCTCTCTGTGCTCTGGTTTCTGTAAAATAGTAATAAGTATCCTATTTAGTTATTTTGAGGACTAAATAGATAATTCCAGCCCTCCATATCCCTGGGTTTCTCATTTGTAAATTCAACCAACTGTGGGCCAAAAATATATGGAAAAAAATGGAACGTGTACTCAACATGTACAGACATTTTTCTTGTCATTATTCTCTAAGCAATGTAGTATTCAGCACTATTTACATAGCATTTGCAGTATATTAGGTATTATAAGTAGCCTAGAGATAATTTAAAGGATGTGGGAAGATGTATGTAGGTTACATGCAAATAGTACACCATTTTATATAAGGGACTTGAGAATTTTGGTAACTGAAGGGGCTCCTGGAACCAATTTCCCATAGATACAGAAAAATGACTGCATATGTAAAAGACTTAGCAGTGAGCCTTTTATAAATGGTTGCATTAGTATTAATAAAGAAGTAAATAACACCTATAAATAGTTACCCAGGGTTTCCCGGATTACAGCTGCTATGGTCTGAATGTTTAAGTGCTCCCAGAATTTATATGTTGAAACCTAGTCACCAGTGCTATAATATTAAGAAATGGGGCTTTGGGAGGTGATTGGGAATGGCATTAATAGCACAGGAACAGAAAACCAAACATGTTCTCATTTGTAAGTGGGAGCTGAACAATGAGAACACATGGACACAGGGAGGGGAACAACACATACTGGGGCCTGTCATGGGGAGGGGAGGAGGGAGGAACAGCATTAGGAAAAATAGCTAATGCATGCTGGGCTTAATATTTTGGTGATGGGTCTATAGGTGTAGCAAACCACCATGGCACATGTTTACCTATGTAACAAACCTGCACATTCTGAACATGGACCTCGGAACTTAAAAAAAGAAGATAAAAGGCTTGAGCGAGCCTGTTTGCCCCTTCCACCATGCGAGGACACATACAAGGCACCATCTATGAGGAACGAGCTCCCAACGAGCTCCCAACAGATGCTGATTTTGCTGGTGTCTCGATCTTGGACAACCTCCAGAATTGTGAGCAATAAGTTTCTGTTGTTTATAAATTACTTAGTCTAAGGTATTTTGCTATGGAAATATGAAGGGACTAAGACAATAGCATATAAGAATGCTATCCTGATTTCTGGACTTCAAATTACTTATAACATATTTGGCACTCTCAGCCAGATACAGGCCATATTTAGGCAACACTGAATGAGGAAAGTTACTTACTTGCCCACTCCCTTCTGGAGAGTGGGACGCAATTATCAATTGTGTTGAAATTCTCCTAGATATTATATGAGGTGTCTTTAACTTGAGACTTGCATTAGTCAGGTTTTGATACAATGATTCTGCATAACAAAGAATCCCCAAATAGCAACACATACTTGTTTCTCATTCACAGGTCTATGAGTCAGCTATGACTCTGTGGTGCTTTGCTGGCCTCAGCTGGACTTGGCTTCAGGCTGTAGGTTGGGTTCATATCTGATCAATGGGGCTCTCATTCTGAGACTCAGGCTGAAGGCCACCTGAATTCTACTCTTCTCACAGTGAATGAGAAGCTCATAAGAGTACATGAGGACAGTAGGAAACTTGCCATGTGTCTTAAAGCCTCACCTTGGAACATGCTGTCTCCTCCATCTATGTTCTATTGCTCAAAGCAAGTTATATGGCCAAGTCCAATGCCAGTGGGATGGAAAGTACACTCTGTTCACAGGACAGTCACAGCAGTGGCAAAGCGGGAAGGAGGAATCATGGACAAATAATAAATACTATTTATATACTACAAGGATCTATAAAAATAACAAAAGAATGAGCTGAGAAGGACTGAACTCACATTATGGCACAGACTTAGAACAGTTTAGCAAACAATAAACTGCAATTGCATCGTGTTTGTGTATTCTAAACTCACAACCCAAACCCCTTCAAAATCTAGTCAGACAAAACCAGCAAATTATCCGTAAAGATGCATGTGCACATGTACCCAGAGGACTTATGGTGCAAAGCGCATACCCAGCATTAACCATGACACCCTTCTAGTCTTGCTTACAAAACCCCTCTCACCAAGGCTCTGGAGAAACCCTAGCCAGAAAAGGCAAGAAGAAAAGGCCTGGGTCAGTTCCCAGCTCACTTATAAACCTTCCTGATCCAGACAGTGCTTGGATCAGAGCTGATCTGCCCCTGATGAGGAATTTTTAAGTCTCTCTCTGCTATTGTTTTCAGTTGAGCGCAATCATCAACTGAACACCTTTTATGCTGGTCCTTTCTGTCATTTTTGGCTACTGCACACATATATACATATTCAGGGATGTCAAGTGGGGAATTTCTCTTTCAAATGTTCAATACATAAATAATTACATAAAACAGTGAATGAGTATCTGCAAAAGAACCTGCTGTGGAAGCCAAGGGACTACAGGTGGGAGACAAATGAATTCTGACTAGCACTTTCAGATGATTTCCTCACACTCAGCAGTCCTTTATCTGTGATTACTTCCTGTGTCCTGCTATCACTTTCCTGCTCCTCCCCTACTTTTTTATCTGCCCCAAAGCTAGAGTTTGAAATTGTCTAATAATTTCATTCACTTATACTTACATTACTATTTACCATCTAAATGAGTTAATTGGCTCCACTTGGAACACTGACATTCTCTTTCAGTTCCCTTTTTTTTTTTTTTTTCTGGGCAAAATCATTTGCTAGCTTTATCCTTATGGGTTGAAAAGGCACATATTCCACCCTGGGAGGAGGCCATTTCCTGTTCATGGAACCTGCCCGTCCTGAGTGTTCACTGGAGAGGCGGTGGACTCACCCCCTTCTCAGTTCAAGGACATACTCGGGCTACTTCTTTTCCAGCTGGTAGATACACAGGAAGATACTGCATCTCATGGACTAATGGACTTTCAAGTCAGCTTGGGGGGGTCACATCTGTTTTATGCAAGCAGACAAGGTGAATTATTGAACTAACAGCTTTCTCAGGTATGGGCTCTGCAGTGTGATTAATTATGTATAATGTGCACTCAGGCAAAAAATGAGGTGTTTAAAGGCTGCTGGAGTCATTCCACCTTCAAACAAGGAAGAGCAAGCTGAAGACTTTTGTAGTGTCTTACACTCACCCATGGTGGCTGAATTGATAAGAGAAGCATCAGACTTGTCAGGGAGAAATAATGTGGTCTCCTCTGTTTTGGAGTAGTGTTTGTCCTCTCCAGATCCCTTTGTAATTTTTGTCTGACTTTCTTTTGCCTGGCATATAGTGCATGGCACAATACAATAGCAGGGATAATAACAGCTACCATAGCATTGAGTGTGTTAGGTGTATAACTCGGTGTATTATTTTTTATTTATTTATTTATTTATTTTATTATTATACTTTAAGTTTTAGGGTACATGTGCACATTGTGCAGGTTAGTTACATACGTATACATGTGCCATGCTGGTGTGCTGCACCCACTAACTCGTCATCTAGCATTAGGTATATCTCCCAATGCTATCCCTCCCCCCGCCCCCCACCCCACAACAGTCCCCAGAGTGTGATGTTCCCCTTCCTGTGTCCATGTGATCTCATTGTTCAATTCCCACCTATGAGTGAGAATATGCGGTGTTTGGTTTTTTGTTCTTGCGATAGTTTACTGAGAATGATGGTTTCCAATTTCATCCATGTCCCTACAAAGGACATGAACTCATCATTTTTTATGGCTGCATAGTATTCCATGGTGTATATGTGCCACATTTTCTTAATCCAGTCTATCATTGTTGGACATTTGGGTTGGTTCCAAGTCTTTGCTATTGTGAATAATGCCGCAATAAACATACGTGTGCATGTGTCTTTATAGCAGCATGATTTATAGTCCTTTGGGTATATACCCAGTAATGGGATGGCTGGGTCAAATGGTATTTCTAGTTCTAGATCCCTGAGGAATCGCCACACTGACTTCCACAAGGGTTGAACTAGTTTACAGTCCCACCAACAGTGTAAAAGTGTTCCTATTTCTCCACATCCTCTCCAGCACCTGTTGTTTCCTGACTTTTTAATGATTGCCATTCTAACTGGTGTGAGATGGTATCTCATTGTGGTTTTGATTTGCATTTCTCTGATGGCTAGTGACGGTGAGCATTATTTCATGTGTTTTTTGGCTGCATAAATGTCTTCTTTTGAGAAGTGTCTGTTCTTGTCCTTCGCCCACTTTTTGATGGGGTTGTTTGTTTTTTTCTTGTAAGTTTGTTTGAGTTCATTGTAGATTCTGGATATTAGCCCTTTGTCAGATGAGTAGGTTGCAAAAATTTTCTCCCATTTTGTAGGTTGCCTGTTCACTCTGATGGTAGTTTCTTTTGCTGTGCAGAAGCTCTTTAGTTTAATTAGATCCCATTTGTCAATTTTGGCTTTTGTTGCCATCGCTTTTGGTGTTTTAGACATGAAGTCCTTGCCCATGCCTATGTCCTGAATGGTAATGCCTAGGTTTTCTTCTAGGGTTTTTATGGTTTTAGGTCTAACGTTTAAGTCTTTAATCCATCTTGAATTGATTTTTGTATAAGGTGTAAGGAAGGGATCCAGTTTCAGCTTTCTACATATGGCTAGCCAGTTTTCCCAGCACCATTTATTAAATAGGGAATCCTTTCCCCATTGCTTGTTTTTCTCAGGTTTGTCAAAGATCAGATAGTTGTAGATATGTGGCATTATTTCTGAGGGCTCTGTTCTGTTCCATTGATCTATATCTCTGTTTTGGTACCAGTACCATGCTGTTTTGGTTACTGTAGCCTTGTAGTATAGTTTGAAGTCAGGTAGTGTGATGCCTCCAGCTTTGTTCTTTTGGCTTGGGATTGACTTGGCGATGTGGGCTCTTTTTTGGTTCCATATGAACTTTAAAGTAGTTTTTTCCAATTCTGTGAAGAAAGTCATTGGTAGCTTGATGGGGATGGCATTGAATCTGTAAATTACCTTGGGCAGTATGGCCATTTTCACGATATTGATTCTTCCTACCCATGAGCATGGAATGTTCTTCCATTTGTTTGTATCCTCTTTTATTTCCTTGAGCAGTGGTTTGTAGTTCTCCCTGAAGAGGTCCTTCACATCCCTTGTAAGTTGGATTCCTAGGTATTTTATTCTCTTTGAAGCAATTGTGAATGGGAGTTCACTCATGATTTGGCTCTCTGTTTGTCTGTTGTTGGTGTATAGGAATGCTTGTGATTTTTGCACATTGATTTTGTACCCTGAGACTTTGCTGAAATTGCTTATCAGCTTAAGGAGATTTTGGGCTGAGACAATGGGGTTTCCTAGATATACAATCATGTCATCTGCAAACAGGGACAATTTGACTTCCTCTTTTCCTAATTGAGTACCCTTTATTTCCTTCTCCTGCCTAATTGCCCTGGCCAGAACTTCCAACACTATGTTGAAAAGGAGTGGTGAGAGAGGGCATCCCTGTCTTGTGCCAGTTTTCAAAGGGAATGCTTCCAGTTTTTGCCCATTCAGTATGATATTGGCTGTGGGTTTGTCATAGATAGCTCTTATTATTTTGAGATACGTCCCATCAATACTGAATTTATTGAGAGTTTTTAGCATGAAGGGTTGTTGAATTTTGTCAAAGGCTTTTTCTGCATCTATTGAGATAATCATGTGGTTTTTGTCTTTGGCTCTGTTTATATGCTGGATTACATTTATTGATTTGCATATATTGAACCAGCCTTGCATCCCAGGGATGAAGCCCACTTGATCATGGTGGATAAGCTTTTTGATATGCTGCTGGATTTGGTTTGCCAGTATTTTATTGAGGATTTTTACATCAATGTTCATCAAGGATATTGGTCTAAAATTCTCTTTTTTGGTTGTGTCTCTGCCCGGCTTTGGTATCAGAATGATGCTGGCCTCATAAAATGAGTTAGGGAGGATTCCCTCTTTTTCTATTGATTGGAATAGTTTCAGAAGGAATGGTACCAGTTCCTCCTTGTACCTCTGGTAGAATTCGGCTGTGAATCCATCTGGTCCTGGACTCTTTTTGGTTGGTAAGCTGTTGATTATTGCCACAATTTCAGCTCCTGTTATTGGTCTATTCAGAGATTCAACTTCTTCCTGGTTTAGTCTTGGGAGAGTGTATGTGTCAAGGAATTTATCCATTTCTTCTAGATTTTCTAGTTTATTTGCGTAGAGGTCTTTGTAGTATTCTCTGATGGTAGTTTGTATTTCTGTGGGATCGGTGGTGATATCCCCTTTGTCATTTTTTATTGAGTCTATTTGATTCTTCTCTCTGTTTTTCTTTATTAGTCTTGCTAGCGGTCTATCAATTTTGTTGATCCTTTCAAAAAACCAGCTCCTGGATTTATTAATTTTTTGAAGGGTTTTTTGTGTCTCTATTTCCTTCAGTTCTGCTCAGATTTTAGTTATTTCTTGCCTTCTGCTGGCTTTTGAATGTGTTTGCTCTTGCTTTTCTAGTTCTTTTAATTGTGATGTTAGGGTGTCAATTTTGGATCTTTCCTGCTTTCTCTTGTGGGCATGTAGTGCTATAAATTTCCCTCTACACACTACTTTGAATGCATCCCAGAGATTCTGGTATGTTGTGTCTTTGTTCTCGTTGGTTTCAAAGAACATCTTTATTTCTGCGTTCATTTCGTTATGTATCCAGTAGTCATTCAGGAGCAGGTTGTTCAGTTTCCATGTAGTTGAGCGGTTTTGAGTGAGATTCTTAATCCTGAGTTCTAGTTTGATTGCACTGTGGTCTGAGAGATAGTTTGTTATAATTTCTGTTCTTTTACATTTGCTGAGGAGAGCTTTACTTCCAAGTATGTGGTCAATTTTGGAATAAGTGTGGTGTGATGCTGAAAAAAAAGTATATTCTGTTGATTTGGGGTGGAGAGTTCTGTAGATGTCTATTAGGTCCACTTGGTGCAGAGCTGAGTTCAATTCCTGGGTATCCTTGTTGACTTTCTGTCTCGTTGATCTGTCTAATGTTGACAGTGGGGTGTTAAAGTCTCCCATTATTAATGTGTGGGAGTCTAAGTCTCTTTGTAGGTCACTCAGGACTTGCATTATGAATCTGGGTGCTCCTGTATTGGGTGCATATATATTTAGGATAGTTAGCTCTTCTTGTTGAATTGATCCCTTTACCATTATGTAATGGCCTTCTTTGTCTCTTTTGATCTTTGTTGGTTTAAAGTTTGTTTTATTAGAGACTAGGATTGCAACCCCTGCCTTTTTTTGTTTTCCATTGGCTTGGTAGATCTTCCCCCATCCTTTTATTTTAAGCCTATGTGTGTCTCTGCACGTCAGATGGGTTTCCTGAATACAGCACACTGATGGGTCTTGACTCTTTATCCAATTTGCCAGTCTGTGTCTTTTAATTGGAGCATTTAGTCCATTTACATTTAAAGTTAATATAGTTATGTGTGAATTTGATCCTGTCTTTATGATGTTAGCTGGTGATTTTGCTCGTTAGTTGATGCAGTTTCTTCCTAGTCTCGATGGTCTTTACATTTTGGCATGATTTTGCAGTGGCTGGTACCGGTTGTTCCTTTCCATGTTTAGCGCTTCCTTCAGGAGCTCTTTTAGGGCAGGCCTGGTGGTGACAAAATCTCTCAGCATTTGCTTGTCTGTAAAGTATTTTATTTCTCCTTCACTTATGAAGCTAGTTTGGCTGGATATGAAATTCTGGGTTGAAAATTCTTTTCTTTAAGAATGTTGAATATTGGCCCCCACTCTCTTCTGGCTTGTAGGGTTTCTGCCGAGAGATCCGCTGTTAGTCTGATGGGCTTCCCTTTGAGGGTAACCCAACCTTTCTCTCTGGCTGCCCTTAACATTTTTTCCTTCATTTTAACTTTGGTGAATCTGACAATTATGTGTCTTGGAGTTGCTCTTCTCGAGGAGTATCTTTGTGGCGTTCTCTGTATTTCCTGAATCTGAACGTTGGCCTGCCTTGCTAGATTGGGGAAATTCTCCTGGATAATATCCTGCAGAGTGTTTTCCAACTTGGTTCCATTCTCCCCATCACTTTCAGGTACACCAATCAGACGTAGATTTGGTCTTTTCACATAGTCCCATATTTCTTGGAGGCTTTGCTCATTTCTTTTTATTCTTTTTTCTCTAAACTTTCCTTCTCGCTTGATTTCATTCATTTCATCTTCCATTGCTGATACCCTTTCTTCCAGTTGATCACATCGGCTCCTGAGGCTTCTGCATTCTTCACGTAGTTCTCGAGCCTTGGTTTTCAGCTCCATCAGCTCCTTTAAGCACTTCTCTGTATTGGTTATTCTAGTTATACATTCTTCTAAATTTTTTTCAAAGTTTTCAACCTCTTTGCCTTTGGTTTGAACGTCCTGCCATAGCTCAGAGTAATTTGATCATCTGAAGCCTTCTTCTCTCAGCTCGTCAAAGTCATTCTCTGTCCAGCTTTGTTCCTTTGTTGGTGAGGAGCTGCGTTCCTTTGGAGGAGGAGAGGTGCTCTGATTTTTAGAGTTTCCAGTTTTTCTGTTCTGTTTTTTCCCCATCTTTGTGGTTTTATCTACTTTTGGTCTTTGATGATGGTGATGTACAGATGGGTTTTCGGTGTGGATGTCCTTTCTGTTTGTTAGTTTTCCTTCTAACAGACAGGACCCTCAGCTGCAGGTCTGTTGGAGTACCCTACAGTGTGAGGTGTCAGTGTGCTCCTGCTGGAGGGTGCCTCCCAGTTAGGCTGCTCGGGGGTCAGGGGTCAGGGACCCACTTGAGGAGGCAGTCTGCCCGTTCTCAGATCTCCAGCTGCGTACTGGGAGAACCACTGCTCTCTTCCAAGCTGTCAGACAGGGACATTTAAGTCTGCAGAGGTTACTGCTGTCTTTTTGTTTGTCTGTGCCCTGCCCCCAGAGGTGGAGCCTACAGAGGCAGGCAGGCAGGCCTCCTTGAGCTGTGGTGGGCTCCACCCAGTTCGAGCTTCCCGGCTGCTTTGTTTACCTAAGCAAGCCTGGGCAATGGTGGGCGCCCCTCCCCCAGCCTCGCTGCTGCCTTGCAGTTTTATCTCAGACTGCTGTGCTAGCAATCAGCGAGACTCCGTGGGGTAGGACCCTCTGAGCCAGGTGAGGGATATAATCTCGTGGTGCGCCGTTTTTTAAGCCCGTCGGAAAGGCGCAGTATTCGGGTGGGAGTGACCCGATTTTCCCGATTTTCCAGGTGCCGTCTGTCACCCCTTTCTTTGATTAGGAAAGGGAACTCCCTGACCCCTTGCGCTTCCCGAGTGAGGCAATGCCTCGCCTTGCTTCGGTTTGCGCATGGTGCGCGCACCCACTGACCTGCGCCCACTGTCTGGCACTCCCTAGTGAGATGAACCCGGTACCTCAGATGGAAATGCAGAAATCACCCGTCTTCTGCGTCGCTCAGGCTGGGAGCTGTAGACCAGAGCTGTTCCTATTCGGCCAACTTGGTTCCTCCCCCAACTCGGTGTACTATTATGGTATGAAATCCTCCTGATGAACCTGTGAGGTAGGTCTTTGATAAGCCTCATTTTACAGTGGAGAAAATGGGATCTTAGAGAGGTTGCGTGGCTGGTGAGAGAAGTCCTGCCTGCTTGGCCCTGGAGCTTACGTATTATACACCACACTGTACTTCTCTTAGGCTTTTAGTCTATTTTAATTATTGTTGGTTGAGTGAATAAATGAATGCATGAATATATGTCAGAATAAAGAGCTTCTCAGGGGGGATATGAAAGAAAATGCCCTCTCTAAAAATAAAAGGACGGTTGATATCTCATTTGATTCCTAAAGAAGGAGAACAGCAGCTGGCCCTTGGCCCCTGACTGTCTGCTTTCGGAAGAGAAGGCAGAGACAACTGGAAGATGCCCTGGTTTACACCCCAGCTCTTTGCTCACCACTGTGTCCCAGAACCCAGCACAGTGCCTGGGACAAATCACAGGCTAAAAATATTTGATAATTAAATGAATGAATAAATTTGATGGTGTATATGATAGCAGCGATTGGTTTCTGGCACCGATAAATAGCTCAATAATGTATTTGTGCCAGGGTTGGAAAGAGAAAAAATGCAGGAAGAGAGAGAAAAAAGAGAAAATGGCAGGAGTGCTCTTGACAGTGATGCTTGTGTAGAGCTGAGGGAACAGAATTAGCCAGGCAAATGCTTGGGGTTCCAGCTCCCCTAGTTGATCTACCCTTGCCCAAGCCCTGGCCCAGGGAGGACAAATGCTACCGTGTGCTCCTTGGAGCTTTAGAAAGGCCCACAGTAAGACAAATAAGTGATGTTTGGCCGGTTTATTCCTCTCTCCCTTCTTCCCTCACTCCGTGTCTTCCTTTCCTTCCATCTTCGTTTTAGTTTAGAAAATGTTCCATTTCGGAGTCCCATTCAAAAGCTATATATATAATTTCCAAGCCCAGAGTCATATTTGAATATCTGAATGATGGCATGTGACAAATCTCATTTTCTGTTTTGAAGAAAATTAACTTTAGAAAGGTTTCTTTCCTGTTTTATATTGGGGGTGGGGATCATTGGGGAACCCTCAAAAGACTTCTTACATGGCTGACAACTCTTGAAAAGATATATATTTTTTATTTTATCTTAATGAGCAGGACACATATGGAGCCTATTTCCCATCCATTTCACATGGTTTTTCTAATGAATAAGTGTTTACATGCTTGGCAGAGTACCCTGGGCATTTGCTTGACCCCAAAATATTTGAAATATGATTTCAGTTGTTTGTCCAACCCTCCCTGTCCTAGTGAGTAATTGATAATTGATTTTTTTTTTCAGGGGCTTGGGAGGGCAAGAGTAGGTGTCATAAGTAGCTTTGACCTTGAGAAGTCTGGAGGTCACGTGAGTTGACTTTGATTTTTATTATTGTTGTTAATTTTTACATGATGGCCAATTTGAAGTAGCATATGTATCATTTCACCAAGATTTGATACTTTATAGCTCTGTCACTGTAACTATCTGAGCCTCAGTTTCCATTTTTGTAAAATGAATACCAAATGCTTATTCCACGGGGTTGTTTTATTGGATGAATAGCCAGTGCTGAGCACCAAACCTGATGTATAGGCTGTGGTCAGTGAACGTTTCCTTCTTCTCTCAGCTGTTCAAGCCCGTTCAGGCCTGGGATCAAGTGCACACAGTGCTCTCGTAGATTGAGAATGACCAAGCCAGCTGAGGATTTAAGAAACAGAGGGAAGATGGTGATGTACATGTGCTCTGTGTGCACTCAGCACTTGTGAAATGCCTATTGAGCAATCAAATGACAGAATAGTGAACTAGATTAATGAAAAGGCAATAAAAAGAGAAACTCAGCACTGTTCATACATCAAAATATCATTGTGTCCCTCAGTCCCACAACACCGGGTTGATATGAAAGCCCTTATCACAAGAATCTCTTGTACTGAAAAGACCTGGGTTTGAATCCTGCCTCCACTACTTACAACTGTGAACTTTAGTAAGTACTTACCTCTCCAAGTCAGTTTGCTCACCTGTGAAATGTAGATAGCATGCCATGACATTGTGGGAAGGGTCAGTGTTATATTCTCTCAGTGGAGGGCCCACAGTAGGTGTTCAGTAAATGCTACTTACTTTCTTTTCTCTTCCTCCTCCTCCTCCTCCTTGTCCTCCTCCCCTACCTTCTTTTCCTTCTTCTCCTTTCTCTCTAGTAAAATGGAAATAGTCGTAGCATCCTTACCTGTGGAGTTATTGTCAGGATTAAATGTAAAACATTTAGACTAGTGCCTCAAACACATTAAATGCTGCATTGGTTGATGTTAACTTATTTTCATATGGCACTTCTATGATGGAGACAAGGCAGGGCAAGTCTATATAAAAATCTTTTCTGATTTGTCTCTAGACAAGAAATCTAAATAAAAGGAAATAAATAGCTCATGTAACTTAGCTGCTTTTTTATTTTAGGGCATTTGATTTTTGGATTGTCTTTCTGGTGCATTTTAAAGTTGGTCAAATTAACTTGGAAATATTTAAATAAGCATTTAAATATTTTTATGGAAAACATTTTCCATACTGCCCTGGCCAGACTCTTCATTCTAAGACTGATCCCAGATGCCACTGATATTTTCAGCTCAGAATAGTGGTTCCTTTATTTAAATGCATAGACTAAAACTTAAACATGAGGAGACACAAATGAAGAAAAGATGCCTGATGTCCACAGGGCATGACCTAGATGACTTCCACCCACAATGAGGAAGACTGAGCCATTGGTATGTGTGATTCCCTGTGTGTTTGGTGGTGTGGCTTTGCACAGCTGGCTCCCAGCCACGGCCACACAGACTCATTGCTGTTAGTGGGTATGATGAGAAGGAGGGTTGATCTGGAGTCCCTGGTTCTGTTTCTTCCAGGCTGTGTAATCTTGGACAAGTCAGTTGGGCTCAGTTTCCTCTCCTGAAATTGTTCTCAAAAATGCCCACCTCAGGGTCCTTTCTCAGTTATTTCAATGGAACAAATACAGGGAAGCACACAACAAGCTGTAAAGCATCTTAGAAGCGTGGGGCCTGTTTCCACGATGGTTAGTGTGGGAGTGGAGAAGCAGCTGGAAGCGCTGTTTGCTCTGTGGATTGCTTAGGTCTGTGCTTGGCCTCTGCTTTGTGTCCTCTTCTGGCTTCCATCCTGCTGGTGTGCTTCCAGAACTGCCTGCAGTTCCTCCCAGCAGCCACCTTCTTCCTTCTGCCAATGCGACTCTTCTCCTTCTGGGGTTCTTTGGCTGAGACTGGGCCAGTGAGCAGCTGAGACTGGAGATGGGTGAGAGCTGGAACATCTGCTGCTTCTTTTGGAAAGGGGTAAAGAAAAGGGTGAGAAATATTTGCAGTGACTCAGGGAAGGCTGAGGTGAGGCAGAGGAAGGTAGCAGGGACAGGATCCTAAGAAACTGAGACTTCCTCCATAGGACCTAGGCAGGCATTGTGAAGGAAGAAAATGGGGAGGGAAATGTTTAGGGTAGTACTAAAAAAGGTCACACTTTTGTCTCATTCCTGCTCCAGAATCAATACGAGTCACCTGGTGCCCTTATTCTCCTCTTTCCTTCATTCTTGTTTGACCTGGTTTTGTGGACCTTTATCAGCAAAGACTAGCAGTGTTCTCATGGTATTACATGACATGGTTGAATGATAATCATTTTGGAGCTCTGTGTGTGTGTGACAGGGAGCATTCCTAGTACACACAGGCGTTGACTTTAAGACCAAAATCTGTAGGCCTTTACCCTGCATATCACACCAACTCAGACTCAACATCTCTAATCCACGCTCTCTAACTCCTTACCCACCCCACCACTCCAATCAAGCCAATACCTTCCCTGGTCTGCCCTAGGCCACTCACTTTCCAATTGCTCCTCTCACTTTTCTCCTCTTAGAGTCCCCCTTTAACTCATTCTCCATAAAGCAGTCCATAAAGAATGGTCTTTCAGAAATGTAAATTAGAACATATCACTCTCCTGCTCAAACTCTCTGAGGACTTGGAGTGAAAATACAAGCTCTTATCTTACCTCATAAATATCTGAATAATGCTGCCTGATTTGTCAGCTCCTAGCGACCTTGGAAATGGGGCTGGTGCACATTGGGATGTGCTGTGAGTATGACACACTCACCAGATTTAGATGACTTTGCATGAATAAAAGAGTAAAAATTCTCTAATTAATAATTTTTATGATGATTGCATATTGAAATAATAATATTTTGAATTTGTTGGGTTAAGTAAAAATCTGTTTCTTTGTTTTTGAGACAGATTCTCCCTCTGTGAGCCAGGCTGGTGTGCAGTGGCACGATCTCGGCTCACTGCAAACTCCTCCTCTCGGGTTCCTGTGATTCTTGTGCCTCAGCCTCCTAAGCAGCTGGGATTAGAGGCGTGTGCCACCATGCCTAGCTAATTTTTGTAGTTTTAGTAGAGACGGGGTTTCACCATGTTGGCCAGGCTGGTCTCAAAATTCTGACCTCAGGTGATCCACCTGCCTCAGCCTCCCAAAGTGCTGGGATTACAAGCATTAGCCACCATGCCCAGCCATCAAAAATTTATATTTTAAATTAGTTTTACCATTGTTATGCATGTCTATATCTAGATAGAAAGATAGACAGACATATAGATGGTAGGTAGATAGATTAGATAGATAGATAGATAGATAGATAGATAGATAGACAGATAAGATAGATAGATGATAGATAGATAGATAGATAGACTCTATCTATATACATACACACTAGAGAATTTTAAGTTACACATGTGGCTCACATTATGTTTTCACTGGACAGCACCAGTCTAAGTGATCTAATGGCTGCCTGACTCTGACTTGCCTTCTGCCCTCCCCCTGCTTGCCCTCTGAGCTCTGTCACTCTGCCCTTCCTCCTTTTCCCTGGTCAGGCAGTGTTCATCCCCACCCTATGGCATTCCTTCTCATTGTTTACTCTGTCTGGAAGGCTTCCCCTCATCTCAGCCTGGAAGGCTCCTTCTCTTCTTTCAGAGTTCAGCTCAATGTCACCTGCTCTGAGATGTCTATCTCATAAAAGTGGCTATGCTATCATTTTTCTTACCATAGCATCCTATTTCTTGTCTGCATAGCACTTATCATGAGCTGATGGCTTCCTTCCTTCCGTTCCTTCCTCCCACCCTTTCTTCCTTCCTCACCTCCACAATATAACCTCTATAAAAGCAGGCACTTTGTCTTGTTCGTTATTGTGTCTTGGTGACAATAATAGATCCTGGCATGCAGAAGGCACTAAAGCAAAATTTGTTGAATGAATAAATATGATTTTGAGTCATGGATGCTGTCAAGACAAAATAGCCAGAGAGGTATTTATTGAGCACATCTTATGTGTCAGACATTGTAAGACAAACTATATATATCCTATCTCATAGACATACACTAGCTATAGATCTCATAGATATATGTTTTGTCTCACTTGGGGTCTGCAAACTGTGTCCTATGAATCTAATCTGTTCTGCTATGCGGTGTTGTAAATAAATATTTTTTGGAACATGGCCAAGCTCAGTTGTTTAAATATTGTCCACGGCTGCTTTTGTAACACAACACATAGTAGAACAGTTGCTAGAGGGACTGTATGGCCTGATATTTACTTTCTGGTCATTTACATTAAAAGTTTCCTGATTTCTAAGGTAGATAAGGGGTGACCTGAAAGGGCTATAGTCTCCCCAATAAGTTCTTGATTCTTCTAGATGAACGTGAAATCAAAGTAAAATCCCTGTGGTTCAAATGCAGCTTCAATGGAACTTTCTCAACCTCCCCTTGAGACTACATTGTGTCCTCAAGTACCTTTATGGAGACATGATAGACATGCGTTGGCAAAACCAACCCAACACTGTGAGTGAGGTATTATGATGCTCATTTGGCAGATGAGGTGACAGAGATTCAAACTAGTTAAATACAGAGCTGGGATTGAAGTCCTGACCTGCCTCATTCTGTGGCTACAGCAGTTTGAGAAATCCATACAGAATGCCCTCCACACTTCCACATGCACACTTTAAAGAATTACCCTGAATGCCGCGACTGTCTTAGTTTTTGCTTCAGCATGGGTAATTAATGTCAAGTCCTGGAAGGCCGACTATAGAGTGTACCTGGCTCCTGGGCAAGCTATTAAAGAGTCTGAGGAGCCTATATCAAATCTGAAAATAGTAATGATCTCTGGCTTCGTTATAATAGAAAGCAAATGAAAATGATGCTTAAAAATTGTTACTGAACTTGTGTGGCATGCACTTTTTTCTTTGCATATTTTTTTTTAAGTTACATATAAAAATTTTCCATGGTTGACCAAGTTTGCCTTGATTTCAAGCCATTGTATTAATGTCTGTTTTTATTTTTTCTAGCCTCCATTTCCTCTCATTACCAAAATTTTTTTTAAAAAAACCTTGAATTGACAGAGAGTCACTAAGATAAGCACAGTGTGGCTTAAAAAATTATTTGCAATAGAAAAAACAGATTTCTGTGATTAGTTTGTCCCCTCTAGACTCTGCCTCCTCCCCACAGTGTGTGGCCCTCTTCCTTGGCCCAATTCAGCTTTTGATGTGATATCCTAGTGACTTCTGGGTTGTCCACAGGCATCTCACCCAGTTATCCAATCCTACTTTCTGATCCTGGCACTTGCCTAAGAAATGGTTCTGAGAGGCTCAGTCTGATTGACCAGAGCCTGGTGCCCATCTCCCTGGCAATCTTGAAGTCACAAGTGACTACATGAACCTGAGTCCTTACATTGACCAAAACGAGGAAGAAGAGAGAAGAGACGCTGTAGAGAGCAAATTCTCATCTATGTAACTCAACTTATCTGTTTCTGACACATGAAAAGTGCATGCAAATACTTGTTAGTAGGGTGGATGGGTGGGGGGATGACTGAATGGATGGGTGGATGGATGAGTGGAACAAAGTAAGAGTTAAGTTTGGTTCACCGGGACTTTGTTAGGTTTGGGGTGGGATGAGCGAGGGGAATATTTTAATTGTTGTTTTAGTGTGCTGTTTTATATCTTCTTCAGTCAATTCTAAAAAGCATAAAATATCATCTGCTTGGTCTTCCATGACAGAACACATTAGCCAGTGTTGTTTATTTTGTGACACTCAAGCAATGAGCTGTCAAAACCAATCTGCCCATTTAATCGATTCTGACTTGTTTCCGAAAAGTGAAATTTAGCCTTTTACTGTTGTTAGCCATTATCCCTCTTCCAGTAAAATCTGAATTTTCACAGGTCATGCTAGATCACAAATAGTAATTCCACTGCACTAACATTTACACGCTGTGAGTAACTGAGAGCTGTGTCTATGGTAGCACTTGACTTGGGATACTCTTTAACCTCGGGCTACCAACATAAGACAAAATCAAGTTACAGTCGCCAGGGAGAGTAAGCAGTGTGGGAAAATGCCCAAAATAGCTCTACTTGTTTAAGATTTCCTTATTGATAATTGCAGCATATAAAACGTATATATAGAAACTTCTTGGGCTGCCTGCATTTACTTGTTTCAGTTAGCACACCCTTTTATTTAGGCCCCCGCTAGCTCCATGGCTGTGCCTCAGTTTACAGTGAGAGTAAACTGCACGATGAAAGAAAGCCAACCATATGCTGCCACTGCAGTATGGGTGTGTGTGTGTGTGTGTGTGTGGGTTTGTGTGCATGTGGACATTCGAGTCACAGAGCCAGTTAGGAGTGCCTGGAAGCACTGGCACCCTGAGGATGTTCTAGCTGTCTCTGGCGCCATGCTTATTCGGCTGCTGTCCCTACCACAAAATTGGCTTTCAGTACCATACCTTGAACATCAGGAGAGGGTCTTTATCCTAAAATCCTGGGGCCAAGATATTAAGAAAGTCCTTTATAGTTTCATAACTGTTTTTAGTAGGCAGTGTGGCTTTATTCCTTCTTTGATTGGGAAATGGAGGGGGTTGTTCATAGGCTAGAACAGAGGAAACAACTTATCCCCCTGAGCCCTATCAACCATATGAGCTAATGCACTATCATGACTATGCCAAGACTATGATTCAAAGAAACTACTAGAAGGCCGGGTGTAGTGGCTCACGCCTGTAATCCCAGCACTTTGGGAGGCTGAGGGGGGTGGATCACTTGAGGCCAGGAGTTCAAAACCAGCCTGGCCAACATGGTGAAACCCCGTCTCTACTAAAAATATAAAAATTAGCCAGGCATTGTGACACATGCCTGTACTCCCAGCTACTCGGGAGGTTGAGGCAGGAGAATCGTTTGAACCTGGGAGGCGGAGGTTGCAGTGAGCCGAGATCGCTCCACTGCACTCCAGCCTGGACGACAGAGTGAGACCCCATCTCAAATAAATGAAAGAAAGAAAGAAAGAAAGAAAGAAAGAAAGAAAGAAAGAAAGAAAGAAAGAAAGAAAGAAAAGAAAGAAAATAAATTACTAAAGAAGGCAGTGTGGAAGCCAGACTCTGAGACTGTGAGGCAGGCAAAGAAGGTAGTTACATGATGGCACCATTTTTCTCCTCTGTTCTCTCTGAGAGCACAGGCCCTGCCTGCAGGTTGCAACCCAAGTCCCACACTGGAACCTGATGATGTCTCCATATCAGCTCTGATCTTCCATGCAACGGCAGCATCAGGCGTATGCAGGGTGGAGCTAGTTTCCTTGCAGTGCCCTGTGTTGTAGTTCTGTTTAAGACTCAGCTTCCTCAGTCAGCAACTGTTGGGCAGTGAACTGGCTGCATCAGTCTTGGCCGTAGAAGTGTCACATTGAAGTTCATTACCACTATTATGGAAAACCAGCTTTTGACTTGAGATCTTTTAGGGTGGGCACTCTTTTTCAAGCGGAAACCATGCCCAGCATTACTGGAGGGTGGTAATGCACCTGTCATGCTGTGGTCAGTCTGATCATACTTGAAGGGCTGGGCTCAGCTCTATGCACCAGTCAGAAAAGGAACTGCAGTGGGTAGATGAGAGGGGCTAAATGCTGGTGTGTGTGGCCTGGGAAACAGCTTTGGAGACGGCATGTATTCTGTGTGGTCCAAGGAACAGATATGTGACCTGTGATCCGGATAGCTTAGGGACACAGAGTCGTCACTGGCATTTTTCGGTAAACAGGGTAAAAATGTTTCTAATTGGAGTGAACTACCTTGGAAGGTAGAAATCTCACTCTCATTCAATGTCTGAGCAGAGACCGGGTGGGAATAGTAAGAGAGAGGATTCTTAAGCCAGATAACTGAACTAAGGTCTTAGGGATGATCCAGGTTTTGTGGGGCCTGGAGTTTATACAATTTTGGGATGCTGCTAAAGCTACAAGAATCCAGACACCCAATTAGATATGCCAGTGAATATTTATTTGTAATGAGAAAATAAGTCACAATACATTCCTAGGGCCTTAGAGATTCGCGATTCTTTCCTCTGAGCTCTTTTTAGGCAATTTACCAGGAGCGCATTTACCAGAAATGCTTTCTCCTTGTAATCTGTCTTCCCATCTTCATGTAGAACATTCTACAGCTCTCAGCAAGACCCTCAGCCCCCTAATGGGCCTCCAAGGAGGAGTCCTGAAACTTAAACCTCATAACTTCATGTTACATCTTCCTGAACAGAGCTCCCATCTGGGCTTAGAATTGTGGGCATGATCAGAAAGTAGAAGAGCCAGACCCTCCTTCAGGGAGTTCAATGGGCAAGTCACAGAGGGTGTAGGAGTCTGAGAAGAGAGCACTAACTCTGGTGACATCCCTTCCATGTGTTTAACACACTCTATGAATTTATCTCCTTTTCTTCAGAATATTAGTCAGGGGTCTCCAGAGAAGCAGAACGAATAAGATATTTATAAGAAGAGAATTAATTTTGGAAGGGGCTCACATGATTATAGAGGACAAGAAGTCCCACCGTATGCCACCTGCAAGCTGGAGAGCCAGGGGAGCTGATGATGTAACTCCCAATCTGAGGTTCAAGGCTGAAGGATGCAGTTGGGGGAGCTGCTAGTGTATGCTCTTAGTCTGACACCCCTAGAACAAAGAGCTCCAATGTTCCAGGACAGGAGAAGATAATGTCCCAGCTCAGAAAAGAGAGAAAATTTGCCCCTCCTCCACCTTCTTGTTCTATCTGGTCACTCGATGGATTGGACAATGCCTGTCCACATTGGTTAAGTCGATCTTCTTTACTCAGTCTAGTGATTCAAATGCTAATTTCTACCAGAAACACCTTCACAGACACACCCAGAAGTAATAATTAACCCAATACCTGGGCATCCCATGGTCCAGTCAAGCTGACACATAAAATTAACATCATGGTTGGTTAGCTGTACTTCATTGTGGAGGAAGTAAGACTTGGAGATGTGAAGATTCACACCTGGACATGTCTGATTCTGTGTTCTTCTCACTTGGTGCTGCTAAACCCTTTCTACTGGGGAAGTTTTCATCCTGGGGGGAAGGACAATGACCACTTCTCGAGGACAAACTGGGTTCAGAGGGCAACCCAGAATATCTATTGAATGTAGGAGTTAGACTGTGTTAGTCCATTTTCACACTGCTATAAAGAAACACCGAGACTGGGTCATTTATGAAGAAAAGAGATTTAATTAACTCACAGTTCCACATGGCTGAGGAGGCCTCAGGAAACTTACAATTGTGGCAGAAGGGGAAGCAGTCATGTCTTACATGGCAGCAGGTGAGAGAGAGAGAGAGAGACAGAGAGAGAGACCTAGTGAGGGAGAAGCTGTCAAACACTTATAAAACCACCAGATCTTGTGAGAATTCACTCACTGTCATGAGAACAGCATGGGGGAAAACCACTCCCATGATCCAATTGCCTCCCACCAGATCCCTCCCTTGACACAGGGTAATTATGAGGATTACAGTTCGACATGAGATTTGGGTGGAGACATAGAGCCAAACTGTATCAGAGACACAACACACACATCAGCATTAGTGCCATGTAGATATATACACACTCTTGGCTCAAGAAAGAGACTTTTAAAACGAGAAGGAAATAATTCTTATTTTTACCCAAAGGGACATGGTGCTGAGGCTGCACTAATGATAAAATTACCGATGAGATCTATGGGGAGCTCAACTTTCATTCAAAACAACAGTCTGGAGTCTTGCAGTTTTTTCTCAGAACTGCTTCTAAGTTTTCTCTGAACTGAAGGGAGAATTTCTCTGATTATCTGTGCCTTATTATCTCCATTCATAACATTAGTCCTCACCTCTCCTTTAGGGTCATTATGAAGAAAAATGTGAAAGGGATTTAGCCTTTAATAGGCCCATTTGGATACAGATCACATATGGCTATAAAAAGTCACTAGTATTAGTTTTGTTGTTATTAAGAAAATTGCAAATAATAAAAACACCAATTTAGCTACAAAAAGAATCTAAACTTCCTTTGACGGAAGTGAAAAAATATACTGTTTTTCTTTTTTATTATGAATATTCTAAAAGTAATTCATGTTTATTACAAAAAACATTTACAGTACAGATAAATCATAAGGGAAAAAAATCACCCACAATCTCACCTCCCAGATACAATAAACCATTGACAATATTTTCATAAATTCTTTCCTTGTCTCCCTCTCCTACATGTATACATATGTGCATGTGTGCGTCCATGTGTGTTTGTGTGTGTAAAACTAGAAAAAAATACTATAATCTTTTGTAACTTGCTCATTGGCATAATGATATACTGTGAACATCTATTCGTTTCAGTAAAATCTATTTACTCACATCTTTTTAAAGTGGCTGAATTAATATTCCATTATCAACAGATCACAATTTCAAATAATTTTTGCTGTTGGAACTTAAAATATTAACCATTCTATACAATGATGCAATCAATATATTTCCTGGTTCATCTGGTTGTTTTCTTTAGAAGCATTTCTAGAAGTAGCATTATGAGGCCAAAGGGTATATGAATTTTATGATTCTTGATACAGAGGTCAACCCTCCCTCCAAGAGGCTGTTCATTGCTACTCATATCACAGTGCTTGAAAAATCAAGTTTCCCCATATCCTTGACAGTAATAGGCATTTTCATTCTCTCAAAATTTTGCCAACTTGCAGTGTATAAATCAGTACTTTGTATACATTTACATTTCTTGCGTAGTGGTGAGCCTAAATATTGTTTTTCATGTGTTTCTTAGCCATTTGTATCTTGTCTATTATAACTTATCTATGTCCTTTGTTCACTTTTTTTCCTAGAATACTTTTCCTTAATCTTTCCTGAGAAAGTATATTCAGCAATACTTTGTTTACCTTATGTTAGGATATGGAGTTTCAGATTTCCTTAAAATACAATTTCCCTTACGTAGTCTCCCCTCACTGAAGAAAGGCAAGCAATAACTTTTAGAAGCAAAAAGGGCTGGCAATATGATTTCCACAAAGCATATTTACATATTTAATATTTTTACTAGCATTTTATCAACAGCTGGAGGGCTTCCGCAACCCAAGCATCTACGATAACAGCACAGAAAATTTGTTGAAAATGACAGAGCCTATATTTTGGTATTGGAATGAGAACTATATACATAACTCACTATGAAGACAATTCAAGCAAAATTACACCACAAAGTATAAATGACACATGGTGACTTCTGATATAAATTTCTCAGTCTCCACCAAGAATTGTAAAAATCTCTGCTCTGGTCTGATCTGCCCTGTCCTTCTAGAATTCCTCTGTCTCTTCAGAGCTCTTCTGTTTCTACTTCTCCTGTCCCCAAGCTGGTCTCTTTCTTTTTTCTTTTCTTTTTTTTTTTTTTGAGATGGAGTTTTGCTCTTGTTGCCCAGGCTGGAATGCACTGGTATGATCTCGGCTCACTGCAACCTCTGCCTTCCGGGTTCAAGCGATTCTCCTGCCTCAGCCTCCCAAGTAGCTGGGGTTACAGGCATGTGCCACCATGACTGGCTAATTTTGTATCTTTAGTAGAGACGGGGTTTCTCCATTTTGGTCAGGCTGTTCTCAAACTCCAGACCTCAGGTGATCAGCCTGCCTTGGCCTCCCAAAGTTCTGGGATTACAGGCATGAGCCATTGTGCCCAGCCCAGTCTCTTTCTTTTATCAGGGCCCCTTTTCCTAGTCACAGCATGCTTTCATCTCCACAGTTGCCATGTTAATCCTTATCCATTCATTCCTGAACTGGAGCCGTTAAGGACACTAGCATCTCTAATGCTCTTTGCAGAATGATTGTCCTGGTTATTAGAAACATTACTTCATGGTCCTCAAGCCCTCTTTCCCTGTGAGGACACCACCTGCCACCCCGTGTTTCACTACTGCTTCACTTTCTGCTCATGCTGGTGACAGCTTTATAAGCTTCAGCAGGAGTATTTCCAGACTGGGGCCTGTTGAAAATTATTTCTTCCCTTGTCATTATTTAAAGGTATGAACACAATGTGTCACTTCATTGAAACAGCCTCCCTGGCTTCTTAACCATGTAACTCTCAAAATTGTAAAGGCTATTTATACTCCAGGGGTCTGACCAATATTAATTACATATTTATAACAATAACAGCAAAACCTAAAAAGACCTTTTAAAGCCTCTTGTGTGCTATGTATAGCTGGTATATTGGAAATGTTTATCAAGGCCCCACCCCTTATCTGAGATTTTCTGTTTCCCATTGGTAATCTGTTAGCTCATACAATTTCAACTGGGGTCAGAGATATACTGACTTCATTTAAATATTATTTCCCCCAAGCTGTCATGAATACGAGGCAAGTGTGTCTAATAGATTTCTACCAAAAGTATTTGAGGGATATCAGAGGATTTACAGGAACAAATTCTAGTTGCTAGTCGGAAGTTTCTATTCCCAATACGATTTCTCCACCATCCTCTAAAGCAGAGAAAATTTACTAGTATGTCCCTCCTTATGGGACCTGGCCTCCTACCACTTTACCAACTCGCTTCTCTTTCCTCTCTTCTCTCCTCTCAGTTTCAGGGCTCTCACTTTCCATTAAACATTCAAGACTTCTGTTTCACTAGTAAGCAGAGCAATTTGTCTTTGCCTTGCCTCAACCTTCTCCTCCCAGACTAGGCCAAAGCCTTGTGTTTCATATTCAAAAGGGCCATTTACAAGAGAGCCATTTTGTGGAGATTAAGCTCTCTCAGTGCAGAATTGGTGACAGTCACTAAGTATATAAATTGCATCTCTGCTCCCGCCAAATATGGAGCAGTGCAGCCCTTGGAGTTCCCATCTCGCTATCAACATCCACCCGTGCTCCTTTCCCATCCTTTCCCTTCACTTTTCTCTCTCCTTTTGTTCCACTGATATAGCCAATTTTGCAGCCTTTCCCACTTTGCTGAGAAATCCATAGACCCAGGAATCTGACCCCTTTCCTTACTCTTGAATAGTAGGTGCTGGGCCATGATATTTAATGGCATTCTCCTCAACATGTGTTATCACGTGTTATCAGCCAACATCCACTTCTTTCGTTTCCCTTTCCTCTTGCTCATGGGATTTCAAGAACTACTGGATGCAATCCAAATAGTGCAGTACTACCAGGCCTTCTGTAGGTTTGTTTTTCTCTTTCTTTGATCTGCACCATTTAGTTATTGCTTTAAGACACTGTGTGGTTTATGTAGTCTCGCAGAAGTGCTTCACCTCATTCTTGAGAAAATCCAATTTGATGTTTGATGTTCAGGAGCAAACCTTAGTCATTGCTGCCAAGTACTCTTATTCTGTTATTCTTCAGAAAACTCATCCATCATCTGGCCTGGCCCAGTGCTGTTCACCCAGTGCTGTAATTGCACTGTGATTACCTGCACTGGCCCTCCTGCCTACCTTAGGTGCGATCATTTCTCATGAGCATAATCCATTGCTGTCATTGAGGGCTTGGAGGAGATTCATTTCCACTGTCTCCTGTGGCTTCTAAATAAAATCTTTTAAGCAAAGACTAGACAAAAAGGAAGGCTGAGGACAGTGATGAATCCCTGTTTCCCTCCTAGCTAACATGTTCCCCTCCCAGCCCAGGACCCATGCATTAGGAGTAAACAGATCACTCATATCACAATATTTTGGTAATAAATTGCAATGTTCACTATAGTGTGATTGAGGCATTTGTTAAGAATGATACTGCTAAATAAAAAATTTTCTCTCAATTCACGTAAGATTATACTGACCTTTTTACAGAAAGTCAGACTAATCAACCTGACATCAAGCACACAACCAGGAGGACACTGACTCGGTCTGAGATGCCTGGACCCTAGTCCCATGTTAATGCATCTTGGTCTTCCTTATACCTCAACCTCAGAACTTACCCCAGAGTACCTACTAAAAATGGATCTCAAGGCTGTTTAATGGAGGTTTATGCCATTGTTGGGGCTTCTATGTACAACAAAAAAGCTACTGTAATTTTTAGGAGAAGAAAATATACAAAGAGATTCTAGGCATAGAGTTGGAGGTGGGAAGAGTATGTTCTGGAAAGGGAAATAAACATGACCAGGAAGGATAGAGTGTGAGGAGGCCTCCTGGGCTGGAATCATCAATGAGTGGCCTGTGTACCAGCAGCATCAGCATCACCTGGGAGCTTGTTAGGAATTCAGAATCCCAGACCCCACCTCAGATTTCCTAAGCCAGAATCTGCATTGATGCAAGATCCCCAGGTGATTCCCATTAAAGCATGAAGAGAATAATGTTCTAGGCAACCAAATCCCCAAACATACATATATGAGGCTGTATATAAGTCACCTGTAGAAATTAAACCCTCAGCACCCTGCCTGGTAAATGTTGTATGTTTACAGGGGAAGAAAGGACCAGGGGAGGAGGTAGGAAATGAGATATATATATCTTACTGTACACAGAGAGGAGCACCATGAACTCAGAGTGACATATCCTGCTTAGCCCAGGTAATGTCAGTGAAGTGAACAAAAACTCATGTTGAGCGCCATGTGAACCCCTCGCAGCCAGTGCAGAGAATGTGACGACTGACCCTTCACAACCTCGCTATTCCTTATCTGATGTGTAGCAACACAGGCATTAAGGGAAGTAACTCCAGCTTCTGTGTTAAACCCTGATTGGGCAGATCCAGTGCTTTTCCAAGGGTAGTTCTCGGGCCAGAAGCATCAGCATTACCTGGAAAATGTTTAGAAATGCAAATTCTCTGTTCTCATCCCAGACCTACTGAATCAGAATTTTGGGGGTCAGTTTCTCCAGGAGATCCTAAGGCACACACACACCTGGAGAACCAATGGTCAAATACCACTGACCATTTGGTTCTATTACACTAATTGACCATTACCCTAGCAGGAATTAGGAAACCCAGCCCTAAGCCAATGAATGACAATGGGATTGGTTCATGAATATGTATGGGATCCCAATACAGACCAAAGAGACTCAAGGTCTGTCTTGGAGAAGGTTATTTGGCTTTTCTGAGGAAAGCTTCATAACATTTAAAGAGAAACTTAGGAATAGTTTCTCTCCCTCTAGATGATGCTGTGGACCCATATAGAGCAAATATTGCTGCAGCCATCTAGTTGCTAGCCTGAAGGGAGCCAGCACAGGATGAGGACAGAGGAAAGGGAATAATAGGCAAATGGCATGGAGCCTGCCCACCTCTAGATTACACTTAGGTAAGCCATTTAATTTCTTTGCTTCAGCTAGCTCAAGGTGGCTGTTATTTGCAGCTCCAAGCATTTAACTGACAGCTTTGATGCAGTGAATAAGCTGCATTGGCCTAGTTTTGCTGATGATCTCAACCCTCTTCAAACACAGAGGTGTTAGGCAAACTATTTCATAACTGGCAGAGTCCAGGCACTGACCAACGGGAAGAAATGATAGCTGGGCACTTTATTATTCATTGAGAGGAGCTCATCAAAAATCAAAATTCCTTCTAATTACTCCTGTAGCAATTATGGTACCTCTTCTACCATGTACCATCAGGGCAGAGCTTGATTTTTTTTTTTTAACTCCAATCGTCCATTTTTGCCTTTCTGAAATCCTACAGCTGGCTGGCAATCAAAGGGATACTTCTCACTGAGACTTTCCTTACACCCTAACTTTACTACTCTTTTTTTTTACCTCCCACTTGTTCTATACATGGAAAAGGAGTAGCTAGTATTTATACCTTTTAACAAATCATCAAATACGTCCTTCAATTCTCTTCCTTTCTTTCCTTCTTATTCAAATTTAATAAAATCTTGATAAAAAGTTTAAAAATTGATAAAACAAAAATTGTGTTAAAAGATTTGTTAAAATGAAATGTCAGGGCTTAAAAAGTTTATACTAGAAAATGCGAATATGAAGTATTGACTTTTTTCAGGATTATTTTAGTGTTGAATTGATCTTGTTCCAATTCTTTGGAAATTCTTTGAAAACCTAATTCTTTGAAATTGTTAATTCCTGTATAGTGTATTTATATGGTAATAGCTATTTATTAACTAGGAATATTTGAGTCACCAGAAAAAAAATGCATATATCTTAAATCATGTAGTATGGGATTTTAATGTACTCTATAAAAAGTGGTTAGTTTATTAAAATCAGGATCAAGAGCCTTTAGTATAATTATCATGGGTACTATTGTGTGTGAAATGAGACATATACATTTTAATATAACTTACACATTAATAGCTACTGGTAATGGCTAAACCATGATAGTCTGAAACTGCAATCTGTTTGCTAGCTCCTGTTTCTCCTGTCCATCAGAGGCATGTATTTGCACTTGAGTTTTAGACATGAGCACTGAAGATACTAATGATTAACAACTAGATCTCTTCCTTCTGGAAAAAAACAATACTGAATATATCATATCCTAATTGTCCTCAAAGAGAAATGTGATAGTAGAATTCTACTTTAATTCAGACCTGAAGGTAACCCTGAAGATATCAATAACTATATATGGGCTCTACATGTGGCTAGGCAGAGCTGAGTGAATTATGGTGGTGACATTCTCACTACCAAATACTGTGCCTTATCCCTAAGCAGCCAGTCATATATTCTAGTCTCATCAACAAAGTCTTATCAGAGGGTTTGTTAAAAAGATATCTTTTGAGATTCAATATTAAGTTTTAAAAAACACAGTAACCTAGTTTTTAAAAGAAATTATAAAATCACAACAATAAAATTCAGACTGACCTAGACTAACAACACATCAAATCATAAAATTACAACTATAAAATTCAGACTGACCTAGATTAATAACACATCAAATTGAGATCCTATGATTTATTGTGATCTGATAGCCTATAACTAATGGTCCTGCCATGTCACTTAATAGATGATTTCAGAGGTAGGTTTCCTAGCAACATTACAGCTGGTATTAAGTCTCTTAGAATGCCTGACCAGGAACCATAAATTAGTCCAGCTCTTTGAGTTGTTTCTGCTCTTAAACTAGCAGGGAGCATGATTGGAGTTCATGATAGTTCACTTTGGGAGCCCTCTGACAATTGAAAAACACGGCTTTTCACTCCTGTTGTTTCTTGTGTTGCTAGAATCTTGAGCAGAAAAGTCACTTCTTTAATCTCAAGGAATCAGAAAAACTATCTTTTTATATTGTTAATGATTAATTCTCCCTTGCATCTTCTATCTTATTTCTCTTAAGTTTACTTATAATGCATGCATTGGCTCTCTCTGGTCTGTTCTCTATGTCTTTTAAATCTATCCTTTTCCCCCAAATTCTGCAAGAACAAGGCAGCCTTTAGATTAACTGGGTTGGTAGCTTCTATTGTTCAGCATATCTCTCTGGAAAATTTGAAAATTTGGAAATTTTTAAGCAATTGTGTATATCATCTGAATGTAATCATGCCTGGTTTTGGGTTAGCGCCTGTAAATTTATGCAGTTTCCTTCAAAACCTGATGCTTTTTCTAACAATTTTGTTTCATGTGTTTTTTAGTTCAGATCCTCTGCTCAGCATACTCCAAGCTAGGAATAGATATGCAAAAGGATTTTTAGGGAAATGTCTGTGAAGACTAAAGAAGATGGAACCAGAGAAGGTGCAAAGTGCCTTATCAACCACAAGATCTGATACCTATTCAGGAGAGAGAAGGAAGGAGAAGCCAGTGGGAGAATCCCAGACTATAGCAGAGGTCTAAGAAGGTTTTGGCGAGGCTGCTAGTGAGGCTGTTAGCCAAAGTCACCTATTAAGAGTCCCTTGTCTTGCACGAATGGGGCTGCATTCGTGCATAGTCACTGACTGGAATAGCCTGTGGGCAGCAGCTGGGACCATCACACAACAGGAGATCTGAGTGGTACATTTTCATGGCCACCACAGGGTGTCACTTAATCTTAACCTGTATGTTTCCTTTGATCTAGTAGGTCCTACCTTGCTGGAGGATTTCTCTTCGTTTGTTCAACCTTACCAAGTGAAGTGCCATGTCACTTTGTTCTGGTCTGGAAAATGAAGTGGCTTCACGCAGAGACTGTAGTGATTTCATTATTGTCAAACAGTTCAGGTTCAGACAAAGGAAGAAGGGAAACTTTAGACAGACTCTGTTTGTAGACATTGTCTTTTTAGATAGCTTTGTCTATTGGGGGTAGGAAGAGAGCTAGATTAAGAGGTACAGCACAGTGAGATTTTGCTATACCGAAGAATTCATTTTTCAAACCAAAGTCAGCTAGGACAATGTTCCCTCTTTGACATGTCATGACTGCAGTAGGCATTCCAGTGTTTTACTAAGTATGCCCTCTGCTCCAGGAGTAAGCTAGGAGTAAATGCTACAGTTAGCTGCTTCCCATGCTGGTCTTGGTATACTTTTATTTCTCAGCAACCATGCAATAAACTGCCTTCACCTTCAGCTCCTGCTCTCTGTGGCTGGGGGTGTTTGGGGAGTCCTACTCATTTCCTGTCCACACATGCTTCCCTTTGTGAAAGGTGGATCCTGGGTTCTCCAATCCCTGTCACAAAACAATCTTTTTCCCACTGTGTCTTATATTATATTTGTGGTATTTTGATGCCATCATTCTCAGTTTCAAATTGATGTAGATTTTCTTTTCCTTTAATGTAGCAAAAATCTGTATGGAGTGCAAATTGTTTGGATTTGACTATAGTCTGCTTTCTCGTATCCATTTGCACTGGTGATTGATTGGTTTGCACAGAAGGTCAAAGAGGAAAATGGTAAAAAATAGAACTTGGATTCTGTGCATACTTTGTGTCCTGGTGGATTTGTTGGGTCAGGGAAGATGTGGTGACAGAAGTCAGGTTGCAAGGAGCGATGGCTGCTTCTGAAAAAGAATTCACCCTGCCTGAGTGTAGGTGGCAAGTTGAACCAATCATAGGAACAGGATGTTGGAGGCATCTGGGAGCAGCAGGACAGGTACCATGTGGCCAATGGTCCTACATCTGTTGCAGCCCAGTCATTCCAGTAGGATATGTGCAACTCAGGGGAGGAAGTCATAGGTGTGAGCTGGAAGCGTTCTCTCCGTAAACTTAACACTTCATGGTGGGCACCAAGCAACTAAAGCACAGCAAAAGGAAAAACAGCATTCTTCTTGTTGAAAGAGAGAGTCTCAAGAGGTTGATGAGCCTCCGTGACTCCATAGAACTGATGTCAGCCATTCCACCATTGCCAAATCCCAAAAGTTACTGTCTACTCTCTGCTGAGAAGTTTTCCATACTTTTTTTTTCATATTCTATGTCCCCATCTTTCTTCTGAGCAGTCCATCTTTCTTAGGGAATCTGACTGACCAAGAAAAGTTCTCTGTGCTTTTACACTTGACCCAGGTCCTGGGGAGGAGAGGAGAGACCCTGATGACAGGGCAGCAGATCTCTCAAAATGCAAAAGTATCCATGCAAATTGGGTGCAGTGGAAACCATCACTCACCCCTATTGCTATTTCTCTGCCCCACAGTGGGTGTTTCTCACTAGGCAGGGTGGGAATCAGGGGAATCAATGAGAATCACAGTTGATTTCCTGGTGAGTTGCTATTGCCACAGTGAGACTGTTTTCTTTGAGAAACAATACAGACTAGTTTCATAGAAACAGCACATTTTCCTCCTACTAAAATGATTTCCCCCTACTCTGATGAGGAAAGTTTACCTCCTTCCTCAGGGCGCTTTGATAACACAGGCTCCCCACTTAACTGAGATGGGCCACTCATCCCAGCTCAAATAAGTTCCTCTGGAAGCAAACCTTTCACCTTTTGTGGGCACCACAAGTTCATCTCCCCACACGATGGGCTAAACCCATGGATGGGGAATGCTGTGAGTCCAGTCGAAGTTGACTTCAACACTTCTACTTCCCTTCCCATGCCCCTTTCTCCCTGGTCAAATCCTTTCTCCACGGGGCTCTACGCCACCCACCCTCCCCATAACATGTTCTTATGGTTCCTTTGATGAGAACAACAGCCAAATAAAATTTAGCATAAAATCAGTTCATTAGAACTTTTATATTCTTCAAAGAGAAGCACAAGAAGAGACGTTCCAAGGAGAGTTTCTAAATGGTAAAACAATTTCTGACACTGCTTCCCTTGGGAACCTTCTGGAGGCTCCTCTATACCGCTGCTTGGTTTCCTGCTCATCTGTCAATGTGGAAGGCCAGACCCCCTGAGAGGAAAGCAAAATCTCGGAGTCTTGCTCTTGTTAGCAGCTGTAAGGAAACTCCTGTTTCCTGTCTCCTATCTACACTGTTCTAAGGAACCTCAGATTCAACTTCAGCTAAACATAGGGAGTACCTAGTATGTGCTGCATGCTTTCACCCATCTTTCCTCACAGAACCTTCCTAAGACATTTTTTAGGTTCTGGAGTGGTGGCTGAACATTTCAGAGGTTAGCTAACTTAGCCAAAGCCACACAGCTAGTGAGGACTTAAACCAAGAGCTCATTCTAAATCGACAGCTGAAGCAGCCTCCTCCACTTTCTCCATATCTTAGAATTATTGAAATTTAAATGTATCCTTTAATGTTAATGAAGATCTTGCTAATAAACCAGCTAGGTTCTGAGCTATGCTTTCTATCAGTTTCTCAAATGAAAAGTTTCTTAAATGTTCCCACTTCCAGCTGCTATGGAACCTCATGTCTAATCTTAACATTCCAAGGAAAAGCAGGACTGCAGGGAAGACCCTAAAATGTGCCTGCTGCCATTCCTGTCTTCAGAAGGGGTCCCAGGGTTCCAATCTATTTACTTCTTCTGTTTCCAGATGACCCTTTGAGTAATAAGCGGCTCATGTCACACAGTCTAGTTGAGTGGTTCCCAAACGTGGTTCCATAGATCGATTGCTTAAGAATCACCTGCAGCATTGTTTTTAAAAATACAGATGACCAGGTCTCCCCCTGAAGATCCTGACTCAGTAGGTCTGGGGTGGGGCCCCCTCAGGTGTTTTGATGCACAATCACATCTGGGAGCTTCAGGGCTGGTTGAAAAGATGAGGCACAAAGTTGGAGACCAGAGGTTGACCTTGGCATTACAACTGCTCTCTGCACTCAGTGCACTCACTTGTGAGCAGGGACTGAATCACACTTGTCTTTACGTACCCTCTGAGGCCACATATGAGAGCAGATTATGTCATGGGTATTAACATGCATGGAGAATATGCCACACAAATAAGAGCTTATTTCTATTCCTCTACATTATAGGCATTGCCAAGAAAGCATCTAAATTGTTTACCAATTCAAGATTTAATATCCATCATGTTTTTACTGATATGGGTGACTCCTTCCTCATAATGAGCAGAGAACAATCTCATTCCTGACATCTCTTAGGTGACTTCTCCTGTCAGTACCTAATCTGTTGGATCCCTTCTGATGCTAAAACTTTATAACTAGCCCTTTCAGCCTTAATTCCAATTTTTGCTCATGACCAAGTCTTCTAAATTATGTTTGACAGTTGATGCAAAAATTATAACACTGTCTGATATGGTTCTAAATATATGTGAAGGGACTATTTGAAATAATTATAAACAGAAGAGGGTAAAGGGAAGTAAAAGGAGATAAGGTTTCTATATTTTGTTTGAACAGGTAAAAGGTTAACACCAGCAGACTGTGATAAATTTCGTATATATAATGTAATACTTAAAGCAATCATGAAAATGGTATACAAAGAGATATACTAAAAATTATTACAGATGAACCAAAATGCAATTCTAAAAAATTTTCAAGTAACTCGCTGAAAGCCAGAAAAAGGAAACAGAGAAACAAAAAGCAGAACAAGCAAAACAAAAAATAAAATGCCAGACTCATGCCTTAACATATTAATAATTATAGTAAATATAAATGTTCTAAGAACACCAATTAAAAGACAAAGGTTGTCAGAGTGAATTAAAACCATGACCCAACTATTTACAACCTACAAGAAACTCACTTAAAATGCATTGATACAGGCAGAATTAAAAAAAAAAAAAAGAAAGGAAATATATATATTGTGCTAACATTAATCCAAGGAAAGCAGGAGTATATATTTTATTATACTTTAAGTTCTGGGATACATGTGCAGAATGTGCAGGTTTGTTACATAGGTATACATGTGCCATGGTGATTTTCTGTACCCATCAACCTGTCATCTACCTTAGGTATTTCTCTTGATGCTATCCCTCCCCTAACCCTCCACCCCCTGACAGGCCCTGGTGTGTGATGTTCCCCTCCCTGTGTCCATGTATTCTCATTGTTCAACTCCTACTCATGAGTGAGAACATGTGGTTTTTGGTTTTCTGTTCCTGTGTTAGTTTGCTGAGAATGATGGTTTCCAGCTTCATCCATGTCCCTGAAAAAGACATTAACTCATCCTTTTTTATGGCTGCATAGTATTCCATGGTATATATGTGCCACATTTTTTAATCCGGTCTATCATTGATGGGCATTTGGGTTGGTTCCAAGTCTTTGCTATTGTGAATAGTGCTACAATAAACATATGTGAGCATGTGTCTTTATAGTAGAATAATGTATAATTTTTTGGGTATATACCCAGTAATGGGATCACTGAGTCAAATGGTATTTTTGGTTCTAGATCCTTGAGGAATTGCCACACTGTCTTCCACAATTGTTGAACTAATTTACATTGCCACCAACAGTGTAAAAGCATTCCTATTTCTTCACATCCTCTCCAGCATCTGTAGTTTCCTGACTTTTTAATGACTGCCATTCTAACTGGCATGAGATGGTATCTCATTGTGGTTTTGATTTGCATGTCTCTAATGACCAGTGATAATGAGCTTTTCTTCAAATGTTTGTTGGCCACATAAATGCCTTCTTCTGAGAAGTGTCTGTTCATATCCTTTGCCCACTTTATGATGGGATTGTTTGTTTTTTTCTTGTAAACTTGTTTAAGTTCTTTGTAGATTCTGGATATTAGCCCTTTGTCAGATGGATAGATTGCAAAATTTTTCTCCCATTCTGTAGGTTGCCTGTTCAGTCTGAAGATAGTTTCTTTTGCTGTGCAGAAGCTCTTTAGTTTAATTAGATCCCATTTGTCAATTGTGGCTTTTGCTGCCGTTGCTTTTGGTGTTTTAGTCATGAAGTCTTTGCCCATGCCTATGTCCTGAATGGTGTTGCCCAGGTTTTCTTCTAGGGTATTTATTGTTTTACATCTTACATTTAAGGCTTTAATTCATCTTGAGTTAATTTTTGTGTAAGGTGTAAGGAAGGAGTCCAGTTTCAGTTTTCTGCATATGGCTAGCCAGTTGTCCCAACACCGTTTATTAAATAGGGAATCCTTTCCTTATTGCTTGTTTTTGTCAGGTTTGTCAAGGGTCAGATAGTTTAGATGTGTGGCATTATTTCTGAGGCCTCTGCTCTGTTCATTGGTCCAGATATCTGTTTTGGTACCAGTACCATGCTGTTTTGGTTACTGTAGCCTTGTAGTATAGTTTGAAGTCAGGTAGCATAATACCTCCAGCTTTGCTCTTTTTGCTTAGGATTGTCTTGGCTATACGGGCTCTTGTTTGGTTCCATATGAAATTTAAAGTAGTTTTTTTTAGTTCTGTGAAGAAAGTCAATGGTAGCTTGATGGAGATAGCATTGAATCTATAAATTACTTTGGGCAGTATGGCCATTTTCACGGTATTGATTCTTCCTATCCATCCATGGAATGTTTTTCCATTTATTTGTGTCCTCTCTTATTTCCTTGAACAGCGGTTTGTAGTTATTCTTGAAGAGGTCCTTCACATCCCTTGTAAGTTTGATTCCTAGGTATTTTATTCTCTTTGTAGCAATTGTGAATGGGAGTTCACTCATGATTTGGTTCTCTATTTGTGTTTTATTGGTGTATGGGAATGCTTGTGATTTTTGCACATTGATTTTGTATCCTGAGACTTTGGTGAAGTTGCTTATCAGCTGAAGGAGATTTTTGGCTGAGATGATGGGGTTTTCTAAATGTACAATCATGTCATCTTCAAGCAAAGACAATTTGACTTCCTGGCTTCCTATTTGAATACGCTTTGTTTCTCTTGCCTGATTGCCCTGGCCAGAACTTCCAATACTATGTTGAATAGGGGTGGTGAGAGAGGGCATCCTTGTCCTGTGCCAGTTTTCAAAGGGAATGCTTCCAGTTTTTGCCTATTAAGTGTGATATTGGCTGTGGGATTGTCATAAATAGCTCTTATTATTTTGAGATACATTCCATCAGTACCTAGTTTATTGACAGTTTTTAGCATGAAGGGATGTTGAATTTTATCAAAGGCCTTTTCTGCATCTATTGAGATAATCATGTGGTTTTTGTCATTGGTTCTGTTTATGTGATGGATTACATTTATTGATTTGTGTGTTGAACCAGCCTTGCAGCCCAGGGATGAAGTTGACTTGATTGTGGTGGATAAGCTTTTTGATGTGCTGCTGGATTTGGTTTGCCAGTATTTTATTGAGGATTTTCACATTGATGTTCATCAGGGATATTGGCCTGAAATTTTCTTTTTTTGTTGTGTCTCCACCAGGTTTTGGTATCAGGATGATGCTGGTCTCATAAAATGAGTTAGGGAGGAGTCCCTCTTTTTCTATTGTTTGGAATAGTTTCAGAGGGAATGGTATCAGCTCCTCTTTGTAGAATTCAGCTGTGAATCCATCTGGTCCCGGGCTTTCTTTAGTTGGTAGGCTATTAATTAACTGCATCAATTTCAGAACTTGTTTTTGGTCTATTTAGGGATTTGACTTCTTCCTGGTTTAGTCTTGGGAGGGTGTATGTGTCCAGGAATTTATCCATTGCTTCTAGATTTTCTAGTTTATTTGCATAGAGGTGTTTATTGTATTCTCTGATGGTAGTTTGTATTTCTGTGTGGTAAGTGGTGATATTGCCTTTATCATTTTTATTGTGTCTATTTGATTCTTCTCTCTTTTCTTCTTTATTAGTCTGGCTAGCAGTCTATTTTATTAATCTTTTCAAAATCCAGTTCCTGGATTCATTGATTTTTTGAAGGGTTTTTTGTGTCTCTATCTCCTTCAGTTCTGCTCTGATCTTAGTTATTTCTTGTCTTCTGCTAGCTTTTGAATTTGTTTGCTCTTGCTTCTCTAGTTCTTTTAATTGGGATGTTAGTGTGTTGATTTTAGATCTTTCCCACTTTCTCCTGTGGGCATTTAGTGCTATAAATTTCCCTGTAACCACTGCTTTAGCTGTGTCCAAGAGATTCTAGTACATTGTGTCTTTGTTCTCATTGGTTTCAAATAACTTATTTCTTTCTGCCTTAATTTTGTTATTTACCGGGCAGTCATTCAGGAGCAGGTTGTTCAGTTTCCATGTAGTTGTGAGATTTTGAGTGAGTTTCTTAATCCTGAGTTCTAATTTGATTGCGCTGTGGTCTGAGAGAATGTTTGTTATGATTTCCATTCTTTTGCATTTGCTGAGGAGTGTTTTACTTACAATTACGTGGTCAATTTTAGAATAAGTGCGATGTGGTGCTGAGAAGAATGTATATTCTGTTGATTTTGGATGGAGAGTTCTGTAGATGTCTATTAGGTCTGCTTGGTCCACAGCTGAGTTCAATCCTGAATAGCCTTGTTAATTTTCTGTCTCATTGATCTGTCTAATATTGACAGTGGGGGTGTTAACATCTCCTACAACTATTGTGTGGGAGTCTAAGTTTCTTTGTAGGTCTCTAGGAATTTGCTTTATGAATCTGGGTGCTCCTGTATTGGGTGCATACATATTTAGGATAGCTAGCTCTTCTTGTTGCTTTGATCCCTTTACCATTATGTAATGCCCTTCTTTGTCTTTTTTGATCTTTGTTGGTTTAAAGTCTGTTTTATCAGAGACTAGGATTGCAACCCCTGCTTTTTTTTGGCATTCCATTTGCTTGGTAAATATTCCTCCATCCCTTTATTTGGAACCTATGTGTGTCTTTGCACGTGAGATGGGTCTCCTGAATACAGCACATTGATGGTTCTTGACTGTTTATCCAATTTGCCAGTCTGTGTCTTTTAATTGGGGCATTTAGCTTGTTTACATTTATGGTTAATATTGTTATGTGTCAATTTGATCCTGTCATTATGATGCTAGCTGGTTATTTTGCCAGTTAGTTGATGCAGATTTTTTCATAGTGTTGATGGTCTTTACAATTTGGTATGTTTTTGCAATGGTTGGTACTGGTTTTTCCTTTCCATATTTAGTGATTTCTTCAAGAGCTCTTGTAAGGCAGTCCTGATGGTGACAAAATCTCTCAGCATTTGCTTGTCTGTAAAGGATTTTATTTCTCCTTCACTTATGCAGCTTAGTTTGGCTGAATATGAAATTCTGGGTTGAAAATTCTTTTGTTTAAGAATGTTGAATATTGGCCCCCTCTCTCTTCTGGCTTGTAAGGTTTCTACAGAGAGATCTGCTGTTGGGTAACCTGACCTTTCTCTCTGGCTGCCCTTAACATTTTTTCCTTCATTTCAACCTTGGTTAATCTGACAATTATGTGTCTTGGGGCTGCTCTTCTTGAGGAGTATCTTTGTGGTGTTCTCTGTATTTCCTGAATTTGAATGTTGGCCTGTCTTGCTATATTGGGTTCTATATTGGGTTATATTGCTAAGTTCTCTTGGATAATATCCTGAAGAGTGTTTTCCAACTTGGTTTCCATTCTCCTCGTCAATTTCAGGTACACCAATCAAACGTAGGTTAGATCTTTTCACATAATCCCATATTTTTTGGAAGGTTTGTTCATTCCTTTTCATTTGTTTTCTCTAATCTTGTCTTCACGCTTTATTTCATTATGTTGATCTTCAATCTCTGATATCCCTTTCTTCCACTTGATTGATTCAGCTATTGATACTTGTGTATGCTTCACAAAGTTCTCATGCTGTGTTTTTTCAACTCTATCAGGTCATTTATGTTTTTCTCTAAACTGGTTATTCTAGTTAGCAATTCTGCTAACCTTTGCTCAAGGTTCTTATCTTCCTTGTATTGGGTTAGAACATGCTCCTTTAGCTTTGAGGAGTTTGTTATTACCCACCTTCTGAAGCCTATTTCTGTCAATTCATCAAACTCAGTTTCTGTCCGTTTTTTTTCCCTTGCTGGGAGGAGTTGTGATCCTTTGCAGGAGAAGAGGTGTTCTGGTTTTTGGCATTTTCAGCCTTTTTGCGCTGTTTTTTCTTCATCTTTGTGGATTTATCTACCTTTGGTCTTTGATGTTGGTGACTTTTGGATGGGGTTTCTGTGTGGATGTGGCTTTTGTTGATGTTGATGCTATTCCTTTCTGTTTGTTAGTTTTTCTTCTAACAGTCAGGCCCCTCTGCTGCAGGCCTGCTGGAATGTGCTGGAGGTCCACTCCAGACCTTGTTTGCCTGGGTATCACCAGCAGAGGCTGCAGAACAGCAAATATTGCTGCCTGATCCTTCCTCTGGAAGCTTCGTCCCAGAGGGGCACCCACCTGTATGAGGTGTCAGTATCACCAGTGGAGGCTGCAGAACAGCAAAGATTGCTGCCTGTTCCTTCCTCTGGAAGCTTTGTTCCAGAGGGGCATGTGCCAGATGCCAACCAGAGCTCTTCTGTATGAGGCATTTGTCGACCCCTGCTGGGAGGCATCTCCCAGTCAGGAGGCATGGGACTCAGGGACCCACTTGAGGAGGCAATCTGTCCCTTAGCAGAGCTCAAGTGCTGTGCTGGGAGATCTGCTCCTCTCTTCAGAGCTGGCAGGCAGGAACGTTTAAGTCTGCTGAAGCTGTGCCCACAGCAGCCTCTTCCGCCAGGTGCTCTGCTTCAGGGAGATTGGAGTTTTATCTATAAGATCCTTACTGGGACTGCTGCCTTTTTTTCAGAGATGTCCTGCGCAGAGAGGAGGAAGCTAGAGAGACAGCCTGGCTACAGTGGCTTTGCCAAGCTGCGGTGCAGTCTGCCCAGTTCGAAATTCCCAGTGGCTTTGTTTACACTGTGAGGGGAAAACTGCCTATTCAAGCCTCAGTAATGGCAGATGCCCCTACCCCACCAAACTTGAGCCTCCCAGGTTGACTTCAGACTACTGTGCTGGCAGCGAGAATTTCAAGCCAGTAGATCTTAGCTTGCTGGGCTCCATGGGGGGTGGGATGCACTGAGCTCGACCACTTAGCTCCCTAGCTTCATCCCCCTTTCCAGGGGAGTGAATGGTTCTGTCTCACTGGCATTCCAGGGGCCACTGGGGTATGAAAAAATCTCCTGCAGCTAGCTCGGTGTCTGTCCAAACAGCTGCCCAGTTTCAAAACCCAGGGCCCTGGTGGTGTAGGTACCTGAGAGAATCTCCTGGTCTGTGGGTTGCAAAGACTGTGAGAAAAGTGTAGTATCTGGGCTAGAATGCACCATTCCTCACGGGACAGTCCCTCATGGCTTCTCTTGGCTAGGGGAGGGAGTTCCTTTAATCCCACTTTTTACACCACAGATGAAAAAGCTTTCTTTTGCCTTCAGGGAGATGTCATTCTGGGTCCTCTGTCTGCAGGTCTTTCCCAAGGAGCTTCCATGATCATCTTTATCCACCTGGTGCTAAGGTTACTTCAGTTCTTTTCAAACTTGAATGTGCATTAGAAGGGCCTGGGAAGCTTATCCTTCATCAGCTTCTCAAGTCCTGTCTCCCAGTAGTCTGGTCCAGTGGGGCTGGGCTGATGGTTGCACTTAGCAGCGGCTCCAGGGAATGCTGTGCAAATGATCCAAGGAGCAAACTTTGGGAAACACCATGCTGCACCTTCTTTCCTGATCAAGCTGATATGCATTCATATTTACTGTCCTGATCAAGCTGATATGCATTCATATTTACTGTCCTGATCAAGCTGATATGTGTTCATATTTACTCACTGACATGGAATTCACAGCATCTAGAAGGGATTAGCCTGAGGATGACCTTTTCACTATCGGTGAAGAAATACTTAGCTGAGTGCTACAGAGCCTTTCTACTCAAGGTGGGACCTATAGACCAACAGCCTTTTCTCATCTGGAAGTTCATCATGGATGCTGAATCTCAGGTCCTACCCCAGACCTTCTGAATCAGGATCTGCATCTTAACAAGACCCTCAGGTGGCACATGTGCTGATTAAGGTGTAAGAAGCACAACTGTAATGGCTGCAACATGGGTTTGGTGTAAGGCTGGTTTGAGTTTTTTTTTTGTGTCATAATTTATTAGTTGTACAAGCTGGGTTCAGTGGTGTCACCTTTCTGAGTATCTCTTTTCTCATCAGTGAAATGGAAATAATAGAAACTGCAAGCACTGATTTACTCTTTACCACCTTCATGGATATATTGTCTAGGAGAATTCCTGACACAAAATAGTGTTCAATAAATGTCAGCTTCTTAGTACTCTTTCTACTTAATTAAGTAACAGTGTCCAAAATTTACATGGGGAATATGGATATTGCTTAGGAAACCAGATTATTATTTAAACACTGCAGGCAGACAACTTAGGTATAAAGAATTATGCAAGAAAGTACTTGAGGGAACTGAAGGACTGTCTGCGAAAAGCATGCCAAGGACACTTCTTGTGTGACTAGAAGTAAATAAAGAGAGATATGCAAGGAAAGCCTTGGGAGGATGGATTACAAAAGGGTGGAGTGCATCTTTCCAGTGGATTCCACAAAAATTCAATGGTGTGAAACTGGAGGCTGAGAGAGGAGGTCAGTTAGGCAACAGCGATAGTTTGCCCATGACTCTCTGGAAGGTGACTGAGAGATGGCAGTTACACTAAGAATGAATCAGAAAGAATCTTCTGTCTTTCACCAAGTCTCAGCACTGGCAGAATCAGGGCAAAATCTGTGGGAGTGGTGAGCTTTGGAGAGAGTCTGCCAACATGTTCAGAGCCATTTCAGGAGAGCAGGGAAATGGGAGGTTGCCACTATGGTTCAGCACACACTGACAGTGTCTCTTTTGTGCCCAGAGAGGCACTAATCCTAAAATCAAGCCACTGAATTGGAATCCCCACCATGCCACTCACCATCTATGTACTTTGGGCAGGTTACCTAACCTCTCTGTGCCTCTTTTTATTTTCAATATGTAGCTAATATAGAATATTTACCAAAGAATCAGTATAAAGTTTAAATCAGATAATGCATATAAAAAGTCTGGCACTGAATAGTTTAGCAGAATTTTTATTGAGTTATGATTGTAATGACTCTATAACACCCACAGTTATAGGCAGTGAATGAGGACTCAGACGTGGAGGTCAGGTAGGAAGTCCATGTCTCCAAATAACCTTGAGGCACTCAATGTTTCACATGTGTCAAAGTGATTTCTGTTCAAACTTAATACAACTCTAGAATAATGGCACTTGCCCTATCATTTAGACATCCCCAAAGAGTGCTCAGAAAGGGGACTGTATACCCAGTGATTGCCAAGAAAGCTAATTACCCGATTCCTGAAAAAGTGCACTGGTAAAGCTGCTCCAGGTCTGTTATCTTCGTGACTTATTAGCAGGGCATCATGGAGAGAGAGCTTCCATCTCTGTAACTCATGCTTCCTGCTGGCTATTCTCATGGTGCCACTCCACTCTCAGAGGAGGGGACCTTCCTTGAGGTTCCAGGCCCTCCTCCTCCAACGCCCCACCATGTGGCTTCGCCTGCCTGCAGCTTCTTCCCCCGACTCCTGTTCAGATCTAGGCCTGGTAGTCTGCATTCTCTGCTAAAAAAAAGCCACCTTATTCTTTTAATTAGATCCCTCTAGAAAACATCTAAGGAGCCACATACTCAGCTGCTGTCAAACACTGAATCTGAGTCTGTCTGATAGTGAAGAATAATTTGATAAGCCACCCAAAAATAGATCCAACCAAACACTATAGCCATTTCTGTTAGGTGGCTTTGGAACTTAAGCTAATGCTGTATCATGCAAAAGACACACATTCAGCTTTTTCAGATAGAGTTAATTTGCTGCTTCATATATGCCTTTTAATTTTTCACTCTTTGGAGGGCAACACATGATGTATCCAAAGGGCAATGACATCTCTGTCTCTGGCATCATTGCGAGCATCATCCTCATCCTTCTGATGGTGACCATTTATTGAGTATCAGACACTCTGCCAGGAATTTTTGCATATAAAATAGAAACTTCAATGTAAAGCAATCTACTTCTTAATAAATCTTTCAGGGCAAATATTTGCAAAAAATGGTTGTAACTGTGTAACTTCTTGTTAGAAAAATAAACATACTAAGCCTTGGAGGACATCTGCCAAACCTAATGATTTTGGCTTCAGCTTGTTATCATAGACATTCTTTTTGACAATAGTGAGATAATAATGGAAATTATGTATTAGGGTCACTGGTATTTCACCATGATAAATAAACAAACAAACAGAAAATTATGTACATACACCTATTCTCAGTCACAACTGGAAAGTAGGATCCAGTCACTACGATATAAGTTAGAAACAATCACGTTCAGAAGACAGCTCCATTTCTCACTTCATGTTTATGAGTCACATAACTGTCTGCACCAAACTGACCATCATATTGTTGTTAAAGAACAAATTCAAGTTGGGCATGGTGGCTCATGCCTGTAATGTCAACACTTTGGGAGGCTGAGGTGAGAGGATCAATTGAGGCCATGAGTTTGAGACCAGTCTGGGCAACATAGCAAATCCTGTCTCTACAAAAAATTTAAAAAATAAAAATAAATAAGAACAAATTGAGTAAAGACATTGGTAACTCAGGTCAATGCATCTTCACTCATGTTATACCAAATCAGAGGCTAAGGAAGAATCAGTACAGATGACAGTAGTGGGAACCTACATCATTTTCTGGACAGATTTATTCTCAAGGTGATAAGAAAACTTAACAGTGGTCAAGGATATCAGAGTCATGGTTAAAGGCTTCCTGCTCCTTCATCATGTGTTAGCTTGAGAACCTCCAGCCTACCCTTTGCTAATGAAACAAGTGGTGTAAGTGGCCAGGGTAAGGGGACATTCAATAAACTGCCTGGTTTGTGGTTTTGAAGACATAGAGGTATGTTGTCTAAAAGAGGAAGAATTACTCTAGGCTTACTGAGTTAGGTCTAACAAGTTAGTGAAGAGAAGGGCTCAACAGAGCATCAACATTTTGATGTCAGAAAATCTTTACTAGATGTGTTAAAATTTGAACTTCTTAATCACAAGTGTTATCTACAAAAAAACAAGATAAGGAACTTGCGTCTATAAAGTTCCTAAGCTTTCCTTGAATTATAAAGTTGAGAAGAATGGGTCTTCTAGATTATCAAAGGCGATCTGGGCTTCCATGATCTTTTTTTTTTTTTTTGAGACAGAGTCTTGCTCTGTCACCCAGGCTGGAGTGCAGTGGCGCGATCTCGGCTCACTGCAAGCTCCGTCTCCCAGGTTCACACCATTCTCCTGCCTCAGCCTCCCGAGTAGCTGGGACTACAGGCACCCGCCACCGTGCCCTGCTAATTTTTTGTATTTTTAGCAGAGACGGGGTTTCACCATGTTAGCCAGGATAGTCTCGATCTCCTGACCTCATGATCTGTCCACCTCGGCCTCCCAAAGTGCTGGGATTACAGGCATGAGCCACCACGCCCGGCCTCCATGATCTTATTTACCAGATTTATAGCTAGTTCCCCTAATCTGCCTTTATGCTCAGTGACCAGTAAATGCAGGTCCCCCCGTAAGTATTTATTGTAAGTGAGTGTTTAGAGAGGATAATAGTTTTACAGTAAAATTTAAATTTAATATAATTCTAGGTGCACCTTGCTGATTTCTAAATTGTTTCATATATCACATCCTCAAGCTGGCCTGGGATTAGTTGATTTACTGATGACACTTTTCAAACCAATAAATGGAGTGATAATAAAACACCACCAGTAAAATTGGAACATTTCTCATTCTGTTCCAATCTTTAGTCCCCAAAACAAACCCTGGTCCAATTATGAGTATAGATAAACTCCAGGACAGATATAGCTAAGATTACATTGAGGGGAAGATCCCCGCCTTCCACCAGTCCAGGATATCAATCCTCAGAAGGACTACTGCTGATACGTATCCACATTTCCCACATGGGCCAGAAGTGTTACCATTCAGCAGAGCCAATTTATGCATGGCAGTCATTCCATCCCTCAGGGACTCCACACAGAGGCCTGGGGAGCTGCTCACCAAGGACATTTTCAGCACTATGAGATATGTGGAATACTGAGCTGACATCAAAGATTGCTTTTACTGATGACAAGGTTACATCACAATATTGAAACAAAGCACGTTTAACTTCTCAAGGAACTGAAACAGCACCGGAAGGAAAATGCTCCTGTGGCATGAGCTGAGGGACTTGGCTTATATTTCCTTAATGCTTACATTCCTTTAAACTTACATTGTCTTTAAGCTTTAATATGAGGGTTGGCCAGCCTAGCCTAACTCCAAAAATATTTCCCATTATAGCCCAGGATAAAAAAGGTGTCTATGCCACAATATTTAAAAGAACAAGGAGGTTAGGTATCACAATAACGCAATGTTAAAACCCATTTTGAAAGAGTTAGCACATTATGACCTTTCTTTGGGATTCCAACTAGACAAATTTCAAAAAAGGCATTGTAATCACTGGGAAATCCGTGCACTAGGGACTGAACTAAACATAGAAGATTATCACTGTGTGTGTTGAGTCACTGAGGTTGAACTAAAATTATAGCAGTTTAATGAGTATTCTGACTTGCATCTCTTAAATCCAAGCTATTTGAAGGCAGATATTTTCTATTTCCTGAAGCCCTTAGGTTTCACCTATGCTCATAGTTGCAGGGTTTTTCTCGAGGTGTTCCTTCTGACTGTGCTTTTAACCTCAGGGATCATTTTGTTTCTCTGACTTCCATCTTATTGGATTAAACCTGGATCCTTTCCCTTCCTGTGCTTTAAGCTTGCTACACCATGTTGATGGTGTGTGCCTGACCACTTCATTTTGCTTCAACCTGAGATGCAGCCGGTCTCAGTTCTGTACACTACAGGTGCATGTAAACTCCCCAAAAATACTACAGCCCAGCCAAGATCCAGTGTCCCCAAACTGGAGATCCAATAATTGACCAGGAATAGCATCACTTGTAAGCCTCATTGTATGTGCAATATTGGGATTGGTGCAGCAGCGGAGATAGTTTCACTTGGCTAAAATGTGCAAAGGGAACCTTGACAAGATCTATTGGAAGAAACCTGCTAGATGTAGGAGGATGGAGCTTCACACTGGAACCCTGACTGTAGGATGGAGAGAGAACTGCATCTGAGAATACATCCACATGGGAAATGGTATTGCCTGATCAGGGAATTACAAACACATTCACAGTTGGTGTGGAGGGTTTATATGAAGGGGCTAGGGAGGAACAAAAGAAGATAAGACTAGAAAAATAGTAGCAGATGGTGAGTGAGCTAAGCTGTTTGGTGGGGTTTTGACTTGATTTTGCACTTCAGAAAATACAATGTATGAGGGCAACAGGCTTGGAATCAAATATATTTCCTGGTAAAATTTGTGTAGTGTATGATGAATCTTCCAGAGATTTTAGGGATAGATATGACTTTACAGGAATATAAATGTCACAGATTCAAAGCAGCTACAAATATAGTACTCTCCACTCCATCTCTCATCAACAACGGCAAAAATGTCCACATTTACTTTTCACGATATGACTGCTCCACAAATAACCATGGTAATTCCACCGGTACCTGTTGCGATGGTCGCACTGGACTCTCTTGGGAACAGTTGGCATCTTTTGCCCACTGGATTCCTTTTTCTATCCCTGCTCTCCTTTTTATGTTGCTTTCACTGCAAGTTCTCTGAACAATATTTTGAAGCTGTGACCTTTTAGATAGGATAAGCATTTAAAAGTTTTGCCTTGATTTAAATTCTGAGCATGAGCCAGCTCTTTTTACCTAGACATACTGTGGGGTATGAAAAATTGCTAGAACAATTTAGCTATCTCCAGTTGGTGTCAAATGACAATAAGTGAATTATACTTTTTGTGTCTCGGTGTTTTTCCATCTTTTACAATTCATACTATGTCAGAAAAAAAAAATCAGAATTTGCCCCTGCTGTATTTTGATGCACTTCCTGAAAGATTATCAGCCAAATAAGTCATACTCTCAGGGAGGTGATATGGTCCAACTTATTCTCATAACTTACAGTTTGGATTTATTCTCCCTTTGCTCTCTTCCAAGTTATTATTTTACTGGCAGTAAAAAAAAATGGATCCATCTAGCTATCAGATAATATTTTGGAACCAGCATAATTTTCACTCTCATAAAGGGCAGCTTGAAGTGATCAGCAGGATTATCAAAGTAGCAGTGTTTTGTCTTTTTATAAATGACTGGAAATGACTGAAAGTACGGACCAAGGGACTTTGGGGCTCAAGTAGGGCAATGAATTATGATTTAATCTTTATTTTGAAACTGATTATCTTAAACTAATTTCCACTTCATATCAAGGATTTCAGGGAAAATAGGATATGTTTTACATAAGATTAGGCAACTGGCTTCAGTCAAATAATCCTGTATAAAGCTGGTTACATTTCTCGAAACACATGTTCCTTGTTACTGAAAGGAAACATTTGCCTTTAGTAGAGTCCCTGATTGTTGTTAATCTTATTACTATTATTGTCGTCAAGACTATGGAGTGTGTGTAAATATGTATGTGTGAGTGCATGTGTGTACCTAAGCTGAGTGTACTCCACAAAACTTTGGCATGAAATAAAGGTGAAGATGGCCTTCCTATGAGTTTATTCATAAAGTCCATGAGTCTTTAGGCAGAGAAAATGACTGCATACATCCAAGCTGACAGTAGGTCTTGCACATGAGAATTGTGACAAGAGACATATCCTTAACCTTGCATGTAGTATGCCCTTGCTAAGCAGTGAAATTGCCGTGCATTTGGAGAAAACCTGGTGCTAGAGCTCTGTGCAAGGATGTAGTAGGAAAGGAAAGATTCTGGGTATGGCATGGAATGATACCACACTTATTGTTGTTGTACTCAATGAGATTTTGTCTCAGGTTCCTAGTAAGAATCTCAGAAGGTGACTCAAATAAAGGATTAGACACACAATACTATAGAGATGAGCTAAGGTAGCATGGCCTGCACTTGGACGTCTATGATGAATTGCAACACTGCAACCTGGCAGGGTCTTCTTTTGTCTCAGCTAGAGCAGTGTGGACAGAAATGGCAGAAAGGACTATGAGAAGTTGGAACTGACACAAGCGAGGCTTCAGACAGAGCAAGTGTTTCCCACAAAGTCAGCACTCATTGCCTGGAGCAATGGCAGAGCTGGGTGATCCAAATGGTTGGCAGGCAAGGAATACCACAGACCAGGAAAGAATTGGAATGGCACCAGTACAGAAACCATCACAGGCACGTGCTTTGGGTTTGAAGAGACAACATTACAATGAAGGAGATGGTACAAGGCAGTGGCATAGAGATATCCCTTCTCTGCTAGAAAAGAACCTCCATGGCAGCCATGCAGAAAGGGCAGGTCACCTTAAAAGTCTGCCTGTAGGTGGAAGAGTGGGTGGGTGCAGGCAGTGGGGGAATGGATTGGAGTGTGAAACTCCAGGAATTCTGAAGGTGAGACTATTGTTGGTAACTTATGCGCTCTCCATCACACCTACTTAGGTCTCAGATATGTAAGAATTGGGGAGCATGGATTACCTTATTAGAATTCATACCAGAAAGCCATAGAGTGAACAGAGTGAATGCTCTCCTTCCCCAGTTTCAGTCCCCAACACTTGGTCTCCCCTTGGATGTGTACAGGAGATGAACCTCTTACTCTCCTCTAAGGTCCAGTTCTCGGCTCAAACTGAGACCCTCTGTTTATGGGCAACTCATAAAGCAACTCCTGGTCTGATTTTGAACAACCTGCGAAGACTTAAGAAGGCACCTCGGAGACCCCTTGAGATAGTGGCCTCAGTATAACCATATTCTAACTTCCTTATCACACAGCCTAAGAAGAAAGTGTTTTTGGGTGGAGAGGAAGGTAGACTTGCTTGATATGAAAGCCACTGTCCTCATCCTGACCTCTAATTCGAGTTCTAGTTTCTTATTTTGAAATTCACTTAGCATCTCCATCTGAAAGCCCATTATCTTTACACACTCAATATGTCCTATTCTTAACACATTAACTTCTCACTTCCTTTCTTAGTTCTTATTTTTTCAGTGGAACATCCTTCCATTCTCCCAACCTCCAAACTTGGAAATATCTTCCATTTCTGCCCTAAAACTCTTCCATAAAACAATATGTATTTAAATTATTCTGGCAATTAATCTTAAAATGGATGAAATCTCTTGTTCTGTATTGCCATTGCACCACCATAATCAAAGCATCCATCAACTGGCTCCTGGACCAGAGTGATTCTTCCACTACCCCCATATGTCACTGACAGCTCTGCCTGTCCCTCTGCTATTCATAAATTTAGCCATTGCCTGGCTAGTCCAGTCTGGTCTCATCTCTCTGGTCAGGCTTGTTGGTCTTCACTTCCAAATAATGAAATTCCCACTTCTTAGTAAATAACCTCAGCTTTGCCCAAGGCCTATGCAGATCCATTGCATTTCCACATGAACAACCTGGCAGCTCCTCCTCTTCTTCCTCCTATCAGCCTTGCTAATTTCTACCATCAAGAATTATAAAGTCTATTTTAATTCTCGCCATGTTGATAAAGTGATCATTAGAAACTTTAGCTGCTACCAACTTTGAATAGCTCTGAGCTACACATTTTTTGGCTGATAGTGGGCATGCAATAAATACTTGAAGTAAATTACATTCTATCATATTAATCTCAATCTCCTTCATGTGTGAAAGTATTGCCCTTTAAACTATAGTATAAGGTCTCTGAATTTAATAAATGCTTGCTGGATTGGATTTACTGACTCATGTTGGAAAAATAGACCAAAGAATTTTAATTTTTAAATCTATGCTTGGACACGATGTATCAAAAGCATTGTTTAGACACAAAGGAATTTTAAGCAAATATTTCTCTTCTATAGTATATACCAGAGGAGAAGAATCGATGCGATGACATTCTTTTTCCTTTTAGGGTACATGCTACTACTTTAGGAGTCAGGGCAAAATCTGTCATTTTTATCTGACACTGCATGGGAAGACAGTTAAAGGAATGGTTTCTACTTTCTGGATTTCTACATTCTGGTTAAGAAAAGACTAATGTAACGATGAATGACTTTGGGCCAAAATAGATGCTATTGGATGTGTGCTAGAGGAATGCACAGAAAGGGTTATCAGTGGGTACCAAACAATCAGAGATGGTCTTGCATGGAAGGGGCTGTAGATAAGAAACTTGAGTGAAGGGTCATGCTTTCAACGGGAGAGTTAACTCTGGAAGGGCCACATTAACTCTATGAGGGCTAACACAAGTCCCTCTTTCTGTGTTTCAGTGTCTCCTGGAAAATGAGGAACAAGAGGCTGGGCGCGGTGGCTCACACCAGTAATCCCAGCACTTTGGGAGGCTGAGACGGGTGGATAACCTGAGGTCAGGAATTCGAGACCAGTCTGGCCAACATGGTGAAACCCCCTCTCTACTAAAAATATAAAAATTAGCCAGGTGTGGTGGCAGTTGCCTGTAATCTCTGCTACTCGGGAGGCTGAGGCAGGAGAATTGCTAGAACTTGGGAGGTGGAGGTTGCAGTGAGCTGAGATCACGCCATTGCACTCCAGCCCGGGTGACAACAGTGAGACTCCGTCTCCAAAAAAAAAGATTAAAAAAAAAAGAGGAACATGGGTGAGATTATTTTCAGGGCTACTTGCAGGGACCCAAGGTAGGGAAGGTGGGCATCATGGATCCCAGAATGGAGGAGGGACAGTGATCACAGCACCATAAGGGGCTGAGCGAGTCTGAGCAATGTCACTGGCTGTGGTCAGGGCAGCTCTTCAAATAACAGCTGGCCTTGAAGAGGGAGATAGCAGGCACCATGGGTTCAGGATATTCCTGCCAAACAGTTAAAAGTAGGAGGGGCTGTGCAGCTTCTCTTGTTCAGGTATAGCCCCTGACGCTGAAGTCCTGAGATTCTAGGAATTTATCTATAAGACTTAGCTACCATGGCCTGGAGTTGTAGATAAGTGTATGTACTAAGAGGAAAGAAGAAATTTTGCCTGGCTGGATTATTAAAACCCATTTGGAAGAGAAGAGTAAGATAAGGTCACATTAACTACATATCAAATGCTCAGTAGCCACATGTGGCCAGTGGCTGTTGTATTGAATAGTGCAAATATAGAACATTTTCTTCATTGTAAAATTTATATTGGGCAGGCTGTGCTCTACATTCCACAGTGAGTTCATTGTGAGTCTCAGAGTGAGATGAGAAAAGAGGAAACACTTGCTCTCCCCAAACTATCTTTGATATTATGACACTTCAAAGATTTCCAGAACCTCTCAAAGAATGTCACAAATTATTTTTAAGTTAATACATTCCAATTCAGGCCAATTAAAACAAAAAAAAAGATGTCACATTCTTTTTTTTTCCTGTGAAGAACAAAACTTTTATTGTTCACATCTTTTCTGAGGAGCTTTTTTGAGCATATCTAAAAATAGAACGTGTTCCAGGAGCTCATGCACACCTTGGGGACAGCACTGTGCACTTAGCCGCTCAGTGTTGCTCAGGTGCTGCTGCACCATCCAGAGACCCTTTAGAATTTCTCCCTTTGGATCTTCTGTCTTTTCCCTTGTGACTTACTGGTGCCTTCTGAGGAATGGGATCCATAGTTGGCTGGTGTGTAACAGTATTCCAGAACCCAGGAGACACAGGGGTATAAAGTTGGCATCTTGAGGGGAAGCTTCTCACCTGGCCTTGGTTTGTTATCAAAGATAGAAATGTGTTTTCAGCCATCTGTCCTTTCTAGGACTAAACTCCCTTTTCTTATCATATAGCAATTTTGAGAAAGAAGATTCAGAACACAACTAAACACACAACACTTCAAATTCCAAGGACCTAGAGAGGGCCTTAGAGAGCTGTGCTTTTTTCTGGGACAAATCCCCACCCCGACCCGCGACACCCCAGGATGACTAACACAGAGCCATGAGTGGAGATGCATCCGTAAGTAGGTGATGGCCTGAAGATACTCCTTAGGAGTGGAGGAGAAAACCATGAAAGCAAAATGTGGTTCCCAACCTCCCAGCCCCCTCAGTAGCTGCTGCCTTCCTCTTCATTCTAAACCTCAGGCAGACCTGCTGCTATTTCACAATGCAGGGGCAAGAGAGTCACACACTGGTAAACATATCTTCAACCACAGAAAACATCTTTCTTTGGTGTTCCATTTGGCTTATTACAGGACAGAGGAAGGAGTGAGTCACATGGCTGAGTTTTCTTCCATGCCATGCATCAGCATACCCTTCAAGCTTTAAGCACTCTCAACAACATATTTACACAACAATAATATTGTATTCAATGTACAAAATGAGACCTCAAAGATGCTAAGATAAATAAGACATGGTCTCTGCCCTTGAAATGTTGAGCGATTACTAAAGAAGAGTAAAATATCTGACATGAATGTCATCAATTTTACCTCTCTTAAGCAGACCTTATTAATCTATCATTCGTTCATACAAATATTAATTGAATGTCTGTTATATGCTCAGATTGAGCCAGACATTGAAGATACCATGGTGTAAAAGTCAGATAAGGCCCTCACCCTTATGAAGTCTGCATTTAACATTTTCCCATTGAGCTCAAATATGGCCTCAGAATCCTTCTCAACACGGTGCTTGGGGCAGTACCACTAATTCCTTAGCCTGGTAGAGAAGAAACCCAATATCTCTGATCCATGGACGGACAGGAGAAATAGATTCATATATTAAATGATGCAATACCGAGTGGCAAACACTACAACATAGATACAAGATAAGTTGTATGGGATCTTACACAGGGGGTGACCTAATTTTAACCAGGAAATTCAAAGAAACTGCTGAGAGGAAATACGGTTTTCCAGGGACTTGCAGGAAGTGTAGGAGTCCATAAAGCAGATCAGAAGGGGTGGGTGATCAGTGGGGACAGGGCAGAGGGAGGAGCAAGAGCAGAGCCCAAGCAAGAAAGGGCACAGGTGATGTTCAGGGAGCGTATGATGAGAATCTCCATGCGGGCAGAGGATGTGATTAGGCTCCACTGTGAAAGGTTATCTGTTCTATTTTGTGGACTTGAGACTTTATCCTGGTGGCAACCAGGGGCCCAGTGAAGAACTTTAAGTGAAGAGCTTTAAGTGAAGTGAGGAACTTTAAGCATATAAGAGCACAGGCCCTGAGCCAAAGAGCCTATGTTTAAATCTCTTCTCTTCCCCTTACTAGCTGTGTGGCTATGGGCTGGCCAGCTCGCCTTTCTGTGCCTCAGCTTCCTCATCTGTAGAAATGACAATACCATTCACCTCATTGTGATAATTAAATGAGGGGATATATGTAAAATGCTTGGAACATTGGCATGTAGAAGTCATCTATGTGGATTATTTCTGTGCTGTTTGGAATTTGGAAGCTGAGGCACAGAAAGCAAAAATAATTTACTCAGGACCACAATGCTGCTTAACAGCAGAAGCTAGATGCCTATCCATCATACCAAAGTGCTTTGAACATAAGTGTTGTCAAAATCCATCTCTCCCAATGGATCCTAAAAGATACGTTTTCATTTGTTTAGATGATGAAGAGGAAATTCATTCTTTTAAAAACTCTTTGTCATTTCTATTTCCCCCTTTTATCTTAAGATGCTCCAGCTGCTTCCCATATTATGTTCCACCACTATGTTTTCCTTTTATTTTAACATGCACCACTTCAATTTCCGAAAACACAGTGTAATTTATCAATCAATAAATAAATCTGGACAGAAACACAAAGCACATTTTTCTCCAGGAGCATTCCCTATTCACAAGCACAGGGAGAGGAAACTCAGTGGCATCTTGAGCAAACATATGCATCAATACACACATTAAGCAGATCCCTGTAAAAGACTGTACCAGCTCTGTCGGAATCCTTTGCTTATGATTGAAAAAGAAAGCTCATCTTTGAAGACTGGCCAGATCTGTCCAGTCACTGCACCAGTCCAAGGCACTTAAGGTTTGTAATCCTTGCTACACTTGTAGAATAAGTAGTTGGGCTATTAAATTGTTCAAGGAGGCATTTCCTAGATTTCTACATATGATCACCCAACTCCTTTTCTCCCAGATGAATCAAATAATATCTGTGGCCAGAAGCAGAGACTTTTACCACCAGGTTGAACCAAATTAGGCTGTGTCTTCCCATATACAAAGTGATCTGGGTGATTGGGATTGGGGTCTTTGATCAGGAACCACAAAAAGAGTCGAAGTGGACCGAAGAGAAGAAAGTGATATTTTTAGTTGTAAATCTTTGGGCAAGATAAAGGTTGCTGAGGTTTAGTACATACAGGTCTTAGAACTCTAGGATTTTTCCTTTTGTGGGAGGAAACAGCTGAGACTTACTTAAGGGGAAGGGGTGTAATGGGATATATATTTGGTATATTCTAGTATTTTCTAAAGGAAGAATTTTATGAGTCGGGTGGAAGCTATAAAACTTCATGGGTCCAAGAAGCAGCAGGATTCCAGACCTATATTTGGGTGAGGGGTCTCCATCAGTATTGCTATATGCAGTGCACTTGGCGTGCCGCAGTGCCCTGAATCACCAAGGCGGCAGTTAGTCCAGTTGGGAGGTGGAGCCTCATGCCCAGTGCTTGGTTCGAGCAAACACAAACACCAGCAAACTGCCAGGTGTCACAGAGCTCTGTGGGTCTCAATGCTGGGACCCATTAGGATTTTTTGAGGACATTGTTTTTCTTCATTTTTCTTTTTAAATTTTAAAAATAGAAACAGAATATATACCCAGTAAAGTACAGAAATCTTAAGTGTATATCTCCATGGATATTTAAAGAGTGACTTTGCCCATATATCACCTGCGTCAAGATATGAAACTTTTTCATTGTGGCAGAATTCTACCAAAAGAAATACTAAAAGGAGCTTATCGGGAGGAAGAGAAATGATCTCAGATGGCAGCAAGCTAAGGCAGGATAGAATGAATGGCTTGAACACAAGGAGAATGTGGGTAAATTGCATAAATATATTTTCAGTGACAATAATAATAATAATATCTTGTGAGAGCTCAAATAAATATCGAAATAAAGGACATGACAATAATAGCACAAAATGTTGGAAAGGGTCAAAGAGTTGTGAGGTCCTTGCATTATCTGGAAAATGGTAAAGGTGCTAATTTAAGGTAGATTCTCTTAAATCAGTGATACATTCTAGGATAGTCACTAAGAGAAGAAGGAAAGAATATGCAACTAACAAGCTAATCAAAACAGAAATTGGAATTTTTTAAATGTTTGATTGATCCAAAAGACAGCAAGAAGAAAAAAGGAACAAGCATAAGATGAGACAAATAGAAAACTAATAGTAAAATGGAATATTTAAATCCAAATATGTTAGTAATTGTACTAGATTGAGACAAACTAAATAAGTTTCATATATATACATATAATTTATTTTTATGTAGATAGTTTTTAATTTAATCTTTACATAGTTTATTATGAAACTTTATATAGTCTTGTGAGATTATATATATAATTAAATATATATATTATTCAATATAAAATCTCACAAGAATAAACTTTAAATATAAGAATATAGGCTGGGTGTGGTGGTTTATGCCTGTAATCCGAGCACTTTGGGAGGCCGAGGCAGGTGGATCACTTGAGGTTGGGATTTTGACACCAGCCTAGCCAACATGGTGAAACCCCTTCTCTACTAAAAATACAAAAATTTACCAAGTGTCGTGGCACATGCTTGTAATCTCAGCTATTTGGGAGGCTGAGGTGGGAGGATTGCTTGAACCTGGGAGGCAGAGGTTGCCATGTGCCATGAGCTGAGATCATGCCACTGCACTCCAGCCTGGTGTATTTTTTTTTTACTGTGTTCATATATATATATTTATATATATATGTGTATGTATACACACATATATATGTGTATATATATAAATATATATACGTATATATATATGTATATATGTATAGATGTGTATATATATAAATATATATACATATATATGTGTGTATATATATATATACGTATATATATACATATATATATATATGAACACAGAAATGTTAGGGAAAAATGAGAAAAGAAAAGTATGTAAACTGTAACCAGAAGAAAGTTGACATCACTTAACTAACATCAGACAATGTAAATTTTAAGGCAAATAATATTACTAGCAGTAAAGAAGACATTTATGATCATAAAAATTTCAATTTAACAAAAAGATATAAATTTGTATGCACCTGTTAACATAGCCATATTATACATCTATGAAAAAGAGCAAACTGCTCTTATATGTAACAACCTGAATCAATCTCATGGAAATAATGTTTGCAAAAGAATATATACTGTATAATTTCATGTAAAGTTCAGAAACTGGCCAAACAGCCACATGGTGAGGCCAGTCATTGACTTAAGAGAATCCACCTTAAATTAGCGCCTTTACCATTTTCCAGGTAATGCAAGGAGCTCACAACTCTTTGATCCTTTCTGACATTTTGTGCTATTATAGTCATGTCTTTTAATTCTACATTTATTTAAGCCCTCACAAGATATTATTATTATTATCACTGAAAATATATTTATTCAATCTGCCCACGTTCCTCCTGTGCTTGTGACACCCATTCCATTCTGCCTTAGCTTGCTTGATAAGCTCCTTTTAATATTTCTTTTGGTACACTTCTACTGCAATGAATGGCTTTAGTTTTTGCTGAACAAAAAAAATTTATTTCTATTCTGTAACCATGTCATTATCTTGTCTGGTGGCTTCTGTTGTTTCTATTAAAAATTCAAATGTTAGTCTTATTGCTGCTCTCAGAAGTCATGCGTCTTTCTTACCTGGCTGCTTTTAAGATTTTTTTCTTTTTCTTTTGAATTTAGCAATGTTATTATGAGGTGCCTCGGTGTATTTATCCTGGTTGGGTTTAAAGAGATTCTGGAATCTGTAGCTTTATATTTTTCATTTATTTCAGACAACTCTTTGTCTTTTTTTTTTTTTTTTGCTTAATTATCTCTTCACTTCTTAGATTTCAATTATACATTTTAGACATTTTCACTATATTCCATTAGAATGTTACTTTCTTTCATTTTTTCACTGTGTGTGTGTGTGTGTGTGTGTGTGTGTGTGTAGGAGATTCAATCTAGATATTTTCTACTGAGTACCTTCCAATTTTTTAATCTCTTCTGGTTTGTGTAACCTGCTGTTACATTCATTCAGTGAATTCTTCATTTTAGCTTGCATTATTTTTGGTTCTAGAATTGTCATTTGATTTTCTTCCATATATTTTAGTTCACAGGAACTAATTATCTTTTTCTTGAACATATTAAGCATAATTATTTTAAAATCCATTTCTGATAACTCCAATATCATAATTACCTATGGTCTGTTTCTGTTTTATTTGTATCTTTTTCTCTTGCCTTTTAGTCATCTGGTCTAGTTTCCCGGCATGCTATTAATTTGAATGCTAGGTATTATCCATGAAAAATAGTATGGGACTCTGGAACATTTTATCTTCCTCTAGAGTGGATTTAATATTTTTCTGGCAGGCAGGTAGAATATAGGAGGATCACCTTAATCTAAGCATCCATTGCCAAGATTGAGGCTTTTCTTTTTGAGGGCTCATATATTTTCTGTTTGTCCTTACTCCTAGGGTATAGCTCCTTGGAGTGATCGCAATAAAAGCCTGGGACATTTACAGTGGCCTGACCTCCCTAGCAGGCTCAACTCATTTTCATCTCTCTGGTTCCATGAGGCTGTCTGAATTTCTGTTCAGTGTTGTAGACTCGCAGATGATGCTTGTTACTGTTTCTTGGCACTGCCTCGAGCCCCTCCCCAACTCTTCCTGGTACATGCACCACTGAATAACTGACAAATGTCATAATAGGAAACGACATGCATTTGGGGCTCAATTATGTATGGTTTTCATTTCTCCAGGATTGTGGCCCTTCAGTTCCCTGTCACATTTGTCCCCCTTCAGCATGGCCACAGGGTTTATGAAACTGATTTTTGTTTGGCCTCTATGCCCCATGACATGAATTGTCAAATACCCCAAGGGGTGGTAAAATAAAATAAAAAGCACATACCAAAAACTAACTAACTAACTAACTAACTAACTAACTAACTAACTAACTAACTAACGAAACAGTGACAACAAGAAAAAATACAGCTGTTTCCCATCTTTCTAGGATTTTTCTTCAGTCTTAGCTGCTTGAACTGTTCATCAATGACTTCAAACAGAAAGAGTTATTTCTGTGTTTTATTCCGTTTAAATAGCTGTTCTCAGTAAGAGGATTTGTCTGCAAAAACTACTCCTACATAAATGGAAGAAAAAGATAGTTTGGGAGGTGGGGCTGGAAAGTATTAGTGTCCAGGCCCCATTCCACACTAATTAAATGAGAATCTATCGATATGGGAATTGATATTTTTTTAAAGTGCCTGTAAATGATCCTCTTATGCAGTCAGATTAGAAAACTACTGATATAAACAAGCCGTATAAAATTGACTGAATATTTGAGATGTTTTTAATATAGAGTTGGATGATTTAATGTCATGTGCAATCCTTACTGCCTCCCTCATATTTTTGAATATAAAATAATAACCTTCTGATCAAAAGATAATCCATCCCACCATGCCATTGCGATCCTCCCCTCCTACCAACTCTGGAAAGTTATTATTCATCTTCAAGCTTTCACCTTTTCTTCAGAAAATAGATACACTTTTGTAATTTTGTCTTAAATATCTTGTACATTTCTAAATATATATGTTTTACACATACATGGATATATTGATACACATTTACATATACTTATACATACCACTGCTATTGCAAATAGAATTTTTCTTTATTTTTCTAATCTATAATTGCATGTATATATAAGAACTATTCATCTGTGGATAGTGATCTGGTATTTGGGCCTCTTTGTTGTTATCTCATAAGCTCCAAGATATTTTTTGACAAATTCCATTTCTAAGTATCTAATCTTATTGCTGTAGAAACAATATTTTTTTTCCTTCACTACTAGACACAGTTCTGATACATGCTTTCTGTTTTGACATATTGGCTGGAAATTCTAGGTCAGGTTGGCAGAAGAGGATCTATTTTTTAGAGTGTTATATTATCAAATGTGAGTGTGATTGATGCCTAAAATCAGAAGGTAGTTTATTCATTTTTGATACAAAGCATTGTAAATATATCCTACAATAATAAGAAGAATGTTGTTCACTTTATGTTTGCATGTTTTCATCCCCAATTCTCAAAGCCCACTCTGTTAGAACAGAGATATCACAAATAAACTTTCAATTAAAAGAGAGCGAGAAAAAAGCCCACTCTAAGTAGGTTATGGCACCACCATCTTCACTGAAATTACTTTTTAAAAGTCACCAATAACCTCCACCATGCTAAATCAATTTCTCAGTCCTTATCTTACTCAAATTATTAGTTGCATTTGACAAAGTTGATCACACTGTCTTATTGAAACACACATCTTCAGTTGTCTTCCAGGACATTGTACTGTTCAGGTTTTCCTCCTACCCCCTGTCAGAGCGCCATCTTCTTCCCATCCTCTAAATACTGAAATGCCCAAGGACTCATTCATATCCTCACTCTCTAGGTTATCCTCTGTTGCGAGTTGAATTTTTCTCCCTAAAAGATATGTTGAAGTCATAACTCTGAATACCTATGAATACTTGTGAATAGCTGTGAGTGTGACCTTATTTGCAAATAGAGTCCTTGAAGTTATTAGGATGGGCCCTAAAGTAACATGACCGATGTCATTATGAGAAGGATATTTGGGCAGAGCGCACAAGTAGAATGCCATGTGATGAAGGAGGTGGAGACTGCAGGGATGTAGCCTCTGCAAGCCAAGGACTGCCAAGAATCAGTGGTCACCATCAGGGTCAAGGAAGAGGAAAGGAAGGATTCTACTCAGACTCTCAGAGGGAGCATGGCCCTGCTGATGCCTTCATTTTTCAGCCTTCCAGCCTCCAGAATTGTGACCATGCATGTACCACCACACCCGGCTAATTTTGTACTTTTGGTAGACAGGGTTTCTCCATGTTGGTCATTCTGGTCTCGAACTCCCGACCTCAGGTGATCCGCCCTCCTTGGCCTCCCAAAGTGCTGGGATTACAGGCGTGAGCCACTGTGCCTGGCCAAGTTTCTTTTTTTCAAGTCACCAAGTTTACAGTAATTCCTTAGGGCATCCCCGGGAGACTAACATATCTTTACCCCCTTAGCTTTAAAAACAATGGTAGGGAAAATTCTAAAATGCTCTTTAATACTCCCAGCCTTTAGTATACACACACCTTCTTCAGATACTCAAACAAAAATTTGCTGATATAATTAACATCCCAAACCAGTTGACCTTAGGATAAAAAGATTTTGCAGGTAGGCCTTACTCAATTACATGAACTCCTTAAAATCAGGTCTTTTTCTCTAGCAGGCTTCAGAAAAGGAAGTCAGAGATACGAAGAATGAGAGGGATTTGATGCACAGTCACTAGCTTGAAGATTGGAGGGGCCATATGGCAGGTCTGCAGGTGTCCTCCAGGAGTTGAAAGTATCCTCTTACTGACAGTGGCATGGAAATAGTGACCTCAGTCTTACAACCACGGGGAACTGAATTTTGTCAACAACAAGAATGGGTTTATAAGCAGATTTTTACCCAACCTCCCCGCCAAGACAAGAACTAAGCTCAGATGACAACTTGATTTCAACCTATGAAACCCCAAGCAGAAAACTCAGCCACACTGTGTCATTCTGACCTAGAGGACTAAGAACAAGTTCACCATTCAATTGAAGTAATTTGTTACATGGCAAGAGCAGACCAACATGAATACCATCTATGTGCTGATGACTTAAATGTGTATATTTAGCTCAGCTTCACTCTTGACCTCCAGTCTTATGAATCTTCATTAGTATGAATAAAACAGAAATTTTGACTCTCTCCACTCATCAATACCTATTTTTGCTGAATTATATATAATCAGCCAGACATCATGACCATCTCCTTGGAATATGCCCTCTGCATTGCTGAGAAAAAGATGGGAACTATAGCTTTTGTAATCTCCTTGCTTGAATGGTCCCAGTTTAGAATTTTCTAATGAGAGAAACACACAAGATTAAGAAGGCAAGAAAAAAGATGAAGCCATTATCCTCTGCAGACAGTTACAGACTGACAGGGGGCAGATGGGAGATTCACAGCATTTTTCTGGGGAGCGTTTGAGAACCACCCACTTCACTCCTAGAGCCTCAGATAGTTGCTTGAAATTTCATAGAGATTTTTGAGACTTGCAGCACTTTGCAGTGAGTTTTTGGAACCCCCTGAGTTCTCAGTATCAGGCTGAGCTCTTCAGTATCTGCTCCACTGATCTCCAGTATAGACATCCTTGTTCCCTCTTCTCTGACTCTTCCAACAGTGGAGTAAGGTCTGGATTCACACGAGATGCCCCTTATACCTGGGTACATGGGGGAGCTTGTGTTCTTGTAACCAAACCTTCAGTGATATCTCAGTTCACCCCCAATGCCTGCCTTCCCCAACAATGAAAATGGCATTTTTACTTACAGAGGCACTCATGCCTCAAGGCAGGGTTCATCCCTGATTCCTCTTTTTCCTCTTGTCTTCCATGTGGTGCATCCACATTCAGAAAGCAGCCAGATGGATTCTCTTTTAAATTAGGAGAGGGTTCCATTTTTCACTGTAAGTTCTTGAAGAACATTAAAGCATTTCCCACACATAATCCCTAGAAGCTGTTCTCAATCTCCTGGCTCTCTTCCCCCAGAAGCTGCTGCAGAGACCCTCTCATGCCAATTCTTTAGGTTCCGTGGCTTTTGGAGTCCCACCCCCTGTGGCTTCTCTTTCCCCCTCTCCATACCATCTCTGACTTCATTGCTTGACTTATCTCTTTTTCAGCTCAAAAGAATCTTTTTTTTTCTTTAAAAAGAGGGCATCTATGTGTACAAATATAACATTCTCTTTAGCAGAGACAGATGAGTGCTCATCTGTTAATACATTTTTGTGCCCTTATATAATGTTCTCAGGAATTTTGGTAGCTTATCTGACACAACCTGGCTTAAAAAAAAAAACTATTTTAGTTATAAAAAGTTTTAGAAAACTTCAAACATATGCAAAACTAGGCAGAGTATAATGAACTTAAATGTGCCCGTTACCCATCACCCACAGAGCTGTTTCCACAAGTAACAGCTCAAAAGCAAACTTATTCTTATTTTATCTGTACCCTTACCCGCTTTTCCTCCCACCTCCTGATCATGTTGAATCAAACCCTAAATGTAACATTAATTCACCTGTAAATATTTCAGCACATTATTCTAAAAGATAGGGATTTTAAAAGTATTATAATACCATTATCATATGAGAAATAATTAACAATAATTTTAATATAATCAAATATCCAAAGTTTATATTATCCAATTTTCATGGAAAATACTTTTGCTAATTATATATATATATATTTTCTTTTAATTAGAGTAAACAAACTAATTGTTGATTTTATTGGGTGCCAGATAAAGCCCATGCATTATAACTAGTCAAATGATTCTTAAATCACTTTTAAGCTATGATTTATCTCTTCATCTCTTTAGTTTATGTAATTTTTGTTGTCGAGGGGGAAACTACATTTTTCTCAGTATGGGTTTTTCTAATTGTATCCCTGCGGTGGCCTTTGAAATGCTTTTCTGTCTTCTATATTTTCTGTGTATTGACTGTAAAAGCTAGAGGTTTGTTCAAATTTATTTCAGCTTTTTTGAACTTTTGGGTAACACCATTGATTAGATGGTGTTATATATATATATAACAACTGTCTATAAATCAGGGCTTCCCATGACTCCCTCTTATGTTTGATAATTTGGTATAATGGTTCACAAAATTCAGGGAAACATTTGACTTCCTAGTATCAGCTTATTGTAAAGGATACTATAAGTGAATAGCCATTTGGAAGAGCTGCACAGGCCAAGGCATGGAGGCAGGGAATAGAGCCTCTGTGCCCTCTCGGTACATACCATTCATCCAGCACATCCACGTGTTCACCAACTTGGAAGCTTTCAAACCCCATTGTTTAAGGGGCTTTATGGAGGTTCCATTGCACAGGCATGCTTGATTTCATCAATGGCCATTGGTGATTGAACTCAATCTCCAACCCCCCCCTTCCCTGGAAGTGACAAAGTGGGGCAGAAAATTTCAACCCTCTCAACATGTGGCTGTTTCTTCTGGCAACAAGCCATCATTTGGAGGCTCTCTAGAGGCCATCCAGGGCCACTTATTTAGCATAAATCAGGTATGATTGAAAGGGACTTGTTATGAAAAACAAAGATGCTCCCATTATCTCCACCACTTAGGAAATCCAGTGGTTTTAAAAGCTCTGTGTCAGGAACTAGGACAAAGACCAGATATATATTTCTTACTGTCATAAACAAACAGCTACCACTGTATGTATTATGAGAAGAGGGGCTTTAGAATACGAATTGGGGTTTACATCTTTGTGAGTGGAGCTGGAGGGAGGACTGGAAGTCAGAAGGACTTCAGTCAGGAAATCAGAAAAAAATTCAAGAATGACTTGGGCCTGCACATTGGGTGGGTAGACAGGTGCTTGCAGCAAAGTCCAAGAAGCCACGATGACTTTGAGTTACCCAGAATGACCACAAAGTGGAGGAGCATGGAGAAGTCTGGGAAGCCACCACTAGTGGATGTTTTTTACTTCCAATAATATGGTTTTGCTTCACATGCTCCTTCTAAACCTCAGTTTCTTCCTTTGGCAAAGTTTAATCTAGAAAATATTAGGGATTGTATTGTGTCCCCTGAAATTCGTATGTTGAAACTCTACCCACTGATACTTCAGAATGTGAGTGTATTTGGAGATAAGGCCTTTAATGAGGCAACTAAGGTTTAGTGAGGTCATATGAGCAGGTCCTAATCCAATAGACTGGTGTCCCTAAAGAAAAGAAAGAGACACCAAAGGTGTGAGAGCCTAGAGAAGAGACTATGCAGGATACAGTAGGAAGGTAGCCATCTACAAGCCAAGGAGAGGGGCCCTGGAGAAACCCAACCTGCTGGCACTGTAATTGTGAGTTTTCAGCCTCCGGAACTGTGAAAAAATAAATTTTTGTTGTTTAAACCACTGAGTTTGTGGTATTTTGTTATGTCAGCCCTAACAAATTAATACAGAATAGATGTTTGGAAATGTAGTTTCCAGCTTTAGAAGTGAGTGTGGTCATGGTGCTGAGTTGACAGCAATAATACAACAGATTTTTAGCATCCTCCAAAGCTGACCAATGAGGGAGTCTGTGTGTGTGTGTGTGAGTGTGTGTGTATGTGTCTGTGGGGTAGTGTTTGTAATAATACATTTATGAATTTAACAAAAATTTTGTATTTCAATATTAATGCTTGAGTTGTAACACATTTGTTTGGTGGGGGCCTCTTTAAATTGACTCTTTGGTTCTTTTGAGATGATCTAAGTGGTCTCTAAGAGCTTCCTTGCTTTTTAGAATAAGACAGTCCAGGATTATGTTGTACATTTACTGTTCCAGAGCTGGAATCAATTATTTCTCAAAGGAGCCTTGATTTCCTTTAGTGTGAAATGGTAATGAGGAAACACAGGCTGGGTAATAGGGGTGCTTGTTACTATTATGTTGGTAATTATTTCTATGCCTTTTTGGTGGACATAGATAGAAAATAACAGATTATGAGTTCATGCCAATATTTTTGACTTATGTTTAGGACTACAGAGTCTTCACATACTTTATTGGCTTTAAATCTGTATCTCCTTTCTCCAACGCCGAAAAATTGCTAGTTCTTAATGTAGTAGATTCTATTAAAGCTGTGGGTGACCTGCCCAGACTCTACTTACTTGGCTGGTGCACACATCCCTTGGAGTGGTGAGTATTAGCAACAAATAGCTCACAGATACACCCTTCTCTGAGAAAGTATCTTGGTTGTGAGTCATGCCCCTTGAGAGCCACTATATTCTTCTCCTGGAGTCAGCCTGCAGTCAATGGCTGACTAATACTGTATTTCAAAATACCAACCCTCTTGACTCAGGGGTTAATGTGGTGTTTGTTATTGGGGGCAAAAATATTGCATCTCCCAGATCTTCATAGTAAACTATAGCCTTTAATGCTAAAATTATCCTTGTCTTTCTTATTCCTCTTGCTATTTTTTCTGCATCTGTTTGCTTTCTCTTTTATAATTGCATTGGCTCATGTGTCCTTAAACATTTTTCTCTGGTTTGCTCATTTTCTCACTTAATTTAGTATTCAAGTTCACCTTCTCAGGGAAGCTTGACGTTCTGGCAACACTTCTGATCTTTTCTCCAGCTTTATCTTTCTTCATAGCACTTGCCGCTATGTGAATTGATACTAATTTTTTTTTTTTTTTTTTTTTTTTTTTACTAATTTGTTGTCTCTCTCTTTCTTAGAATGCAAACTTTGTGGAGGTAGGGATTATGTTTTCCTTCCACCCTATCCCCAATCCTCCGGCAAGCTCATGGCACAGAGTAGGTACTCATAAACATTTGTGGAATGAAGGAAAGGTACTTGTCTAAAGCATAAGATATAAGCACCCTTTCATGAAAGGCCAGAAATATGAGAAAGCAGAGTAAAGGGACTTAGAATCCAAGACAGAACTAATTATATAATGTAAATACTTGACAAGCATCAGAGAAAGGAAGTCTGGGGCATCTAGTCGTGTGATGAGAGGATGCCTGCCTTTGAAACTGAGCACGTCTGTGGGTCTTTGAATCCTTTTCTCTGAACAGGTCGTAGTTGGGCAGATGGCACAGCCAGCATGCCTCCATGACTTGCCAACCACATTTCTCATGGACCCCTTTGTTGGACCTGAATGTGTTCAAATATTCGGGGCTTCTGTAGTCACCCTTTCATTTAATATCCAAATAAAAGAGCTTGAACCTTCATAAGACAAAATGTGGTAACACTTTGGAGACATTCAAGTGTACTTTTGTGTTTAGATTGGTGGGGAACTTGTCCTGCCATATCTTGCTATGAAGTCTTGTGAGCATTCGAATTCTGTGTCACTCCACAAATGATATTCCAGGATCTTATGGTCAGCCCTCTATCTCATGCTGCCTAACTGCAAGTAAGACATCTCTTTTTCTTCATCTTCTCAAAGAACCTCCAGAATATGATCTTTGTGTGATTTTTTACTGAAGATTTGAGGGTGAAGGGAGTTCATATTTACAGGTGTTATTACAACAAAGTTCAAGAAATGCCCTCATATTAGGAATCCTCTATTGTTGTTCTAATTAGTTCATTGGCAATTTCCCAATACAGGACATTTCTCATGGGCTACGTCCCTACATAGGCCTTAACTACTGTCACATTGCAGGGATATGTTCATTCTGGATCATTTTTCTTATACCTGTGTCCCTTATTCCAGACTCCTAAGTCTTATCTTGATACACCAGTGGACAACTACAAAATGCCTATTATTCTTTTTTGCAGAGCAATTTAATTCTCTTTGTTAATGCTTCTCCATTACTGGCTAGCTTGAGAAAAAGGAGGGTTTACTCTTCTCAAAAAGATCAATCAAGCTATTTTCTTTCTTTCTTTTTTTTTTTTTTTAAAAAAAGCAAATCTCTCCCTATGAAAAATCATTCTGAATTTCCTTGTCATCTGCTTAAGTCATAGTTTTCTTTTAAAATAATTATTTTCTGCCTGCCACATTATCATATTGTGTCAGATTCTAGTCAATTATTGTAAACCTTAAAGCCATTCAAGGAGAATTTGCATAGATGTCTGCTTTGATTTTCACCTGTAGCTTCTAGAAGCCATACTGCATTCCATTTTCCCAGGGGGTGTGATGAGACATCACTAATGCACCCAAAGTTCTTGATAACATTGGTCAATGTGGTTTTACTACTTCTTGGGTTAATTATGGTAATTAATAGGCTTCCAGAAAGTCACATATTTCTTAGCGTGTTTTTTGTGCGTTGCCATAGTCTCACCATTTTTCAAATCTACTCCATATCACCATGTCCCTTCTGTCGTGGGTTAAATTGTGTCCTGCAAAAAGATATGTTAAAATCCTAACCTTAGATGATATGGTTTGGCTGTGTCCCCACCCAAATCTCATCTTGAATTGTAGTTCCCATAATCCCCACATCTTGTGGGAGGGACCAGGTGGAGAAAATTGAAATGTGGGTGCAGTTTCCCCCATTCTGTTCTCATGATAGTGAGTTCTCATGAGATCTAACGGTTTCATAAGTGGCTTTTCCCCCTTTTGTTTCACTTCTCCTTGCTGCTGTCATGTGAAAAAAGACGTGTTTGCTTCCCCTTCCACCATGATTGTAAGTTTCCTGAGGCCTCCCCAGTGATGCAGAACTGTGAGTCAATTAAACCACTTTCCTTTATAAATTACACGGTCTCGGGTATTTCTTCCTAGCAGGATGAGAACGGGCTAATACACTAGGAGGTATTGGTGAACATGACCTTATTTGGAAATAGAGTCTTTGCAGGTTTAATTGAATAGGACTCTGAGAGAAGACATTCATGTGTAAAGCCACCCAGTTTGTGGTAATTTGTTATGGCAGCCCTAAGGGAACTAATACTAACGTTGATTTATGTCTGACATTTATTCTTGATTAGCTTTGCTTATTTGATTAAGGATTTAAAAGAAAAATGTTCATTTTCACTTCCTTTTAATACAGTGATTTATGCTTGTGTTTTGAATTATTTTCTTCTTATTATTCTAAGAGCCTTTCTGACTGTATTCTCCTAACTTTTAAACCATTGAGTAATTAACACTGCAATGATGAACAGACACCAGTGACTGAACCTGACAAAGATTTATTTGCCACAAATGAAAAGTCTACTGAGATTGGCCAGCCTTCCTCCACATCAGATGAAATTGCGTCATCTGAAACACTGGCCATCATGGTAAGAAGTCATGGAGTAAGAAGAGATGGAAGAGACACAGTCTCTTAACTGCCTCAGTCCAGGATAGAAATTTTGTCTACTCAGAGTTCATTGGCCAGAAGTAGTTTCAAGGCCCCAACATGACCACGAGATAAGGTGCCAAATACAGGGGAGAACTTGGAAAATTCAATTAATAATGTCTCTTCTGCTACTGTTTCCTTGGTTATTTTTTTTCTTCAAGTATAGTTAAACTCCATAAAGCAACAGATTTTTCTGTGAGCATAGCTTAGCTATATCTCTTATGTTTTAGAACATCTTCAGCCAGTATCCCTTCAGCTATGTATTTTGTCTCCAGTTACATGTGTGGTATTATCTACCATGGTCCCATGGGTCTCAGGTGCTCTGTTCTGTTTTTTTTCTTTTTCCTTGGCACATAAGTTTGAATAATCTGGCCCATCCTCAAGTTTGCTGACCTTTCTGAATGTCAGCTGAAATCCTAGGGTGTTGACCAGTGTCTTTCCCCTCTGGCCATCAGAACTCTAGCATCTCCCTAGCTCTGCGCAACCTCAGAAATCCCTGTTAGCTTTTCTACCAGGAGCTGCTCTCTGCTAGGCCTCTAGAGTTTTGCTCAGTACCTGTGCTGTATAGGATTCTGCGTGGGATAGGGACCCCCTCCCTAAGCCTTCTAGGGATCCTTCTCAGAATCCCTCTTCTCTCAGACACATGATCCACAATCTCATACACTTTAGTGGTCCAGTGTCTGTTTCCTTCCCCACGCCGTATTTGGCTGTACACTGAGTCTCCATTTCCATTTGGAAAATGCCGCAGGAGAAACCCAGGATGCATGTGGCGCTAACCTCCCATACGTCCCTTCTAGCCAAAATCACAGTGTTGTGCAGGCTGCTCCCCAGCACCTGAAATTGTGGCAACACACACTTTATCCAGCTTCATAGTTGTTTACCACAATACCAGCAAAAGTCTGTTATTACATACATTTTAAAGTACGGTGTTCTCTCGGCCGGGCGCGGTGGCTCACGCCTGTAATCCCAGCACTTTGAAAAGCCGAGGTGGGCGGATCACAAAGTCAAGAGATGGAGACCATCCTGGCCAACATGGTGAAACCCCGTCTCTACTAAAAATACAAATATTAGCTGGGTGTGATGGCATGCGCCTGTAGTCCCAGCTACTGGGGAGGCTGAGGCAGGAGAATCGCTTGAACCCGGGAGGCGAAGGTTGCATCGCGCCACTGCACTCCAACCTGGCGACAGAGCGAGATTCCATCTCAAAAAACAAAACAAAACAAAAAAACCCAAAAAGTGTGGTGTCCTCTTTTTCATAATTTTCCAAAGAGTGTAATTCTACTTTTATGTATGTATGCATGTATGTATGTATGTATGTATTCTTTTTAGAGACAGTCTTGCTTTGTTGCTCAGGCTGAAACGCAGTGGTGGTTCACAAGCATAATCATCACGCCCTACAGTGTTAAACTCCTGGCCTGAAGTGATCCTCTCGCCTCAGGCTTCCAAAGTGCTGAGATTACAGGCCTGAGCCACCATGCCCAGCCAACTCTACTTTTAATTGTTTATTTGATGAAATAATTTGTTAGGCTTTTTTTTTTCCTTCTTTATTTTTTATGTTTTATAATTTTAGTATTTGCCATCAAATAATATGGCCTATACATTTACAACTTTTTGAAATGAACAGAGGCTCATTTTTGGCTTAATAGACAATTAGTTTTAAGATAATCACTTCACAGTTCCATAAAATGATTATATAACCCTTGTAAAATTTAATGTTAATTTATTTAACCATCTCAATTAATCACTCCAATTTTCTATGTCCTTGCTTGATTTTGGTTTAGTTAATTACTCAAATACAAATAATATTGTGTAAAAGTTTCTCATAATTATTGTGATCTTGTCAATTTATTTTCCTTTTTTGTTTTACAGTTTTTGCTTAATATATTTTGGTGTTATGTTATTGACTGAATGAAGGTTTATGCCTTTCATTCTAATTTCATATTTTCATCCTATACTTTTTATTATTATGAAATTATCTTTGTTGTGATCATTTTTTCTTTGACTTGTAGATTGGTTAAAATTAATTTTGCTATTTTTGTCCTTTTTATTATTTTGCCAGATAAATTATTGTAGATCTTTTTCTAACTTTGTTATTTTGTTTCTAGACCTGTTAGTATAGACTGAGTATAGCTCAATTTTCTTTTCTTTTTTTTTTTTTCTTTTATTATTATACTTTAAGTTTTAGGGTACATGTGCACATTGTGCAGGTTAGTTACATATGTATACATGTGCCACGCTGGTGCGCTGCACCCACTAACTCATCATCTAGCATTAGGTATATCTCCCAATGCTATCCCTCCCCTGTCCCCCGACCACACAACAGTCCCCAGAGTGTGATGTTCCCCTTCCTGTGTCCATGTGATCTCATTGTTCAATTCCCACCTGTGAGTGAGAATATGCGGTGTTTGGTTTTTTGTTCTTGCGATAGTTTACTGAGAATGATGATTTCCAATTTCATCCATGTCCCTACAAAGGACATGAACTCATCCTTTTTTATGGCTGCATAGTATTCCATGGTGTATATGTGCCACATTTTCTTAATCCAGTCTATCATTGTTGGACATTTGGGTTGGTTCCAAGTCTTTGCTATTGTGAATAGTGCCGCAATAAACATACGTGTGCATGTGTCTTTATAGCAGCATGATTTATAGTCCTTTGGGTATATACCCAGTAATGGGATGGCTGGGTCAAATGGTATTTCTAGTTCTAGATCCCTGAGGAATCGCCACACTGATTTCCACAAGGGTTGAACTAGTTTACAGTCCCACCAACAGTGTAAAAGTGTTCCTATTTCTCCACAGCCTCTCCAGCACCTGTTGTTTCCTGACTTTTTAATGATTGCCATTCTAACTGGTGTGAGATGGTATCTCATTGTGGTTTTGATTTGCATTTCTCTGATGGCTAGTGATGATGAGCATTTTTTCATGTGCTTTTTGGCTGCATAAATGTCTTCTTTTGAGAAGTATCTGTTCATGTCCTTTGTCCACTTTTTGATGGGGTTGTTTGTTTTTTTCTTGTAAATTTGTTTGAGTTCATTGTAGATTCTGGATATTAGCCCTTTGTCAGATGAGTAGGTTGCAAAAATTTTCTCCCATTTTGTAGGTTGCCTGTTCACTCTGATTGTAGTTTCTTTTGCTGTGCAGAAGCTCTTTAGTTTAATTAGATCCCATTTGTCAATTTTGTCTTTTGTTGCCATTGCTTTTGGTGTTTTAGACATGAAGTCCTTGCCCATGCCTATGTTCTGAATGGTATTGCCTAGGTTTTCTTCTAGGGTTTTTATGGTTTTAGGTCTAACGTTTAAGTCTTTAATCCATCTTGAATTGATTTTTGTATAAGGTGTAAGGAAGGGATCCAGTTTCAGCTTTCTACATATGGCTAGCCAGTTTTCCCAGCACCATTTATTAAATAGGGAATCCTTTCCCCATTGCTTGTTTTTCTCAGGTTTGTCAAAGATCAGATAGTTGTAGATATGCGGCGTTATTTCTGAGGGCTCTGTTCTGTTCCATTGATCTATATCTCTGTTTTGGTACCAGTACCATGCTGTTTTGGTTACTGTAGCCTTGTAGTATAGTTTGAAGTCAGGTAGTGTGATGCCTCCAGCTTTGTTCTTTTGGCTTAGGATTGACTTGGCGATGCGGGCTCTTTTTTCATTCCATATGAACTTTAAAGTAGTTTTTTCCAATTCTGTGAAGAAAGGCATTGGTAGCTTGATGGGGATGGCATTGAATCTGTAAAATACCTTGGGCAGTATGGCCATTTTCACGATATTGATTCTTCCTACCCATGAGCATGGAATGTTCTTCCATTTGTTTGTATCCTCTTTTATTTCCTTGAGCAGTGGTTTGTAGTTCTCCTTGAAGAGGTCCTTCACATCCCTTGTAAGTTGGATTCCTAGGTATTTTATTCTCTTTGAAGCAATTGTGAATGGGAGTTCACTCATGATTTGGCTCTCTGTTTGTCTGTTGTTGGTGTATAAGAATGCTTGTGATTTTTGTACATTGATTTTGTATCCTGAGACTTTGCTGAAGTTGCTTATCAGCTTAAGGAGATTTTGGGCTGAGACAATGGGGTTTTCTAGATATACAATCATGTCATCTGCAAACAGGGACAATTTGACTTCCTCTTTTCCTAATTGAATACCCTTTATTTCCTTCTCCTGCCTAATTGCCCTGGCCAGAACTTCCAACACTATGTTGAATAGGAGTGGTGAGAGAGGGCATCCCTGTCTTGTGCCAGTTTTCAAAGGGAATGCTTCCAGTTTTTGCCCATTCAGTATGATATTGGCTGTGGGTTTGTCATAGATAGCTCTTATTATTTTGAAATACGTCCCATCAATACCTAATTTATTGAGAGTTTTTTAGCATGAAGGGTTGTTGAATTTTGTCAAAGGCCTTTTCTGCATCTATTGAGATAATCATGTGGTTTTTGTCTTTGGCTCTGTTTATATGCTGGATTACATTTATTGATTTGTGTATATTGAACCAGCCTTGCATTTTCTAAAACAGTCTGAGTGTCTTTGCCTTTTGATAGATGTATGCAGTCATTTAGGTTTCAGTTTTAACTGGTATGTTAAATCTGATATTGTCTTGTGCTCTGAGATATATATGTAGTATGTTTTATAACATTCTTTATTAATGGCCACATGATGTTACATAGCGTATTTTTGTTGATGTTTGCTATTTATTTTCAATAAATAATAGTTTGTTTACTTTTAAACATTAATTTAGAAGATATACATCCATTTAAAAGTTCCACTTGTGGTTATGTTTAGGTCAGAAAAAACTTTTATAGTAGACACCAATGGAAGTGGGGACTGGCTGGTTTATAACACTTTTTATTTTAAGTCTTAATGTATTGTCCTCCTATAGTCACCTAGTACAGAAGTTCTTAATCAGGGTAATTTGCCCCCATAGGGTGCTTGTCAATATCTGGAAACATTTTTAGTTTTCATAACCTGGGGAGAGAGGGTTCCAATGACATCTAGTGAGTAGAGACCAGGGACATTGCTAATCGTCCCTCAATGTGTAGGACAGTCCCCAACAACAAAGAATTATCCAGGCTCAAACGGCAATAATGCAGATGTTAAGAAACCCTGATCTAGTTAAACATTTTTATTTTACATACAAAGAATTTGAGACTCACAGAAGTGAGGCATCCTGTCCAAATTCACTCCACTAGTTAGTGCCAGAATGAAGGCAATAACCCAAGGCTGTAGCCTTTTCTACCACAGCACTCTACCTCCTGAACAGAGGTTCATTTAAAACAAGCCACTCCTGTGGCTGACATATGATAATATGTTAGATGCCCTTGCACAGGGCACCCTTTTTCACTGAAAGCTAGCAGCTGTAGTTTTTTTTCCCGGTAAATCTGAGACCATTTCTGCTTATTTGGCTTCTCAGCTGAATAAGATCAACTAAAATGTGGGTATTGCTATAAGACTTCAGTAAATGAGAATAGCCCCATGAGCAGCAAGCACTTTTGGTTTTCTGCAAAATATTAAATGTGTAATCTACAGAATTTGAGAGGAGGTAATCTACTAAGAGTTCATCCCATTCCACTGCACATCAGTCATGGCCAGGCAGACCGACTCTGCCTGGACAAATCAAGGGAGGGAAAGCTTAGGATTCTCAGATGCTGGTTGTAATGGTGATTATTACAAATGCAAGGTAGAATAGAAATTGCAACTGCTATTATGGCGACCATAAGGTAACAATTGAATTTATGTTAATAAATCAATCAGGAAAGAGTTTGTCAAACAGAACAATATGGGTTTTGTTGAGAAAGTGATTTGGAAAGGGAGTGAGGAAGGTATGAGGTCGGGAAGTGCTTTAACATGACAAGAGATGCAATTAAATTTTCCAAGCCCTAAAACAAGCCCTGCCTCCAGGTTCTACAAAGGAGCCAACCCACTCTAAAGACCCTAAATTCCTGAACCAGAATTATTATTCCTGCAGGGAAAATTGCAAGGAGAATTTTAAGAGTTAGTCAAGGTGGCTGACTCAACTCTATAGTTAGTCAATGTCTGCAAGCTGGAGAAGGAAAAACCAAATGGTTTCTGGGAACAAATCAGCTAGGAAGAAGATCTTTGAGGCATTGCCTATCATCCAAGGGAGGAGGAGAAGAAAACACTCTTTATTTAGATCAGCATTACAGATGTGGACAGAGATAAACAAATCATCAAAATTAAAATAAAAATGAATTTTAGTTTTGAAAACTATATGGAAATTTCTAAAAGTGGACTTTTGTTCTATAACTAATTTTTTAATTCATCTCTTACCCCTCAACCTGAGTTATTCCCCATTTTTTCTGTCTTTTCCAACTCAATTACTTGTACTACCATCTACAGAGTTGCTCAATCCACAGACTTGGAGGCGGTTGTTGGTTTTATATTCCTCCAGATCCTGTCACAAGCAATCTAATATCAAATTGTATGGACTCTGTCTTCTAAAATGATCTGAATTGTAAGCACTTGAGATGCCTTCACTGCTATGACCCAGGTTAAGGCCACAGTAATCGCTTATTTGGAAAACCATAGTCATTTTTCTGTATCCAACTCTTTACTTACTTCTAAGTTATTCTCTACACAACAGCAAGAGTTTTTGTTTGTTTGTTTGTTTTAAACAGCAATCAAATTCTATCACAGCCCCCCTTCTGGATATGGCCAAATGCCCTCTGGATAATTGGCCTCTATAATGATAATAATACCTTGAATTTATGTACCATTATCAATTCATCCTCAAGCAACGCTATAATGGTGGTTTCATTGATTCTCATTCTGTGAATGAGGACATTGATTTTTCAGAAGGTTAAGTAACTTGCCCAAGGTCACAAAATTAGGAAGAATTATGATTCAAGTCTTTGATGTTTTTAGGCATATACTGGCAGTTATTTCTCCTTGTATTTGGGAAAAAGAAATTGGTTCTCTCCTCCTCCTCGCAAGAAAGGCTTTTTATGTTTTCCGTAACTCACTCTTCCCACAAGCATCAGGCAGCATTCTATTTCTTTTATTTTAACATTTTGAATGTAAACTGGTTGTTGTGGTTAAATTTTCCACAGTTCCACATTATTATTTTAAAAAATAACCGAAGGAACAAGAAAAATAATTATGTTATTTATAAGCCTAAGCTTCTGTAGTGCTTTTTGTACAATAAAACTTAATTCTAATTTTTGTTAAGCAAATGAGGTTCAACAAAGAATATTAGCCTAATAATGAAAAAGTGTAATTTGAAATACTTTATCTTGTTTTTCACATAAATTTGGAACTTTATTATCAAAAAACAGTTTTGAATGACATTTTGTATTTCACATTCAATTAAATTCAATGCAATGCATTTAATATGCAAATGGGCTGGGGAGGCAGTAAAGGAAGTTGGCATTCAATGATAGACCAGAATTGGAGCCCAAAGGCCTGTGTTTGTGTTTACCACCTACTACTAAGAGCCTATGAAATTGTATAAGACAACTGTTGTCTCTAAATTTAAGCTGAACTGATGTGAAGAATGGGGGCTAACTCCTACCCCAAAAGGTTATTGTGACGATGAACAGAGACAACACATGCTCAAGTGTCTGCCATTGTGCCCAAGATGTAGGAGGACTTCGAAAGAGTTTACCATATCTGAAGTTTAATAGATGTACTTACAGAGCCTGAAGGAGGCTTTAATAAATGGGTTACATGGGAAAGATTTCATGGAGTATATTACATTTAAACTACCTGTTAAAGAATGAGTAGAATTGCAACAAGTGGAGATGAGTGCTAAAAAAATTCCAATAGAGTAAATGGAATGAACAAAGGCAAAAACATACCTAGCTCTGATTAGGAGCTACTTGTGGTGAGGGTTGACTTGGCGTAAAAGGTTTACAGAAGGACAGATGAGGAATTCATTGGATGATTAGATTGGGATATTTTATTTTAATCAAATCTGAAAATATCATCCACTGTAAGATGCACCATTATTCTACACAGCACTCAGAAAGAAAGAACACAGCCAAGGAAACTGCTACTCTAAAAGTCTTTATTTCATCGAAGAATTCTTTTAGAACTAGACATCATGTATTATTCTCATGCATAAATAGAAAAGAAAATAAAAGCAAAATAAATTGGTTCAAGAATGCTTAAAATATCTTTCTATTTGGCATCCTGGGTCATTGAAGTCCTGCATTTTCATACAGTATCTGTGTGTACCACGAAAAACACAGTGATGTGGCATTTCTTAAAGGAGCACTTCACTGTTGCTGCTGGTGTTTTTTCCAAGCTACTCAAGCCAGTTCTACGAATTCTGATGTGTGTCCTCAGGCAGTGGCAACTACATCATAACCACATCATGACCGTCATATGGCCAGCGATTTTAAGACAAACAGATTTCAGAGAGGGATATGTTAAATGCGAAAAAATAAAGTGTGGTTCTTAGAAAATCTTTGAAATTTGGTGGCTGCAAAAGGCCTTGCAAAAATATTATACTTAGAGTCTGTACTTGAATTTGTAGCCAACTGAGAAGTACAAAATGTTTTTGAATCAGATGGGCACTTTGGGTAAATCATCCTGGCACCAAGATACGAGGAGATGGGAAGGTGGGGGAGCCACAAGTTCTGCGGGCTGGTGAGAGATGAAGATGGTCCCAACCAAGGGATCAGCTGAAACAATGGAAAAAAAGAGACCATGTTCATAATACTTCCCTTCATTTTTTATAGAGAAAATCTTATCTATATTTAGGTTAAATTTTGTTTTTCAGCAATCAGATGCTGGGCTCTTGAAATAGGGATAAGAAGATTTATACAGTAAGAGAAATCTGGGAAGCTCCATTTATCCAGACTGATAGACTAATTTCAGAGGTCGCACTCCACTAACCAGAAGGCTCAACATGACTCACTAATTTATTTTATTTTATCAGCAGAGTATCAGGAGCAGCTTTTGATAATTAAAAAAATACTTTTTTAAAATTAAAAATGGTAGACAGTAAATTTCAGCGTTTAGATGGAGCACACATTCTCCTGTTCACCATAGGTCCTAACACTAATATACCTGGCCTGACCACTCCATGTATTTATTTTTGCTGCTTAATATCTGAATTAATTTACATTTCTGACCCCTGGCACATGGATTGATAGCACTTGACGTTTCCTTTCTTCACAGGAAGATATTTCAAATCTTGCTGTATTCAAAGCACAAAGATAGAATCACTTACGATTACCATCACCCTCTTGAATGACTGATTAGTCCAAGTCAGGATGGAGTATCAGAAACAACTGGCCTCTTTATAGTAGACTTCCACCTTCACCCTGCTTAATTTCTCTGGGGATATTTGATGCTGTTTCTTTCTCAAAATGTTTTTTCTCTTTCCTTCTTATGTTAATTGAATTGATATTAATGACCAAATTTGACCAAATTAATATTAATGACCAAATTTACCAATTAATCTTTTATTATTTTTTTTAATCCTATGTGCTGAACTCATCATGCACAAGGAGTTTCCAGGATAAAATCTTGGAGGTCCAAACCCAAGCAGAAGGAGGTTTACAGAAGGTCCAGGGATGGCTCTGACGGATGCAAGTCCCTCACTTTCTTATGATGGCATATGATCAGTCACCATTGTCTTGTCCCAACTGTCTCCTTACTTCCATTAGAAGGAAGTTCACTCATTTATTCACAGTCTTTTGGCTTCCTGGTTGCCACTACTGGTTTCTTAAACTTACAGTTGTGCCTGACTACATGTTTGGGGGCAAGCAGTTCTACCCGTTATTTTTACTATCTCCACACTTCAGACATACTGATGTTTGAGCCATAAAATATGCAGGCAGAGAAAAAAACAGGAACACTTTAAGCATAAAGACGGGATCTATCGTGCAGAAGTCATGACATTAGCAAGGTTTGAGATTCGTACCTTTTTCTGCTCCTACCACACATCAAGACAGGAACCAGATGACCTGAGAAGACAGAACCCTGAAGAAGGGAAATAAGGAGCTTCAAGGCTTGAGGAGAAGAGGAGGAGGAAAGAGAGGTAAGGTCTTAAAGGGAGAGATTTGTGTCACTGACTATGAGCAAGGTGGCCACATGGAGTCATGGAACAGCCACATGACTCAAGATCAAAGAACCTGTCCCTATTAAAACAGTGACAAAATAAGCAGAAAAGAGATGATTCTACTCCCCAAAACTCAGTTCTCTGCAGATTCTATATGGATCACAGACTATGACATGAACATGAGGCAAAGGTCTATTTCATACACTCTGTAGTTGTTTTGGTTTTTGTTTGTTTGTTGTTATTTTGAGACAGGAACTTGCTCTGTTACCCAGGCTGGAGTGAAGTAGCATCATTATGGCTCACTGCAACCTCAACCTCCCAGGCTCAATTGATCCTCAATCCTCCTGCTTCAGCCTCCCGAATAGATGGGACCATAGGTGCCTGCCACCACATCCAGCTAATTTTTTGCATTGTTTTTCGTAGAGATGGAGTTTTTCCATGTTGTCCAGACTGGTCTCAAACTCCTGAGCTCAAAAGGATCCACCTGCCTTGGTCTCCCAAAGTGCTAGAATTACAGGTGTGAGCCACCACACCCTGCTCTCTGTGTGTGCTCGAGCAACTACTTCACTATTCACTTTAGAGTGCTGTGATTCCATATATTTCTCTCTATAGAGCATCATTAACTATAACTAAATCTCATCCACAAGGCCAGAAGTGCATCTCCCACCTGGGCAGTCAACAGTAAGGGGGTTAATACCAGGGACTTAAGGTAAATATGCAAGTAAGCTAATATGTCTCTGCCTACTTGTTTTGTGGAGTATTTAGAGTCTTTTCTGATACTCACTAAAAGGTGACTGGGGTGTAGGCCTGGGTTTCCTCCTAAGTTGAGAGCTCAACTGACCTCAGAACATCCACTGGAGATCTTAAAGGGAGACCTCATTGGAGGAATATAACTGTCAAGGACTTGATGAGCCATTCATCTAAGTATTTGACTTTTAAAGAAGGAGGGCTACCAGACGTTCAGGACCTTCCCAAGATTATTCTTTTCAGAGTGGATAGAAATTCACTTTATGCAATCTTCAGCCATATCCTGCCTTGTCAGTCTTCTCTGTCATTTTAGGACAATTTTGGGGAAATCTGGCACTGTCCTTTTCTTAGGTACTGACCCATTAGTAGAGCCTTTTGAGTGTGTGTGACCTTCACTCACAGTCTGTATAGATCTTCTAACTGCAAAACCTCAGAACAGTGAACCAGTTTCAGCCTTCATGTACCCATGGTCACGACATCCCTCTAAGTAGCTTTCGAGATGATGTAAATTTATGCTTCTTCTTCCCGATTCTTATGACCACTTCTAAATTTCCTTGTTTGGACCTTTTTCCTTATGCTACTGCCAAATGAATGTGAAATAAATTTAAGTCAACCAGTCAGTTCAGAGCTTAAGGAGAAATGCTGAGATGCTTCAGGTATAAAATTTCTCTAGCTCTGAGTCTGTGACTCTCCTGAACATATTTACCACCCATATGGAAACATTTGATGTGATAAATCATGCATTTACTCGTTCACTATATATTTTTTCTGAGTGCATAATGATAAATTGTTTCCAACTTTTAAATTATTTAACTCAAGCAGGCATTGATATTTCCAACTTTTGAGTCTTTAGTGCATGCTAGGCACTGAGCTAGGTACCAAACATGCAAAGATGGATATAGCTTTGTCCCTGCTTCTGAGGAACCTGCAGACTTACAGGGAATACAGAGAACATAAGAGTTAGAATTCTATGTGATGCATTCTGCCAGAGTGATGCAGGGGAGGAAGTGTGAAGACAGGGGACAGGGAACCTAATGTCTCAAGAACCTGCACTGACAAAAAGGAAGCATCAGGACTGCTTTTGATCATGATCACATAAAGGCAGAAGCAGAACAGAATTGGGTTGCTGTGTTTTTTTGTTAGGGATTTAAATCTCTTTCAGTGGATAGTTTTACTCCTGGATTCCTGCAGTACAGGTTATGCATATTGGCCCCTAGGTCAAGCAGTTTCCAGAAGACAAGCAAGACCTTGTGTATCTTGTATCTTTATAAGGTCCCAGGAAGCATCAGAAACACAATATGACTTTGGAAAATGGTTCTGTTTCACTCCTAGTTATAAACCTAAATAAGGACAGAGCACTTCCCTTGACCAGATCATCTACTGTTCTGGGAATCTGCATTCCTTATGGAGGAAGAGCATCTAGGCTATTCTACCCACACTGATGTGTCTCTGCTTTGTAAAAAAAAAAAAAAAAAAAACAAAAAAGTTGCCTCTTTTGATTTTTACTCTACCTTAGAGAGGAAGTAGATTGGATTTTCTGCTAGATCAACATGTGTGACCTGCACTCAGAAACATTTCCCAGGAGGGAATATGGCAATGAATGTTGACTTCACTGTCTTGAGTCATTATGTCAGTGACTGATGTGATTCTCTGCAGGGTTTGTCTCCCTGAAGGAAAACCCAGAATGGACATAAAGACACCACTTGAGACAAATGTCCTGTCAGTTACTGAGACACTCCTGCAAATATATATACATATATATATATCCAGATAGAAGAAAACAGAATAAAACCTACCTAAATTTAGCACCCTGCTTATACCCAGATATTGTTGAAAGAAATAATTCTCTTTGGTGGATTTATTATCCATTTGTTTATGATGTTTTAGATTTAATCTTCTATATTTAATTCTGAAGAGTTTTTTTTAGCTAGAGTAAGTCCCAATAAACAACTGGGAAAATGCAAAATGATAGGAGAAGTTTATTTCTTGTTCACACAGAGTTCAAAATGAGTGTTTGTAATTGGCAAGCAGCATTCAGCAAACCAGGCTCACTCTTGCTGCTTTGAAATTCACAGTGTAACCTACAAGAGCCTCATGAACAGGGAAGGGCATAAAGGATGATGCATGGGTGGTTTCTCAGGGATAGGGTAGAAGGTAACCCACATTACTTCTGCTCACATGTTGTAGGCTGGAATTCGGTTATCTGTGTACATGAGTGTAAGAGAGACTGGTAATAAAAGACAATCTAATACCAAAAATACATAGTAAGTATGAATACACACTGTTTGGAGAAAATATATTGAGCAAATAAATATATGAAAATTCCTAAATTCTTTCATAATTAAGTAAATGTACACCAAAATAACAATTCAATTTCTTATCTCTTTGACTTAGAAATTTGGTGTGAGTATTTACGAGGCATTTCTCCCCTTAGGTGAAGTAGAAGATTTAATATCCTGCCTCTTTACATATTTCTACCCTTTAGGGATAAAAACCTGTGAGAATATTGTAGTTTCATTGTTTAGTAATTCTTTTAAATGAAATGTATTAGATAAATTTCTTCCTGAGTCATGGTTTTTGGCTTTAAACAATGGACACTGATGCTGGGATAACTTAAGAAAATGAATTTATTGTAATTATATCAGACAGCTTAGAATCTCGTGGGAAGTCTTATAGAATAATCCTGAGAGGATAGATAGCAATTAAGGGAAGTTAGGCTGTAGGAAATATGGCCAAGTTTACACCACAAGAAAAGTCTCAAAATGCTGTCATTTGTGCTGTCACCCCTGGACAGGTGAAACTACTAAATGGCTGAACTTTCAACATCACCACTTCTGTGAATAATTCTCACCGTTTCAGTGTCTTTCCATTGGGAGCATCAATTGGGTTAAGCTCCTTTCTAGCTGTCAGGGGTATGGAGAGGGAGCAACTGGTCTCATTGTCTTCCTGTGTATTGAGAAGTGAACTTCCGCCACTTACTCCCTTTATCAGCCCCAAAACCGCATGCATCATTTCCCTTTCCAAAGACAATGCTGTCATCTTACTCACTGCTTCCTGAATAGAAAACATCTAAAGTTTCAAGTGTTGCATCTTACTCCAAATCTAGGATCTTGGTGGTGCTCACTTCTCCTCTGTTTTGTTTTGTTTTTTTTTCATAATCATTCTTGATATTCCACAAGTATAAACTATATCGTGACGTTCAACATTAAGAACCCTGGCTAAGGGAAATAAATGGAATTTAGGGGAAATAAACCCTGGCTAGGGGAAGTAAATGGAATGGAAATAAATGGAAAATATATATACTTGAGACATAAGGATTCAGGCAGGCCATACTTTTAGGCAGGCGATCATGAGGCTGTGGCTCCCTGGTATTTGCATGTTCTTGCTACTCTACCCAGTTTACTTTCTCTTTCAATTCTTCTTTACTTTCTATACATTAGCTGGCTGGTGCTTTTTAGCCAACGGGATGAACTAAACCTTCATTTCTGAGCAATCTGAGGCCCTAGTAGTCCTTTCTGTATAGCATTGCTGTGGTTTTCTATTAACTTTTACTATTGTGTTTAGTAACATGAGAGCATCAACTGAATTTCATCCATATTTCTCCCTAGCCATAGTGTGCAAAAGCATCTCTATATTTTCTAGATAACTATGATCAATAATTGCAGGTAATACTGTAAGCTTTTTTTATGTCCGTTTACTTAATGGCATGAAGTATACCAAATTCAATGGAATCACTGAATCTTCCAACTCAATGAATCATTACTGAGTCTTTTAATAGAAGCATTACTGGCTGGGTGTGGTGGCTCACGACTGTAATCCTGACACTTTGGGAAGCTGAGGTGGGTGGATCACTTGAGGCCAGGAATTCGAGACCAGCCTGGCCAACATGGTGAAACCCTGTCTCTACAAAAAATACAAAAATTAGCTGAGCATGGTGTCAGGCATCTGTAATCCCGGCTAGTTGGGAGCCTGAGAAAGGAGAATTTCTTGAACCTAGGAGGCAGAGGTTGCAGTTAGTTGAGATTGCACCACTGTACTCCAACCTGAGTGACAGAGAGAGACTCCATCTTAAAAAAAAAAAGCAGTAAAACATGGAAGCATTACTCTTTTAATGATTTTGTTGATGTAACAGACCAGAGTAACCATTGCCTTAGAATGGGGATGTTCCCCTTAAATAAATTGTGATACATATCTGCAGATGAGATGAAATCCTGGTGTAAAATGCAGTGCTGTCGCTGTCAGGTAAAAGTATAATGCTTTTGGTTATTCTTCTTTTGTGGGAAGCAGTAAAGAAAACATTTGTCACTTTAATAATTGCCTACCACGTATCAAGACTATATCGTTTGTTACAGTTCCTAGCTATAATTAAAATAATTCCACATGATCGAACTTGTAATACAACTTTTACACATATGACTTTAGATAATTGGGGCTATGGGGAGAACTGCCAGCCCTTCAGGTTTCAAGATAAAAATTGCCACTAAACCCTAATTCACACAGTGATGCAGTGTTGTTTTTATATTATTTGACATGAAAGGAAGAGGGAGCTTCAGGGCTCCTACTTTACCCTTCTACTATAATATCTTCATTCATGGATTTGGAACTTGGTAGAGGAATTTTGCTTGTGGATTTTCTTTCCACCTCTGCACTGAAGAACAGGTAATATAGTTACAGAGTGAGATTTGGGTCCCACTAGGCTGTGGTCTAGAGTCAAAACTATTTATTACTTGATCCCAATAAGCTCCCCAAAATCTCTTGAGAAAGAATAGAAGGTAGATACCTCGTATGTTTTATGATTATGATTGTAGTATCCTCTCTCAAATTTAAACATTTGTTCTATTTAGGGAGTTCCACGTCTGGGAATGGATGAGTGGCCATTATTTTCAGTTGTGTAGATTAAAATCAGCTTTAATCTAATTTTTAAAATTGATTTCCTTACTCTTTAAATAAGCAACCCTGAAAAAATTTCTATAAATATTTCTTAGTTTGTCTATAAAATTAGTAGTTATTATTTTTTTGTCATTTATTATGGGAAATTTTAAATATAAAGAAACAAAAAAGTTTTCTGGTGAACACGTGCATATCAACTACCTAGATTCTACCATTAACACTTATCATGTGTTTTATCACGTCTCTATTTCTCTATTCTATCTTTCTTTAATCTGCTTTTCTTTTATGCACTTCAAAGTAAGTTGTAGACTTGGTATACATGCCCCTAAAAGTTCAGCATACATATTAGTTAGTAGTGTGAAATATTTGTTTACAGACTTTTAAAGTTAAAATTTACATATAATAAAATGCACAAAACTTGAGTGTACAATTGGTGGGTTTTGGCAATTACACGCACTTGTGTAACCTCAATGAACATTCAGATACAGAATCTAAGTCCTCCATATGTAAGATTTCCCTTCTTTAATTTTGTAATGACCTCCGGGGCAGGTTAAGCTACAACTTTAAGTATAGTCTGGAGATGGTGAGAGGTGGGTATGGGTTGCAGTATGAGGAGATTTGACTTTCTCTCATTTGGTAACAACTCAGGCAAGGGAAGCCACATCAGTCAAGCAGAGGGGCTGCTTCAGCCGGCAAAGGGTTCAGAATTGTCGATTAGAGTTCTCCAGTTTCCCGAAGTTCTCCATTAAGTCCAATTCTTTCACAGAGAGATTTTGAGAAGCTGCTGATGTTATAATTCAGCAATATACAAGATCTAACTTGAATGGTATTCAGCTACCTGAGCTCTATAGCTGCAACCATTGAAACGATTTTAGCAAGACTAAGGTACTTTTGGATTAGAGTCCATGCCTTGAACTCAGAATTTAAGAGTGTGAGCTTCAAGCTGTTCAGAACTATTAGATACAGACATCATACTTACTGAGCTTGAATTCTTTATTCTCTTTATGAGATTACATGATAGTACAACTTGACATTTTAAAATTTTGCTAAAATAACTTTTAAAATAATGTGGTGCATCTCACATATTCTAATTTGACATCCTACGTTTCTCAACATAAATTTAAATAATTACATGATAACTTTAATTATTTCCAGCATATTTAAAATATTGACATTTTACAGTAAAATTATGTTACTCTTTTAATATAGCAGTGGATGCAAAATATCATAACAACTTGATACCCTCCATCATCCATATCAAAAAATAAAATGATATCAACAATCAGAAATTTCATGTAGTTTTTTCCTCCTCAAACTCATATATCTATTATACCTGCCCCCATAATTTTATTATAATGTAATGGCATCATAATATTTTTACATGTGATAAAATTATATTACATTAATATTATCAATAAAAATTACATTAACATATTATATTAATATTTATTGTTATCTACACAGTAAATGTTATAATTTTAATTATAATATACATATGATAATTAATGTCAACTATATTAATATTAATATCAGTGTAAGGTAATTTTACCATAATGTTATCAAAATTTTTTTAATTGATTATTCTATCATACTTCTCTTTAATAGCAACAAAAATCTAATTTAAGCTATGTTTTAAGCTTTCCTTTGAGGAGCCAGTAAGCATTAAAAATATTCTTCTACATTTTGTTAGCATTATGGTATTTTTAATAAGCTATTAATAAAGGCAACACACATAAATTGTGATCTTAATAAATATTTATTTCTGGGCTTCAGGATTGTGGGTAAATTTTTCTTTGTTTTTCTGTATTCTTAAGTTTCCTTAGTGAACATATTTTACCTTCACAAGCAGGAAAAATACTTAAACTAACATCAAATCATGTAGATAGCATATATATCAAGAGTTATAGGAAGAAATGTACTAATTTGCAAACACGTAAGATGAGTTGGATTTAGGGCTAAGAATTTAAAACAGTTCCCATGTGTTTTTAAAATTGTAAATTCAGAGATAATTATAACAATCAAAACTACTTCTCAATTAACAGCCTTTTTTTCTTCAAGTAAAGATATTGTGTTAAGCTTTTGTTTAATTCACTTTTTTAACAAAATAATAAAAAAAAAAATCTCCACTTCCCTAAAAGTTCATGATAAAGTCCATTCCTCTCTTAAGAGACACATCTCAGAAAACAATAACAAAAACAACCTCCATTTGATAAATTATAATAAATGATTGCTTCACATAATGCTTAACAATTGTTGTTGAAACCAACTGGTGATTGGTTAATGGGAAACTGGAATTCAAATAGCGTTACACTATCACAAGAACAGCATGAGGGAACTGCCCCTGATGATAATCCAGTCATCTGCCACCAGGTGTCTCCCTTGACATGTGAGGATTACAATTCAAGATGAGATTTGTGTGGGGACACAGAGCCAAACCATATCATTCCACCACTGGCCCCTCCAAAATCTCATCCCTTTTACATTTCAAAACCAATCATGCCTTCCCAAGAGTCCCCCAAAGTCTTAACTCATTTCAGCATTAAATCAAAAGTCAAAGTCCAAAATCTCATCTGATACAAGTCCTTTCTGCTTATGAGCCTGTAAGTCAAAAGCAGGTTAGTTACCTACAAGATACAATGGGAGTACAGGCATTTGGTAAATGTTCCCATTCCAAAAGGGAGAAATTGGCCAACACAAAGGGGCTATAGGCCCATGCAAGTCCAAAATTCAGTGGGCAGTCATTAAATCTTAAAGCTCCAAGATAATCTCCTTTGACTCCATGTCTCACATCCAGGACATGCTGATGCAAAGGGTGGGTTCCCACAGCCTTGGGCAACTCCTCCTTCATGTGCTGACATTGAGTGCCTATGGCTCTTCCAGACACAAGGTGCAAGCTGTTGTGGATCTACCATTCTGGGGTCTGGTGGACAGTAGCCCTCTTCTCACAGTTCCACTAGGCAGTGCCCCAGTGGGGACTCTGTGTGGGGGATCCAACCCCACATTTCCCTTCTGCACTGCCCTAGCAGAGGGTCTCCTTGAGGGCTCTGACCCTGCAGTGGACTTCTGCCTGGACATCCAGGCATGTCCATACATCCTCTGAAATACAGGTGGAGGTTCCCAAACTTCAATTCTTGACTTCTGTGCCCCTGCAGGGCCAATTACACATATAAGCCCCCAAGGCTTGGGTCTTGCACCCTCTGAAGCACCTCTTTAGGAAGCCTAAGCTGTACTGTGGCCTCTTTTAGCTACAGGAGCTGGAGTGGCTGGGATGGAGGGCACCAAGTTCAGAGGCTGCATACAGCAGTTGGGCCCTGGGCCAAGCCCACAAAACGATTTTTCTTCCTAGGCCTCTCTCTGGGCCTGTGATGGGAGGGGCTGTTGCCAAGATCTCTGACATGCCCTGGAAACATTTTTCCATTGTTGTGGTGACTAACATTCATCTCCTTGTTACTTAGGTATATTTCTGTAGCTGGCTTAGATTTCTCCCCAGAAAATGGGTTTTTCTTTTCTACTGCATCATCAGGGTGCAAATTCTCCAAGCTTTCATGCTCTGCTTTTCTTTTAAACATAAGTTCTAATTTCAGATCATCTCTCTCAAATTCAAAGTTCCATAGATCTCTAGGGCAGGGGCAAAATGCTGCCAGTCTCTTTGCTAAAGCATAGCAAGAATGACCTTTGCTCCAGTTCCCAAGAAGTTCCTCATCTCCCTCTGAGACCACCTCAGCCTGAACTTTATTGTCCACATCACTATCAGTATTTCGGTCAAAACCATTCGACAAGTCTCTAGGAAGTTCCAAACTTTCCCACATCTTCCTGTCTTCCAACCCCTCCAAACTGTTCCAGCCTCTTCCCATTAGCCAGTTCCAAAGTTGCTTCCACATTTTCAGGTTATCATTACAGCAGAACCCTCACTCTACTTGTACCAATTTTCTGTATTAGTCTGTTTTCACACTGCTATAAAGAACTTCCCTGAGACTGGGTAATTTAATTGACTCATAGTTCCACATAGCTGGGGAGGCTTTAGGAAACGTAAAATTATGACAAAAGGCAATGAAGAAGCAAGCACCTTCTTCACAACGCAGCAAGAGAGAGAAGAGCTGAGAAGGGGGAACTTCCAAACACTTTTAAAAACCATCAGCTCTTGTAAGAATTCCCTCACTATCACAAGAACAGCATGGGGGAAATTGCCCCCATAATCCAATCACCTCCCATCCGGTCCCTCCCAAGACATATGGGGATTACAATTCTCGATGAGATTTGGGTGGGGACACAGAGCCAAACCATATCAATATTAAACATATCTAATAACTGGCACAGTACTAGTACTGATGATATAGGAGTTAAGAAGAAATTACTTAGGTGGATAGTGAGGGTATGGGATTCCTTGGTAAGGTTTTCCTTTTAATGAAAAACAGCCCCCAAATCATTTTCTTTTCTAATAAAGAGAACCCTGTAAAATTGAGCTACAGACATAGACAAGCAAGCTAGATGCTTTCACAGGTGAATACCAGCAGCTGTCCCAACAGGAAAAGGCTACCTGGGACTACGCATGTTCAAAATTGCAGGTCCATCTTCCCTTCTCTTTGCCAGCCACGTGTACAGTAAGGAGCAGACAAGATGGTGCTGGCCAAGTGGAAAGTCCACTTGCATAATAAGATTAGGGTGGGATGGCCAACCTTCCTTGTGCACTATGTAAATGTCACATCTAATGGAACCAATCTGTGGGCCCTATGTAAATCAGACATTGCCTCCTCAAGCCTGCCTATAAAATCTGGAGCACCCTGCCACTGGTCGGATTTTCCTTTTTAGAAGCCCTGTCTGTTAGAAAGGAGAGAGCTGTTCTTTCTCTTTCTTTCACCTATTAAACCTCTGCTCCTAAACCCACTCCTTGTGTGTGTCCATATCCTAAGTCTTCTTGGCACGAGACAACAAACCCAGGGTATTTACCCCACACAACAACACCACTTCACTGACTGGATATAACTCTAAATCAACCTGGAAGAGAGGCAACAGCACCTAGGCAGCAAGGCATTGATTATTAAGCAACCAGCATGGAAATCATTTAATCATCAGTTTGCCTCTAATGTTGCATATTGACTAGGATCAGCCTGACTGCCACCAGAATGGTATAGCGTTTATATCAACAAGTTTTTTGGTTTATTATTGCTGTTGTTGTAGTTGTGTGTGTATGTATACATGTGTAAACACACACAGTTATTTGAACATTTTCCAAGTTATATGTCATACACACGTATTGAATTGTTATACAAATTATTTTAATGATCTCTCAGTTGACAACTTGATTAGATGTTCTTTCAATTTTTTATAGTCAAAATATTTGACTGTAACAAAAGAATTTGTTATCCAATCATTAAATTCATTTACTTTCTCAAGATTTTATGTAGGCTTAAAAATGACGGGTGAATATTCCTATCACTTTTTCACCCTGAGGCACTTGTTTAACCCAAAGGAATTTGGAACAGTTTGGAAAATGAAAAGAAATCATTTTAGTGTTGTTGACAATGCAATATTTTATCTTATCACAAACCTTTTAAACATGTTTTAAAACTAAACTTTAGAATGACGTATGCAGCTCATTCACTTAATGGGATGTTCCTGTCATATAACCACCCTGGTAAAGTCAGATCTTGTTGTGAAATACTCAGTCAAATCAGAATTATTTTGTGTCAGAAAGGAAATATAATTTAATTTTTCAATTCAACTTAGTGTGTTAATGTATGACCTTATAAAAAATCATCTCTATCTCTGAGTTTACTTGAAGATAGAGGAATTAGGCAGACGAGCTTGCCAAAATTTGTCACCTGGCTAAAGTATTTCTTTCTGATGCACTTTTTGCCTTTTAGTCACAAATCTTTCCACAGGGCAAAGAATTCTTTACTTTCATTACAGAATCGAAGAAGCAGGTCAATTAACATTCAAAGATGAGCCAAAGTGTCTAGTTTCTAACACCACACTTTGATCTATGAGGTAGGAAAATACTATTCAAATAGGCTTTCTGCAGGTTTATGGTGCCTTGATTAAAGGCAGATTAGATTCTAAAAATTATTCTATTTGTCCCTTTATTTTATAAAAGTATTATTGCTATTATTATTACTATTACAATTATCTGGTACAATATACCATAGTAAGAAGATTGGGGATGGAATGTGAGAGGTCAGCCTTTATTTTATAAGGTGGAGGAATGATCATTAAAAAAGAGAATATAAGAAGTGATGCCTTGACCACCAGTTCCATTTCAGGCAAATCATTTTAGGAAAAAGTACTTAAGAAAGCCAGGTACTACAGGTGACTGAACTCCTTGGGCAGTCTTAGTGGACTCCCCCACTGTGAGTCCATGTATGCCCCATGCTCAAGTTCACTTTCTATGGCAGGAGCAGTGATGTCACACAATGCATTGTCTTTAACAACTGCATTTTTTAATTTTTAAAATTCAATGCATAGCTTGCTACAGAATGCCACCAATTGCAAGATTAGAATGTGTGAATACTAAGAGTTTACTTTAGGCATAGTATTAATTAATTCACTTAATCAACAGCAAGTTCTTCCTTTCCCCTGAAAGTATTTTGTTTGGATTCCACTGCCAGTATCTTTTTTTTTCTATAAGGATTCTTGATTGTGAAAAATAGAAACTCATTTAGACTAGCGTAAGTATAAAAATGAATGTTTTAGATGAATATTTGGAAATTTAAAGAACGATGAAAAAAGACTGGAGAATAAAGCTTATAAAACATGCAAGGTTCAAGTGATTATAACTATATAGCAAACAAAGAAAAAGAAAAAATAAAGAAAGACAGAAAGAACCTAAAACATAGTCAAGGCCATTGCACAAGAATGGGATTTTTAGCGCTTATTACCACAAGACTCTCAGATTGCTGCTGCTCCTGCTGTAACACTGAAGATTCAACGACTATTATGAAAAAGTTTTTGATCATTTCTCTACCCTTATGCCACTCCTCAGGGAGTCAAATTCCCAGGCAGACACATCTGATTGTAGACCCTAAGTCATGGGCCCACAATCCTTGCTAAGAAGTCAGCGGCAGAGTTCTGCCTCTTCATAAGACTTGCACGATTGGGTGACACTCCGAAGCAGTAATGGTGAGTGTCCCAAACAACAAATGTTCACTATAGTTAACATCAGCTATAAGGCATGAACTAAAATGTAGATAGTTTCATTTATTGCTCCAATATTTACTGAGCGGTTCTTGAATATGAAGCTGTGTTACGGAATGCAGATAAAATGAGCAAAACTGGAGATGGTTTCTGCACTCACAGAAGTGCTAGAGCTTAATAAATTATTATATGTAAAAAGCAATGTTAATTTAAGTATACATTCTTATATATTGTAGGGTTAAACAAATGATCAACAATCAAACAGCCAGATAGGATGATGGTAATTTGTGATGCAAAAATTAACAGAAATTGAAACTTGACAATTCAAGACAATACTAATCATATGATGAAAATAAATCACTATTTTTAGGTATTAAGGGAATTCCAATTTTCTGTGTTTGTTTAAATTGTGATTTCACTGAATATCTTACCAAAATTCAAATAGTTCTCAATTATGTCTTTTTAATTTTAATAACCTTTACTATCTCACTTAACGTATAACATGTAAGGCATTTTTTTCTTACTGTTAAAGTGAAAATTTGTGAAATTGTGACTCCCTTACCCTAAATATACCCAGCCACATCTTGAGAATTATTAATCTATTTGATTGTACTAAGTTGTGCTGATTCTGTACAGGTATCTGTGTAGTGTTCATGTGATTAAGACAACCAAGACAGCTGCCAGTGCTCACAGGAAGGTGAGACAAAAGAAGGAGTGAGACAAAAGAGAGACTAAGGGCTGGGAGTTGTCACAGGTGATTAGAGGCAGTAATGGGCACTCTTCTGCCAGAGAGGGACAGGGAGGAAAAGGCGCTTTGTAGAAGCAGTGTTGGTTGAGGCAGCAATCTATCCTAGAGCATGATATAGATGTGCTAGCTTACCTGCCCCAAACATCGGATTAATATCATTAATATTCAAATATATTATAATATTTAGAAAATATATTAAAAATGTCAATTCACATATGTAAAGTATATCAACTTAAAATGTATAAAGTATTAATACATAATTAACAGAAGAAATACACATAGGCAATAAGGAATTAAAATTATTCTATTCATTAAAAACAAAATAATTGTTCATTGAAATAAAGAGATATTCTCACTTTCAAATTGGAAGGTACATTTAGAAATGAAAATAAACAGCCCTAGGTATGATGAATTCAGACAATAACTCTTCTTCACTGTGGGATGACATGAGATGATACACTCTTCCTGGAAGACAAATATATGACATATCATTAGTTATCCATCTATCATATTTTAAATGCTTATATTGTTACCTAAGTACTTTAGTTCTAGAAATTTACCAAAGGGAAACAATGAAAGATGTAAACAAAAATTTTAAACAAAATGTTCTTTGTAGATTTATATATTTTAGCAAAAAATTGCAAACAACTAAATGCCAAAATTAGAGAGTGGATAAATGAATTATGTTGTGGTCAAATAGGACTTTATGTAGCTGTTAAAAGTCAGACTATTGAAAGTCATTTAATGACATGAATAGTGTTTATTGTATAAGTTTAAGAATATAGCATATAGACACTAAGTGAAAAATCTGAAAAGAAAATCAAGAAAATAATTTTATTTCCAACAGAATAACAAAGAGTAAAATACTTGGTAATAAACTTAACAAGAAGGAAAAGCTACAAAGCATTGCTGAAAGAAATTAAGGAAGACATGAGTAAATGAAAAGATACTCTATGTATGAACTGGAAGACAATATTTGTAAGTCGACGGTAATACCCAAAGTGATCTGTTCAGTCAATGAGATCCTTATTAAAATCCCAATGAAATTTTTTGCAGAAATAGGAAAGCCTATCTTAAAATTTACATGGAATCTGAAAGAACCCTGAAAAGCCTAATAATTTGAAAAAGAAGAAAGATATTGGAGAATTCACACTCTCTGATTTTCAAATTCATTACAAATCTACAGTAGTCAAGAGTGTGGTATTAGTACAAGGACAGACATATAGACCAATGGAATAGAATTGAGAGCCTAGAAACAAACCCTCACAAATATATATAGTCAAATGATATCAAAAAGAGTGCTGTGTCCATTCAGTGGGGAAAAGGCAATCTCAATCTTTTCAACAAATATTGCTGGGGATGCTCGTTATCCACAGGCAAAAGAATGAAGCTAGATTCTTACTTTACACCATATACAAAAGTTAACTAAAACTAGATAGACCTACATATGGGAGCTAAATTTATAAAACTTATAACACAAAACAGGGGAGTAAATCTTCGTGAAACTGAATTTGGTAATAATTTATTGAATATGACACCAAAAGCACAGGCAACAAAGAAAAAATATCTGAATTAGACTTCATCAAGATTTAAAAGCTTTTATGCTTCAAAAAACACTATTCAGAGAGTAAAATGACAACTCACAGAATGGAAGAAAGTATTTGCAAATTGTCCATCTGATAAGGGATTAATACCCAGAACGTATAAAGAACTCTTACAACTGAAAAACGTAAAACCACCCAATTTAAAAAATGGGCAAAGGAGTAGAATAAACATTTCTCCAAAGAAGGTAAGCAAATGGCCAATAAGAACATGTTCAACATCACTAATAAATTAGGGAAATACAAATCGAAATCACAACGAGTTACAACTTCGCACTCATTAAGATGGTTACTATTTATTTCAAGAAAGGAAAATAAGAGTTGGCAAGGATATGGAAAAATCTGAATATTTGTGCACTGCTGGTGGCAGTATCAAATAGTGCAGCTACTTTGGAAACAACTATTGTAGTTCTTCAAAAAGTTAAACAGAATTACCCTATGACTCCACAATTTCATTTCCAAGTACATACACAAAAGAATTAAAGTCAGGGACCCAAACAGATATTTTTTCAACAATGTCCATAGTAGCATTATTTTTGTTTTTTTAATTTTTGTGGGTACATAGGTGTACATATTTATGGGTTACAGGAGATATTTTGACACAGGTATGCCATGCATAATAATCACTTCAGGGTAAATGGGGTATCCATCACCTTAAGCATTTATCCTTTGTGTTACAACAATCCAATAATACTCTTTTCATTATTTTAAAATGTACAATTAAATTATTTTTGACCGCAGTCACGTGGTTGTGCTACCAAAAACTAGGTCTTATTCATTCTTTCTAACTATTTTTTGTGCCCATTAACCATTCCCATTTCTCCCCTACTTCCTCACTACCCTTCCCAGCCTCTGGTAACCATCCTTCTATGCTCTATCTCTGTATTAATCTGTTCTCATGCTGCTAATAAAGACATTCCTGAGATGGGGTAATTTAAAAAGAAAAAGAGGTCCGTCAGACTCACTGTTCCATATGGCTGGGTAGGCCTCACAATCATGGTGGAAGGTGAAGGAGGAGCAAAGGCACATCTTCATGGAGGCAGGCAAGAGAGCTTGTGCAGGGGAACTCCCATTTATAAAACCGTTAGATCTCATAAGACTTATTCACTATCATGAGAACAGCAAAGGAAAGACACACCCCCATGATTCAATTACCTCCCACTGGGTCTCTTTATGACATGTGAGAATTATGAGAGCTACAATTCAAGATGAAACTTGGGAGGGGACACAGCCAAACCATATCAATCTCCATGAGTTCAATTGCTTTAATGTTTAGCTTCCACAAATAAGTGACATCATGCAGCTTGTCTTTCTGTACCTGGTTTATTTTACTTAACATAATAACCTCTAGTTCCATCCATGTTGTTGCAAATGACAGGATCTTATTCTTTTTTATGGGTGAATAGTATTCCATTGTGTATATATACTACATTTTCTTTATCCATTCATCTGCTGATGGACACTTAGGTTGCTTCCAGATCTAAGTGGTGCAATAAACTTGGGAGTGCAGATATTTCTTCGATATTCTGATTTCCTTTCATTGGGGCATATACCTAGCAGTGGGATTACTGGATTGTATGGTAGCTCTATTTTTAGTTTTCTGAGGAACCTCCAGACTGTTCTCCATAGTGGTTGTATTAATTTACATTACCACCAACAGTGTTGGAGTGTTCCTTTTTCTCCACATCCTCACCAGCATTTGTTATTGCCTGCGTTTTGGATATAAGCCATTTTAACTGGGGTGAGATGTTATCTCATTATAGTTTTGATTTCTATTTATCGGTTGATCAATGATTTTGAGCACCTTTTCATATGTCTGTTTGCCATTTGTATGTCTTCTTTTGAGAAATGTCTATTCAAATATTTTGCACATTTTAAAATTGGTTTTATGAGATTCTTTTTCCTATTTAGTGACCTGAGCTTCTGCAAGTTGTCTCTTCACTTTGTTTCCTTTGCTATGCAGTTTTTAAAACACTGTAGCATTATTCTCAATAGTCAAAAGGTAGAAACATCCCAACTACCCATCAACAGATAAATCAATAAATAAAATGTGGCATGTTCATATAATAGAATATTAGTCTTAAAAACATTGAAATTCTAAATTGAGCTGCAGCGTATATCAACCTTGAAAACATTATGCTAGGGGAAATAAGCCAGACATAAAAAGAAAATATTGTATGAATAAACTTATATGATATATGTAGAGTAGGCAAATTATTTACAGAGACAGCATAATAGAAGTTAACCGGGCCTGGGTGGAAGGGATAGAAAAGAGATATCATTTAATCTGCACAGAGTTTCTGATTAGGCTGATAAAAAATTCTAGAAATGGATAGTGGTGATGGTTGGACAACATTGTGAATGGACTTAATGCCACTGAATTGTAGACTTCGGATGCTTAAAATGATAAATTTAGTATTGTGTATTTCCCACAATAAAAAATTCAAAGAAAGATAGCAAATAAAAATATACATAAACTATGATAATTTGTTTTTTATTTAACTTTTTGGTTTTAAAGAATTACAAACTCATAAGAAGTTTCAAAATTAGTACAGAGAAGTACCTTGTACCCTTATTCATTTTCTTTCTATGATTATTTTTACATGACTGTGGTACAACATCAGAACTTGGAAATTAGTATTGTTACAATGTTTCTTTACAATTCTATACCATCTTATCACATACACAAATGCATGTAACCAGAAAGAAAACAAAATACAGAATTTTCCATTACCATGAAGAGCTCTTTTTTGCTACCCTCCTACAGTCACACTCACTAATTCTCTCAATCCTCATTACGAGCTATTGGCAAACACTAATTGGTTTTTCATTCCTATAATCTTTTTAATTTCAAGAATATCATACTAATAGAATCATACAGTATGTGTCCTTTGGAATTGGCTTTTTCTCACTCAACATAATATCCTTGGGATCTATCTAAGTTGTTGTATGTATCAATAGTTTTCTCCTTTTTCTTACTGAGTAGTATTCCATAGTGTGGACACACCACAGTTTGTTTAACCATTCATCTTTTCAGGGACATTTAACCATTCACTTTTTTATTGTTTTCAGTTTGGGGCTATTACAGAAAATGCTGTCTTTTCTTTCAATCTGCTTATATTGCTGTATTTAAAATAAGGTTCTTATAGGCAGCTTATAATTTGATTTGCCATTTCATGTTTTTCTTTTCTCTGTCTTCCTGTGGATTGAATATTTTTTTAACTTATTAATAGTGTATTTTAGCACATCTCTTTATATACAAATTTAAAGTAATTTCTCTAGGTGTTTTGTTATACATACATAACTTATCAGAGTCTATTGATATTGACATTTTGCTAGTTCTTGTAAACTGTAGAAACTTTACTTCACTTTAAATTCCTTTACCTTTTCTTGTTCATAATATAATTGCCTTAGCTATTTCCTCTAAATATATTGATAACCATATAAAATAATGTTATAGTTTTTGGATCAAACATCACACAATTTAAAAAACCAAAGAAAAGAAAAGTCTATGGTACTTACTCATATTTACACTTGCCATTTTCTAACTTTTATTTATTTATTTATTTGAGAAGGTGTCTCACCCTTGTTGCCCAGGCTGGAGTGCAACAGCACAATCTCTGCTTACTGCAACCTCTGCCTCCTGGGTTCAAGCGATTCTCCTGCCTCAGCCTTCCATGTAGCTGGAATTACAGGCACCTGCCACCACACCTGGCTAATTTTTTGTATTTCTAGTAGACATGGGGTTTCACTATGTTGGGCAGGCTGGTCTCTAACTCCTGACCCCAGGTGATCCACCTGCCTCGGCCTCCCAAAGTGCTGGGATTACAGGAGTGAGCCACTGTGCTGGGCCCTGCCATTGTGTTTTTATTCTTGTATGATGTTTCTAGATTACTTCTTTTACCCTTTCCTTTCTGTTTCAAGAATTTCCTGGTACCACTTTTTTCCCCAGTAGGTCTGTAGTGACAAATTCTCTTAGTTTTCCTTCATTTGAGAATGTCTTGATTTCTCCTTCATGTCTGAAGAATAATTTTGCTGGATATGGAATTTTGGGTTAACAGCTCTTTTCTTTAAATACCTGCAAATTATTGTGTCACTTTCTCTTATTCACTTCTGATGACAAATCTGCTGTCATTTGAGTTGATTTTCCCCTGTAGTCTAGTTTTCAGAAATTTAACTATAGTGTATCTTGCTGTGTAATTCTTTGGATTTATCCTAACTGAGATGAGTCAGCTTTTTACATCTACATTTATGTCATTATCAAACACTATAGTCTGAATGTGTCCCTCAGAATTCACGTGTTGGAAACTTAATTTTCAGTGCAATAGTGTTGGAAAGTGGGACCTTCTGAGCAGTGTTTAGGTAATGAGGGCTCTACCCTCATAAATGGATTAATGCTACTACAAAAAGGGCTTATGGGAATACATTTGTTCTCTTGTGCCCTTCTGCGTTTTGCTTTGTGAGGACACAGTAAGAAGGCCATCACCAGATCCTGGACTTGATCTTGGACTTCTCAACCTCTAGAACTGTAAGAAATAAATTCTGTTCTTTGTAAATTACCCAGTATCAAGTTTGCATTTCTGTTACAGCAACACAAAACAGAGTAAGACACCAAATTGGAGAAATGTTTGGTCATTTCTTTGAATATTGTTTTCATCCCCTTCTGTTTTCTATTTTTTCTGGAACTCTAATGAAAAAAATATTAGATCCTTTTTATAGACCACAGATTTCTGAGTCTTTGTTAATTTTATTCCAGCTATTTTCTCTTTGTTATTTAGATTAGGTAATTTTTATTGTTCTATTTTGCAGTTTACTGATTCTTCTTCTGCCCTCTTTATTCTGCTGTTGAATCTACCCATTGAGGTTTTGTAATTTGGTTGCTGTATTATTTAATTCTAAATTGTTCATTTGGTTCTTTTTTATGTCTTCCCTTTATTGCTGAGATCTTATTCTTTTGCATTTGTTTCAAGTGTGTTTGTAATTACTCATTAAGCATTTTTTATGATGGCTGCTTTAAAATCCTTGTGAGATAATGTTAACTTCCATATAATCTTAGAGTTGTCATCTGTTAATTGTCTTTTGTCATTCAAGTTGGGATTTTTCTTGTTCTTAGTGTGAAAGTGATTTCCTATTGTATTCTGGACATCCTGGCTATTATGTTACAAGATTGTTGATCTTATTTAAATATTCTGTTTTAGAAGTCTTCCTCTGACACTAGAGAGGTGGAGAAAGAGGTCTGTCTCCCTTTGTTCCTGCCAGGTGTGGTGAAAGTTCAGGTTCTCCTTTGGGCCTCCATTACCACCCCAGGAGTGGGGGAAGTTCCTGGTTACTTTCCACTGGTGATGGGATTTCTGGTACCATGTATTTCCTCAGCTGTCAAGGTCCCCATGTGTTCTGCCATTTTCCCTCTACTTATCAGTCTTCTTATATTTGCTTTACATATAATGTCCAGGGATTTTTACTGTAATTAGTGAGAAGAATAGGTTGAACTGCATCTACTCCATATTGTACCTGATCAAGATGTGCTCATTTATTTTTACAAAACATTTTTGTGTGTCTATCTATCTACATATACACATACATATGCACATATTGCATATATAAAATAAATGTTTAGTGTCTTGTTTGTGTGTATGTATATACCCACACTATATATATAATATTTTGGCATATTGTATGTTATAGGCTTGAACTAGTATTTTAAACCTATGTCCTTTTTTCCCCCTACTGCCTAATGCTATGTAAGGATTTAATCTGTTTCTAAATCAGATATCATTTTATGGTACAGGAATTTTTGCACATGCAGTGACCCCAGGCTTTTCAAATTTGTGAATGACTTATAAAATTAATTTCATATTAACTTTCCATATTCCTCACACTCCATCAAATTAAAAAAAAAGCAAGGTGCTATTATTTAAATTGCAGAAAGATACTAACTTATGACTGATGGTCCAGATGAATCCATTAACCTGCTATTAGCAAGAGCAAAGAGAGAATGAGAGAGAGAGAGAGAGAGAGAGTAAGAAGCAAGCATCTTTCCACTGTATGATCCAAGTAGACAGTCAGATTTAGATGATTTCAGAACAAATCCATAATGACTCACAATACTAGGATCTTTTCCTGTTGTGGGATTATTTCCTTAGCGTTCCATTTTAACTGATTATTCATTATCCATATTCTTTAGCAAATATTTATTATCTACTATATGTTGGATATTGAGCTAGCCAGGTGCTGGTGATATAGGAAGAAAACAAACCTTTTTGAGGTCATTATGGTCTAGAGCAGTTGTTCTCATCCTTTAGCCTGTCAGAATCATCTGGAAGCTTGATAAAACACAGAATGCTGGGCCATATCCCTTGAGTTACTGATTCAGTAGTTCTGGGTGGGGCTGAAGAGTTTGAATTTCTAGCAAGTTTCCAGGTGATGCTCTTGCTGCTGGTTTGTGGACCACATTTCAGAAACACTTGTCTAAAGCAGTAATAATCAGATTTTAGTGTGCCTAAGAATCACCTATGGCATTGCTTAAATAATAATCTCCTGAATCCAGTTCCTGAAGATTCTGATTCAGTAAATCTGTAGTGGGACCCAAGGATTGGCATTTTAAAGAGCACCCAGATGAGTTATTTGTACCTAGCTTGAGGATCACACTTTGACCAGTATTGAGAAGTGTTGGTCTAATGTAGAAGCAGGCATAAAATAAATATTCATATAAAAGTTATTTAATTTGAAATTTTATAAGAGCTAAAGAAGTATAGATGCTTTAAGATTTGAGAGGTGACCTCAGAGGAAAGACTATTTAAGTTATTTTTGAGAAAGCAGCAGACCCAAGCATGATGGATAATCCCCTTTTCTTCAAACTGGCCAAGAAAAGAAGTATGAAGGGAAATTAATCCTCCCATTTTTAAAAGTTTTGCACTGATATTATGGCAGCTTGTTACATGGTTATAAGTATGGACTCTGCAGTAGGATATCACTTCTGCTTCTACCAACTTACTAGCTATATGAACTTGGGCAAGCTGCTTATCATTTCTGTGCCTCATTTTAAAAAATCTGTGAAGTGGGATAATAATAGTTTATAACATAGGCAGTTCTATGAATATTAAATAGGTTTAAAAATGTAAAACACTTAGGAGGATGCCTGGAGGATAGAAAAAGCTCAGCTCAGTGAAAGTGAGCTATTATCACCATGGGCAGCAGATTGGAATCCATTTGTTAAAGCAGCATTGTGTTACATACTCATGCAAAAGCTGCTCAAGGGAGTTCTCTGGCAGTCATTTAAAGCTCTACTTTTATACACCTTTCATATTGAAAAGGAAGAAATCTGATAGCATCTTCCTTCGTGAACAATAGTTCAGAGTACAAGTCCAGGGGGCTTCCCAATAGTCAGCTTCAATGTTAAGTGAAGAGCTATGGACCAGGATCAAGCTTGTAGACATTTTTAAGGCTCCCAGAACTTTGTCTGCACATGGCTGCTTCTGTGATGTCTTCTGTGATTTTTAGTGATTAGTAGAGATCCTCTAAAATGGAAAGGCCTTATAATATCATCATTGATGTATCTAAGGAAGGAGGACCTAAGCAGACAGACAATTATACCTACTCCACAGGTATAATTGGCTAAGAGGAACACTGAGGGATGGGGAATAATAGTAGCAATTATGAATGAGAAAAAGGAATTCTTCATCATGGAATGTAGGGAGAGAGTAGAGGTCTGAACCTCAGGAGTAGACAGAGCCAAGGCCCATCTCATTGTGCTATAGCAGGAGAGGAGACTCCATGTATGATTTTTGATATTCATGTCCCCACTACATTCTGGCTTCTTTTGCTATTGTCTGGCCAATGGAATCTGAGCTGAAGGAATGTGTGTCCCTTTAACGTGGATGCAGTTAAGTGCCTGCTGTGCCTCCTGCATCCTGTCTCCCACTCTACACTGACTCTTTGAATCCAAGGTGGTGAAATGACATAGTGGAAGAGATCTGAATCTCTGAGCCAGCACTTGGGGAACAGTCATTTGACCAGCATCAGTCCATGACATGAATGAGGAAGAAAATTATTAAGTAACTGAGATTTGGGGAGTGTCCAATATGGCTATTTGCCTTCTCTACTCTAACGAAGGTAGAAATTGATGTGTTTAAGTGGAATGCTGCCATAAAGATCCCCAAAATAGGAGGCATCAGCTGAATAGTTAAATGGTCACAAGCAAGAAAACCAAACCAGAGGCCAGAAAGACCATGATTCTTGCCACACAGAGAGGCAAAAGAAAATTGTTGTCTGTGATAACTGAGGGGGTGAGTCACATGTCTTCTGACTCTAGACATGGTTAGAAAGCATTTTAGCTATTCATAGTGGTCATCTGCATTGGCTATTATGGGCTGCAGTTAACAAGGTAAGATTCTAGAAAGATGAGCTCCAGAAGAATTGGTAGATGAACAAGCAGAAATGAAAGAGAATAGTAATAGAGAAGGTTTAGAAATTTGCCAGTGTTAGAAAAGCCAACTAACAAAAGATAAAGTTTAGAAATGCTTGAGTAATGTTATCTCTCAAACTATTAATAAATAGTAACCAGTTTAATAATAATAGTAAACCTATTAATATTTTGCAAGGTGTGGTCTTCCCATGGATTGCTCCAGATAGCCTCAAGGTAGCAGCCATGAGATTGAGAGAGGAAGAAGTATGGGATGAAGGAAAAGTAGAAATATGTGGACATGAAAAAGTAGGCTGACCAATAAACTGAAAGCCCCAGGTTCTAGGGAGCCCCTTATCTCTGGTTAAATCAGGAAGTGTGTTCACCCTGTAAAAAGCCCATGTCTAGGAAAGCATTTTAGGTCTGGCTACTGACACAGGGCACAGTAATGAAGTGGGAGGGGAATCACTGGAAGCAAATCAATTATAAATCTACTAAATTTTTATTATTAAAAAATATTAAATGTTTCATGAATTTGCATGTCATCCTTGCTCAAGAGCCATGTTAATCTTCTCTGTATGGTTCCAATTTTAGTTTATATGCTGCCAAAGCACCACTGTCTACTAAGTTTTTGAGGAAACCATATTGCTAGAGAAACTGCAAGCCTGAGCAGCCTCCAATTGTTGAAGACTTACATCCATCTTGGACCTCCAAACATTCATAAGCAGGAAGCAGGCCTCAAAAACTATGGCCCCCAAATGAGGGCTTGTTCCCCAACCCCCACTTTAGACATGGAGAAGAAGAATAATGGACAAGGAGGCTCCTCCCAGAAGGATCCAAGGACCCCTGAGGTTGGTGGACAATGGACTTCCAGCACAGATTGGAATCAGAACACAATCAAGGACACTGTCTCTCCAATAGAAACTCTTCCTATGTCTGCCCAGAGTAATTCCTTAACTGTGATGGACAAAGAGCTGTGGCATCATTGCTTTCCATTTTTTGAATGAAAGTTATGGTGCAGTAATCCTTTCCCTGCTCCAGCAGGTGAGGGGGTGGCAGAGAGGGGCCAATAATTTGTCATTTTGTTCCTAGATTGCCAGACCAAGAGGAGCTATGTCTTGGTCTGCAAAAAAGAACCAGACATTGCCACAAATCCTGGGCTTGAGCTGAATGCAGGGACTGGTGGGTTTCTCTGTTGTGTCCCTTGGAGAGGGAGTGAAGACTTCTTATGCAGTGCCTCTCAACATATTCTAACCTTCCTGCCTGCTAGGCTTGCCATGTGTTGTGTTCCAGACAGTAAAATTTAAGCAGAAGTTCTGACTTTCTTACTGCTGGGCTAAGGTAGTTACGTACTAGTGTACTAGTGTGTCTCCCCACAATGAACCTCCCACCTTCTTCCCACAAAGCCCAAGGGATAAAATTCAGGGCAAATTAGAATCCAAAAGAAGGAGCCACAAAGTGGAAGAAACCTGGATGCCTGAGTCACTATGTGGGGAAAACACCAACTAAAAAGCTTTATGTGATCCACATTTGATATGAGTGAGAAATAAATTTTTGATTGTTTTAGGCCATTGATATTTTGAGATTGCAACAACAGCTAGTATAAGTTAGCCCAATGCTTTAGGAAAACGTCTATTTGTTTATCTAATCTATGAAGATCACTGACTCATTACTCTGTTTTGTTTTCTTAATGAACACAATATACCATGTGGGTAAGAGATAAGGGGAAGGGGTGGAGGGGGGATTTGGAGCCAGAAGACAAGAAGTTCTCTCTTTGCCTATTCATGCGTATTTAGTAAATTAACATTTCCATGCTGGGTCATGATTATTTTCCCTGACCCTGCCCAGAAGAAAGCAATCTCCAACTGTATACTCACTGGCATTTTGCTTTCAGGGATACCGTTTTGTAATTGGGCTCGGTTCAGTCCTCATGGTCTGAAGAGAAAATGATATACCATGCTTTAATAAGAGATGTTCTGTCTTTAGTGCAAGACCCAGCCCACTGTTTGTAATAAACTCTGAAGTCTGTGCTTGACAAGTACTACTTACATACAGAGCATGTCGTGAAGTATAACAGAGAAGATGAAGCCTGGTAAAATGACACAGTTTGCTTCTCTCTTCAACAAAGGAAACTCTGATTCTGGTTTTAGAAGGGACCGGCACCTTCTCCTTTCCCTGCCAGATTTTCCTTCTACCAAGACTGGGGTCCAACTGTGAGCCCTGTGCTTCAGGTCAGGAGAAATTCAGTATGTGAAAGCATTTTGCAATCCGTAAAGCTTAAATATGCATGCACGTTGTGAGGCAATATGGTATAAAGGAAAGCAGAGGTTTAGACGTCAGTCCCACTCATTTTAAATCCTGGGTCCACTGCCCTCTAGCTAGGTAATTCTTGGAATGTTTCTCAACTTCTCTGATCTTCAGTTCCCTCCACTATAAAATAAGATCTATAAGACCTACTACTTAGGGTGGGAATAAAATCAATAACATGTGAATACCTAGCTCAGTGTCTGGTACATGTTGGTGCTCAATAAATGTGTAATTCCTTCCTTTCCCTTTCCTACCCACATGCTGTCCTCAGGGTAGAACACATAGATGATTCTTTCTCGTGCCCTGCCTGCCTCAGTACATTTCTGGATGTACGGATTGAGACTTCCTGACTTACGATTGCATAAACTCCACAGCAAGTATCTTTGGCTGTGTTAGTGCAAATCCCTTGAATAATGTCCCAGTTCTCCTCTACGGCAGACTCCGTTGGATTAAGAAAGAAGGCAACAGAATGGAAAGAGCATTCAACTTGGTGTCAAGTCCTGGGTACAGATCTCTTTTCCAGCCTGTGCACTGTTGGTTAAATTAGAAATCTCTCTAAACCCCAATTTACTCATATGGAAAATGTCAGTTATAGCTTCCATAAAAGAACTTCATGACATAAAAAAACCTAGCACAAATATAAGGTATTTCAGTATACTTCCAGTATATCTTTGCTTACTCTTATTGTCCTATGTGTTAATCCTACTAAAAAGCCTTGTGTCCCATGTGTCTTCTCCCACACCTACTGAGTTTGTAAGGCAAGGTAGGTGCTTTGGGCAGGCATCCATCCATGGCATCACTTCATCTATCTTTGCTCATGTTCAAGAATGGTTTGGTTTCTTTCATGCGCGTCCGTGTGAAGAGACCACCAAACAGGCTTTGTGTGAGCAACATGGCTGTTTATTTCACCTGGGTGCAGGCGGGCTGAGTCCGAAAAGAGAGTCAGCGAAGGGAGATGGGGCGGGGCCATTTTATAGGATTTGGGAAGGTAATGGAAAATTACAGTCAAAGGGCGTTGTTCTCTGGTGGGCAGGGGTGGATCTCACAAAGTACATTCTCAAGGGTGGAGAGAATTACAAAGAACCTTCTTATGGGTGGGGGAAATTACAAAGTACATTGATCAGTTAGGGTGGGGCAGGAACAAATCACAATGGTGGAATGTCATCAGTTAAGGCTGTTTTTACCTCTTTTGTGGATCTTCAGTTACTTTAGGCCATCTGGATGTATACGTGCAAGTCACAGGGGATGCGATGGCCTGGCCTGGGCTCAGAGGCCTGACATTCCTGCTTTCTTATATTAATAAGACAAATAAAACAAAATAGTGTTGAAGTATTGGGGCAGCGAAAATTTTTGGGGGGTGGTATGGAGAATGGGCGATGTTTCTCAGGGCTGCTTCAAGTGGGATTGGGGCGATGTGGGAAGCTAGAGTGGGAGAGGTTAAGCTGAAGGGTGGTCTTGTGGTAAGGGGTGATATTGTGGGGATGTAAGAAGAAACATTTGTCGTATAGAATGATTGGTGATGGCCTGGATACGGTTTTGGATGAATTGAGAAACTAAATGGAATAAGAGAAGGAGAAAAACAGGTATAAAAGGTCTAAGAATTGGGAGGACCTAGGACATCTGATTAGAGAGTGCCTAAGGAGATTCAGCATAGTCCTGCCAGCAAAGATTATTTATTTACTTCAAGAGTTTAGAGTGGCAGTTTGGGGATAGCACCAGGAGATATCAGCTGTGATGGCTTGGAGAAACAGTGTAAACCGGCAGTGTAAACAAGAGCAGGGCATGTATGAGTAGTTGAGAATGGTGAATAGGAGTATGACTAGATGAAAGATAGTAGGGATGACAAGTTTTTTTGGGGCACAGTCTAAGTTGGTCTGGTGTCGAATGAGACTGGGGCCTAATAAAAAGGAGCGTCTATACAGGAGCTTAAATGGGCTGTACCTTGTAGCATTCTGAGGACAGGCCTGAATTCTGAGAAGCGAAAGTGGTAAAAGTATTGTCCAGTCCTTTTTAAGTTGGTGGCTGAGCTTGGTGAGGTGTGTTTTTAAAAGACCTTTAGTCTGTTCTACTTTTCCTGAAGACTGAGGACCGTAAGGGATATAAAGGTTTCACTGAATACTAAGAGCCTGAAAAACTGCTTGGCTGATTTGACTAATAAAGGCTGGTCTGTTATCAGACTGTATAGAGGTGGGAAGGCTAAACTGAGGAATTATGTCTGACAGAAGGGAAGAAATGACTGTGGTGGCCTTCTCAGAGCCTGTAGGAAAGGCCTTTACTTATTCAGTGAGAGTGTCTATTTAGACTAAGAGGTATTTTAGTTTCCTGACTCGGGACATGTTGAGTAAAGCTAATTTGCCAGTCCTGGGTGGGGGCAAATCCTCGAGCTTGATGTGTAGGGAAGGGAGGGGGCCTGAATAATCCCTGAGGAGTAGTAGAATAGCAGATGGAACACTGAGAAGTTATTTCCTTGAGGATAGATTTCCACGATGGAAAGGAAATGAGAGGTTCTGAGAGGCGGGATAGTGGCTTGTACTATAGCATAGCCTGCCTTTGCTGGTGTGTGGCGATTAGGCCTGATGGAACTGCCATCAAGCGTGATCAGGGTGAGGAACAGGAAAGAAGGAAATATGGGGAAATGGGGTGAATATCAGGTGGATCAGAGAGCTACAGTCATGGGGGTCAGGTGTGGTATCAGGAATAAAGTGGGAAGCCAGATTGAAGTCTGGGCCAGGAACAGTGGTAATTGTGGGACTTAAAGAGTGAGTACAGCTGAAGGAGCCGGGGAGCAGAAAGTATATGTGTCAGGTATGAGGAAGAAAATAGATTTTGGAAGTTATGAGAAATGTAGAGAGTGAGTTGAGCATAGTTTGTGATTTTTAGGGCCTCTAACAGTATTAAAGCATCGGCAGCCGCTGCACGCAGACATGAGGGCTAGGCTAAAACAGTAAGGTCAAGTTGTTTGGACAGAAAGGCTACACGGTGTGGTCCTGGCTCTTGCATAAGAATTCTGACCACACTAACCATGCCTAGGAAGGAAAGGAGTTGTTCTTTTGTAAGGGATTGAGATTTGGGAGATTAATCGGACACGATCAGCAGGGAGAGCACGTGTGTTTTTATGAGAATTATGCCGAGATAGGTAACAGATGAGGATGAAATTTGGGCTTGACTGAAGTAATGGGGGCTGTCTGAGAAGCCTTGAGGCAGTACAGCCCAGGTAATTTGCTGAGCCTAATGGGTGTCAGGGTCAGTCTAAGTGAGGCAAAGAGAGGCTGGGATGAAGGGTGCAAAGGAATAGTAAAGAAAGCATGTTTGAGATCCAGAACAGAATAATGGGTAATAGAGGGAGGTACTGAGGATAGGAGAGTATATGGGTTTGGCACCTGGGGGTGGATAGGCAAAACAATTTAGTTGATAAGGTGCAGATTCTGAACTAACTTGTAAGCCTTGTCTGGTTTTTAGGAGAGGTAAAATGGGGGAATTGTAAGGAGAGTTTATAGGCTTTAAAAGGCCATGCTGTAGCAGACGAGTAATAACAGTCTTTAATCCTTTCAAAGCATGCTGTGGGATGGGATATTGGCATTGAGCGGGGTAAGGGTGATTAGGTTTTAATGAGATGGTAAGGGGTGCATGATCGGTCACCAAGGAAGGAGTAGAGGTATCTTATACTTGTGGGTTAAGGTGGGGGAATACAAGAGGAGGACGCAAAGGAGGCTTTGGATTGGGAAGAAAGGCAGCAATGAGATGTAGCTATAATCCAGGAATAGTCAGGGAAGCAGATAATTTAAAGTGTCTCGGCCTAATAAGGGAATTGGGCAGGTGGGGATAATTAAAAGGAGTTAAAGGGGCTTTCGAGGTGATTGGGCAGCGTCAGTCTTCAGCCGCTAAGCCGAGAAGGAGTCAGTCAGAGAGCCTTGGGCCAGAGTTCCAGGGGTTCTGGGAGTGGCTGCCAGGTGAGTTGAACAGTCCGATTTCCATTGGGGTCCTGCACAGATGGGACACGGCTTAGGAGGAATCCTGGGCTTCAGGCATTCCTTGGCCTGGTGGTCAGATTTCTGGCACTTGTAGCAAGTTCCTGGGGGAGGAGGTTCTGGAGGAACGCCTGGCTGCTGTGGTTCAGGCGTTTGGAAGTTCTTGTGTGCTGGAGATGTGGCTGGGGTTTGTCTCACAGTGGAGGCAAGGAATTGCAACTTTTTTTTATTATTGTACACCTTGAAGGTGAGGTTAATTAAGTCCTGTTGTGGGGTTTGAGGGCCAGATTCCAATTTTTGGAGTTTTATTTAATGTCAGGAGCAGATTGGGTAATAAAATGTATATTGAGAATAAGATGGCCTTTTGACCTTTTAGGGTCTAGGGCTGTAAAGCGTCTCAGGGTTGCTGCCGAATGAGCCATGAACTGGGCTGGGTTTTTATATTTGATGAAAAAGAGCCTAAATGCTTCTGATTTGGGATAAAGAAAAAGGAGCATTAACCTTGACTATGCCTTTAGCTCCAACCACCTTTTTAAGAATAAATTGCTGGGCAGGTGGGGGAGGGCTAGTCACGGAACGAAACTGTAAGCCAGACCGGGTGTGAGGAGGGGAGGTGATAAAAGGATTATAGGGTGGAGGAGTGGAGGCTGAGGAAGAATTGGGACCTAGCTTGGCCTGGCGAGGAGGGGAGAGTTCAGATGGGTCTGTAGAAAAGGAAGATTAGAAAGACTCAGCAACGCTTGGGGTTGGGGCCAAGGGGACAGGCGGGAGGGAAAGAGGGAAGATTTGGGACGAGTTGCATTGGGCACAGAGACTAGGAAGGGACTGATGTGTAAAAGAATGCCTGGACGTCAGGCACTTCAGACCATTTGCCTATTTTACGACAAGAATTATTTAGATCTTGCAGGATGGAAAAATTCAAAGGGCCATTTTCCGGCTATTTGGAACTACTGTCAAGTTTGTATTGGGGTCAAGCGGCATTGCAGAAGAAAATAAGGCGTTTAGGTTTTAAGTCAGGTGTGAGTTGAAGAGGTTTTAAGTTCTTGAGAAGACAGGCTAAGGGAGAAGGAGGAATGGAGGGTGGAAGTTTGCCCATAGTGAAGGAGGCAAACCCAGAGAAAAGAGAGAGTAGAGACATGGAGGGAAGGTGTTCGGGGGTTCTTACCCTCCAGAAAAGCGGGAAGGGGGGTCAGGGCACAGAAATAAGGGATTGGGGCACAGAGATAAGAGGTTGGGGTGTGGAAATAAGGGATTGGGGGTTCTTGCCCCCTAGAAAAGCGGGACTTGCCACTAAGGGTGAAGGAGAAGGGGTTGAGGGGTACTTGCCCCTTCCCCAGAAAAGCAGAGAAGGGGTAGAGACACGGAGAGAGGAGAGTAGGGGTTGAGGAACTTGCCCCTCCCCCAGAAAAGCGGGACTTGCCGCTAAGGGTGAAGGACCAAGGCAGGCGTCCCTGCGTGGTCTGACACCACTGAAACGTGGGTGAATAACCAGAGAGGTGTCCCTGCAATGATTAAACACCAAGGGAAGGCTGCCTTCCCAGTCCGTGACCGGCGCCGGAATTTTGGGTCCACGGATAAAACGTGTCTCCTTTGTCTCTACCAGAAAATGAAAGGAATTGAAATTAAGAGAAGGGAGAGATTGAAGTGTGGCGCCAAGATTGAAAGGAGAAAGAGGTTGAGGGATACTGAGGGAGGTTGGAAAAGAGAGTAAAAAGAGGCTGCTTACTGGATTTGAAATTGGTGAGATGTTTCTTGGGCTGGTCTGTCTGAGGACCTGAGGTCGTAGGTGGATCTTTCTCACAGAGCAAAGAGCAGAAGGACAGGGGATTGATCTCCCAAGGGAGGTCCCCCGATCTGAGTCACGGCACCAAATTTCATGTGCGTCCCTGTGAAGAGACCACCAAACAGGCTTTGTGTGAGCAACATGGCTGTTTATTTCACCTGGGTGCAGGCGGGCTGAGTCCAAAAAGAGAGTCAGGGAAGGGAGATAGGGGTGGGGCCATTTTATAGGATTTGGGAAGGTAATGGAAAATTACAGTCAAAGGGGGTTGTTCTCTGGTGGGCAGGGGTGGATCTCACAAAGTACATTCTCAAGGGTGGGGAGAATTACAAAGAACCTTCTTAAGGGTGGGGGAGATTACAAAGTACATTGATCAGTTAGGGTGGGGCAGGAACAAATCACAATGGTGGAATGTCATCAGTTAAGGCTGTTTTTACTTCTTTTGTGGATCTTCAGTTACTTTAGGCCATCTGGATGTATACGTGCAAGTCACAGGGGATGCAATGGCCTGGCCTGGGCTCTGAGGCCTGACAGTTTCAATGCATGCTACTTTAAAACAGCCTCATCCATGCAGACCTCAGGGAGAAAGTTCTATCTTTCTGTAAGATTCTTTTTGAACATTTCTTTCAATTCATCCACCAATTCCAATGTGCTTCATATATTTCAGTTAAGGTTTAGTGAAGTCTTATCCCAATTCTGTGCTGGCCATTTTACAAATAGAAATTCCTAAAAGTTAATATAGCAGATATGAAATACAATGCATGGATAAGGTGTCTGAGATATTGTTACCAGGGGAGTTATCTGTTTGAATTTTCTGACTTGACTTAAAAAGCCTAACCACCTTGATGTTTGTGTAAACTTGAATTCGATTCCATTAGGGTGTAACGTTACCATTGTCTCACTTATATGTTAATAGAGTTTTGTACATTTGAGAATATATTTTCTTATAGTTGGAGGCTTTCGGACTTCTGCTTTATTTCACAGCTGTCTACACTTGAGGCCACATTTTTGGACATCTACTTTTAATTTTCATGCCTTCTGCTTCTTTGGAACCAGTTCATGTTTCTCCTGTGAAGCTATATGGAAGCTCATTTAGGGGGCATGGTACAAATTTCCAAGGAAGAATACTGAATTTTGAAAAGAGAGTAAAATAACATTATGGAAATCTTATGTTCCAACTCTGCTCTGACTCATTAATTCTCTCTGTGTGTTGCCTCGATGATCCAAATCCTCTATGTGCCTTCAAACAGGCTCTGCTCTCCTGCATTTGGTTTGGTTCCTGGGCACTTTTCCTCTGCTGCCCAGGGAGTTTTCCCCAGTCCTTGGATTTTAACACAGTGTAAGCTCATGTTCAACTCCTGCTGCTGCTGCTTTTTTTCCACTTCGGTCTCTTCATCTAAATGGATCTCACATAATTTATCTCATGCCTTATTGCAACCGTTACCACTTTGCTCCAAAAATATTTTCCTCCTATTCAACTACTTTGTCACTCAGGCTTATTGTTATGTTGATATATTGTTCACTCCTGTGCCTCCTTAACTTTCTCATATGTTGTACACAACAGCAAATGCATTTGATGTTGTGAAGCTGCAGGCCTCACAGCTTTTGCAGGAGAAAAAAAAAGTTAATTTCTAAATTTCTCACTCTGAGTGCTTTGCAAGTCTATTCTACCATTATTTCATTTCTTTGGCTTCTGTTTAAGAAGCAAAGAATTGTATATTTCTGGGGACTGATGAAATTCATTTATACAATGATATTCTAGAAAGAAAAATGTTCATTTATCTGTTTCCTTCCTTTACTTTCTCACGTGTTTTCAAAAGCTTTGTTGAAGTGCTGAGAATATACGCCATGTAACTTAGCAGGATTTATTTTAAATGTCTTGAACCAGGGAAGCTTTAAACTCACCACTTTGAGAACAATTCCATATTCCATTAAGTTTTTACTGAGGGGAATTATATCAAGTACCCTTAATTTTAACTTTTCTAATTTCATTCTGTTATTTCTGGCTAGAAATTGGAGGAATTTTACCTTGCTGTTTGTTCATAGAATTTTAGAACTGGAAGGAAACTTAGAGAATGTCTTCTCCATCATCCTGGCTTTTCAGACACCAAAGCTTAGAGTAGCTGAGTGGATTGTCATTGTAACAAAACGGGTCTTAGCAGAACTGGAGCCAAAGCTCAGGTCTTCAGATTCCCGGTGCAGATCTGTGTCCTCTCTGATGCCCAGGGATACACTGAGCATTTTCTTGTTTGTTTGTTTTTTTTTTTTTTTTTTGTCTAAGTTCTGTGAATTTTTATCTTAGAGTGTGTCATTTGGATGTGCCTCAGACTCATAAGACCTTAACTGGTTTAATTCTTCTTTTTAGGGATAGGACATTTGAATAGACAGGGCTGAGACGTATAGTCATTCATTCATCTGAGCCACAAATGGCTCATTTTGGTGACCTGGCCCAAGCACTATTCCTCATGTATAGAAAGCTCTTTATAAATATTGTTGAAGAAACGATAAATGAAAAAATTTCCTTGTTTTATTCATATGTTGTGAACTGTAAGGCAGAAAAAGAAGAAAAAAAGATTTACTGCTATCAGTGAAAATATAATCTTGAAGCTGAAAGCACAGGTGGAAATAACAGTGTAAGAAACCATATTTAATTGCCAGAATGAAAGTGCTATAAAAGTTCAGAAATGCAAAACTAGTAGAACCAGTGCCTATAAAAATATAAGGAGTGTGGCTAGAGTAAACACCAGAATATGTTGTGTAAAATAGGGAATATGTCTGAAGTTTGGAAAGCATGTGTACATGACAGATAAAATAATGAGAAATAAAGAGAAACACTACTTTCAACAGAGAAAATTGAGGGAAATCATTAGAGAGAGAAAGAAAGCAGAAATTAATTTAAGTACACTCATAAATAATCGATTCACAGTATTTAATGTTTCTTAAAAATGTAAATCACTTTATTGTGTGGGTTTTAAGAGTATCTCACAAATGTACCTCGAGGCCTTTGACTCAGTGCTTAAACCTGCTAGGTAGGGAGAATAACTTATAACTTTCCCAATGAACTCTTTTACTAAAATCTAGATTCTTATTAATTCTTCTAAGTGAATTGGTAAAGGGAGCAAATGCACTTCTTTACTATTGATTCAAAACATAAGGTGACGACTTAATAAATAATTTAGATTTTTTCATTAATTAGGCATCTCCTGAGATAAGGCTGAATATTAAAAAGCATCAGTACTGAGGTTTGCACTCCTTTAGAACTGGGCTTTGGGTTATACCTGAAGACATTAAACACCCCGCCTGTGGTGTTTACTTCATTATTCCCATATGAAAAATGAAAAAATTTATTCCAATACCTGCTTCTCTTTGGGATTAGAGGAAAGGCATTGGTGAAACTCAGAATGCCTGGACTTTGATTCTGGCTATATATCTTAAACAATTAAAGTTCTTGAGAACACAATTTCCTTATGTGCTAAATTAGAACTATATTACAAGGCTACTTTCTGTCAAGATTTATGTATTAGGTAAGGTTCTTAGATTTCAAGTAGCAAAGGAATTTATTGAAAGACAGTATTGGAATCTAAAAATAAGTCACACAATCAGGCTTCAGAAGAGATGACCCCGGAAGGTCTGAGGCTTAGAGGAGCAATGGGCGACAGCTCCTTTCTTCAGGACCCTTCCACTGGGATGAACGTAGCTCCTTTGTCACAGAGCTTCAGGTGCAACTTCCTGCAACCGAGTATCCGATTGGAGGATACTCAATCCCTGGATAACGGACAAGCCTCTAACCCAGGCTAGGCCTATCCAGTGCTCTCTCTCTAGAAGCTGAGTTTCAGGAAAGAGGGCTGCGATAATAGGAAGGTAATGATACGTATTCCCAGGAAAGTCAATTCTGTAGAGCTTAAGCACCAAGCACCAAGCACCAAGTCCAAGGTCTTATCTCCCAGTGACTCTAACATTTTTTTTTTCTCACCCAGGATACATACACTTTCACTAGAAACTGTAATCAGATTTTGCTTTAGGGAATTCTCCTTCTTTCATCAGATAAAGGCTTTGGAGATGCTTTAGTTATCAATTACTACAAAAAAGCAATCCCAAACTTGGTGAAACGGGAGCGTTCCCTGATCCCCCTCGCAGGATGTGCACTGCGGAGGGGGGCGGGGTGGAAGGGGGTTGGCTCACCTATTCAATCACCCCGCTGCTGAAGCCGCTTGCTGGAGGGGAAGCATGCAGACGGACAAGTGAAGGAGCCAAAGTGGGCATGTGTTACAGTGTGCCCTTTTTGCCTTGCCCTTTGTGGAGTGCTTGAGTATTAACCAGCTCAATGGACCCTTTGCCTTTCTGTAAGGCAGAGGGCCAATGTGACAGCTTTCTGTATCCTGAGCTCTTGTCCAGCGTCCCAGAAAAATTGGGTCACACACGGATTGGAAGGATGAATGCGGAAGCGTTTTTTTGTTTTTTTTTTTTAATAGAGTTTCTCTCTGTTGCTCAGGCTGGAGTGCAGTGGCGCCATCTCGGCTCACTACAACCTCCGCCTCCCGGGTTCAAGCGATTCTTCTGCCTCAGCCTCCCAAGTAGCTAGGATTATAGGCACGCGCCACCACTCCCATCTGATTTTTGTATTTTTAGTAGAGATGAGGTTTCACCAGGCTGGTCTCGATCTCTTGACCTCGTGATCCGCCCATCTCGACCTCCCAAAATGCTGGGATTACAGGCGTAAGCCACCGCGCCCAGCCGAATGCGGGAGTTTTACTGAGTGATGGAGGTGGCTCTCAGCGTGATAGGTGGGGAGCCAGAAGTGGGGGATGGAGTGGGAAAATGATCTTCGCCTGGAGCCGTCCCCTATCGCCCCCAGCCAAAATCCTCTCTGCGTTCAGATGTTCCTCCTCTTCTCTCTCTGCAGCGGCCTTCTGCCGTCTGCCTGCTTGTATCCTCCTCTCCTACCTGCTGGTCTGCTCTGGAGTCTGGGGTTTGAGGTTTATATGGGCACAGGATAGGGGGTGTGGCAGGCCAAAAGGCAACTTTTTGGGCGTGAAGACTGGAATGCCTGCTCTTATTGAGGGCCACAGGTATCTAGGCTTGAGGGTGGGGCCTTTGCCAGGGAACCGCCCGCTTCTACCCACTATTTCCCTATCTCCTGTCTATATCATTAGTGGTTGGAGACAAAAACCATGTCATTATTTATGATTCTTTAAGTGAGGAATACAGGCAGGGCTCAGTGGGGACAGCTCATCTCTGCTTTTCATGGTGTCAGCTGAGGAGGCTCAACTGGGGCTAGAGCATCCAAAATGGCCTCACTCACATTTTTGGGAGCTAGAGATGAGCCAGGGAGTCCACATGTATGGTTAGGTTCTTCTCCTGTTCTATCCTGTTTCCTCATTCCTTTAAACTAACCCCCATCTCAGACTCTTCCTCCAGGGAACTCAGCCTAAGTTTCTGGGCCTCTATATTGTCTACTGTACAGGGAGGAGTTGGGCTAAATAGCCTGTTGAACTCCTTCCAGGTTTGAGGTATGAGGCTTGGGATTTCATGAATTACTCTTTCCTGCCCCCTCTCTCTTCCTCCCTGAGTGAAAGGGGAGTGTTTCCCCAGATCCTGCAATCCACAATGTTGGTGGGCAGTAGAAAGTTCATAGGATTTCAAGTCACACAGACATAAATTTACTTTTAACACTGGGGCCTTGCACCTGCTATTTAATTTCTCTGGGCCCCAATTCTTTTGTCAGGAAAAATGGAGATATCTGTGTCTATCTCAGAAAATTGCTATGAAAATTAACTGCAATAAAACATTTGCAGCACAAATAGAGGATCTGGTACATAGAAGCTGCTTAATGAATATTATTCCCTTTCTCTCCTTTTGGCTAAAGGCGCCATCCTTCTGGGACTTTATTACATTCCCCTTGGGACAGAATAGATCAAAATTTCAGTACAATGCATTTTCCCATGATGTGGCTTGACATGTAATAGTGCTTAAATGATGTCCTTGGAGAGTACGGTGATTTGTTGTAAAGTGTCAACAGCTGAGATCTGACCTCACCTCTTAACCCAGGACTAAAGTAGGGACCCAAAACCCAAGATTCACTAGCGTTTAAAGAAATAAAAGTTATGAAATATCAGTGTTTAGTTTCCAACAAACTCACAGAATTCAATAAGGAAAATATATGAGAGAATGGATTTTCACCTTTTTCATATTCATTAAAAGAAACTCATAGACCATACCAATACCTCCCTTACCTCACTTTAGGCTGTGCTGGTTGTTATGGCTTGGCTGTGTCCCCACCCAAACCTTATCTTGAATTGTAGTCCCCATAATCCCCATGTGTCATAGGAGGGACCAGGTGGAGATAATTGAATCACGGGGGTGATTCTGCCATCCTGTTCTCCTGATAGTGAGTGAGTTCTCACAGGATCTGTTGGTTTTATAGGGGGCTTCCCCCTTTGCTGAGCACTGATTCTTCTCCTTCCTGCCACCATGTGAAGAAGGGAGTATTTGCTTCCCCTTCTGCCCTGATTGTAAGTTTTCTGAGGTTTCCCCAGCCCTGTGGAACTGTGAGTCAATTAATTCTCTTTCCTTTATAAATTACCCATTCTTGGCTATGTCCTTATAGCAGTGGGAGAAAAAACTAATACACTAGTTTAAAGTAAAAAACTATTAAGACTCCAAGTTGGAACTTCATTGCATGGTTTATTTGCTCCTGAGTCAATAAAACCTCAAGACTGAACTTTCAAAATGAAAACCACAAATTCGTCCTCTTATCTTACTATCAGCCTCTCAGCTTTCACATTCACCAACTGATAAGCCCCTTAAAATTCTTAGGTTTTAAATTTTCTGCCAATAAAAAGTGAGCGTGACACCGTTCTCTCTACCAGTAGCTAGCCACCACTATATTTCAATGAGGATTCACACTGCATGATTCCATGGCTGAATTCATCCAATTCTTGGTACCATGGTGAAGGATGTGCTTTCAGAGCTCTTTCTATAATCTCTTGGAGACACTACTTTCTCACTCACACAGTTTGCCTGCCAATTTGGGGCTCCTTCTTTCATCAGAGGACCACAAACTCTGATTGTTCAATTAATTTTACATAAGATCAGCATGGGATTCTCAAGAGTGTTCCAGAATCATTTGTTAAGCACCATGCTTCACATACCAGATAGTAACTTGAACCCACTTTTAGAGCATGTTCTTTTATTGATACTGCTTGAAGAGTTGCTCAATGTATTTATTAGATAGCATGCACCAAGTGAGATTGCACACTGATCTAAGAAATAATTGCAATAACAGAGAATGTACTGATGGGGGGAAGTTTTTCTATATCGTATATATTCCTAAATTCATAATTTAAGGAACCCTATGATTCTTAACTCTGCTTTTCATTAAAGACAATACACAGAGAAATAAACTAAATGGGCACTATATCTAATTTAGCCTCACTAATAATCAAAGAATTACTAACTAAAATAACTACAACATTTGTGTCTATCAACTTGGCTAATGTAAATTATAAGAGGAGAATATGTAAAAAATTGTTATTCACTTCTGATATGGGTATAAATTCAGACAAACATTGTGGAGGGCAGTTTGGCAATCTGTGTCACAACTCTAAAAAGATGGAAAATCCAGTTCCACGTTTAATAGAAACACTAAGGAAATCATCAGAGACATGTTCAACAATGTTTTGACAGTGACGTTTTTGAAATTATTATCCTTAACAATAAAAGCAAAAAAGGAAATGGCCAAGAATAAGAAATCAGTTTAGTAAACTATGGCATGTCCATTCATTGAAATACTATATACCTGTCAAAAATGATTTTCAGAAAAGTAGATGAGAAAAATAATTGTTACAAGAAAAAATTGCATAAAAGCAAAATGTAGTGGCCGTTTATTTAAAGTAAACAGAAAGATATTTATGTGTAGCTAGTAGGTTGGTGCAAAAGTAATTGTGGCTTTTGCCATTACTTTCAAAGGCAGAAAACACAATTACTATTGCACCAACTTACTGTTTCGGTGTATTTATGTAAATATATATCTATATGTATATATTTATTTATACATGGTATGTGTGTGAGAGTGTGTGTGTAATATATTTTCTCTTTCCTAGACCACTGTCACTAAACTGGTGTGTTTGTGCTTCCACTCTGTGTCACTTCAGTTAATTTCCACAAACAGCAAGAGTGACCTTTTTGACCAGATCATGTCACTGCCTTGCTGAAGATCCCCAGTGGCTTCTTCTAGTGGCTCCACTTAGAATAATGCAAAACTCTTTACAAAGACCTTCAAGGCCATGTATGGTAACTCCTTTCTATCTTCCCGGCCTCATCTCTTTAACTCACTGATTCTCTGTTTCAACATGTGCAATGAACAATATTCTGTGCAAAACTGTTCTGATAATGTGAGTGAAGTTATAGAGCTCCAGTTGTAGCATTCTTCAGATGTGCTGAGTCAGAGAAAGTTAAGAATGTTAGGCAACTGGGGTGAAAACTCACTCAGCTCATCTCTGTTATCAAGGAGTCAGAGATGATCGAAGTGGAGAAGGAATGGGGCTGAAGGGAGAAGAGCACCCACAAAGCTTACCATCTTTAGTCTCAATTTGCTCCTTTGGCTCAGGGGGATTGTTAAATCAGGTTTTAAAGATCTCATAGGTCTGTTCTGAAAATGCAACCTGGAGCAATTTCCTTAATTAAATCTTTCTGCTGTGGGTAGAATATTATTTAGCTAATGTTATTTCTATTTCCACAAGTTCCCTGAGATAGCCAAATTAAGCATTAAAATAATAAAATGTCATTTTGTTTTTGTTTTATAATGCTCCATTTATTCTATTATTGGGCTTCTTGTCCACACAAGACCACCTCATTGAATATTTGCAAAACAAGGGAAGTTGAGAAAGAAGAAAGTTAGCAGCCATTTTTCCTATTATAAAAATAATACATTTGGTGCAGAAGTCTTCAAGAAAAAGTTAAAATTTCCCGTAATCTCACCAACTAGAGAGAAACACATAGGCATATATGTAATTCAGTTACATATTTATGTCTGTGTCTACATGTCTATATACATACATATATCTATTCTAACATGATACCTTAAATGCCTGTATATGTGTTTGTATGTATGTGTATATATATATATATGTATATGATATATATCTTTTACATGCATGTAAGGTATGTACGTAAGGTATGCGTGTTTGAATAGATATGTGTGTGTATGTGTATATATATGGTATGCATGTTTGAATAGATAAACACACACATATAGACATACATATATATATAGGCTCATGTGTGTAAGTACATATGTATATCAAAACAGCATTATGTGGACACATTATAGCAACTTCCCATTTACCAGGATATAACATTCTCCATGAAGCAAATCCAGCCAGTTTCTATGATCCTAGGTCACCAGTCTGATTTTTCAGCCTCTTCTCAACTTTCCTATATTTTCTTAGAAGAGACTTCTTCTAGATTCCAATTGTAGTGAATAACGCACATAAAGAAAAAAGGCTTGGCCAGATATTAATATCTGAGGCTAATCTTTACTTGCATAACCCAGAAATTTAACCTTTGATTCAGCCAAACTAGGTAAACTCCAGAATTCCCAGCCTCTGGCATTTTGCTGTCAATTCACCTTCTCCCTAGATGGCCTTCTCCATCCATTTTCTGTGTGTTTAAATCCTACTTGAGTGTTTAAATCCTTTCAAGTGACACTTTTACATGGCTGTCTTTTCTGACCTGAGTTCCAGATCTTTTCTTTGTATTTTTTATGGGACTTACTGTATCTACCAGCTACTGTATCTGCCAGTAGCTTCTCTATTTGCCTTACCTACTCCTCCACAACCATGGTAAGAGCCCTCTGCCACTCCAACAACATAACCAGCCTAACTGATGGGGAAACCAAGCCTCTATATTCCACGGTTCATTTTTTTATGTTTAAACATTACAAGTAGTGTTGAAAAGGAACAGGAAAAGGAATTTCCAAGGCGAGGGACAGAAGTTTCAGAATCCACCCAGCTGGGGAGAGATGAGAACCTGGGAGACAGGACCAGAGAACCACAAACTTTTTTTTTTTTTTTTTTTTTTACTTTTATCTTGGCAGATAAAATAGGGGAAACACAGCAGAGAGGCCACTAGCTAGAAATACATGAAGAAAGAATTTGCTGAATTCCTGTCCTCTGAGTAAATGGAAAAGGAAGAACTCCATCATTGGAAGCACCAATTTACTCAACACTTATGACATGCCAGCCTTAGTACTAAGTACTTAACATATATGACCTCATTTAACCTTTAAAAAGCATGGATCATCATTAATCCCATTTTAAAGATGAAATAACTGAGTTTCAGAAAAGTTAAGTAACTGTCAGTCTCTTAGCTTAGAAAAAAGCAGCAAGTTGGGACTTAAATGTAACTTTATGAGCTTCTAAGCCCCTACTCTTAGCCATTTTCTTACACTGACTTCCAGCGGAGATGGTAAGGGCAGAGGTTTGGAAATGTTTCCTGGGAAGAGTGGGTAAGGGAGGTAACCCAATCCAGTGACCAGCCTGGAGCGGGACACCCCACCTTGCTGCAACATTGCAGTGTGTGTGTGTGTGTGTGTGTGTGTGTTTTAGATGAGGACAGGGTGAAAGATAGCGTCCCTGTTGCAGTTCTGCCCTGATACCTTATCAAGGAAAACAAGTACTTCTTGAGGACATGGCCCAAGACACATTGACTGCGGCCAGTGAGAAGAAAGTCCGGGACTCAGCTGGACCCACTGACAATGGCTGTCAGGTAATTGGCCACTTCAACAGGGAGAGGAACTCTGGCCATGAAGACAGGAGAAATTGAAGTGTCACTAATATAGGGGAGGTGCCAGCCCATACCTGAGCCAAGAGCCACTGATGGTGTGAAAAATTGAGGTGGGGCAAGAGCCACAGGCCCCATAAAGCTGCTAGAGAGAAGGGACTTGGGGTAAAATTCTGGTTTCTGACACAAAGTTGGTGAGAGGGGAAGCTCCAATCACTGGTTTTGTCTTATTATTTCCAGTTAAACTGTGCTTCTCCATCCTTGATCTTTGAGACTCTTTTGCTGACAGGATCTATGTAAATATCTCTATTAAAAGAAGACAAAAACCCCTATCCTCCCCAGGGCTTACTTTGGAATAGAAGAGAATAAAGATTCCAGTGTGCCCCCCTGCATGTCTTCACTGCCTTAGGCCTATAGCCTACAGTCATGGTTGGGAGGAGGGAAGCCCATACACTTTGAACTGATCCCATCCTAAACATTTGATCAGAGATTTAAGAAGTTTCTAAAGGAAAGCTAAAGTGAAGAAACAGGAGACTATTCATGTGATTCAGGAAAACATAGCAATAATTCTTTCACTATGAAACAGAAGAGATGGGAGAGGATGAAAGGCAGGAGGATAAGTTATCATCCCTAATAAATTAAGAATTTTGGACTTTTGGTCAGCTGACATGACAGGGATTTGTGATTCTAGGACAAGGAGAAAACGGAAGACAGGAGAAATATCTTAGCAGAGAGAGTAAAGATTGATCCCAAACAGTAAAGACTGGGACCTAGGGAAGAAGATGCTGCCAGTGAGAGTCTGTTTCTAATTGTAAAAGCTGATGAACTTAAACAGTGTCACTGTATGGTATTGCATATAAGTTGTTTCTTATACTGTGTTTTTGTAGCATGTATGAATTTCAGAAGCTATAAAGTCAAATGTGCAAAAAAAATTCATTTTTTTCTAAAATGAAAATTAACTTTTCTCTTGAATCCCTGTCACCTGGGGCTAGAAACTTAGTCTTATTCTATTTCATAACCAAGAGAGGAAAACCATAGTTTTACTATATTTTGCCTCTCCCTAGATGTGCATCTGTGTTTCAAGAGGCTAATGGAGCCCCAAAGCATCAGGAGAATAAGGACATTTACATCCATTGTGATTGCATTGGGCTGCAAGTAAGAGGAACCCTAATTAATCAGTGACTAATGGGATATAATTTTTCTTATATAATAAAAAGACTAGAGTCAGAGGGTCCTGGTCTGATATGATGGCTCCGTGATGCTATTAAGGACCCAAGCACTTTCTATGTTTCTGCCCAGCCATCACCAGCATCTTAATTTTGTTCTCACACATGTCTCATGCCACTAGGTGACTGCTCCACCTTTGGCACCTTGTTTCCATTCCAGGATGAAAGAAGAGGAAGTACAAAGGTCCCCAAAGGCACATGTTAGCTGAGTCAGCACCTTGTGGGAAAGTTTTTCCAATTTATGCTTGCATCTCAGTGGCCTGAATAATATCAGATGACCATTCTTAGTTGGAGAAGAGTTGGAAAATGCAATTAAAAAAAACTATTTCAAAACAAAATGGTTGTCTGATTGCAAAGAAGAGATAGTGGATATTAGGCAGGCAACCAGCAGTGTCTTCCACAGGTGTTACACTCAGTCTGCAACAGCATCTTTTGAGATACAGTTTCTCAATTCCCCAGTCTCCATTTTCATTGACATTTACTTTTCTTCTCCATTGAAATGCAATGGTCCAAGAAGATAATGGATTTTGTGCAGAAGACTGGGTGGATGGAAGGAAGATATAGTATTGCTGATTTGGGCATCTAACACAAGAGAAGACAAAAATGCCCATGTTTCCAATACTCTTATTTGAATAAGTAAAGCCTCTCTAGTGTTTAGGCCGTACTCTACTATTGTCACTGTTGGGCCTCTGGGTACTCCAGCAACATCTGCAATTTACTATAGGCTAGAGTATTGCTAAATCCCATGGAAAATCAATCGCTTGCTACTCTCAAATAACTTTTAGTGTTTAACTAACCCCATAACCTCTAACAACACACTGTAAATTCTCGGTCTTTGAAAGCAGAATCTTGACGATATTCTTTTCTTCTGTGTTGTGAGTTCCTTTGGTCAAAGGGACAGACTCATCACTCATTTTCTCCGGCTATATAAAAGCAGGTTTCTGGACAATTTACAGATAAATTAAGGCAAGTTTTTTTCAGCCCTCTGTCAAGATAAAGACCTGATTGAAAAAGACATAAATTACTGTTATTTTTTAATGATTATCAGTCAACATATTACCGTATACTTTCTTTAAGCTACTGTGTCTGTTATGTCAAAGGAACACTCTGGGGTCAATAAGTTTGCTATGTGCTTCAGGAGTTTCTCTTGGGTTAGTGAATTATTTAGGCTCCTTTAGGATCTCAGGCAATCTGTTTCTCCAGACATCCTGCATTGTCTGCCGGTAGCTTAGAATTTACAGCAACTTTAGAGAATCCTCCCTAACACACTGGTGTCTACAGTCCCTGGTCTATGACACAAGGCAAGTCTCCTTTGTGAAAACCACCATAAGTCAGGGAATAGATTCAAAAAATATTCCTTCTGAGCGAAAACTCTAAAAGAAATAGAATTTCTGTGGGAGAGTTTGGGGAGCTGTGAAGATTTGAGAGACCCTAAAGCAGCCATCGTTCAACTCATTTGGGTCACAGACCTCTTAGAGAATCCTATGAAATGTATAAATCCTCCACCCAGACAAATATGCAAATGTTCTTGGGGCTCACTTTTTGTGTGTATTCTTCCAGGGGGAATCAAAGAACTATTTAAGCTCAGGCTGAGAACTCTTGCTTCATCTAGACAATTCTTGCATTAGCAGAAAGTGTGGCTATCTCTTTTCTATCATGACCCAATTTGGGGTGCAGGAAGGAAGCAAGGGAAATGGGAGTAGAAGCCAAGACTGGGGAGACTAGAAACAGAAGACCCTATAATGTCCAACCTGACCTCTGCCCTCAAGTCCTCTAACCTTCAGAGCTAGGGATTTCACCCCCTCCTTTAGTTCCTGTCCAATCTCTGATGTGTAACCAAGCCAGGCACCTGGTCTTGCTCTTTCATGTGGGATCCGGGTCCAGGAACCAGGCCTAGAAACAAAGTTTTTGTCATACTCCTATGAACAAGCTCCTGCCATATATATTCTATTTGTAGGCATGAATCATTCATCTTTTGCCCCATTGAAATCTTAGAGTCCTGGCCCCAAGATAAAAATGGGTCCAATTTTTTTTTATTTCTTTTTCTCTAGCCTTATTTGTGCTGTTGGCTTTGCTCACAGTCTGTCCAGTTCATATTGTTTCCAGGAGAGGAGAAGAAGTCAGCAATGGGAAATGGACTTTTCTTAGGTCCTCTGGAGTTTTTCAGGCTGGAGTTCATCAATGAGATAAACGGCTTTCTAATCCCTTTGTATTATACCTTTTATCTTTTTCTTTGTGAAATATTTTGTCAGATTCTATTAGATACGAGGTCATGTTTCCTGTTTTCAAGATGTTTGAAATCTAAGGGAACAAAGAGAAAAATGGAGTATGATGTGCATCTTCAGACTGAGATAAATGGTAATAAGATGGTGATATACAGAGTTCTCAGAGGAAGAAAACTCGCTTTGAGCCATAGGGAACAGGAAGCCAGGGATTTGAGCAGAGACCTGAATGATGGTCTATTTCCCACAGGACAACCATTCTCAATTTTTTTCTTTAATGGACCTTTGAGAATCTCATGAAGATAGGGGAAGGCCTCTGAGAGCTGTGGTAAAGCCAGCTAATAATTAAAAATCAAGGTCCTGAACTGTAGCCATAACATCAGGATAGCCTGGGCAGGTCATTTTCATGATGTATCTGGATAACCTCACCTATAAAGCAGAATTGAAGGAGATATGACTAGTAATAACTCAGGCTTCTACTTGCTTTAAAATTTATAATTCTATCATCTAGTTTATTACCCTGTATAGAGCCATACTTATTGTTCCAAAGAGATTGAATATGTTTTTATCAAAAGAAAAATAATTCTTGTATCTCATCCCAAAATCACAAAATTATTGAAAAATGTATGCTACCCACACTGGAATTTTAAAGACCCTAACATTTCTCAGCTTCTAATTTAAGGGGTTCATTATAAATAATGAAGGCCAAACTTTACTGAACAATGAATATGTGTCAAGTAAATCGCTAAGTGCATTGCATGCATTATATCATTTAATCCTTCCATTAATTCAATGGATAAAGTGCTATTGTTATTATTATGTACTATATTATTATTCTCATTTTATAGATTAGGAAACTAAGGGCTGCAGCTATTAGGTTACTTTCTCAAGGAATCTCAGTCTGATTTGAATTTGGGCACTCAAATTCCACAGCCCAGGCACTTCAATCACTGCAATGGCTTGTTTTACTGGTGGGGTGACTTATAATGTTTCCTGGGCCACAGATACTTTGAAAATTGAATGAATTCACAGTCTGCAAGCTTGCATATAGAAAGTTTGCACAAATGCACACGTGCACACACACTCATATATACACTTAAACATGTGCACATACATATATATTTTCCATACATTTTAGGATCCTAGAAACTCTTTTGAGGTCTGTTCTATGGAGTTCAGTCTAAGCTTCCCTACTGAAGGCCAGAAATAGCTGGAGAAGACTGTGGAAAGACTGGTCAGGATTAGTCTGGACAGAGACAGCTCGTCCAGTCTATCTTTGCAAAGGATAGAGAGCATGACTGTTGGTTGCCACGCGGGTGGGGTCGGCCGGAAGACTCTGATGCAAGAACAACCTACCCCTGGGATCCTGCCAGCCTGGTGATGTCGCTGACCTGTCACTGCTCATGGGGCAAGGACATTGGGACTGATTTTGTCCATGGAAACAGGATCATCTTTCTCCAGTCACTCTTTCTTTGCCACAGTCCTCCTTAGCTTGTCCCCAAATAGAGTGCCCCCTCAGGGGTGACCTAGGCCTTTCAAAACCAGTCCAGAAAATGACATTAGATCTGCTACCCTCCATTATAGTGAGACATATAGTCATATTCAACGAATTAGGAACAAACATTTTAAGAGTAAGCATTCTCAAACGATGTGTAAAAACTTCAACGCAGTTTGCTTTTCCACTGAAAAGAAAATCTGAGAAGGCAAGGCGGGACTGTGGGTTCCAATAACAAGGTTACCTCCTCTCCTCCCAGCTCACCTTCTCACCTGGCTCTTCCTGAATTTCTGCCTGACCCAGATGCGGCAGTCTTTGCGAGTGAAAGGTGACGCGCTCTGTCCACTAGGGGGAGACTTGCTCACATTTATCCCCTGGCTCTAGCTAAGAATTGGAACTTGTTTGTAGCGGCAGCTCCTTGACCCGGTTTTCTTTGCTATGCAAAGCATTTGAATTTGATTAAAGAAATCCTCTGCTTAAATTTTCAACTCTCATTCCAAGAGGTGATGAGGATGCAGTAATGACTAGTGTGCAAATAAGGTAGTGACTTTCTCCAGTGCGCTCTGAGGTGCGTGGCTTGAACCGGCCTGGGAGGCGCCCGCAGCCCCAGGCCCTGGGAAAGCGCGGCTGCAGTGTCGCAGGTCCATGTGGGCCACGGTGGACCTAAGTAGGCACCGCACCCTGCAGCCTGCCCGGCCTGTGAAGTTTTTAGATTGTTCGGCCAGGCTGACTCACGCAGCTAAGGCAGGAAAATGTGCCCGAGGCGATTGCTGGTGGTATTCAAACAATCCTATTTTCTTTTCTATTTTTCTCTCCTCTGCCCGCCTTCAGTCCCTGTCCCCTTCCGTTCTCTCTTAGTGGCCTTTAGCAGTGGCGGGCCCAGCGATTGGTTCTCAGAGATAAAGGAACTTCTGTCTCCGACCTTGTCTGAAGATTGCTCCTCAAGTCTGTGAATTTCTTGAGGGATGTACATTCAAATAATGTTTGGAATTGTGTGTCTTCCATTAAGATGTGTAATACACATATATGCACAGGTACTTCTTTGAGTTTTAATTTTTCTGACTTTAGAAATAACTTGAGTTGAGTTTTGTTCGTGAAAGCAGAAGATGGAAGGAGTAAGTGTCACAGGTCCCCCACTGCTGTCCTTCCTTTAATTTAACTTTGTAATGGGCCTATGCATTTAGAGAAGAGCCAGGGAGCTGAGCTACATATTTCTATTTTCTTGTATTTCCCTTAAAATGTATTATTTGATACAGAATAGGTAGGGTTGTCCTTACATGTCACTATCCTCCATATCTGAGGACACATTTGTAATTTAGTGTCTACTTAAAAGCAAACTTATAATATAAAAAAGTAGTTTTAAACCAGAACAAATTGTTGTTATTTTGCCTTTTAAGAGAAGAAGCATATTTCATATCAGTGAGAAAATTGAACCCTCTGCTGCTACCTTTCCATTGCAGAGAGGTGGGAAGGGGACACCCAGAGGAGACAGTCTGTGTAGGGGACACTGATGAGTGTTTGGAGTTACAGTGGTAAGCCCTGAGCTGAGTTTGGGAGTCAGGGCTGGAGAAAAGGGAACTGTTCTTCCACCGGATGAATTTGGATAGATATTCCCCGACGACAGGTGGGGTGGAGGGCATCAGAAGACCAGAGAATGGAGGATGAAGATTGGTGTGTTTGAGAGATTTAAAGTAAAAACTGACCCCAAGATGTAAACTTGGGGTCCTCTATTTCCCAACTCATCAGTAAAGTCTGTACAGCACAAAGGAATTCTGTTGATCCTTCTTATTTTTTATGGAAATCAAGAAAAATGTGTAAGGCTCCTTTCGTGTGTGTGCATTCTTTCAACTAATATTTATTAAAATCTGCTGTGAAGCAAGTTTTATTCTAGGTGCTAGTGATACAGAGGTGAACAAGAAAATAAGATTCCTACTCTCTTAATCCTTACCCTTGAGTGGGGGAGAACAGATGGTAAATAAACAAAAGTAAACAAGGTCATTTCAGAGAGCAGCAAGTTCCATGAAGACTAACAAAATGGTAGGTGTTGCAGAGTAACTGGGCTGGGAGTGGGAGGGTATGTCAATATCCAACCAAGAAATGAAAACCACCTCAGGATTTTTTTTTCCATTTTTAAAATTGTAGTAAGATACACATAATGTAAAATTTAGCACCTTCACTATTTTAAACTATTAAATGGTGTTAAATATACTCATAGGTTGTACAGTCATCACCACCATCCATCTGCATCATCCTTTTCATCTTGTGAAACTGAAACTTTATACTCGTTACACAACACTCCCTGTTTCCCCCACTCCCCATCACCTGGCAAGCACCATTCTACTTTCTGTCTCTAAGATTCTGTCTACTCCAAGTACCTCATATAAGTGGAATCATACAGTATTTGTCTTTTATCTTTTTGTGATTGACTTATTTCACTTAGCATAATATCCTCGAGGTTCATCCATTTTGGAGAATGTGTCAGAATGTCTTTTCTTTTGAAAGCTGAAGAGTATTCCACTATATATGCATGCCGTATTTTGCATATCCAGTCATCCTTCAGTGGACACTGGAGTTGATTTCACTTTTTAGCTATGAACATGGGTGTGCAAATATCTCTTCCAGTCACTGCTTTTAATTCTTTTGGATAAATACAATCACTTTGAGATTTTTTTTAAAAGATCTTTAATTCAGGGCATTTATTACAAAATTAGTGGAATACTGGAGGAGCAAAAGGGGAGATTTTGCCAGTGGGAGGCAATTGGGAGATTAAAAGGAAGCGGGGAGGGAGAGGCAGGGTGTGGTGGCTCATGCCTGTAATCCCAGCACTTTGGGAGGTCGAGGTGGGCGGATCATGAGGTCAGGAGTTCCAGACCAGCCTGGCCAACATGGTGAAACCCCTACTAAAATACAAAAATTAGCTGGGCGTGGTGGTGCATGCCTGTAGTCCCAGCTACTTGGGAGGCTGAGGCAGGAAAATGGCTTGAACCCAGGAGATGGAGGTTGCAGTGAGCCGAGATCGCGCCACTGCACTCGAGCCTGGGCTACAGAGGGAGATTCCGTCTCAAAAAATAAAATGAAATGAAATAAAATAAAATAAAATGAAAAAGAAGAAAGTGGGGAGGGAGAAGCCACGTTTTCTTCTGTATTTGGTGGGGACTTCGCCAGCAGCAGCTTCCACAGACAGCAGTCCTGGGTTCCTGCTCACAGTTGCAAACAGCAGCAGGGGTCTTTCACCTCTGCTTTTCCACCCCTGAAAGTGATAGCAGCTTCTTGTTTTTATTCTCCAGATTCCTCCACCCAGAGATGTGAGGCTTGTTTGCAGTTCTGTACACAGCACAGCTGAACCTTTTCACTCAGGTTCCTTTCCTCTTTCCACACAGCTAGATGACAACTCTAACCTCCTCAAGCACAATCCATGTTAGAAGGAAAGATCTAGAGAGATGCTAAAATAAGGCACACTAGGCAAAGTAGAGGGTTTGGTGCCAGTCTACATACGGCACGAGATCCTCAGTCTGCCTTCCTTAGCCTATTTCCAGATCGCTGGCTGGCAGACGAGCCTGATCCCACTGCCTTGCCTCTGACCTAGAGTTACAGTCATCTTCCCTCCAAGTCTGAGCAGCCACACGAACCCCAGATACTTACATCTGGGAGCACCCCAGTGACAAAGCCAGTGACTTAATGTATTTAATCTATATGTATCCATTATTTTGATAAATGTTTAACCATATATTTATTTTTAAATTGCAAGAATGGGATGGGAGGAAGTGGAGACACTGAGAACAGACAATTTTAAAATGTTTTTCCATAAATGGTAGCAGAGAATTCAGGCAATAGTTGGAGCAGTACATAAGATTAAGGGTTTTTAAGTTTGGAGATACCATGGTATTGTTGGAATAATACAGAAGGGCGGGAGAAATTGATGATGCAAGAATGAATGGAAAATGGCAGGAGCCTAGTTCCTGAGATAAGAAGGGATGGCTAGAGAGGTGTGGAAGACACACAAATCAATAGCTGCAGGGCACAATGTGAAAACAAGAATTCAAGAGCAGTAGACAATCTAAGCGAGAAGTAAAAAGACCACCTACCCCAAGAATTCACAAACCTCTTGGGGAGGACATTGGACATTTAACAGGGAGTGGAATGATGGCTTGAGCAAATCTTACCAGATCTTATGGGGCAGGGTGACCCATTTTACGTCTGGGTTCATTCATTCCTTAAGTGGAAACAGAACATTTTAAAGCTGTTTCTAATTAAAATTCTGTCTGTTTTACCTTAGCCTTCCCTTTCTTAGTCTTATCTTTCACTTTTTAACATATATTAATACTTTATATTCTAGTCAAATGGCACATTGGAAGTCCTGAACAAATGCTTGTTGAATTAAATAAATAAATTGGACTTATTTATAAGAGACTTGAGGTCTCTTTGGCCTTGCCGGAGCTCTCAGTTCCTGCAGCCCATGTTTTCCTGGATCTGCACTTTTTAAAAAAAATTTCTTAAAGCATTTTTTTTTCTTCCTGAAATAGTCTCTGCTTCATCTGTTTTTCTGCTTCTCAAAATCTTATTCCTTCTTCATGTCCAGCTTAAATACAACTTTGAGAAGGCTTTTTGACCTTTCCATCTAAATGTGATATCCTGTCTTCTGCATTCCATAGAATTTTCTTTATCTGGCTGATGTTTCTTACCCTGTGTCAGGAATTATGATTATCTGTGGAGTTGTTAAAATGTCCTCTACTAGACTATGAGAACATTGAGAGCAGTAACCACATCTTATTCACCTTTATTTACCTTGAACCACTTGGCACAGCATCTTGTGTGTAGGAAGTTTTCAACAAATAGATTAATTTGAATTTAATTTTCCTACCCCAGTGCACTCATCAGCACACTGACAAAAACCAACTGAGGTCCTGCTGCATGGAGGCCTCCTCCTTTAGCTGTGGAACAACCTGTTAATCAGCTCAGACTACAGACACATACCTTGTTTTTATCACTCCACTTTCAGGATTAAAGATTTTTTTTTAACCCAAACACCTTTCTCATATCCCTTGCAGAAATACAGATACCTACAAAGGCACACACTGCATATATTCACATGTACGCTGTCTCAAACACATGTTCCTCTGCACGCTCAGGCATAAACACACATACGCTGTTTCTGTTTACATCCCCAAACAGAATCCTGATTAGTTTTTTTAAAATCAAGTTGATTGTGGTATAAGTTCCATTTAGGAAAATTTGCCGTTTTATGGGGCATATGGTATATTTCTATGTATTTTAATAAGCACATTGGATTAGCTAGGGTTCTCCAGAGAAATAGAACCAGCAGGGTATATGTGTGTGTGTGTGCATATATATATATGTGTGTGTGTGTGTGTGTGTATATATATATACACACATATATATGTATTCCATGGAATTGGCTTATGTGATCATGAGGACTGGCAAGTCCAAACTTCATAGAGCAGGCTGGAATCTCTCAGGCAGCAGCTGAGGCTGTGGTGCTGTGATCTGGAGCAGAATTTCTTCTTCCTGTAGGAAATCTCAGTTTTGCTCTAAGTCCTTTCAACTGATTGATGAGGTCCACCCACATTATCAAGGATAATCTAATTTACTTAAAGTCAACAGATCGTGGGGGTTAACCACATCCACAAAACACCTCCCCAACAATGCTTAGATTAGCGTTTGACAGCATGACTGGAGATTATAGCCTAGTCAAGTTGACACATAAAACTAATAATAACAGGCATACAGTTGTGTCACCAATACCATGGTCCCCTCTTATCCTCCAGGGATATGTTCCAAGATCCCCAGCGAATGCCCAAAAACATGGCTAGGACCAAACCCTGTATATATACTATGCTTCTTCCTATACATACATTCCTGTGATAAAGTTTAGTTTATAAATTAGGCACAGTAAGAGATTAACACAATCATTACTGAAAAATGGAACAACTATAACAATATACCAGCATCACTGCTCTTGGGCTTTGGGACCATTATCAAGTAAAATAAGGGTTATTTGAGCACAAGCCCTGCAATACCCTAACAGTTGATTTAATAACCAAGATGGCTATTAAGTGACCCAACAGGTGGGTGGTGTGTGCAGCCTGGATATGCTGGACAAAGGGATGATTCACATCTTGGGTGGGACAAAGTGAGGATGGTGTGGGACTGGAAGAGCTTTTATCATGCGATCAAAAGGGCATACAATTTAAAACTTATGAATTGTTTATTTCTGAAATTTTCCATTTAATATTGACCTCATGGAACTAAAACTTAGCAAAGCAAAACCTCAAATACATAAGGACTACTGTACCATAATCAAAGTAGTAGTTCATCCTTGTTGAGCTCCAGAAATTGATACTGCACTGGTGTTTTCCATGTAATTAAATGTCAAAACACTTCACATTGTTCAAGCCAGGAATCCAAAAGTTATTCTGTTTCTTCCCTCTCCTTTCCTTTCAACACACAACCCATTAATGGGGAGATTTTCTGCCTCAAATCTCATGGAACATTACAGTTCCATCATCTCAAAGAATTTCCTCATATCTCTTTGTGGTGAATTATCTCTACTCTCACCCCCCCATCCCTGTTAGTCGCTCATCTGTTTTCTGTTCCTACAGTTATGTCTTTTCCAGAACACCATATGAATGAATCCTACAGTATGGAACCTTTTGAATCTGACCCTTTTTCTTAGTATATGCATTCAAGACTCACCCATGTTGTTGCATCTATCAGTAGTTTGTTTCTTTTTATTGCTGAGTAATATTCCTTTGTATGGAAGTACCATAGATCTCAATCCATTTTGTTATTGGGAGAGGTATTTCTCCTATATTTCTCTAAATCAGGCATGCTTCAGAAATTTTAAAATTTATAGGTATATATTTTGAAATACAAAAGTCTAGAACATTTTTCTAGATGTAACCCAATCAGAAATCAGTAATAAAACACACTCTGCCCCATGCTGAAATAGCTATTTGGTCTTGGAATAAATGATTTTATTGGCCACATACAGTCAAGGCCAAGGTGAATTCTAAAGGCATCAGTCATTATAATCTTATTGGCACTGCAACACAGCCAAATATTTTAGGACTGACTCAGTTGACACTAATTGTCATAATGGTTTAAGGATAAGCCATGAAATCAGGGATTAGGGAAGGGCTGGATTCCTGACCTGGTCATGAAGATGCTAAAAGTCTTAACACTGTTAGTTAGACACAGCAGATGGTCAGCCATGACAGACCTATAGGTTACAACATAGGTGTCAGTCAGTCTGCTAACAGGGAAGAGTGAGTTTCATGCACACGATCTGACATAATGGAACTCCTTGGGGTCTGTGCTCAAGAAGTCAAAGAAAGTGCACTATCTAGTCTAGTCCAGCTGGGCCAGTGCCTCTGTACTTAGCAGACCCCTGGGCTGCTGTGATGAAGCTTGTCCCTGTCTATGATGTAGGAGGAAGCCATATTTGTAGACGGATGATGGAATTTGAAGAAAGATCTGATTGTCCTATAAGTTCAATGCCAAAAGTTGGCTTCCTGGTTTCCACCGTTTGTCTGCTGAGTGTTTGTCTGCTGCAGTTGGCACATATTCATCTATAAGTTTCTATGTATCCCTCACAGTGCTCAGAGATACAAGAACAAACAAAGCTGCCACGGTCTCTGCATTGATTGAGCATAAATTCTGTGGTAGAAACAGGCAGCATCAAGTCATTGAACAAAGAACCAAAACAATTACAAACCTTGATAAGTCAAAAGAATGAAGGAGATAAGGTGATGTTTAGAAGATTTTTGATGGGGTGGCAAGGAAGTCCTCTCTGAGATTTTTGAGAAATGAGAGCCAGGAGATGAGTTTGGAGGGAGAAAGTTATCAGAAGAAGGAACAGTACATGCAGAGGTCCTGATGGGAAAAAAAGCCATGTTTAAGAATTTCAAAGTTCCGTGGAACTGGAGCAAGCTGACAAAATGTAACAGGGGCATGGGACAGAGTCAGAAAGCGTGTCAGATCAGCAGTAGTGTGTGGCCAGGATAAGGAGTCTGGATTTCCTTTAGGGAAAGGGCAAGCCCTGGGAGGGTTCAGAACCCAGGGGTTAGATGCTCTGATTTCTGTTTTAAGAGGATTATTTTTGCCATTATGGGATAATTCATTCTAGTGTGACAGGATTGGGAAGGTGAGGGCAGTTAGGATGCAGTTACAAAAATCCAGGTGAGAGATGACAGTGATAAGAGAGATAAGAAGAGAGATACAGATAAGAAGATGGTGAAGAGATTTTGGAGGTGGGAAACCTCCCTACTAATGGATTTTGTGTCAAAGGCAAGGAGAGGGAAGAAACAGAATAATTTTTAGATTTGCGGCTTGAACAATCTAAAGAAATGTTTTGACATTTAATTTCACTGGAAAGATTGGTGCCATATCAATGTCTGAAGCTCAACAAGGATGAACTACTACTTTGGAATTGGAACATATGATTTATTATAGTTAAAGTTTTGGGAATTGATGAGATTAACTCAGAAGAAAGTGTCAGTGAAGAGAAGAGTCCCAGAGAGAACCTTGAGGAAATGCTATACTTTCTTCAGGAAAAGAAAAGGAGAAGACCAATAATACTGAGGCCAGTGAGATATTAATAGGAACACCAGGAGAATGTGCTGAAAAGGAAGTCAAGAGAGCAGTGCTTCGGGAGTGGGACAATCATCTGTGGGGCTGAAACTGTGGAAAGAGTGAAGAAAAGCAACTGCTTCCTGATTTTGGCAACATGAAAGTTATTGTTGACCTTGACAAGATTTGCTGGAGGGCAGTGGGTAGCATTTCAGAGACAATGGAAGGTAGGAAAGGGGAGGTATGATGTACATGAACAGCTCCTTTGGAGGCTTTGCTGTGGTGCTGAGAGGAGAAATGGAGAGTTATTTGGGATCAGAAAGAGTTGGGAGGTTCAATTATAATTATTCAATTATAATTTAATAGTAATTATATGTGAAAAGAGAGATTCCTAATAGAGAGAAATGATGGCCCAGGAGAACAACGTGATGATGGCTTGGAGGAGGCAGAGGGAATACACATGGAGCATGGGTCTTGGGTAGGGAGAGGGATAGAGGGAAGAAAGAGAAGGCGGATGCAGGTGCTTTGGGTGTGAAATTGGGAAAGTGAAGTAAGAGGCATTGCCATTATCTGAGAGAGGAAGGAGCCTAGAAGGCTGAAGGAGAGAGAAGAAGGTATGAAGTCATTTTTTTTAAGGAATTGAAAGACTGGATAAATGTAACCGGATTGATTGGTACTAATGAGGGCTCATGTAAAGTATGAATTTTCAGTGAAACCATCATCTGGGTTGTGAGATTTTGTGCAGCTATGTTCAGCTGCTCTGGTGTAGGCAAAAGAAAGGAGGATAGCGGGCTCATTCAGGGCTAGTGTTTTGTAAGAAGAAAGGAGAGTGGAGGAAGGGAATAAGAATGTTAAAATGATGTGCCATGGATTCTAGGTTGAACAGTGTGGGAAGTAAACCCAAGGAGGGCATAGATGAACAGTGAGAAAGTGATGACACTTAATAGTCTACCTTGATAATATCTTCACCCTGGGAAGCAAGATTAAAGCTGAAGTTTTCAGGCTAACAGGACACATTGCCATGCGAAGAGAGAAAGGATCACTGCTGTAAGAACTTTATAACTGTATAACAATTTCCTGTTGTATGCTGTCATGAGCACACTATTTCCTTGTAGATTACTCAAATGCTTAGAGAAGAATCAAAGCCCTTTGTTTGTATTTGGGGCAGTAGGGAAGGAAAAACCTGTCGAGACTGTCCCACTGCAGAGCAGTGGTGCAACCCTAATGGATAAAACACAAGGAGGCAGCTTATCTGAAGAGGAGAGGAATGCTCATGGCCTGAAAAGGAGCTTGGGTCTGAGAGCAGCTGGGTAGAAACATCTGAGTAAGCTGATTCCACAGCGACCCTGGGAACCTGTGATTGAGGTCTCATTTTGTTATTGCTAATTATGGCTTAAAATAGCAATTTAGTTATATTTAAGTAACTCCAGCCATCTCCTCAATAGTACTTAACAAATGGAACCAGTTTCCCTATTAGAAAGGCAACACGCCATATTGAAAAGAATGTGGGCTTCAGGGGCACATGGATCTGACCTCAAGTTCTGACTCTGCCACCACTTGGCTCTGTATTCTTAGGCAAGTTGTTGAGCTTCTGTGAATCGTAATTCCCCGATCTGTAAAGCAAAGCTGATAATAATGTGTACTCACATATTTATTCTAAGGCATAAATTAACTAAAGTAAGAACATAATTTTGAAAATTGCAAAGCCATATGCAATGTTAATGCAGTAGAAATGAATCCTAGTCCACAAACAGATGTGTAAGAAATACTGCTTTATAATTTTTTAAACATCATTTTAATCATGAATCTGAGTACCCATCCACCTTTGAAAGGTTTGCAAGTCAGGTATTATTCAATGCCATCTCCTCCCACTCCAATAGTTAGTTAAGAGGCCTGGGGTTTTCTATTATACCGCAGCATTGCTTTGACACCTCAGGCCCTACTGGTTACTATGGAGACACCATTTGACTTTTTCAGGCCCAGCATTCTCCTTGGTAGGCTTGAGCAAGGTTCCACCTCCTCAGATGAACTCTGTAACCATCCTTGCAGAGGAGACCCTGCAAGGGGGAAGGAACAGGCCTAGCTGAGGACCAAGGGACCTTTTCTCCTCTCGAGCCTTGGACAATGTTCCCTCTCTTTTCTTGCTCTCGAAAAACTTAAATCGCTGTGATCAGATTCTGGGACACTTAACGTTATCTTCTCAAAGAATTTTGGCTTTTATAAATTCAGAAAAAAAGCCATTACTCATGGGTCTTTTTGCTTTCAGCTCTACCCAAATTCCTAACAGAAGGAAGCCCTAAAGGACCTAGATTCCCTGTGGCAAAAATTAGGAGCAGGGCAGATAAAGAGAGGACAACTAAAACTATTTTAATAAATTATATCCCATGATGATTACTTTTGTTCATTTGCATGGGATCCTTGGTGATCTTGTTGGATTGATTAACTTATAAAGGGACTGACTAATTCAAAAACTTGGAAAACATCAGCTTTGGGAACAAATGAGGTATATTTGAAAATTTCAATTCTTTAAAGAAGATACAGTTTAAATACCAAACACTGAATAGGAGATATAGGCATAGGCCCATTTGCTAATGCAGGCACTACTTTCTCTCTCTTTGGGAAAGCACTGGGTATGTAGGCATTATTTGGTGGATCAATACATATTAACGGAACACAAAAATGGATACTTAGATGCTAACATTTTTAAAGAATGCCTGCGGAGCAATGAAAAAAAAAAGTTTTGTTGAGTGCCTCGTGGCTGTATTCAGCAGACCAAGGAAATGAACATTGCTGGGACTAATTGTTGGAGTCAGTCCTGCTTGACTAGATGGTGGCTCAGTTAGCTAAGCACACAGCTCTACACCCCTCCCCCACCTTCCTGCACCTGCAACTTCAGCAGTAAAGTCCTCAATTCAAACATCGGTCTTGTGAGTTCAGAGCAACAGCAAGTGGAGTTGCCTTGTGGCATGTGAACAACTGATCAACATAAAGGCCCTAAGGAGATGCCAAATACCATTAGAAAAGGCATCTTCCAGAATTAATGTGTAATAATGAAAATTCTTGCTCATTATCCAAAGTTCAAAAAAGAACCATGAAATATTATCTAGTTTCATTCCCTGGCTCTATGCAGCTTGAATGTACCACAGTCTTACCAATGATTACCCCAAATCTTCAGACAAGTCTATTGAGGCACAAAAACCATCCTTTTGCCTCCCGAGCCATTCCTACCTACTCCTACAGCCTGTTTGAGTCTAGGTTGAAACAGCTCAAAATTTATCAGTGTAGGAGATAACATCAAATGGCTAATGAGATAAAGTTCTAACAAGCCAGCATGTAGATTTGGGGAATGTATTTCTATTTTGCTGTGAGATTACTCAACCTGCAAAGAAAGAAACAGTGTACATCACATATCCTTCAAAATAATTTAACACTCTTATTTTTCTACCTATTTTTTAAAGTATGGGGTTGTATATAACTAAACCATTAAATATATGGCCAATAGTGCATTATTTCACGAACCCATTGACAACATGTTATTGAGGTAAGTGAGGTAAGAAAACTGAAGTCCAAAGTGGTAAAGAAAATGGCCAAAGGTCACACAGTCAAGCATGGGAAAACCTGATTTAAACCAAGTTGTAGCTTTATGATTACTAGGCATTTTAGAATGCTTCGGAATGCTTTTTTAAATTCCCTGTCCCTTCTACCTTATTCTTAGTTTTGATCCATCAGATTTTGAATGTTACAAAAATATTCCTCAATATTTGATGAAATAGAGTCAATCTCTTGGTTTCCTTATTGTTTCTGAACTGGTAGCTGGAGTCCTCAAGGCTGAATTAACTAGGACATGAAGGCTGAACAGGTTTATAACTTCAGCCTTCATTTGACAACTTTGTTGTCTAATTTCTCCAGTTTAATTATTTAAGGCTCAAAACACTTCAGTGAGATCTGTGTGTTAACCCCAACTCTGAGAATAAATTATTAAAAGAAATGGATGCTAAAGAAATGATTGACACGTGTGCTAAGTCAGCACAAACTGACTTTAAGTCATCTTCTACCCCTTACCTTGCTGAAATGTGGTGTCTGGGTGGGGAAAAGGACAGCATAGTTGGATCCTGCTTCCTAGAAACAGTAGAGACTCAGGTTTATCTGTGACTCCTCAGCCCTGTGTGACCACCATTTTGCTTGGTCCACCAGCACTTCTTTCTGTAGGTGAAGCCCGGTCCAGTCTAGACCCCATAAGCATTCTCATCATTGTCTTAACTACCATCCTAAAATCCCTTGTCCTCCAGTCTCCAGCCGCCTGCATACTAATCACATATGTAGCCTTCAATAGACACCTTTCTCCATTGCTAGAGGAAGACTTGAAAATGTGCACCTCTTTCCACTCCAAGCACACATCGTGCAAGTTTAAGCACTTAATGGCTCAGCAATATTTTAAACTATCTTTTCTGGTTTAATGATCTTGTCCTCCACCCATTCCCAGCCACTCATATCCAGAGAGAAACGTTAAACATTGTTTCTAATAATAATTGCAGAATCTCAATCTCCATCGTCACAATTTCTGACCATCTGTACTTCCCACATTTCTAGCCAACTCCCTCTACTACTCTTACTCAGATAATTTTTAAAACCCCCAGTAACACTCAAGCCGTTAACTTTAATACATTTTCTCTGTCCATTAACCTCCTTTCATCCCTGCCCCATAGTTATCCCACTAAGATGCCATGAATTGTCATGTATTGCTCATATCCACTCTCAAGAGTGCATTACACTCACGAGGAAAATGCCAGCCCTAGTTATGTCTCCACCTACTCACTGCTTGCTTCAATTGACTGAGTGTGGCTGGAGAAAAACATAAAATCAGAACACCTCATCTTACTTTAAATTTATGACCACAAACCTCAGGTAGGCTCTCGTTAAATCATGCTCTCCTCTTCCCAAACACACTACGTAGTCACACTTTCTCTTCTCAAACCTCCCCACATTTCTTCTGCTTCACTCTTAGATGATAACTTTAACTTTATTCTGCTGACAAAATAGAGTAATTTAAAATAGAGATCAGGGGACTGCTACATCCCCCTGCTTTTGAAACTCTACATTGCCTCTTTCCTGTTAAAATGACGAACTCTAAGGAAATCTCCTTTGGGGATTCATTTTCTCTCAGCTACACGTGAAAGTTGCCTCTAGAGTCATCCCCTGTCTGCCCTACATCATCTCACTGTATTATTTTTTAAAGATATAATTCGCGTGCCACAAAATTTACCAGTTTACAGTTTACAATTCGTTTTTAATATTTTCACAAAGTTGTGCAAATATTACCACCATGCAACTTCAAAATATTTTCATCATCCCCTAAGAAACCCTTTGCCCATTACTCCATTCCACTCTCCCTCAGCCCCTGGAAACTACTAAACTTACTTTCTGTTTCTATGAAACTTTTTTATTCTGGACATTTCATATAAATAAAATCTTATAATATGTGGCCTTTTGTGACTGATTTCTTTTACTTAGCATAATATTTTCAAGATTCACTCATGTTGTAGCATGTATTAATGCTTCATCCTTTTCACAGATGAATCCCACTGTATAGATATACTATGTATATTGTGTATCCCACTGTATAGATATATTATCTATACTATGTATAGGTATCTATTCATCAATTGAACATTAAGGTTGCTTCCATTTTTTGGCTATTATAAATAGTACTCATATGAATGTTCACATACACATTTTTATGTAGATATTTGCTTTAAATTATCTCGGGTATGTAACTAGGAGTAGAATTGCTGGCCCTAGTCTATGTTTAACTTTTTATAGAACTTCTGAAATGTTTTCTGATGCAGCTGCATGATTTTACATTCCCACCAGCAGTGTGTGAGGGTTCTATTCTATCCGCATCCTCACCAACACCTGTTATTGTCCATTTTTTTGTTATAAATATTCTAGTGAGTGTGAAATGTTATCTCATTGTGATTTTGATTTGCATTTCCTTAATGACTAATGATGTTGGCATATTTTAATGTTCTTATTGGCCATTGGTATATTCAAATCTTTTTGCACATTTTTAAAGTATTTGTCTTTTTATTTTTGAGTTGTACAAGCTCCTTATATGTTCTGAATACTAGACTCATCAGCCATAATTTGCTAGTATTTTATCCTATTTGGGGGATTATCTTTTCACTTTCCTGATGGTGTCCTTTGAAACACAAACGTTTTTTCTTCTGAAGACATCCAATTTATATATTTTTGCATGTGTTGCTTGTGCTTGTGTCATACCTAAAAACCACTGCTTAATCCAAGGTCACAAAGATTTATGCCTGTTTTTCTTCTAAGAGTTTTATATTTTTATTCTTAACTTTAGGTCTTTGACCATTTTGAATTAATTTTTATACAGGCAATGAGGTAAGGGGTTGACTTTATTTTTTTGCATGTGACTATCAAGGTATTACAGCATCATGAGTTGGAAAGTCTTTTCTTTCCTCATGGAATTGTTTGGTAACTCTTGCTGAAAATTCTTGAAAATCAGTTGACAGGGAATGTAAAGATTTATTTCTGAGCTCTTTTTTTTGAATCCACTGATGTGTGTGTCTATCCTCATACCAGTACCACAGTATCTTTTTTGCTGTAGCTTTTTAGTTAATCTTCCCACTTTCTTCTTCTTTTTTAAAATTATCTTGACTATTTTGGATCTCTTGCATTTTAGTTAGCTTGTCAATTGCATGCCAACTATTTAGATAATCTAAATGAAATGGACAAAATCCTAGAAACAACAAACTGTCTGAAGTGACTCAGGAAGAAATAGAAAATCTTGACAGATCTATAATAAGAGAGATTGAATTAAAAACCTCCCAAAAAAGAAGAGTCCAGGACTGCAAGGCTTACAGCAAAAGAAAAAAAAAGCTGCTGTGATCTTAATAAAGTTTACATTAAATCTGTAAATAAATTTGGGGAGTCTTGCCATCCTAATAATATCAAGCTTTTCAAACCGTGAAGATGTACTGTCTTTCCACTTACTTAATTCTTTTCTATATTATTGTAAATGAATTTTTCTTAATGGAATTTTTAGCCTGTTCATTGCTAGTGAGTATAAATACAATTGATTTTCATGTACTGATCTTGTAATCTTGTATCTTTCTCCCTTGCTGACCACATTTATTAGCTCTGACAGTTTGTGTTTGTGTATGTGTGTGTGAATTCCTTGGGATTTTCTATATACAAGATCATGTTATCCGTGACAAGAGATAGTTTTACTTGCTCCTTTCCAATCTAGATGACTGTATGTATTTATTTTTTATCCCTGAATTGTTCTAGCTAGAACTTCCAGTATTTTTTTTTTTTTTTTTTTTTTTTTTTTTAGACAGGCTCTTGCTGTCACGCAGGCTGGAGAGCAGTTGGTGTGAACACCACTGACTACAGCCTTGGTCTCCTGGGCTAAGTGAGCCTCTTACCCCAACCTGCTGAGTAGCTGAGCCCACAGGCATGTGCCACCATGCTTGGCTATTTTTTTTTAATTTTTTGTAAAGACAAGGTCTTGCCATGTTGCCTAAGATGGTCTCAAACTCCTAGACTCACATGATTCTCCTGTTTCGGCCTCCCAAAGTGTTAAGATTACAGGCTCAAGCCACTGTGACTGGCCCACTAATAATCTTGAATAGAAGTGGTGAGAGCAGACATTCTAGTAAAGTTTATAACTAGGATTTAGGAAGAAAGCTTTCAGTTACTCACCATTATGTATGTTGCTATCTTTGGGTTTTTAATAGATGCCCTTAAACAGAGAAAGTCTCTTCTATTTCAAATTTGTTGGGTGTTTTCATCATGAAAGGATGTTGGATTTTGTCAAATGCCTTTTCTGCTTCTATTGAGATGATCATGAGTTTTTTGTCCTTTAGTCTTCAATATGATATATTACATTGAACTTAATATGTTATCTTACTCCCTTCGGTCTTTCAGGGCTGCTGATGAGAAATTCTCTGTTAGTGTTATTCAGGATCTCTTGTACATGATGAGTCATTTCTGTCTTGCTACTTTCAAAATTCTCTCTGTCTTTTGGCAGATGATAATGATGTACCTAGGTGTGGATTTCCTTTAGTTTATCCTGTATGGATTTTTTGTGTGTTTTTGTTTCAGTTTCTTGGATGTGTATATTATTGCTTTTTATGAAAGTTGGGAAGTTTAAGGCCATTATTTCTTCAGAATTTTTTTCTGTTCCTTTTTCTCCTCCCCTTCTGGGACTCTCATTATACATGTGTTGCTATACTTCATGGTGTCTCACAAGTCTCTGAGGCTCTGGTTATTTTTCTTCATTCTTTTGTTGTCGTTTCCAAGACTAGACATATTAATTGAGCTATCTTGAAGTTTGCTGAATCTTCTGCCAGCTCAAATCTACTGTTGATCCCTTCTAGTAAATTTTTCATTTCTGTTATTATACTTTTCATTTCTGAAATTTCTATTTGGGGAGTGTACAGTGATATGAAATTGCCTCCTACATGAAGATGCAAGTAACCACCACCATAACTGGGATAAAAAACAGCCTATTTCTATTTTTAAATAATGTTTATCTCTTTATTGAGAATCTCTATTTGGTGAAAACTTCTTCTCATATATTTTTTTACTTCTTTAGAAATGATTTACTTTAGTTCCTGGGACATAGCTAATTTAAAATCTTTGCCTAGCAAGTGGAAAGCCTGGATTTTTTCAGGGGCAGTTTTTTTTTTTTTTTAATTTTTGTTGTTGTTGTTGTTGTTTTCCTTTTTGAGATGGAGTCTTGCTCTGTCACCCAGACTGGAGTGCTGTGGCATGATCTTGGCTCACTGCAAACTCTGCCCCCCAGGTTCAAGCAATTCTTCTGCCTCAGCCTCCTGAGTAACTGAGATTACAGGTGCGCACCACCACTCCCAGCTAATTTTTGTATTTTTAGTAGAAACGGGGTTTCACCATGTTGGTCAGTCTGATCTTGAACTCCTGACCTTGTGATCTGCCCACCTAGGTCTCCCAAAGTACTGAGATTACAAGTGTGAGCCACCAAGCCTGGCCCAGGGGCAGTTTTTATTGATCGCTTTTTCCCTGTGTCCTTTCCTGTTTCATTGAGTGTCTCATAATTCCTTGTTGGAAGCTGGTCATTTAAAACAGTTCTGTATTAGTCTGTTCTCACCCTGCTATAAAGAACTATCTGAGACTGGGTAATTTATAAAGAAAAGAGGTTTAATTGACTCCCAGTTTTGCAGGCTGTACAGGAGTCATGGCTAAGGAGGCCTCAGGAAACTTAACCATCATGGTGGAAGGCGAAAGGGAAGCAAGCATTTCTTCACATGGTGGCAGGAGAGAGAGAGAGCGAAGGAGTAGGGGTAGACACTTTTAAATAACCAGATCTCAAGAGAACTCATTCACTGTCATGAGAACAGCAAGGCGGAAATCTGCTCCCATGATTCAATCACCTCCCACCACTTTTCTCCCCCAACACTGGGGATTACAATTTAACATTAGATTCTGGTGGGGACACAGCCAAACCATATCATTCCACCCCCAGACCCTCCCAAATGCATTGAGAAAAGGCCATAGGAGCACATAGAGTGGGACAGCTGTCTGCAATAAAGGAAGGGGCCCTCACCAGAACCCACTTGGCACCCTGATCTCAGACTTCTAGCTTCTAGAACTGTGAGAAACAAATGTCTGTTGTTTGAGTCACCCAGTCTATGGTATTTTGTTATGGCAGCCTGAGAAGACTAAGACAGCTAATAAACTCCTTCATGGAATGTACACTCCTTGAAGGAAGGACCTTCTGAGTATGGTTTATTGCACTGTCAGCCTGGTATACGAGAGGCACAGATTCCTGTTTGTTGACTGAGTACCAGCAACCTGGAAACATGCTGTGGCTTTCTGTCTTTCATGTTCTCAGACTGTAATCACTGGCTTCTGCCCTCCTACAGTGGTGACTTGCATTTTGCACTCCCTCCTTCTGGTGGGAAGACTAACTTTCAGCCTAAGTATAAGGTCAAAAGGATCAAGGACAGAAGCTCTAGTTTTAAAAAGCCCTGAACCACAGTAAACACCCTGTTGGAGGTGATTCACTTCCTAATCACACCACTGATGCCTCGTGACTCTTTGATCCATAATGCATGTTCTGGCTCCTGCCCTCTGCCCAGTTCTGCAATAATACGAGAGCTAGTTCTTCTGATTATAGTACATCCTCCCTGCTGTGGGTACCCAAATTTTTTCTCCTGCCTTGTCTCACTGCATTTAATTCCCAGAAAAGAGCCTTCTCTATCACTTGATTTTTCTACTGCCCTCAGTGTAAATGATTAGGGTCCCACTGGATACTAAGTAGATGACTATTTCCCATACCCAGTGTTAACCTTTAAAGCCATTCCTCAGTTGAGCAACAGTCTTTGGGCATTACTTCTGGAAAACCATCTTAAAATACAAACATGACCCTTCTCAGGGGTACCCATTTCTGTGTCATTTTCTTGTGTTCCTGGACAGTTAGCCTCCCACACCTGGGTTTCCATAGTGGCTTGACCAGACTTCTAAGGTGGCAGACTTGGTGACAGCAGTAGCTTTTCCCCAGACTGCCCACCACCTTCATGCATCTCTTCACTGTTCTCTGCAGGAAGCAGGAGGGCCATTTTCAGAGAGGCCCCGACATGGCCCACAATTTCAGCCAGTGCTTCCACAGTGGTTGTTCAGGTAATGCCGCCATGGAGACTTCTGCTACCCCACTGCTACATTGCCCTTGTGAATGTAGATCCCCACTTGTCAGCACATTTTCCTGTAATTTATGGTTTGGAGGTTTTCATTTGTTTATTTTGTCTGCTTTTTGTTTTTTTTTCTATAATCTTATATTAGAAGTGATTTATTGCTGTTGTTGTTTCTATAATCTCATATTAGAAGTGAGGCTCAGAGTTCTGTGAGGTCAATACCTTGTTTAGTTTCTGTTTGGGCTATAATTTGTTTCAAAATGGCAGACTGAAACACAATTACAGACTAATGTGTATAAGACCAATTTTATACCATTTGGAATTTTAAAAAAGAAAATGACCCCTTCCTTAATGCTAGAAGTTTATTTCATATTCTTAAACTGTGAGGCGGGTAGACAGGCAGATAGGCACATGCAAAATCTCACACTGTTGGGGTCAAGGATAGTTCTAGGTAGTGTCAATGCCTGCTTACTTGTCCATGTCTTCCTTAGGCTGTAAGTTCCTTAAGGGCAGGAACCTTACTTCTATTATGTCTCAACACTCAGCACTGCCTAGTGTATAGAAAACAGTAAATATCTGTTGACCAAATGACTGGCTCGGCAAAAACTACATATACAATCATATATGTATCTTTTGCATATGAATTTTCCTTAGAATTCAGTGAGGGCTTAGAAGAAGCTTAGAGAAGGAAAGACACCAAAAACATTTGCTTCTCATGGGCCTGAGGAAATGTCAAATTTTTGACACTCTCTTTCTCATCCTCAACTTTCTGCCTTCCTTCTTCCCCTTCTGCTACTCTGGGTACTTTATTAGTCTGTCTTTCTGAGGCAATTCGCTGTAACCAGAATATTTTTCTTCACCTCCCAACTCAACACCAGTCAAAAGTCTGTGTCCTGGGTGCCCCTGCTCTCCTTGAAAGACACTGGGAAATGGTGATGTCACCCTTCCAGGTAACAGATTTGCATTTTCCCGGAATGCTTTGGGGGTCATAATGCTTTACCCCAAAGCAGTTCATTTAATGGTGCAGCCACAGCCACTGAGGGAGTTATTTTGAGACAGACAATCCTTTCTTCAACTTGTTTTTGAAAGCCTACTCAATTTTATCCTACTTAATATGTAAACTCATTTTCATGTTCATTTGAAGGAGACATATTAGGTAATTATTCATTCCAATCAGAACATTCTTCTTCCGTAATCTTAGCTGTCTTTTTTTTTTTTTTTTTTTAACTAAACACAGGATAGATTTTAAAAGTTGTTTAAGCCTGTCAAAGGAAAAGATAATAAACTAGATAAAAGAGACTCTCTTGGGAATATTAACGCCTCAAGTCTTCTGAATCTTTGCTACTAAATACAAGTTGTATTTCAAACAGCCTCAGGTTACAAGGACGATGACTAATGAATTATAGAGGAAGGTAATTAACTTCCTACATTCCCTGGAAGCTTGCTTTGTGAGAACCTCTCTGATACTCATTTACAGAAGACTGTAACTTCTGATTAGCATTGTTAGGAAAACTGCCCACTTCTTTTCTATTTTCAGGATTCTTTCAGACTGGGGGTGTAGCTCCAGCAGGCTGTGGAAATCCTGGAGCTGATCAGAAAAGGAAGTGTGAAGACAGTGTCAGAAGTCATTTTGCTATTAACCAGCAAAGGTGTTGAGGGCATGTTTTTTCAACTCTCTTTGTCATGAATTTCCTTATTTGTAAAATGAGGGGGTGAGAAACAATGACCTATGGGTTTGCTTCCCTACCTTACATTCAGTGATCTGAGCTTTCTCATCCAAAGGCAAATAAAATATTGTAGAGTGTTGGGTGGTACATGCGGGTTTAAATATATTTAAAACAAAACTTAACAGACTTTCATACATGGATAGCTTCCTTTTATGACTTGTTGGGCACGAAGGAAGGTGAGTGACAGGTTTTTCTTATGCAGCTGACATACTGAACAACATCAATGTGTGGACTGGAATCAAAACACAGTTTTATTTTTATCTTTATTCAGAGGTGGTCATCTTTTGCCTATGAGAATCTTTCTTTCTTTTTTTTTTTTTTTTTTTTTTTTTTTGAGACAGAGTCTCACTCTGTCACCCAGGCTGGAGTGCAGTGGCACCGTCTCAGCTCTCTGCAAGCACCGCCTCCCGGGTTCACACCATTCTCCTGCCTTAGCCTCCCGAGTAGCTGGGATTACAGGTGCCCGCCACCACATCCAGCTAATTTTTTGTATTTTTAGTAGAGACGGGGTTTCACCATGTTAGCCAGGATAGTCTTGATCTCCTGACCTCGTGATACGCCAGCCTTGGCCTCCCAAAGTGCTAGGATTATAGACGTGAGCCACCCTGCCTGGCCACCTATGGGAATCTTTCTTTCTGCAGGTTCTTGAATTCCCCCTCACTCTTAGGAAATAGTGCAACATTTCCTTAAGAAGCAAATGCTCTCAATTCAGAGTTTATGAGGTCCAACTCCTTGTAGTCATCAAAATGACACAATTAACTTCAGGATAACACCTTTTTCCCTCTGCCAGTTGGGATCCACTTCTCAGAACAGGGAGCAAGGTCCTGTTGACTTTCTCTATCACTTGTTGATTATTCCAAGCAAGGTCCCAGTGGGGAAGGCAGATGGGAGAAAAATAATAAGAAGAAGCTTTGTGCATTGTGGGCCCCTGCAGTTGGTAAAGTGGACTGCGTCTTCCATAAAGTCCTCAGGAGGACCTCTTGAAGGCTTCTTGCTGGAACCCTCCCTCTTGCAGTTTCCTTGACCCAAAGGGAAACATATTTAATTTGAGTGGCCAAGGAGACTCCTTTCTCAGCCTTTGGTCACCTGATGTTGTGCACTTCCTAAAATCTTTTCCCTGTAGGGGTCTCCTTACCCCTTTACCTGGCCAGATTGGGAGGAATTCTAGACAGCCCCACCACAGCTTCCCACCACAGCCTCCTCACCATGGGAAAGCTCATCTGTTGCCCCATGCAAACTCTAGGAGACCAGCCAAATCTCAATACATAATTTTTTAAGCCTATTTTTTTCTCAACATTTCTGGAGCAGGCTGAGTCTACAGCCCATAGTTGGTTTTCCTTTTCCTTCTTGTGAGTCAGGCCCCAGTCTCCCGTGTCTCCCAATGCCAGAGAACAGCATGTCAACTCTTTCCGAGTGGACACTTTGGAAGCTACCCACTGCCTGGGAGGCCTTCATCTCTCCCTCATTTTTGTAATCTGATATGTATTGTATTGGTGCTTCAATTGAAACCAGTTATAGAAAGAGTCTCATTCTAACAACCTGTTATAGTTATGTTGAGGCCATGGCTAACATTTGTGGTTAGAAAAACATATTTGAAAAGATAATGAATGAAACAATGGAGAATATTTTAATTGCCCTAATACACACATATATTTCTATAGTTTTATTTTTGAGTTTATGAAACTAGACTTCTTTCATAGCTGTAATCTGATTGTACATATGCTTTTGCAGTCTATTCTTATAAAGTTATTCCTTACAAACCTTTTGTTAAATCATGCTTGGAATTTTAATTGGTGCATATTATCCTGTATATTTTGGTGCCATTTTTTCATGAAAGACTCTTCCAATGCCTATTTTGTGGCCAATGCTGACTTAGGTACTAGAGTTGCAAAAGTTAAAAGAACTGAAATAAAACCTCTATTTAGGAGGCTGCAAATGATTCCAATGTAATACTGTATTTGCCATAGGACAGTTAGCTACATGAATTGAGGGTAGAGAATAAGATGCATCTATGTTTTTGAAAGGAAATTAGGAAGGAACCACACAGAAGGTGTTGGAAGGTGGTGGAGGATGCGTGGGAGGCAGACAGTCAAGAGGAGGCCTCCTTGGTGGATGAAACAGCTTGTGCTCATGCATGGGCTTTATTTATGTCTGGTGGAAAAGGTGTGAATGTGTTTTTCTTCTCAAAACTGTCATTGAATTGTTCTAAAATTACTTATTAAATAATCCTTTCTCTTCAAGTATAGACTTGTGTTGAAAAGCTTGCTTTATCATGTATTAAGTTAATTGTGTTGTTCGGTTTGGTCTACATAAAGTCTCTCCATACAATTCCAGGGATTTATAATTTTATTTGGGGGCCAGAACCACACTTCTCCAAGTAGTGCTGCTTTTTAATCTTTTCAAGTACTGAATAAACTAATCTGCCTTCACAGTTTTTTGCCAAGCAATTCTTTTCTAAATTGTACTAATTCTAATAGTGACTTAAAGGAACCTAGTTCTCTTTTGATATTTTAAGATGGCAAAAATAGTTTTGATATTTTGAAACACTTGGAGACAAAATTGCATCAAATGTTTAGCCCAAGTAATCACTGATTTTATTGCATTCATTGCAGAGGACTTTGGCTTTAAATGAAAATCTTACGCAAAAGGCTTGAAGCCAAATCCTATAGATTTCTTGAAAATGTTTTGTTGCTGTTATTGCTGGTGTTTTATTTAGTTTAGGTTAGTTTCTTCACACAAGCCTAAATGCACATAACTTCGTGGTCTCTTAACTGATTTCAAAATATCTGAGCTGTTTTTTAAAGCATGAGTTTTAGTCTAAATCTTACAAATTGTAATTTGATCTATTGAGCAAAATCACCAGATAGTTGCCTACTTATATACTTTACATATGGAGTTATGAGTATGTGAAGATGGTTAAGCCTTTGATTTTATGCTGTCTGCTGAGTTTGTATAGATTTAGTTACACAGATTATTTTTCTCTCCTTGCTCTTAAATCTCTGAAGAAAATATACACACACAAAACAACATACATAGTAGAGGCCCCATTCTGAGCCAAAGTTAAGGTTCATGGATGGCCCCCAAATACCTGATACGCTAATGGGGTGGGTCCTTAGGAGTTGTCTGATATGAGGACCACTGGTGATATGTGAATGAGGAGGAGGAGATGGTAACATACCCTGAGGTATGGTACAGATAGCCTGGAATCTTTCACCACCTTTGGAGAGTAAGAAGGATAATCATTTTCAAAAGGTTTATGCCATGCAATACATGGGCCCCAGCAATACTGCCAAACTCACAGAATGGCTTTGGAACTTCAACTTGCTCTGGAGTAATTCCAGGCACAGATGTAAGTAAGCATTGCTGTGAGGCATATATGAAGTTACATCTCTAGGTGGCCTTGCATACAACTTACATGCATGTGGGCAGATGGGGGGAAGATTATGATATATGCCACATGACAGCAGAGTCCACCCCAAGAAAACTCAGGTGAGACCAATCTAGGGCTCTGTAGTCTTAACTGCATGTGGTCTACAGGGTCTCAAAGTCTTGAGAATCCCTATGGATTAATAACCAGGGGAAATAAGCTATTGCTACTAATAATATGTGTTGTTACACAGATCTGGCAGAAGATGGATTAGATTTAAACACCATTTGAATAACTTACAGTTAGTAAATATTAACTGAACTACACTGAACATTTTCTTGAGTTCTGTAATTCTAAAAGATTTTGAAATTGTCCTAAAATCAAAACAAACAAATAGGTAACCCTAAAAATTTTGAGAAACTGGCAGCATCATGTAGTAGGAAACTAATTTAATTGGACTCAGAGGGTGTTATTTATGTATTTATTCATTTTTATTCATTCACAATGATTGTACATATTTATGGAGTACATGTGCTATTTTGATACATGTATACAATTTCTTATTTTTTTTATTATACTTTAAGTTTTAGGGTACATGTGCACAAAGTGCAGGTTTGTACATATGTATACATGTATACAATTTCTAACAATCAAGTCAGGGTAATTAGGATACCCATCAACTCAAACATTTATCTTTTTTTGTGTGTTGGGACCATTTCATATCTTCTCTTCTAGCTATTTTGAAATATAGAATAAATTATTGTTCACTTCAATCCACAGAAGGCATTATTTCTAGTACAGATGCTTTTTGTGTGTGTGTTTTTTTTAGTAGAGACGGGGCTTCACCAAGTTGCCCAGGATGGTCTCCAAAATGTTGGGATTACAGGTGTGAGCCACCACGCCCGGCCCAAAAATGCATTTTATACATTGTAGAATATCTGTTGTTTGGCCTGATGATTTCGTGGCTGACTGGGAGCTATGGCTTGAGACAGCTGCATCACTAGCCCAGGAAAAGATCAAAATTCAAAATTTGAAGTACAGTTTCAGCTGAATGTGTATTACTTTTGCACCATGATAAAGTCAAAAATATCATAAGTAGAAACATCTTAAGTCAGGGGCTGTCTGTATAAGTTCTGTTGCTGACTTGAGACACTCATTTCACCTCTCTGATCTCACATGCCTTATTTACAAAGTGAAGGACTTACAAAATGTGCCACAAAAGTAAATTATAGTCAGTCTCATGTATATAATGGGAAAACTCTTCAATAAAATACTAACAAATAGAATCTAACAGTGTATTAAGGAATAATGCATCTCAACCATGGAGCATTTACTTCAGGCAGAGAAGAAGGATTCAAGGTTAGGAATTCTGTTAATAGAGTTTATTGCATAAGTATTTTAAAGGAGAAAACCAAATGATTATCTTTATAAATTTCAAATTGTATTTGATACTATTTAGCAACCATTCCGATAAAAGAAAACAAACCTCTGTGGATTGTAGATCCCTTTTTAATCTTGATAAAATCTAGAAATCAGTAACAAATAGTAATGAAGGACTTAAGACATTTCTATTATAGATAAGACTAAGACAAGGATACCCACTGTGGTAGCTAGTCTGCAAAGGTAGCACTCAATGGACACTCCTCCTGGTATAATGCCCATGTGTAGTCATTTCCATATTGAATGTGACTAACCTGTGACTTCCTAACAAAGCAGAAGATTTGTTAGCAAAGTACTGTGGTGGCAATCCCAAGGTTATACCTTAAAAAGACCTAACACCACACACTTTTCTGTGCTTAGAAGCCTTATGCCACATAAGATATTAAGACTTCTGACTACTCTTCTGAAAAGAGAGTCCACGGGCAGAGACTCTGCAGGATGAGATGCCATGGGGAGACAGAAGCACACGGAATAGCACCTATAAGCCAGACATATGAGTGATGAAGCCAAAACATTAAGCAAAACCTGCTATTTTATATTTCAGTGCCTGGGCTGTAGCCTGATTAGCCAGAGTAATTAAATCATCATGGCATAGGTACAAGATTAGGTAAATAAATTAAGTAACATAACAGAGAATCCTGACACAAACTCAAGTACGTAAGGGAATCTAATATATATCTATACATATATATGTATATATTTACATATGTAAATATACACATATTTAAATGAGAATCAAATTGGTGGAGACAACATGAGTCATGCATGCGATAAATGTTGTTTGGACAATTGACATGCAGACGGACATAAGGAAAAATGTAGACTTAGTATCCCATCATAAACAAAAATAAACTTCTGATGCATAAAATATTTCTATTTTTTAAAATTTAACTATTTAAATACTAGAGGAAAACAGGGAAATATTTTCTATAATCTAGGAGTGGGGATGCTATTATAAGCAATTAAAACCTCAGAAACCATAAACTAAATGATATAATGAAAGTGACTGCAGAAAAAATAAAAACAAACACTTTGGCATGGGAAAATCACACTACAAACAAAATTCAATGCCAGACTGGGGGAAATATTTGCAACCTGTTTGACAGATAAATGGGCACAATCCTTACTATACAACAGTTTTACAATAGAACAAAATATACAATTTTATTCTTATAAATCATTGTGCAAATGACGAATATTCCATAGAAATATGAGAAAAGGCTACGAATAAGCATTTCACAGATGCAGAATACAAATATCTAGTAAAATTATTAATAACATAAAATGCAAACTATAATGAGACTGTATTTGTTTATTTGTTTATACCAATATTAAATGTTTTGAAAAGTAATAACAGTTGCTTTAGGAAATGGTCACTCTCAAATTGTTCTCTGGGGTTCAAATTTTAATATCTCTTTCTAAAAATACTTTTTATTGAAGAATAACGCACATAATGAATAGTATTTAAAACTGAAATGTCCTTCTTCATAAAGTATCATCAAGCAAGCATTTGTGTAACTACCATAAAGCCAGGAAATAAATAGCCAGCGTCATAAAAGCCCACTTTCTGGCACTTTTTGAGTTAACTAGTATTCTAATCTCTAATACCATAGTTCAGTTCTACCCATCTTTGAGTTTTATATAAGCAGGCTTATTCTTTCATATGTGCCTTGTTTTGCTCAATATTATGTTTGTGAGACTTACTTTTGCCATCACATGTAATTGCAATTCTAATGTACTTATTGTTGATTAAAATATCACTCTATGAATATACACAATTTACCATTGTAGTCCTAACATTTGAGGTGTTTTTAGTTTTTCGGCCATTATGTGTAAGGATGCTGTGGACATTCTTGCATATGTCTTTGTGTCTCTATACAAAGCAATTCTATCCAGTTTATACCTAGGACTGGAAGTGCTTACTCATAGGGAATGACTATGTTCAACTTTATTAGATAATGCCAGACTGTTTCCCAAAGTTGTTGTACTAATTTACATTCCTACCAGCAATGCATAAGCATTCAAGGTGCTCCACAATATTATCAACACTCGATAATATTGCTCTTCTTAACTTTAGCCATTTTGGAATGTGTAGAGCTTTAGTTTTCATTTTCCTTATGACTAATGAAATAATGAAATTCCGCACCTTTTCAAATGTGTATTAGCCATCTGAGTTAGTTTTATAGACAAGGGCTTGTACAAATACAGCAAGTCCTCAAATAACATTGTTTTATAATAACCTTAAGAGAAAAAAAGTCAATTCCCAGCTGGGGTCACTGTCTATGTGGGGTTGACATGTTCTCCCCATGTCTGCATGCATTTTCTCCAGGTCCTCCAGTTTCCTCCCACATCTCAAAGATGTGCACATTAGATGAATTGACAGTCTAAAGTGTCCCAGTCCAAATGAATGTGGGTGTGGGTGTGAGTGTGCCCTACGACGGGATGGTGTCCTGTCCAGGGTGTATTTCCACCTTTCACCCTTAGCCCCTGCAGAGGCTCCAGCACCCGAGACTCTGAATTGGAATAAGTGAATGAACTTATATTGTTTTTATTAATCTTTCCTAAATGTATGTGTAGCTCACATTTATTTCAATGTTTAATATTAAATGTATTTTGGTCTTTTTTTTAGAAGTTTGGTGATTTTTTGTCACCAGTAATATGCCAGGAACTGAACTCTTACTTATATCAATTCACCTATGGTAAAATTGGTTTTGTTATATTTTATTTTTTGCTTAAAGTCACAGCTTCCATGATCCTATCAAAGACATTAAGTGAGGGCTTATTATACCTTGTTCATTTTGGATTGTCTGTGTTTTTCTTACTGAGTTATCGGAGCTCATCATATATTATGTATACAAGCCCTTTGTCTTAACAGTGTTGCAAATATCTTCTCCCATTCTGTGGTTCTTTTTCTACTCTTTTAATGCTTTTAATGGTATCTCTACATAAAATTTCTTAGGTTTTTTTTTTTTCTTTGAGGCTCTCACTCTGTCACTCTGGCTCTAGTGCAGTGGTGTGATCTTGGCTCATTTCAGCCTCAACCTCCTAGGCTTAAATGATCCTCCTGCCTCAGTTTCCCCAGTAGCTGGGACTATGGGCATGTGCCACCATGCCTGGCTATTTTTTTTTTTAATTTTTTGAAGAGATAGTGTCTTTCTATGTTGCCAGGTTGGACTTGAACTCCTGGGCTCAAACAATCCTCCTGCCTTAGTCTCCAAAAGTGCTGGAAATACAGATGTGAGCCATCTTGTGTCATCTTAGCTTTAATATAATACAAATATTTTCTCATTTACTCCATGGTTTTTGTATCTTACTTAAGAAATCTTTTCCTGTCTCAGGTCATGAAGGTAATCTATATGATCCTTTAGAACTGAGCTGTCTAATACATTAACAACTAGCTGCATGTAACTTCTACTAACGACTCGAAGTTAGGTAAATTGAAATAAAATAAAATGAAAAGTTTAGTTCCTTGTTCATATTAGCCATGTTTTTAAGGGCTCCATAGTCACAGGTATAGAACATTTTCATCATTGCAGAAAATTATACTGGTCAGATATAATAATTTGCAGAACAATTTATAGAGTAGAATTCTATTTTTAAAAAAACAAGTATCAAAACCACAATACTATCTGCATGTGTCCAAATTTGTATATGTATATAAGAAGTCTGGAAATAGGTACATCAAATGCCAACTAACAGCAAATTGGAAGGCTTTGCGTGACCCACAAAAGCAAATAATAAGCAAACACATTGCAATATCTGTCTGAATGAGAGTTTAAAATGTACGTATCCTGGTTAATGAGAAATGCATTAGAAATTTTTTTACTTTTTATTTTTTAATTAGAAATATCAGTTTGTAGAACTGTTGCACACAATTGTCCTGGTGTGTATTGTTCAGATCCAAGGGTGTCATTTACACGAACAATAAAGAGGGCTGTGCAACCCTGTCGATGAGAAATCATATATCTGGAAAAAAAGCCTTTTTCAGTTCTGCTGCCAAAGTAGCCTGGAAGCAGGTTTCATCTTGTCCCCAATACGCATGTGGGACAGCGAGGCTTATATTTGGTGTTTAATGTTATTTTCCATTAAAAGGAAATCGAGATCCTTGGAGAATGGCTGACTCAACATCTTGGGGCTTGAAAAAGTCAACCTGGGAGTAGAACATCTTGTTTTTGCCAGTAGGTGAGGACTTTATGAGACAATTCCTGAGTATTTCTTTTAGGAGCAGGCATGCACCAAGTTGTAGCAATTCCATCAAAAAGCCTAAAAACAAATGACATTTAGTAAAAAGGACTGGATGATAGCTATAAAACAAAAATAAAAATATAACAATATGTGACTGTTCTTGTTAATTATAATGCCTATGGGATAGTTGATATAGGTGAGTGAGTGTTGTTCCTATGAAGTATATATTGAATTTTTCTTTACCTATGTGGGCAAGAATGGGTAGATTAAGGAATTGTGAGCAAGCAAGATATTTCTGGGAAAAGAAGAGATTTTATTAAGAATCAGAAGGACAGGGAACAACCAGGTTGTTCCACAGAGTGTATCAATATGATGGACAAGCAGAGGGAGAAAGCAGTCTCCTTGGACTGGATTCTCATCTCCTGAATTGAAAAACCCTAGATAAGCCTTCTAATAATATGTGATTAAAGCATACCCATGTTTCCAAAAATGCTAACAAACTGTATCAAAATTGTGAATAAATTTGAGAGGAAAATGAGTTTTGCAATGCAGGCCAGGGAGAAAAAAAAATCTAAAATTTTGTCTTTGTTTTGTTTGAAGACATGAGCTTGCAAATTCCATTTATAAGAGAGGTTTTATTGGAAAAAGAGGGTGTTTTGAGGATCTGTCTAGATTTGAGAGACCCTGGAAGACACAAGCAAGTCTCATGCCATGACCAGGGATCAGTTAATTAGGTCAGAACCTATCATCTTAACAGGTTTGTGTGAGAAAGCACAGTATTGTTACTTATCTATCAGGGTAAGTAAAAAGTACAGAAACAAATTTTGAAACCATGCTGATACTCTGTTTTGAAGGTGATTGAACAATTAAAAGAGGTTGATAAATTAAACTCTTGATTGCACTGAGATGGTTTAGGGAATTTTGTTAATTACATTTAAATCAAGTTGTAAATATTTAAGATAATTCATGAAATGTAGAAATAAATATTTATGATGTTTGAATCTTTAGAAACATTGCGTTAAGTAGATTTACAGATTTTAATAAACTGAATGTTAAATAAAGAAGCACAAGCCAGGGTCAGTGGTTCACGCCTATAATCCCAGCACTTTGGGAGGCTGAGGCGGGCAGATCACATGAGGTCAACAGTTGGAGACCAGCCTGGCCAATATGGCAAAACCCCGTCTCTACTAAAAGTACAAAAATCAGCCAGGCGTGGTGGCGGGTGCCTCTAATCCCAGCTACTCAGGAGGCTGAGGCAGGAGAATCGCTTGAACCCGGGAGACGGAGTTTGCAGTGAGCAAGATGGCGCCACTGCACTCCAGCCTGGGTGACAAAAGCAAGACTCTGTTTCAAAAAAAAAAAAAAAAAAGAAGAAGCACAAATTAAAGTATTTTTCATGTCCAGCCTTGGTGTATTCATAAAACAAAAGCTTACATGTGACCAAACAAAAGTACAGTTAAGAGATATTTGGAGGGAGTCTCTTTGTGGTGATGAGACAGTTTTTCATCCCAGTTATGGTGGTGGTTACTTGCATCTACATGTAGGAGGCAATTTCATATTATTATACACTCTCCAAATATAAATAAACAATTTTAATTAATTAATCAATTTTTTAAATTTATTTTTGAGACTGGGTCTCCCTTTATGGCCCAGGCTTAAGTGCAGTGGCGTGATCTTGGCTCACTGCAAGTTCCATCTCCTGGGTTCAAGTGATTATCCTGCCTCAGCCTCCTGAGTAGCTGGGATTACAAGTGCCCACCACCACTCCCGGCTAATTGTTGTACTTTTAGTAGAGACAGGATTTTGCCATTTTGGCCAGGTTGGTCTTGAACTCCTGACCTTGGGTAATCTGCCCCCCTAAGTCTCCCAAAGTGCTGGAATTACAAGCGTGAGCCACTGTGCCTGGTCAACAGATAGTTTTTAAAGAGAACCTGTAAAACCTGAAGAAATCCAAATAATGTCGGTACCTAAGTTAACAGTATTATATTAACGCTAATGTCCTGGTTTTGACATGTACTATGGTTATGCAAAATATTGTCATTGAGGGAAACTGGGTGAAGGGCACATGGAAATTCTGTACTATTTTTGAAACTTCTTGTGAATCTTAAACTATTTCAAAATAAAAATATCATAAAAATATATACAGAGATATTAGTAACTTCATAAAGAAAAGGCATAGGCTGTTCTAGTGGTGCAAGAACGTGCATCCCTTTGCCTCATTTGGATGATCCGCGTGTGATCTCAGGTACTGGCAAGACGTCAGATAGATCTTGCTGAGTTGGCTAGTCCAGCTTTGTTATTTGTTGTTGCTATTAAGACTATTATAGGATTTAATGCAACAGGAAACAGCTATAAGCATAAATACTACAAAACGGTCATCTATGTTTATATATGGCAGTTCTGCCCTTTGAATGGTGCCTCCTTATAAATAAATGTTCAGGCATCTTCCTAGATCATGTCTTTCCACATAAAAGCTTTTCGCTATTAAAGTTGCCACACTCCCATTTAAAACCACTCATTTCTTCTCCTTGCACTTAGAAAGCAAACGGAGCTCCACACAGTGCTTCAATACCTACAAAATCTGCCTACTGTTGACATTTGTAATCTCGTGTTGTGCACTCCCCCTCTTCCTCACAACATCATAGATACAGAGGCCTCTTCGATGTTGCTAGAACATACCCAGCGCGCCCCTGCCTGAAGGGCTCTGTATTTGCCGCTCCCTTTCCCATGCAGTCACACACTATCTAAAATGACCTTGCTTGTCACTCTCTCTCTCATCAGCTAATATTATTTTCTATATCAATGTGTTTATTTTTTTCTCCCTGTCTTAATTCAGAGCCTAGCATGTAATTGTTGCTCAATAGACATTTTTTTGAATAAATGCATGCATTAATGAATGAATGAACGTTCCTATTAATGGTGCTTATTCTGGGAAATATGACTGAGAGTGAGAGGACTCATTCTACTTCTTACACTCCAGGCCAATCTGATTTTCTTATACTAAGTATAAGCTAATTTTGCAACCGAATTTTTAAAAATACATGTGCATACACGTTTGTACTTAGAATAGATGACTTGAAAGGTAATTTCCATCTTCAGCATTTTATGTTACGTTTTCCAAATTATTCTCTTAAGATATAAGGAAGAAGTATAGCACAGTTTAAATGGTAAGGTGTCGAGACAGAATCAATGTATTCCATTTTTCAATTATGAATTACTGCAAAAGCATGAATCAATGTCAGTATCTAAGAGCCTTCCAGATATCCCTTAATATAGAGATTAATGTGTGCACCTGTGTTTTCACCCTTAATTCCTATAAAAATTAGGTCAAGAACATCAATTCTCTCTGGCCACCAATCAGGCTTTGGAGAAAATAGAGGCAATATCATTTTGGAGGGTGGAAGTGGGCGGTGAGGCAGTGTGACGAATGTTTGCAGATGGATTCTCCCCTTCTCCATCTGGCCTCTGCATATGAGAATGCAGAATATGTGCTCCTGTATCTTGGCCCTTGCTTTGAGGGTAATTACTGTTAACTTTGAATGATTTGACTTATCTGTTGTGAGGTAGACAGATAAGGGTTCAAAAGGAGAAATTATTAAAATTTTGGTATGCGCTTCCCTTTTCTGTAAAGTATTTAGGAAGCCATCAGAGATACAGAAAATATGCCAAGACAAGATAAAAGCAGAAGAAAAGGAGAAGGCCAAGAGGGGCATGAACATGAAATGAAACCAGAAATGAGGGTTAAACAAAATTTCTGTGTCTCTCGGACACCTACGCTCTTGTAAGTAGGGTGTAAACATTGGCTGTAACCTTTCTCAAATCCAGTTTAGAAATGAAAACTGGATAAATTATACCTTTTGCAGTATTTCTAACATAAGTTATATCAAAGCAGTTGTTTCGTCAATTTACATCTATTCCTGATAGAAAAGCAGAAAGGACTTTCTCCTGAAAGTCTCTGAAAAATGGGTGTTATTCTTAATCTCATTTTTTGCAGGGTGTTTAATCTCCTTGCTTTTATTTACATGAGGCACTGGCATAATTCCAAGATGCAATTAGGTTAAAACAATTCTATGGTGATGAGGGTGATGGTGGGTGTGGAGCGGGGTGGAGGTTGTGAAGGACACTTTAAAATAAATACATGTACCTTTAAAATAATCACATGCATTTTCTTTTCTTCAGTCATTCCAGGATGGGAATTGGCAGGAGTACTTTTTTTTTCTGTACCAAATTAGAATCTGCCCCTAGGACTGAGGAAAACAGAGCTGGGGAGAATGATAGTTAAAAGCCAATAAGAATCATTTATTTCCACCTCACTGGTCAGACATATTTTGGGTGTATGAGTCAGCCCAGTGTGAGAGGAATGTTTGGGCTAGACTTTATCAGAAGTTATGTAAATTTTTCAGACTGATGAAAACTATCCTGGCTAGTTATTTGAGGCTTTGGGTAGAATCAGGGCTGAAAAGTTTGGGGAGCTGAACTTATTTTGTGACCAGGACAGCTCTGATTGGGCAACTTCTCTGTTCCAGCTCCCTCTGAAATCCCCTTTCTGGAGTTAATAATATTGTTTTATGCCTAAATTGCTCAGTTTGGTCAGAACCTATGTTTTGTCAACTCTGAAATATCTGACAAAAGATTTCAGCCTGTCAAAGCAGTCTTCCACATCAGATCAGACACTCAGGGCATTTGCTGGCTGAGAGGAGGTGAATGAACTGAGTGCATTCTGTGTACTTGAATGTATGTGATTCTTAAGAGGAGAAGGCAAAGATCAAGTTGTATTTTCTATCCTCAGAAAGCACACAGTCTGGTGGCAAAGACAGGCATGGATACAACTCTCACAGAGCAAAGTAGAATGTGATCATTGCAGGACAAACACGGAGATTTGGGGGCACTGAAGAGAAGAATGAAATTGTAGGGAAGGTTCTTGTACGCCTCTTTTATTGAGGGGCCTATCATTTAGCAGACACTTTAGCAGGCATTCAAAATATGCTAGACAGATGAATAAATAGAAGAGATATCAACTGTGCAAGAAAGAGTAGACTGTGAAGATGTAGAGATGAGTAGAAAAGATGTTTGAGGCAGGAGAATTACATAGTGGCGACACAAGCTTGGTGAGCAAAGGCATCAGCTAATACTGGGTGAGGAATATTGGCCTGGAATATTGTCAAAACAAGACAGTATTCTTGGACCCATTAATTTTCAAAGAAACATCTGTATTTCATAGTCAAAAATGAGTTTGGGAGCACATATAAGCCTTTGAAAAATAAAGGCAGACAAATATGGTTAGAAGATTGAGGTTTGTTAATATAAGAAATATCAATAGGATATTGTGATGTAATATATGGTGTGATGTGATGATGTGATATAAAGCCAAGGTTTTCTAAGGAAGACTACTGTGCCTACCATATTGCTGCCCCCTACCTTTGGCAGGCATGGGGAGCTAAGGATAATATATCATCATGATGCTTGCACAGCAAGATAGGGGTAATAGAGGAGGGTTTAAGGAGGAAGCTACGCATAAACGTGTGAGTAGGGTTAGAGAATACCAATAAGGCATGGTGAGGCCCTGGAGCTGTTCACACTGAGGAGTCATTGCTACCCTGAGAGCTGTCCAGGCAAGGGGGTGGAGTGGTTAGAAAGAGCTGTGGCTGTAGGTGAGGAAGGAAGACAATCCCCAGAGAGGACCCACAGCCTTCCGGAGAGGCACATACCACTGTCAACATGCGACCCAACAGAGACCCAAGGAAATAAATTCCCAATCCTTCATGCCTCCCTATTTCCTGCTGGTGTCTCCTACTGTGCAGATGTCTTCTCCTAAAGGACAGGGAGACCCATGATGTGGTCCTTACAGCTCAGCCTCTTGGAGCACAGAGCAAGGCAGAGAAGGATGAAAAATGACTCGAGGGGAGAACAGAGCAAAGTCACCCCACCTGGGGAAGGAGAAGGTCAAAGCTCTTCTTGCTGATGGAATCTTGGGAGGTCTAATTTATTCATCTCATGATACCTTCAATTATCATGGCATTGTCTGGGTGAATTTATGGATACCTCATTAGAGCTTGAAGAGGCAAACTTCTCAATTAAATATGCTTGTTATAGTACAGAATTAGCTCCAATCTCTAGCCAATTGAATCTCCTTCTTCTGAAGCACTCCTATCCCATAAACAGTCACAGCTATTATTATTTTCTCCAGTATCAGTGACCTGCATATGCACAAAATCACTATGTAGGTGGTTAAAGTACCAGATATCATGTGTGCTTCCCAGGACAGGTGACTCTTGTCAAGACTGCAAATCTATTTGTCTCCTTTATTCAAAAGCAGCATTTGCATACCAACACTCTTAAATCCCATACATTCTTCCATGCTTCTAGGAGAGAAAGAGTCACCTAGCTTTATTTACAAGTCAGGCTGTAAATAAACTTGGAGACATACATTCAGATGAATGCTCCTGAGGTCAGTATCATATGCCGGATGTGGGAAGGGTATTTTACATTATAAAAATGTTTTGCTAGGAGAACAAAGGGAGTGGAGGAGGATTGTTAAGCCTCTGAGAAAGCGTTACTCATCTCAGAGGGCTCTAGCTAGGATACAAAGAGAGAGAGAAAGTCAGGTGGTTAAAATAATATTCTTACTCTCAGAGAAATTCACCCTAAACCAGTTTGACTATCTGTATATTCAGGGTGAATTCTAACCACAAACCCTCTTGTACAAGAAATGTCATAAGACTGTCTTCAGAATAAATACAATCTGACTTTGAGCTTCTAAGATGCTGGGCTACCAGGACATAAAATATCAGCCTGTATTGATACACATTCTCCTCACTCTCACGAGTGCACAGTCTGAACTTTAGTCCTCTGTAGGGACCACAGCCAGCCCACTCCTCATCAGGCTGCCAGGGAAGGAACATAGGCCCCGGTATTTGGGGAAACCCCTGGCTTCCATTCTCTTCTATGTACTGGGACTCTCTCCAAGGCACTCACCTCTCTCTCCTCCTTCTTCATGGGATAGCTTCAGTGAGTTTAGATTTCCTTAAAGACTAGGAAGAAAAGCTGCCCTCCAGCAACTCAGATGTAGAGTACTGCTAAATTGGCCAGAGGCTGGTGAAAGTAAAAATACTATAGAAAACAAGGCCAAACACCTCTCATCTTTTCCAAATCTCTCAAGACAGAAAGAACAAATCCAAACTAATATCTAAAGAAGTTATGGTGCCATGGTGGGCTTCCCCAAAGCCCTCCACTCGTGGTGAGCCCCGGAGTGACGGTTTCTCTACAGCTCTGAGGACCAGGCCTGGAAGGCACTGAGATAACCCCTGTGGCTACACAGAAGACTCAGACCTGCTCCTTGAGCTCACTGTCCACCAGGCAGCAGCCATGCCCACGACTGCAATAGCTTGGAGAAATGCCACAGTGGAGGAGGTACGGGGAGAGTGAAGAACTGCCTGGAGCAGGAAGCCTGTCAAAGAGCAGCAGAGATGGAGGAGAAAATATTTGGACTATGTTTGATGTCAACGACCAACGCAGGTTGGCTCAGCAGGGATGGGAGTGCAAAATTGTCCAAAGCAGAACGTCTTAGATAGGTTATTCTCAAACAAGAGAAAGCCTAATATCTTGTGGGAATAAGAGGTGTCACTGTTCAGGTTCCCTGGGAAGTAGACCCTGAGACACATTTTCATGCAGGAAGCTTGTTGGGGTATAGTCAATACAGGAATTACCCTGTGAGGGAACACAACTAGGAAGCACGATTGGACAGAAGGAAAAGTTAAACTGCAAGGCAGTTGCCGAAGAGGCCTCAGCAAACCACATGGCAGCTCTGGAACAGGGGAAGCCCTGCAAAGGAATGTCAAATTGAGGCAAGGAATCTAGGCTTTTGCAAACCCTAAAAGGGCAATGATAAGATGAAGCTGATCTTGGAGAGGGGTCATAACCTTGGAAGAGGAAGTTTTCTTTGGCTGAGGGCAATTCCTAGAGAGGGACTCAGCTATGAGCCCTTGGCAGGCAACACTCCTGAGCTGGGAGAATGAGAGCCTCCCTCCTGAAGGAGGAGAGCTTGGCTTTGCACTATTGCATGTGCCAGAGCAGCCACAGTCCAGCATTGCTCTGTCATGTCTGGCAGGGCAAGGGAGGATGATGCTTTCGTTAGGGTGGGCTAGGCTATACTCCTGTAACCATACTTTCCAGACACCATAAAGATTTCCTTTTGTGCCTATCACTCTGTCTGGAGGGTTGAGTAGCTACTTGTGGTAATTCAGGAGTTCAGGGTCCTTCAGTTTTCCAAAGTTGTAGTAAAAGGCAGAGACGGAGAAGACAGGATCACGCTAAGGGCTTTAGAGTGCCATTTGCACGTTGTGTACCTGGCTTCCTCCTACTTTCCACTGATGAGATCCATTCACATGGATACAACTTAATTGTGGGACCGATGGGAAATACAGTCTTCCACATGCCCAGATAGAGGAAGTGGGGTTAGTGAGCCTCTAGCTAGTCTTTGGTTCAGGGATGTTTGCCCAGAGTCTCTGTAGAACAGGATCATTGGGTAGCATACACTGGCTAGCATCTAGTACCAAACAGAACAACTCAGGATTTTTCATGTGTTTATAAAAATTGATATTTAAAAATCTTTCAGATTTGTGTTTTCTCTAGCAACACTGACTTGCTCTAAAGTTATAAACATCTTCTTAAAAATGAAAAGCTCTCAATCATACAGTGTAAATTATATATGGAAAGTAGCAAAGGAATATTTTTAAAGCTGTCACCAATGCTCCACTCCTGACTTATAGTTGTGTGTTTTTTTGACGTCTGTCAAACCAGTAGGACAGATCCTGGGTAGGGGCATGAGGAATGGGGGAAGTTTGTCCACAGACTCATCAGTCTTCACAAGGTGGTTGAACATTATTCCAAGGGCAATGGGAACTGCCTGAAGATTTAAGTAAGATGGTAACCCACTACATCTTATCTGGAATATGATCCTGCATACAAGTAGGCAACCTGGTTATTATCTGGACAGTCATTCAAACACAGTGTGTGCCAGAAATTTATTTGTGGCTTAAATCAAGATATCAGGCACATTCCTATTTATAAAAGTTTGACTTAATCCCCCCAAAAATTTTTTTTCATAACCCTCGTACTTGAGCTACTTCCAGAATTAAATTTGATCAAGTGAAACCACCTCCTTTCAAGAGAGAACTTCCAAAGTATCTGCTAGTCACCCAGTCCTCCTAACTCCCTTCCCCCTTCATCAATGGGTAGAGTTGAAAGTTTGGCCCACTTCCAGGACAGCCTTTAGGAATCTCTTATCCTACTGTAAACTGAAGACTACAAAGCTCTTCCAACAGTGACTTGATGGCAGAAGAGAGGCCAGGTGACCCTGTGCCCTGCTTGATGGGAGGCAGCAATGATTTCTGAATCGTAGTTCACACTAAGTCCTCGATGATCTGCTTTCTCCTGTGGGTCAGACTTAACTGAAAATAAATATGTCGCAGGAAGCCTTTCCATAACTTTTCCCTCCTTTCTCCCACTCCTGAGAAAGAGAGCCTCCCTCCTGCAGGAGGAGAGCCGGGCATTGCACTATTGCATGTGCCAGAGCAGCCACAGTCCAGCATTGCTCTGTCATGTCTGGCAGGGCAAGGGAGGATGATGCTTTCGTTAGGGTGGGCTAGGCTATACTCCTGTAACCATACTTTCCAGACACCATAAAGATTTCCTTTTGTGCCTATCACTCTCTCTGGAGGGGAAAGCATTTCGTTGATGTTCTTTATTTTTCTGCAGGCAACAAATGCCTGAGAGCAGGGGCTCCAACTTAGACATATTATGTGGGCCACACTATTCGGCAGAGCTCCTTGTCCTCTGCAGAGGATCAGTAACAATTTGTTACAAGTACAGGTGAGGGACACAGGCTTGCCCCAAAAGTATTTGTGGGACCTCATGGAGTAGATCACTTGATATGTTTTGCCCTCAGCACTCTTATCTGAAAGTAAAAGAGGTTGGATGTTCTTTAGGCCCCTTCGAGCGCTCGCTCTCGTGAATCCAACAATTTAGTTTTTTAAGGTGATCGTGGTGCACTGCTGTCTCTGGAGTTAGGAAGATCCTGACTCTGCTACTCACAAGCTGCATGACCTGGACAAGTTGTTTAATCCCCCTGAGAAAAACAATTTCAATTTTGCACTTCATGTTGAGGAATGAAAGATATACAGAGAAACATCTCAGCACAGGCATGCAACAAACACAGGTTTAATATATAAGACTAGTAGTAATAATAGAATAATACTAGAAGTCTGCAAGACAGAAAGTTCTAATGCAAAAAAAAAAATGGTGTTGGTAGGAATACCTTCTTGTTTTAGGTACCACCTAGGTCCAGGCTCTGGTGTAGACACTGGGGTTAAAAGATACATAAGTTTTGGCTGGGCGCGGTGGCTCACGCCTGTAATCCCAGCACTTTGGGAGGCTGAGGCGGGTGGATCACAAGGTCAGGAGATCAAGACCATCCTGGCTAACAGGGTGAAACCCCATCTCTAATAAAAATACAAAAAATTAGCCAGGCGTGGTGGTGGGCGCCTGTAGTCCCAGCTACTCAGGAGGCTGAGGCAGGAGAATGGTGTGAACCCGGGAGGTGGAGCTTGCAGTGAGCCAAGATCACACCACTGGACTCGAGCCTGGGCGACAGAGTGAGACTCCGTCTAAAAAAAAAAAGATACATAAGTTTTTTGACAAAGCTGACAAACCTATGGGTTGAATCAATTATGATGAAAATGCAGCATTGCTTTTTATTTGGGATGCTTCCTTCTGAAAGCCAATAACATAAGGCAAAAGAGAAATGAATCCTGAAATGTAGCTGAAATGTAGGGACTGTTTTATAGAGAAATAAGCCAGAAAAAAAATGCACTTTTAGATATCTGAAGAAGATTTTGTAAGGCCTACCCTGGCCTACACCTACACCATCCATGAAGCTGCACATGCTGATGTGTGTCTACATGCATGTGTTTGGGTGTCTGCATGTGTTTGCATACACACATACACTTGCCCCTTTCCAGCAAACATTCTCAGGCTTTGCAGACAGGCTCACTAACTCAGACGGCAACAGCATCAGCATCTGTCATCTTTTCACACCAAGAGCAGTGGAATCCGTTGATGCAATGAGAAAACACAACTCTCAATCAGCTCTGGGTAAAGGATAGATGCCAAATAACTATATTTTTAAAATTGGGAACACTGTGTGCATCTTCCAAGTGATGCTGGTAAAAGGTTGACTCACTCATAAATACAAGGTTGCAGCTGGTACTAAGGGATGGATTTTCCCAGCAAGGGGCCCCTAAATGGCAGCTGCCTGCCAGAAAAAGGCATGTGAGGCACTGAGCTAATTTGGCTGTGTACCCTCTTTTGCCCTTTCATTTGGTCAAGCCCTGGAATGTTAACGCAAGCTGAGAGACAGTAAGCCACACATGGCTTTCACATACAGAAGGGCCAGGCATTGGAACCTACATTTTTGGACTGAATTGATGAGGATTATATATGAGGTCTTGGGAGATCGCCATCCTCGCCACCCTCCATCTCTGTAGAGTGTGAGAATCTGTGGATCTCATGCTTTGGGGCCTTCGAATGGCTAGATAACATTTTGAGGCATCAATTTATTTCATTTGTTTGGCTTCACTGCCTCTGATTTTCCTTGTTCTGTCTTCCCCATGCAGGCAGGTTGTTTGTTCTGGGCTTCATCGGCACAGATAAAGTAAGTGACAGAGCAGAAATCAGAAGTCACAGGCAAGAATAGCTGGCATTTTCCTTATAAGCCTTCACAGAGGGTTTGAGGGTTTTTGAAAGAAGTAAAAGTATGAAGGGTGGCTGAGGCAGAGTGAACTGAAGAGGCAGAAAACAGAATGGGACTCACCTGTGTCCTCCCACTCAGTCCACAAAAACCAGGGCTGCAGCAGGAGAGAGGCAGGGAATACAGGCCTGCTGGAGCATGGAGATCAGCCTAGCTTTCTAGCAGTATCCTGGTGAGGAGCCATGATTTCAGAGAAGAATGCCATATGCCAGATGGATTGTCTCCACAGGTAGGACCACAGGTGTCCTAGGCTGGTTACCCAAGGCCCCAGACAAACAAGGACAATGTATCTTCCCAGGTATGCCCAGGACCGCATACCAGATGTCTCTACCTGCCACCTGACCAATCCACCTGACTCCAGGAACCATGGCTTAACCCCGTGGATTACTGAGGTCAAGTTTCACAAGATGCCTAGGATGAGGGAAATGCTAGAATAAAAATTGGGCCGAACTCTATAAAATAAAGAGATGTAATTTTTTTTTTGCGCACCTGATTTTGTGAGCTGGCATTCCTACCTCCTACCTACGGATAATGAATAATTTCTAGATTAGCTGTTGGTCTTTGTTGTCTGTTTTGAGGCTGCTCTAGGAAACCTTGGGGCTACCTCTGCACAGCTGAAGAGGAAGCCCCCACAGGAGCTGGAGGAGTTGTACCAGGACTGAGAACTCTGCTGCAAGATGCTCCATTTTTTCTCTTCCAAGCAGTGCTTGCTGTTGTCAGTCAATTAGGACTGTGCATCCTAAGGATGCAATGAATCTCCAATTGCATCATCTCATCCAGTCTTTGTGGCTTTCTCCTTTGACTTAGTATCTTTGGTCCCTGTGATATCAGGGCAGTGCAAGAGTGCCAGGTGGGGGGAACTGAGAGCCTAGAATTTTTGTGTGTAGGATACAGAGCTTAGGGATCCAACTCTCTATCTGCCCTCTCCTCTCTCTCCTTCCCTCCTTTCCTCTATCCCTTTTTCTCCCCTCCCTTCCTGTATTCTTTACTCTATCCCACTATCTCTCCCTTTCTTCCTGCTTTTCAAATTACCTTTTTTTCACATTCATTGAGGCTCGCAATAGATCATACTCTATGTTCAATGCTGACAATATAATGAGGAGCACGGTGGGCATAATTTGTACTCTCTTAGTCTATATTTTAATGGGGGGAATCTAGAAAAGTGAACAAGAAATTACAGTCCTAGATCACGAATGTTCACATATAGCATCCAGTGCTAAGAATCCCATAGGATGGGCAGCAAAATTTTGTCATAGCTGGTGGGAATCAGAAAAGGCCTCTTAGAGGAAATATTTACTAAAGAAATGATAGCCAGGTATAAGGAGTTGGAGGGAGAAAAGGAGTGTTAGGAGAGAGGGAAAATGTTAGAGCTAGGGATAGAAGAAAGACGTTCGGTGTTAGAGGAACTGTATTGTTTTAAACAATCGATTTAACAAACCTATAGTGTTTACTATACCCAACTATATGGAGTAGATACTATTATTATCTGCATTTTAAAGAGAGGGGAAAGGAGGCATAAGATTAAGAACCTTGCCAAGAAGTTCAGAGTGGCTTTCCCTGTGTTAGGGTAATGGTCTGCACCACAGCCTCACAGGCACTGTTGGATCAGGAGCCAAAATCCTGAATGGAAAGCAGGCAAATAGAAACTACCACGATGGCACCTCTGTGGAGAATTAGCATGCTGTGGTCTGGATCACTGGGTACTTCTCGGTCCTCAGAGTCAATTCCCTTCAAAAGTCTTCTGTGCTCCAAGCATTTCTCATTTCCCTGAAACTTCATTTACATCAATCATTTGCTGAGCAAGGCTTTTGCACAGAGAGAATTTAAAGGGAAGTGGCTCTCAAGTTTCCACCTACATTATCATACATTTTGAGTAAAAAAATTCCTAAGAACAGCCCTTAGTAAGTTACAGATACATCAGGATCCTCCCATGAATTAATGAAATGAAGCATGTAGCTGGGAGAATGATAACCAACTCAAAAGTAATTTATGTTTTTAATTGGGTAGTGATTGAAATCTACCCAGCAGTTACAAATTTATTCACGTTGCTTTGGTCTCATAGCTTCACTTCCTGCCCCTCTGCCTGGAGCCAGGTCCTACTGTATACTCCCTACTCCTCTCAGCTCTTTGTGGGCAGGAATTGGGTTTTTAATGGCCATCAAGGGCCATCTTGAAGTCTTAGAAGGCAGATGAGTATTATAGGCCACAGGTGCACTTTGATGTGATGATAAGCATTCATTTATTCCTTCATTGATTCATTCATTCACCCAGCGTAATCAAGTGCTAACTCTATGCCAGTTCTGAAAATGCTTGCTCTGCCATTAGCAGACTAACAATTGAGCTCTAACATAAATGTATGTGTGACGTGCCATCTGTAAGTGTTGGTAAGGCTTTTTCAGAGAAGGAGAATGTTGGGTTGGCCCTTGAAAAAGAAGAAAGGGTAGCATAACATTCCAGACAAAAGGAACATGCAAAGTCATGGAGGAATAGGCCCATGCATCCATAAATCCAGTTCCAGCCAGGACAGAAATCCTACTAGAGTTCCCAACCCACAAGCCCATGAAGTCTGGCATGAGAGCCATCATGCAGGAGCAAGCTCTGGGCATGCTTGAACCCGCTATTATATATCATCTTTTCATCATGTAAAACTTGACTCAGCCATCACTCACCAAAGTTAGGAAGCCTTCTCTGACCCTTCTGGGTTGTTTTAGACATACCTCTAGGAATTTCCACAGAACCCTGGGAGCATACTTCTATTACAGTGCATTGTCTTAGATAATCTATAAGCAACTGTCTCCTTTGTGAGACTGTGAGCCCCTATGTAACAATTTCCAGTACACAGTTAATCAATGAGATAATGCTTATTAAATGAATGAATGAATGAGTGAATAGATAATTTTTGTTGACTACCATCACTTGACCCTCACTGTTAAAATGCTAGAAAAATCTGCCCACTGGGCATACTACTATCCTGTGGCAATTTTGTAAAGATTTGGCCCTCGACACCTGTGATTAGAAATTACAAAGGAAGCTGAAGGTACGAACAAGATTCCTGGTAGAACACTCACCCCAGCCTTTTGGCTTTTGCATTCACAATTCTAGGCTTGAATTTAGAATGAAGTGAGTGGAATGAGTCCTGTTACATGCTGACTGCATTCAATTGTAGTTCAATTATAATTTATGAATCGCTTTGGTCGTCATGGGCCATTATCGTAACCAGATGGCATGGCCTTATTATGGCACCCGAAGACATTCATCTTGCAAAAATGGACAGTCAGACACTAAGTCCCTGTGGAGAAAGCCATTCCCAACCTGTGTAGGCTAGTGGTGATCTCTGATTATTCTCAGATTATGTCTCTGGATTTACATTATAATTTGCATTCCTTGTTTAGGAGGATAATGACAACAAGTCCTGTTATAGGATTTGCATATATCTTTTTAACTTTCCCAGTTTGTTTCAACATCCTTCTCACTTTTAGCTAAGACTGGGAAAATTTCTTTCTCTTTTGCTTTTACTTGATCAAATTTTTTTTTCCTGTTTCTTTCTCAAAAATCTGTTTAGAGTTAGGTATCAGTTACCTTGTGCCCTAAATTTTATTGTCATTTTAAAATGCAATGTTTTGTGGGATTTTTTCTTGTTTAAAAAAATCTGCAAGAACAAAAATGAAATTTATGAACTATCTAATAACATAAATCAATGTTATACTTATTTAAAATACGGTACAATTTTTGTATTCACAGAAGGAAAACATCATTTAATTAAGAAATAAGGGTCTCTGAGAGTTGTTTTCTCTCTGTAAATATTAACAGACAATTTGAAATTTACATTCTGCCAGTTGATATTTCTAACTAAGTAGCTTTGCTATTTGAAAGACATGTCTTGTTCTGTTATCAGTTAAGATGTTGCATTCTGAGGGTCTTTTTGCATTAGGCACTTTCCAATCACATTGAACATATTCCAGGAGGACTTGTTTGGTTCTAACGGACAGAGGCTAAGCTTAGAATCCCTCAGGTGACGGAACTTGTATTTACCTTGGCAGGGAGCTCAGCACCATTGCACCTTATGAGAACAGGGACTGGAACTCACTCAATTTCACAGCCTCCTCTCATGGCACCTGCTTCTCACTGCACATCTGCTAAATGCTCCTCTCTCTACCAACTGGCATCGTCTTCTCCTGCTCTTTTTCCTTCATCTTATATGCATACATTTTAAATTTCCATGTTTTTGCCTCAACATCATGAGTTTGCTTTACCATCTACTCCTACTTCTAACCCAGGGTTCTAATTACCTATACCCAAAATCCAAAGAATAAAACCTGAGTATCACAGCCCATCTTTCTGAGCCAGATCTCACAAGTCATTTGTCACAGGCCAGCCTCTATGTGCCTCTTTGGGTATAATACTCAGCCTTGCTCTAATCAACTCTGACAAAAGGGGGGATCATATAATATAAACATGACCTATTCAGGCAGAGGGGCTGCAGATGGCAAAGTGCCTTACAACAGGGAGTGGCTGAAATTTATCCTTAGCATCTGTTTAGGCTTGAAAACAATGTTTGTTTGGGCCTATATAGTTTTGTTTTGTTTTGTTTTTTTTAACATGGGAAATGAGAACATATGTCATCAGTCACTACTTTTGATGAGCTTCAAAGACTTAAGATTTTCCTACAAGTAATCTCAAGAAACTCACCCAGAAAAACAAACTAGGACTCAGCGCTGACCTCCCAGCAATCCCAATAACTTGCTTGAAAGTGAAGGAAGTGGATTTCAAACAAGTGTAAGCCAAGAGAGGATTTGATGCCCACATAAACCAGGAAGAATGATATTACAGCTGGCCTCAGGAATAACAGAATTAGGACTGGGGTTCTCTCTGCCTGTCAAGACTCCTGGCCTCCATCTCTGGCCTCTGCATCACTGTGTGTTGGTCTCATTGGTCTCAAACCGGCTTATCCTGCATAGAGCACTTTCTCCAGGCCATGTCCTTATAGATTCACAATCAGAGAAGACAGAGGCTTTCAAAAATCCTGGGGAATAACTCTGATTCACTTACCTTGGTCACATACCGTATCAGAGTGCTCCAGAAAAATAGAACCAGAAGGACGTGTGTGTGTGTGCGTGCACATGCATTTGTGTGTGTAAAGAGATTTATTTTGAGGAATTGGCTTATATGATTATGGGGACTGGCAAGTCTGAAATTTGTAGGGCAGGCCAGCAGACTGGAAACTCAGGCAGAAGTTAATGCTGCAGTTTTGAGATAGGATTTCTTCTCTGGAAAATGTCAATTTTGCTTTTAAGGTCTTCAACTGGTTGATGAAGCCCACCCACATGATTGAGCATAATCTCCTCACTTAATGTCAACTGATTTTAAATGTTGATCACATCTATAACATATCTTCACAGCAACATCTAGATGATTGGCTGATTAAATAACTGGGTACTATTGCCTGGCCAAGTTGCTACATAAAACTAATCATCACAGAAGCCCACCCTGTGCTCCAGTTAATGGGGCAATGGGAAATTGGGTACTATGATTGGAACAGGTGGGATTATCTGTCCACGCATATGGTCATATGTGGGGACTCTATTAACAGAAATGAAATTAGTATATATAGGAACACCTGTAAACCCATAAACCACCTCATTGGTCTATACATGGATACATGATATGGGGACTCATTCCTTGTCTGTTTCTGGACTCAGTCTCCACAGTGCCACATGGATGGGCACAGGGAAGTGGAAATTGAGGCTGGCCTGATTTAGCCAATTTGTAATGGTAACACAATTTCAATTTGTGTTTTACTTTTTTTTTCATCCTGCCTTCTGACAATACTTTCATTCTTACAATCCCCAACACTTAATGAAATGTGCAGGAGAAACAACACAAATGAATTTATAATATGAGGTATTTATTATTAATAGATAATGCATATGAAAATAATCAATTAAATTCTGACACAATTTCCAAAGAGTTTTTGTGATTCATGCCATCTTCCTCTTCATTTCAAAGTTATTATTAATTCATTCCAAAAATATATTTTGAATGTTGCAGTAACAGAGATGATTGTAGGTCTGGAACTACAGTGGTAGTGAACAAAGCAGATGAGATCCTGCGCTTTTGTTGAGCCAGGATCTCATTTAGTACATTTGCATTTAGTAAGTTAGGGGAGGGAGGTAAAAACAAAAACAAAAAAACACGCAAACACTCAAATGCCTAAGATAGTTATGGTGGTGGTGTCTCCTGAAGACAATAAAACAAACTCTGTGATGGAGCACAGTTAGTGGGAGCTGAGCTACCTTTAGTCAGGTAGCCCGAGCAAACTGCCTCCCTGGGACCACGTTTGAGCCGTGATAGGAAAGGCAAGAAAGAGCTTCCCACGTAAAGACATGGCAACTCCATCGACAACCCCATAAGTCCATTTCCATATGTGAATATATACATACGGAAGCTTCTGAGTACTCAGAGTTTCTGCTTCCTCATATCTTTTTCTTACATATTGTCTGGATGCTCTCAGTGTTCTTATGTATGCTTAGATTCAGCTCCTACTACTGCTGGCTCTCCCTGGGTTGTGTTTTTGAAGTTCATCCTCCTAAGGGAGATAACCTGATTGGCCCCACTCACCCCTTCTCACAGTTGCTGCCATCCAGTAGAGTGGTTGCCCTCGTCACAGGCACCACCTTTAGTCCAGTCAACTATGGCAGAGGTGGAGGGACTTTCACATTCAGAGAGGCTATGCATTCAGCAGGGGCTATGGGTGAATTCTTTTAGTTAAAAAGTGGTCTTGAGTGCAGACACCATGACTGAAATATCTGGAACTATGCATCCACTATGTGCCAAATACCAGATTAGAGATAAATAAGATATGAAGTTCGCAATGACTGGGGAACTCCACAAAGCAACACTATCAACATGAAACCTTCCTGACCTCCCACGTTGTCCTAGCGGCCTCCTTATGTATTTCTATCCTGGCAACTTTTCCCCTTTATTGCTCATTTTTCTGCATATCTACTTCATTCTACTCGAAACCGAAACCCATAGAGTTTAAGCGAATTGCCCAAGGTCAGTGTCCTAAGTCCTGGACTCCCCATTCTGTGTGTATGGCATCCCATCACACCAATCACTCAGTATCTGCAGTGCCCTAAGACAGTGATTATCAATGGGAGATGGAGGGTTGCAGGAGGCGGGGTGGGAGTGTAATTTTGCCCCACAGGAGATGTTTGGCAATTCCAAAATATTTTTGTTTGTCATGATTTGTGTGGTGGTGATTCTATCAACAATCAATAGGCCCACATCAGGGATACTGTCAGACATCCTGCAATGCAGAAGATAGCTCCTCACAACCGAGAATTACCCCGCTGAGAATATCGCTTGTACTGAATATCAACCCTGCCCTAGAGAATCCTAAGCAATTGATAACCAAGATGTCTTATGATGACATTGTGACCTCTCTCTTCCTTCCGCACTCCCCAGATCATTAATGGCCTCTTAGAAATGGCAAAGTTTGCTTGCTAGGCAGAGAAGAATCCTGATTTTGAAACTGATTCAGCAAAAGAAGCTGTCACTTGACAGTGGAATCACAATATATCACTCCATGGTCATTCATCATCTTCCTCATCTTTTATTATTATATACTGCATGAGTCAATAGCACCTCCATTAATATTTTGCATAGCTATGTTATACATTTAATAAAATGCATGCCCTTTAAAAGTCATAATGTCCCCAAGGACTTGTATATGATACCACATAATTTTTCTTGAAACTGGGATCTGCCTTGGAGAATGACTTCAATTTGTTTTCCAGAAGTATTGACATAAATCACTATTTCAGCAAGTCTGATCACCAGACCGTTGCTGGCCTGCGATAAATGTTTTCCAACCTGCAAAACTTTTGCCACAGGAAGTTATTTTATTTTTAAAAGCTATAAACTGAAATGATGACCCTTGACAGGCAATGAGACCTATAACCTTATATGAAGTTCTGATTTTTGCTATATTTTACCCATTAAATAAATAATTGAATAAAGAAAATATGTTAACTAGTACCTGTTTCAGCCTAGTGTCCTTCAAAGCAGAATCTGAGGTAAAGGTTTATGAGGAGTTTATTTGAGAATGTGACTGCAGAGAGGAGAGGCAAGGATTGGGGAAATGAAATGTAAGGAGGGAAATCCAACACAAGCCTGCACCATGAGTTGGCCACCTAATGAGTGACTGGTCACCTCATACTGAGAACCTCTGGGAAACATGAAATGCATCTGAGACTCATCAGACTGGGTAATAAAGAGGGAAGCATTTGTCTGTCCACTGCCAGCCATCACTGGTCGGGGTCACTATACAGGACGTCTGCTTCCCCAAATTTCATTTGTGAGTACTAGTTGTCCCAGAGATGCCCAAGGATAGACAGTGATGGAGGGCATAAACAAGAAAATAGTAGGCTGCACCTGCAAGAAACTTGTAGAAGCCTGTGCAGAACCTGTCCCTGTAGAGGTAGCTGCAATGAGAGGTAAGGCCTGGAGCACATGAAGACGTAAGTGAGAGGTGTTAGAATCAATCCTTTAATGAAGATCAAAAATAAGCTTAGCCATACTATCCTTACATGTATAGTGTATATAATGAATATGTAGATGTCTGAGACATTTCCTACACATCCACATATGCCTATGTATTTCTCAATATATACCCCTGTAAGTATAGGTGGATATGCACACCCTTACACATATGTACACATATACCTGGACACATACATATTATATACATCTGTAAATATTTAATTTAAATAACTACTTATCACATGTGAAACACTTGTATCATATTTGATAATGGCAATGGTAATAGAAATTTTCAATACTTTTCTCATCTACAGTTTAGTGCTACGTAAGAAATATGGCTACTCTCATTTTGGCTTCATTGGAAGGGAACACCATTTGACCTTGTAAGCATGGCTATACTTATTATTGGAAGTGCATGGCAAAGTGTGTCCTTCCAGTGGTCACTAATGTCCTATTTTCTTTGGATAAGATATTCAAGATTGACTCTTTTAGCTGTTTAGATTTAAAACCTGACTACTCCTGTTTAAATCCCATCTACACGGGCATCCTAGTTGTGTGACCTAAGGCAATTTATTTAACCCTTCTGTGCCCCAATGTACCTACCAGCAAAATGGAGACAATCATAACACCTACTTCATAAGATTATTGTGGGAACAAATGGGTTAAACATGAAAAACACCTATATTGGAGCCTGGTACATAGTAGGAGCTTTAGCAGCTCAGCTATTAATAACTAATATTAATAAATGTTAGCTATCATTATTATTTTCACACATGCATACCAAAATGGTATGAAACGGGAGCGGGAAAAGGGGATGGAATTAGTTGGCCTAATTTTTCTTAGTCATTTCCTACCAATAACCCATGTCGAATGTATTTGTAAGTGAGAAAAAACACTTTGAGTTTCATTTTTTAAAGTACGTTTCTTGTTTTCAGTTTTATTTAGAGAGAAACATGTAAAGTATTTTAGATGGCATTTGACATTTTATTTGAGAATTGCTGACTCAGACTGAGCCAGACTGGGGAGCTATGGAATGGAACAGAGTCATTAAAGTAATAATTCAAGAAACGTTAAAAGCAAAACATGACAAGTGACTCTTGATGAGTGGAATTGGAAAATACATTTGCAGCCATGTGGCCAAGTTAACCTGGGTAGAGGATAGGAAAACCCTCATATAAGGGAAATCAAAAATATTCCCTATACGTCTACCGTGTGCTAAGACCTGTGGTAAGACTGTATGTACAAAGTTAGGTAGAAAAGTCTCTAACTCAAGGAACTCATAGCCTATAATCTGCTCCTTAGTCTTTATACTGAAAGTATAAACCAAGTATGTGAACCAAATGTATAAGCCTGTTTTTAGGTTTAAAACAAAGCAAAATAAACAAATCAGCCTAAGATTTGTCCAAGTAGTCTCATAAAACATTGAGCCAAAAGGATTTGACATAAAGAAATAATCGAAGAAAGATTTTATGAGGTTTTAGAATTTGTTCTTACATAATTCAATCAAAACCGATATTTTCTGTGTAAATGCAGTTTCAAAAGGACACGAGAGTGAGACTCACCAAAATAGTCATTATTTCAATTACCTGTTGCTATAATAAAGCACCCCAAAACTTACTTACTGTAAACAATTATTTTATTATCCCTAAAAGTTCTTAAGTTGACTCAGTTGGGCTGGGTGATTTTCCTGGTCTATGTGATATTGACTTTGACTATAGAAAGATGAAAGATGAACGGGGCTAGAACATACAAGATGGCTCATTCTTATGGCTAGTAGTTGTTGCCTATTGGCTGTGAACTAGCTGGGGCTGTTGAACTTACCAACTCCACATGGCTTTTTCACATGGCTTGGACTTCTAGAAAGATAGATAGATTCTGAGTGAGCAACATAAAAATGAGCATCCTAAGAAGAAGAAAGCTGAAATGCCAGTTTTCAACTCAGAAGACCAAAATGTCACTTCCATTGTATTCTATTGGTCAAAGTGTCCATAGGATCAGTCTAAAATCAAGGGAAGGAAAAGTAAGTTTCTCCTGTCGATGTAAGGGGTGACATGGGTATACAGGAAGGGGAGGATTTGGGGGCTGGTCAATTTCAGATACCGGCTACCACGGGAATTTTAAAAGTAGAATTGTAATAATGAGGAAGGTCTTGGCATAAGACCTATTATTACTGGCACTGGTGGCTTTATAGGAACTATGTTAATTTCAAATTTAAATGATGAATGCGGTGTACTTTGGTGTTCTTGTTGTTACAGAGTAGGATAGTGTGCTAACCTCCACTCAAGACTTGGTTAAAGTTCTTATATTTATTATTTTCACTTGGTTTGTGTGTTATTGTCCATCTACCATACAAACCATCAATATTAGCAAGGACAATGTTTTAGGCCCAATAACTCCCAAAGCCCTGCCTTGCTGATAAGATGTGTGATATAACCTTGTTAATCACCTTGAGATTTCATGAGTTTTGGCTAACCATGCCCTGTTCCTAGCTCACTATTAGACATAAAAGGCTATGTGGGAGCCCTGAGCAGGCCTCGCCCCACTCCTATGGAGAAGGAACAATAGTCCTTGAGGATGAAGGTGGATGGGAAGAGGATCTAGAGAAGAACGGGAAAGAGAATTGTAAATGAGTAAAACTTGTAAGGCTCTTATAACTGAAGCACAGACATTCTGTCTGTGTGAGGACAGATATATCCCATTAATTGAGCACCTACTATGTGCCAGACAATTTGCCAACCTCTTTACAAAAAATCATTTCCATTTTAAAAGTAAGATTGCTAACCTTCACAGAAGTTTAGCAGTCTTCAAAGGTCATAACAATAATAAGTAGCCAAAGCAGAATTGTAACCCCTGCCTATTCCACATTCAGAACATCAGATTGCCTTTTCCTGTAGTTATGAAAAAGTGAACACCAGCTTAGATATACAGTTAACCTATCAGATCTAGCACGTTAATTTCAATGTGAAGTCATCTGCAGTGACTCAGTATCAGCCATATTTGAAAGCTGGCAGTGACTGAAAATGCTCTTGATAGCTCAGAGCCATGAGTTTGACAGGGAAGATGCAACAGCTGGTACCAATTAGAAACATATAAAGTAAGACTTTTGGGAAACCTAAAAATAAACTTATCTTTTGTATAGCTATCCATAGTTTGGAATGGGAATCACTTATTGAATCAAATAATTGGCTCTCAGTGTCTGTAGCAAGTTAATTACCTAAGGCAAATGAGACACAGCACTCTCAAGAGAATTGTATCTGTTTATCCTGTCAAGTCGTGCTTCTAATTTTGAGGCATCTTTCTTCCTACTCTCCTTTTTATTTAAAGGCTAGTGGTAGATTGTATACTTATGATTTAAATTGACAATAAATAATACAAGGCAAAGGGCTGATCTTCTCTTAATAGTAGCGATGTTAGGGAAAACATGGAATGATGTGAATGAGGCACTTCATATTATCTCTGTTCCATGCTGTATAATGTCAGCCTAAGTCCACATAGTCATCTCTTTCCAGGGATATTGGGGATAGAGAAGAGATCCTGCATCAGAGTCCTAGATCTGTCACTGCAATGTAACCTTGAGGAGATACTTAACCTCTCTGAGCCAAAGAATCCTTATTCAGATGTAACTAACATTTATTTTCCCATTTTGTAAGTGGCAGCATATTTTACCTACATAACCTCATTTACTTACTGTATGCATCCTGCACACATTCGGGCATGCTGTAGATTCTTCAGAGAAATAAACTAAGGTTTAGTTTTGAGGTTATAATAAAGAACTGAGGTGAGCCAACCCCAGATTCCATGCACTTCCCATATGGCTAACAACCATTGTAGTTGGCTGGGGTCTTCACCCTGGTAAGATTAGATGGTTGTGATTTCAAATAAGGAGCAATCAGCTATCAAAGCTGTTCAAATGTTAGTTTCTAGTTAGTGAACTTTGCTCTACTGGCAACCATCAACTACTTAGATTTAACTCCTCCCCTTCTCCATCATATCCAATCTCCATCAGGGCACTTTGATTCTCTGTTCTAAACTTGCTTTACTTTTTTCTTCTATTCTCTACTCCTGCCTTTGTTCTGAGAGTGTCTCCGAGACCTGTGCAAAAGCCTTTCCTGGGCCCCCTACTTCTTTCTCAACTCCCTCCAATTTATTCTCTTTGCACTATTGACTTGTTAAAAGCAAAACTTTGGACAAATTGCACTTAATAGAGTTTGAGCAAAGAATGATTCATGAATTGGGCAGACTCCAGAACAAAATCAGGTTCAGAGCAACTTCAGGACTGCCACCTGGTTGCATAACATTTCCAGACAGAAAAAAGAAAGTGATGTGCAGAAAATGGAAGTGGGTTGCAGAAACAGCTGGATTTGTCCCCTTCTTATGTTAAAACATGACCTCCAGTGTTGGAGATGGGCTTAGTTGGAGGTATTTGGGTCATGGGGGCAGATCCCTCATGAATGGCTCAGTGCTGTTCTCACAGTAATGAGTGAGTTCTAACTCTATGAGTTCATATGAGATCTGCTTGTTTAAAACACTGTGGAACCTTCCCTGTCTTTCTTACATTCTCCTTCTCCACGTGATACACTAGCTCCCCCTTAGCTCTCTGCGATGATTGTAAGCTTCCTGAGACCTTCACCAGAAGCCCAGCAGATGCAAGCACTGTGATTCCTGTACAGCCTGCAGAACCATGAGCCAAAATAAACCTCTTTTATTTATAAGTTACTCAGCCTTAATGCAAATGGACTAAAACAGAAAATGGGTATTTAGGAGGGGTGCACTGCTATAAAGACACCCGAAGATGTGGAAGCAGCTTTTGAACTGGGTAATGGGCAGAGGTTGGAAGAGTTTGGAAGTCTCAGTAGAAGACAAAGATGAAAGAAAGCTTGGATCTTCTTAAAGACTTGTTAAGTTGTTGTAACCAAAATGCTGATATAGATGTTAATAGTGAAGTCCAGATTGACTCCAGGGAACTGGAGCCAAGGTCACCTGTGTTATACCTTAGCAAAGAACTTGATTGCATTGTGTCTATGCCCTAGGGATCTGTGGAAGTTCAAATTTAAGAGTAATGACCTAGGGTATCTGGCAGAGTAAATTTCTAAGCAACAAAGCATTCAGGAAATGGCATGGCTGCTTTTAAAAGCCTATGCTCAGATATAGGAACAAAAATTTGGAACTTGTATTGGAGTTAAACTCCAATGCATGAAAGCAGCCACAGGGGCTCTACACTGCAAAGCCACAGGGGCAAAGCTGCCCAAGGACTTGGGAGCTCACCCTTTGCACCAGTGTGCCCTGGATGTAGGACATGGAGTCAAACATTATTTTGGAGCATTAACATTTAATGTCTTCCCTGCTGGGTTTTGGACTTGTGTGGGGGCCCATTGACCCTTTATTTTGGCCAATTTCTCCCTTTTGGAATGGGGATATTTACCAAATGCCTGTATCAACATTGTATCTTAGAATTAAATAACTTTTTAAAAATCTTACAGGCTCATAGATGGAAGGAACTTACATTGAAAGGAGAAGCAGAGTGTAAAAGCTTAGAAAATGTCTAGCCTTGACATGTGGTAGAGAAAGAAAGAGCCTTTTCAGGTGGTAAATTCAAGCAGGCTGTGGGGCAGTCACTTGCTAGAGGGATTATCATTACCAAAATGGGACTAAGTGACTATTAAGTCAAGGCAATTGGTGAAAGAGCTCGAATGCATTTCAGAAGTTTCGGAGGCAGCTCCTCCCATCACAGCTCCAGAGACCTAGGAGGAAAGAATGGTTTCAGGGGCCAGGCCTGGGGTGCTGCTTCCTTGCTTAGCCTCAGGACACTGCTCCCTACATCTGGGCTACTCCAGCTTCAGCCTCAGCTCACAGAAGCTATGGCCACCACTTCAGAGAGTGCAAGCTATAAGTTTTGGTGGCTTCCACATGGTTTTGGGTCTACAGGTACACAGTATAGAAGACTGAAGAATGCTTGGCAGCTTCTACCTAAATTTCAGGGAATGTATGGGAAAGCCTAGTTATCCAAGAAGGAGCCTGCTACAGAGACAGGACTCACACAGGGATCCTCTACTAGGGCAGTGTTGAGGGGAAATGTGGGGTTGGAGCCCCCGCATAGGGTGCCTATCAGGGCACTGCCTAGTGGAGCTGTGGCAAGGGGGCCATTGCCCTTCAGACCTCAGAATGAAAAAGCCATAGGCACACAACTCTAATCCATGAGTGCAGCCACATGGGCTATACCCTACAAAGCCACAGGAGTGGAAATGCTCAACGACTTGAGAACCCACCCCTTCCACCAGTATGCCCTGGATATAGGACATGGAGTCAAATGTTATTTTGGAGCTTTAAAATTTAATGTCTTCCCTGCTGGGTTTTGGACTTCATGGATAGGTGTTGCTGTTCTCACAGTAATGAGTGAGTTCTTACTCTATGAGTTCATATGAAATCTGGTTGTTTAAGAGCATGGCACTTACCCCCAAATTGCTGTCTCTCTTGCCATATGATACACCAGCTCCCCCTTTGCCATTTGCCATGATTGTTAGCCTTCTGAGGTCCTCACCAGAAGCTGAGCAGATGCCAACACCATGCTTTCTATACAGCCCACAGAACAATGAGACAAAACAAACAAAAACAAGAAAAGCCCTCTTTTCTTTATAAGTTACCCAGCTTCTGGTATTCCTTTATAGCAATGCAAACAGACTAACACAATTGGTTATAGCTGGGCACTTGCCTTATTTGAACCTGCTTTGAACACTTGACTGCCTGTAGTTGGCTGAATCTTGGCTACTTTTTACAAGAGTAGGTTGCAGTCTGTTTACACACCATGTTTGGCAAAACTTTAGGCCAAATTTAAAATATGTATGGAAGCAGCTTCAGGCCAAACTACATTGAAATATTTCTCCCTTTTGGTCAACTTTCCAATTTTGAAAGATTGGCCAAAACTTTAGGCATTGACATCATTCTCTGTCACTATTATAAATGGACTTAGTCTCATTATGGAATTCACAAGTCATATTTGTCTCAGCTTCCATCTGTTTTGGAGTCTATCTGTGTCCTTAAAATTTCAATTTGATTATGTGGCAGTGAGCACAAGTGGCTCTATTTCAGTTTGGTCTGGTCTACTGGGGCATAGTGAAGGAGCTCAGTCCAAAACAATGGCCTCTGATAATTTTGTTTAATATTCTCCCCTTTGGGACAGGTTTTTGTCTAGGTGAGAATGTGACCACAATTTAGAGCTTTAGTGCTATTCTCAGTTACCACCATTTTAGGGTTCTGGTCTCAACTCATCATTCATGGATTATTCTGTTCTCATGATTATACATTTCTTTGAGTTTTTGTCATTCCAACTGAAGAGAGGCCAGTTGACATTCTACAGATGGCTGCATGCAAACATTTAAAACTTTTGAAAGAATACAGTGCACCAAGGAGACTACTATTATGACTATCAAGACCAAGCATTTGTTGTATGTATGCTTCATAGCTAGGGTCCCCATGAATAAAACCATCCAAAATTGAACAAATCAAAGAATGAGCCACATTAGGAGTCTACCCATTTTAACCAAGCAGCCTATTGATGAACTCTGAAACTGAGCCTCTATAATACCCAATGTGTTCATCCATGTGTAACAAGAAGTGTCAGCAACTGCGTAGATTCCTCCTTATTCAGCTACCATGTAATCTAGAACTATTCTATTATCTACTAAACCTTTATCAGAGAATGTAAAGAAATCTGTTGTGTAACTATAGCCTTTGCAGCAAAATTTTCTGTGGAGACTATTATGAAAAACACATTTTTAATCATTGCCTCATTTATATTTACTCTAAGCCATGAATAAAAGGACCTAACAAATAATGCCCACCTAGAAAGTTGAAGGCCTCCTGTCAATGGTCTCTTAAACCTTTGACAAAAGTAAACAGGAGTGGACCAATGTTTTGTTTATGACTGATTTTGAAGCAACAAATGTCTCACTGAAATGCCTAGCCTATATTTGCCCTTCATCTTCCATCCATAAAGCGTAAGGTTGACCATGCATTAGGTTAGTTGTGAAATCCTCTGCAAATAAAAGTATACCACATGGGTGAACACAAAGCCCTTTCTTTACCAGTTGTTCATGGATGCATAAACAATAAAAAGATAAGGAGGTAAGAGTTTTATAATGGCAGAAAAGTCTTTATCCATGATTTTAGGGAAGCTGTCCATGTCCAGGATGCTGTCTGTTTCTGGAGAGAAACTTCCATGATTAGCTTTACCTAAGGTCTCCAATGGGTGTACAGTTCCAAGAGTTTGAAGGAACCCTCTGAGACATGAGATTCCGGACCCCAAGTTGGAAGCCCTGAAGTCTTGCTGCAATGTGTATGGCAAGGGCAGTCTTTCTCTGATGCCATTTCCAGAATACCCAATCTCTGAGTTCTAGATCATGAAGGGTCTGAATGTCCTCAGTGGGTAGATCATGAAAGCCTTCCTTTACCTGGTGAAAATACACTTTGGCATAATTCATTAAAGCACTTCAGCATTTAGTCATGTAGGGACATGGGCTTGACAGTGACTATTTCATAAGAGATCAACTTATGTTTTCCACTGGAAGTGTGTCTAATTGTCATCAATCTATAATACCTTTGACCAAGACAATCTAGTTGATTTAGTTAGCTTTGCCTAATACTATTGTATCTGTAATGCTTTATTTAACTATTTTGAAACTTTTCCAGTGAAACAAATACTTCTATTGCAAGAGATTCTTTCAGGAATGCCCCATGAAGGAAACACATTTTCTATAAATATTTTAGCTACTGTTACAGCATTGGCCCTGCTACAGGGGAGTGCTTCTATACAACCATAAAATATGCACTTAAAGTGGCAATTGAAAAAAATCCCTCTAGAAATGTTCAAATGGCCCATTAGGTAGCAGAAATATACCTAAAATTTTTATTGTCTTCCTAGGATTATGGGTTTGACAAACCAAACACTGGTCATATACCATTTTAGCAATTTAGAACAGTCATTACACTAATTTTAAAAAATATATATTTGTATCATTTTATCTCTTCCATCATGAGACATGGAGTACAGAGCTTTTGATAATGGAAGTTTTAAGAACTCAGAAAGGACCATGTGGCCATCCAGGATCTTCATGAATCCAAGCTGAACGTTGGATTTATTTGTTCTTAAATACCAATTTTGTTTCTCCAATTCAGGTGCATGGCACTATTTATTAAATTAGTTTTTATAGGTCATTTAACTTGGATCATGAAGTTCATTCAAGATGCATATCTTAACAATTTCAGTTCTGGCTGACTTAGCATGAAAATCTGCCAAAGTACTTTCTTAGTATTTAAATTGTTATTGTCCTGCTTGGGTTAGCAATTTTATAAACCAGCCAGTCCTTCAGTAGAGTTCTGGGAATTCTTACCCAGCCCAAATAATATTATCCTAAAGTTAGAATAAAACTGTATTCAGGAGTGCTTAACAGTGTCCTTTCCATTTTTTCCAAGAACCACCTTGAAGACACAACACTTTAGGATTATAATGTTTTCTAAGGAGCTTTCAGAAAAAGCACGAGAATCAAACAACCAACTATGGACAACAAGATTTAAAATGATCATGGATAAAGACACAATTGACCAAAAAATGGTTGTTTCTGTGGCCTACAATAATTTAATATAATAACCATAATTATGACTGACACATACAAGACATATCTGAATTTCAGGAATTTAATACAATTTTGAGATACATATTAGTGACATTCATATAACTGTAACTCAAAAAAGGTTAAACATTATTTATTATTTGACACTGTTTCCCATATAATTTAGTGTATGAATGAAGTCTGTTTATTACCTTTCTTTTGGATGCTTCAGGGGCCCTCGGTAACATCCCGAGTTAGTTTGAGATAAAAATACTTGATTTTTGATATTGAAATTCTATTTTGGAAAGTTTGTCAAATATGCCAAAGGTTAAAACACTTGATCAAAGTAGAATCACAGGTCATTGTGAAATAAAACCAAGTGACAAAAAATGTTAAAGGCACAAAGCACAAGAAATTGTCTTGATGAAACATGGATTTTGTTTCTTAGACCAGTTACCTAAAATGTAAAGAAAAGCTTCTCATAATTTTCTACTAAGAACAGATCAATGCTCCCAGAAAACCGAGTTGTTCCAAAACAGGTGCCCAAACTCTAGCCTTACATCAGTGTACTTTTGATACTAATGCTCAATTTTTAGAAAAACTTAAAAATAATTCCCTCTAATTTTAGCCAGCTTGATCACAAATAAAATTCCTTTCCTAAGACTGATCTCTTACAAACTTCTACAACCTTTTCTCTTTTTCATTTTGGAAGAACCAATCATTCTATTTTAAGATGAAGATTATGTATTTTTCTTTTTCCATAACTAAAACACACCTTTTATGTAAGTGTCACTTAACCAAAAACACATCATACTTTATTTGCATAAGAAGTTGTTTTAATTACCATATTAGATTTTTTTAAAACTCAAGCAACATTAATTTCTAGTGAAAACCTAGGATGTAAGCTATTTTAAACTGCAGCATTCAATTTTGAACTATCAGCATTTTGTAGATAAAAAGTATTTTATATATTTTAGAGACATATTTCCTCCTAACACAATTTTTATAGTTTTTACTAGACCCAGATATATTTAGCTTCTCTATACTATATAAAAACAAGAAGTCAAAGTACATAAACTTGAACATGTTTAATAATTAATGTCTCAATATTTTAACTTAAAAATGACTCAGACATTTAATGAGTATTTATTAAATTAACATGATTTTAAGATTTTCAAATTTCTGAAAAAGATTTTTGAAATGATGACAAGTTCATTTATGAATTTTTATGTCATTTACATTCATCTAATTTACTCATTATTAACAATGATATTTGAATTGTTAATTGATATGGTTTGGCTGTGTCCCCCACCATAATCTCATCTTGAATTGTAGTTTCTGTACTTTCCACATGTTGTGGGAGGGACCCAGTGAGAGACAATTAAATCATGGGAGTGGTTTCCCCCATACTGTTCTTGTGGTAGTGAATAAGTCTCATGAGATCTGATGGTTTTATAAGGGGAAAGCCCTTTTGTTTGGCTCTCATTCTGCTCTTGTCTGCCACCATGTGAGATGTGCCTTTCACCTTCCACCACGATTGTAAGGCCACCCCAGTCACGTGGAACTGTAAGTCCATTAAACCTCTCTCTTTTGCAAATTGTCCAGTCTCCAGTATGTCTTTACCAGCAGTGTGAAAATGGACTTATATAGTAAATTGGTACTGGGAGTGGGGTGCTGCTGAAAAGATACCTGAATGTGTGAAAGCGACTTTAGAACTGGGTAGCATGCAGAGGTTGGAACAGTTTGGAGGGCTCAGAAAAAGACAGGAAAATTTGGGAAAGTCTGGAATTCCCTAAAGACTTGTTGAATAGCTTTGATGAAAATGCTGATAATGATATGGACAATGAAATCCAGGCTGAGGTGGCTCCAGATGAAGATGAGGAACTTTTGGGAACAGGAGCAAAGGTGACTTGTTATGTTTTAGCAGAGATCTTTGCAGTTGTTGCTCCTCCCATCACAGGCCCAGAGGCCTAGGAGGAAAAAATGGTTTTGTGGGCCAGGTCCAGGGCCCCGCTGCTGTGTACAGCCTAGTAACTTGGTGCCCTGAGTCCAAGCCACTCTAGCTGTAGCTAAAAGAGGCTAAGGTAAAGCTCAGGCCATGGCTTAAGAGGGTACAAGCCCCAAGCCTTGGCAGCTTCCACATGGTATTGAGCCTGCAGGTGCACAGAAATCAAGAATTGAGATTTGGGAACCTCCACCTAGATTTCAGAGGATGTATGGAAATGCCTGGATGTCCAGGAAGAAGTTTGCTGTGGGGGTGGGACCCTCATGGAAAACATCTCCTAGGGCAATGCAGAAGGGAAATGTGGGATTGAAGCCCCCACACAGTGTCCCCACTGGGGCGCTGCCTAGTGGAGGCATGAGAAGAAGGCTACCATCCTCCAGACCCCAGAATGGTAGATCCACCAACAGTTTGTACCGTATACATGAAAAAGCTGCAGACCCTCAATGCCAGCCCATGAAAGCAGCCAGGATGGAGGCTATCCTCTGAAAAGCCACAGGTGCAGAGCTGCCCAAGGCTGTAGGAACCCATCTCTTGCATCAGTGTGACCTGGATGTGAGACATGGAGTCAAAGGAGATCATTTTGGAACTTTAAGATTTGACAGCCCCACTGGATTTTTGACTTGCATGGGACCTGTAGCCCTTTTGTTTTGGCCAATTTTTCCCATTTGGAACAGCTGTATTTAACAAATGCCTGTACCCCCATTGTATCTAGGAAGTAACCAACTTGCTTTTGATTTTATAGGCTCATAGGCAGAAGGGACTTTCCTTATCTCAGATGAGATTTGGACTGTGGACTTTCGAGTTAATGCTGAAATGAGTTAAGACTTTTGGAGACTGTTGGGAAGGCATGATTGTATTTTGGAATGTGAAAGGGACATCAGATTTGGGAGGGGCCAGGGGCGGAATGATATGGTTTGATTGTGTTTCCACACAAAACTCATCTCAAATTGTAGCTGCCATAATTCCCATGTATTGGGGGAGGGACGCGACAGGAGATAATTGAATCATGGGGGTGGTTTCCCCCATACTGTTCTCCTGGTAGTGAATAAGTCTTATGAGATGTGATGATTTCACAAGGGGAAAGCCCTTTCACTTGGCTTTCATTCTGCTGTTGTCTGCCGCCATGTGAGATGTGCCTTTCACCTTCCACTATGATTGCTAGGCCTCCCCGGCCACGTGGAACTGTGAGTCTATTAAACTTCTTTCTTTTGTAAATTGCCCAGTCTCTGGTATGTCTTTATCAGCAGTATTAAAACAGACTCATACATTAATTAAACAAAGTTAGCCATGGAAGGAGTTCAGGAAATATCACTCCAAATTATGTTGCTTTGGTATATTATTGCTACCAATAAGTAAGAAGAGCAATGCTTTTTGAATTCCCCTTCTCTGTGTTAAGACAGGTTTTTCAAAGGAACTCTGCTTCTTAGTGAGTTTCAGCAATCAGAAAAATTTTACTCTTATTACAGGAGAAAAGACTTCATCGCACCCAGACATATCTTGTCACAAACCATCGCCCATTATTACGTCAGCTCATTCATCTTTCCCAAAAGACATTTACTCTGAAGAGTTTCTTATACCACCTCTCCATTTTACCCATGCCAGCAGGGGCTTGAGTCAAGGGACTCATTCTTTTCTTGATTGACTCATCTAGTTATTGACCTAAGTGACTGTTAGCTAGGTTGCTCTTTGTAATCTTACACTTTTTGAATTTTCAAATTTCTTCAAACTGGGGTAAATAGTGCAGACTGGTTTGGGGCTCTGCAGTGTTGGGGGACTAACATATATACCTTTGGTCCATCCAAACGTTGGTAGATTTAGCCTTATTTTAACTTAATCACTGGCTGCTTTACTTATATTATTTTTAAGAACCATCTAAAATTTTTACCCCAAATTTTCATTTCCAAAAGGATGGCTTAGTTAAACCAAGGTAGAAAATTTACATCTCAAAAGCACAGAGCTGAGACTTCAGGCCTACATACCATCATTTGTCTAAACTTAAGAAGGAGGGTATATTTAAATGCTTTAGGACAAGATGGCCGGGAAAATCACTGTAAACAGAGGCAAGACTGGCTATGTGAATTTAAAGCAAGGCTTTCTTCATTGTAAGAGTTTCTAGTGACACAATCCTTTCTCTATTCCAGAGGAAGTACAGAGAGGTGGAGAGAGTCAAACAGCCTTACAAATGGAGATTTCATTTACGGATGGAAGTGTGTCTCTTTATCCTTTATACCTTGCCTACTGTATAGATATAAGTGTAAACACTTACAGAAGTGTTTCGAAATAGCCAGCTAAATACCAAAAAGGTGTATTTTGAAGGTGTGTTAGTTCATTAGGTGGTCTTTTTAACTTAGCTTCTGTTTCTTGGCTAAAATTACTAAGTTAAGAGTGGAGCTAATAAACGGAGCAAAGAAAGCATTCTCTATGCCTGGACAAACATAAATGCTCTGAAAAAGAAGCCAGCCTACTTTACCTGAGGGCATACATTTTATAAACACTTTCTCCAGCTTTTTTTTTTTTTTTTAACCTCTGGGGTGGTGTTACTAGTTGAGGATGTCCAGGTTTTTGGCATTTTGAACAAAGAATTGGACAAAACACACAAATAAAGCAAGGAAAGAACGAAGCAACAAAAGCAGAGATTTATTGAAAATGAAAGCACACTCCACAGGATGGGAGTGGGCCTGAGCAAGCAGCTCAAGGGCCTCAGTTACAGAATTTGCTGGGTCTCAATACCCTCTGGAGGTTTTCAATTGGTTACTTGGTGTATGCCCTATGTAAATGAAGAGAATAAAGTCAAGTTATAAAGTCATTTACTTGGTATGCACCCTATGTAAGTAGAGAAGATGAAGTAAAGTTGCAAAGCCATTCACATTCCTGTCATTGCTGAAGTGTTTCCATTCGGTTTAGTTCTAGGAAGTCCTCAGGTTCCCTGACTCCAGGTCCTATTCTCCTGCCTCATTGGGATAATAACTAAGCCAAAGGTTTGCAGTTTCAATTTTTTAAAATCCATTTGTTGCTTAAGCTTTTTATTTACCTTTTGTAAAGAGTATTTTAAAAGAGGGAATAAAAATATTAGGCCGGTCACGGTGGCTCACACCTGTAATGCCAGCACTTTGGGAGGCCAAGGCAGGTGGATCACCTGAGGTCAGGAGTTCAAGATCAACCTGGCCAACATGGTGAAACCCTGTCTCTACTAAAAATAAAAAAATTAGCTGGACATGGTGGCGAGCACCTGTAGTCCGAGCCACTTGGGAAGCTGAGGCAGGAGAATCACTTGAACCCAGGAGGCGGAGGTTGCAGCGAGCTGAGACTGTGCCATTGCACTCCAGCCTGGGTGACAAGAAGGAAATTCCATCTCAAAAAAAAAAAAAAACAATTAAAATCTCTTTAGAAACTTCTGCACATCAGTAGGTGTCCTGGGTGAGCCTAATTGAAGAGACCTCAATTTTAGATGCACTTCTTAAAGTGCAGTGTTGTTCATTTGGAATGCCTCACTGTAATTTTTAATTATCATTAATAACATTTCACCGTTTTTGTAAGCATTTGCTGCTTACAATATCTAATACTTTTACATATAAAGGTAGGTGTGGACAGAAGATAAAGCATCCAGATCTTCAGAAACTAAGGATCCCATTTTTAATTGAGTCTTGGCTTTTGTTCTTAGATACGCTTAATCAATGTAGCCAATAATATTCCCGTACCAGAATACACAAGAATGAGAAACAAAGGGGATAAAACACAAAATCCCTGAGAATTTCCAAAAGCTGGAAATTCTCATTTACTGCAGAAATTGCCATTTACTACCAGTTTCTCTCTGACCCAGTCAGACATCTGAGCCCTCTAACTGGATTTAATCCAAGCAATTATTATATCTAATTTTATCCCAGACCAAGTTAAATTTTTGCCATGACTTCCAAACCCCAAAATTTGCTCAGACAAACTCAGATGGCTCAAGACATGAGAGAAATGAACACAATGGGCTTGGCAGATACCTGGCTATTTTATGCCTCTTTGCAATTATCTCCATCCAGAACCCTAGTGTTACCTAGTTCAAGGAAGAACTTTTGTCATCCTTGAAAGATCAGCTACCCCTTGAAGAATTTCCTCCTTTTCTTTGTTCTCCTCCTTACTAACATCCCACTTCCCCTTTTACACAAATCTACAACTCACCTGTAATTTACAATTTATAGGGTTACAATGAGAAGTTACCTCTAACTTGCAAACAAGGGAAGCAAAATGATTCTCTGAGAGAATCATCTCATCCCTTAACACTGACACATAAAGGATCAAGGCGGAGAAGTGCAAAGACATTTTAAAGAGATAGAATAGTTTCCAAGCTTGAAAGATTGAGTTATGACAAATCTGAAGCCCTTGGGGCCAGACTTGCTTTGGAATTTAGATAGTTGTGTTTTTTGAACACAATAAATATGCCATACGTTATGTAACACCCTCAGCATAATTTTATGAAAATCATCAATGTCTGTGCAATGAAAGTATGAATCCCTCACTAAGCAGGATAAATAAATAGTATAGCTTTACATTCTTTCATGTCAGAGTTGCTCTCAATTTACTAAAACTGTTGACTAAAAGAGTCAATCTCTGTGTAATCTTTGAAGGATTTATTCTGAGCCAAATATCAGTGACCATGGCCCAAGGCACAGTCTCAAGAGGTCCTAAGAACATGCGCCCAAGGTAGTCAGGCTATGGCTTGATTTTATATATTTTAGGGAGATATAAGACATCAGTCAATACATGTAAGGTATATATTGGTTTGGTACAGAAAGGCAGGACAACTTGAATTGGAAATTTTCAGGTCATATGTGGATTTGAGGATTTTCTGATTGGCAATTGGTTGAAAGAGTTATTATCTAAAGACCTACAATCAGTAGAAGGGAGTGTCTGGGTTAAGATATGGGATTGTGGAAACCATGGTTCTTATTATGCAGCTGAAGCCTCTAAGTAGCAGGCTTCAGATATTAATAGAATAGATTGTAAATGTTTCTTATCAGACTTAAAAAGGTGCCAGACTCTTAGTTAATTCTCTCCTGGATCAGGGAAAAGACTTGGAAAGGGAAAATAATTTGCTACAAAATGCGGATTTTCCTCACAAGAGACAGCTTTGCAGGGCCATTTCAAAATATGTCAAAGGAATGTATTTTGGGGTAAAATTCTTTGATTTCTTTCAGGGCCTGTTATCTGTTATGCTGGTGTCTTATTGCTACAAAGAGTCCGCTTTGTTAGTTTTAAGATCTCTGTTAATGGTGGTCAGTTGTGCCTGAATTCCAAAGGGAGTGGTTTGGCTGTGTCCCCACCCACATCTCATCTTGAATTGTAGTTCCCATAATCCCCAAGTGTCATGGGAGGGACCTGATGGGAGGTAATTAAATCATGGGGTTGTTATCCCCATGCTACTGTCCTTGTGATAGTGAGTGAGTTCTCACAAGATCTGATGGTTTTATAAGGAGTTTTCCCCCTTTTGCTCAGCACTTTTCCTTCCTGCCACCATGTGAAGAAGGACGTATTTGCTTCCGCTTCCACCATGATTGTAAGTTTTCTGAAGCCTCCCCAGCCATGGTGAACTGTGAGTCAATTAAACCTCTTTCCTTTATAAATTACCCAGTCTTGGGTATGTCTTTATTAGCAGCATGAGAATGGGCTAATGAAAGGAGAAAAGTAAAATGAGACATGTTTGACACTCACTTCTCATCATGGCCAGAGTTATTTTTTAAGGTTTGTTTGGAATGCCGTTTTTGAGAGGAGGGGTTCATCAGTCAAGTGGCTGGGTTTATGATTTTATTTTTGCTTTACACTACTTTGAGTATTTAGAGCTTTGCGAACTTCAGAATTGTGAATAATATGTTATGAGCCTGAATATCACTAAGCAAAACAATTATCAATCAGAAAGGAGAGAAGTCAACCATGCAAATGAAGAAAAAGAGGGAGAAGCAGGGACTACCTGTGATATATGTACATTGAAGAACTGTCCAGCAAGAGGCAGGTTTTGCCATATTCTGAATTCATTGCCAAGGCTGCCACCATTAAAAAAAAATGTTGGACTATCTCAGCCTGAGAACATTAAGCCGTTTACTCATCCAAACAGCCTTATTCTAGTCCCATACTCTCCCATACCACTGGATGCTTGTTAATTTTGGCATATATCAAATATCTGCCAAAGAGAATATTTTAAATAACGTTAAGAATTCCTACTACTGTGATATCTGAGAAATCAAAATATTTTACATTCAAATATATTTTTGACTTATTTTGAGATAGCTTTCAGAGGGCTAGCAAACAGAAATGGCCCTGAAAAACTGTCTTTTGCAGGGGAAATTTGCACCTATAGAAAATCTGCATTAATGCTGCCAGGCCTTTCTTTGTCTGGATCTAGGAAAGATGAACTGAGACTCTGACACCTTTAAAGATCTTCAGAGAAATATTTACTATCTATTCTCTCTGAGGTTTCATCTACCTAACAAGACAACTTTTGCTAACCAAGTCTCTTCTGTCTCTCCTGTCTTGTTACTAAAACCTGATTTACTACCACAACCTGTGTTTGGCCATACTCTGATCCCACATTCTTTTTGTAACCCCAAGATGGTGAATAAACCTCTGCACCCTTTTGGAGGAGTGGGTCTTCCTTCTCAAGGCTTCAGTGCCACAAAAAACTATGATCAGCTAAATTTGTATGCCTTTTCTCCAATTAATCTGCCTTTTGTGACTTAATTTTTCAGTGAAACTTCAGAGGGCCAAGGGGAACTTCCCCTTTGTTACAGTCTGACACGGTGAGTAGGATGATCAAAGCCCCACTCTTCTGGAAGCCACAGTGAAGGAAACCCAGGACCTGGTTAGATAGAGTAAGGGTGAAAACTTCTTAGCCAGGCTCCCAGCCACTCTCTCTGTGCAATCTGGTTGAGTGGATAGTAAAATTCATTGTTTCCGCTACAAGATTTTTATTATGAAGAAAAGGATTTGTGTGCTACTAGTCTTGATGTAGCAACTCTGGTGTACTTTTTGGTAATTTGTAGTACAAGTATTCACATTGTTTGGGTTCTTTCCTCTAAGAAGGTTTTTTGTTGTTGTTCTGTCTTCGTCTTTCTGTGTTGTTCATAAACAGGGGTAGCGAATAAAGCTCTGTCTTGCCTTGTTTCGTGTTTTTGTGAGTTTCATTTGTGACCAAGTGGGGGCACTCTCTCTTGGTCTTCACCATCCAGTGGGGATGCTTTTCAGGTTACATCAGGCGGTCAGTCTGAAAATGGCTGGGAACCTGAGGGTTTTTTGTTTTTGTTGTTATTCTGAATGTGTCAAGTTCTCAGGAGGATTTGTCCGAAGGAGTCCCATCCATAAGGGCTTTTGTCATCTCAATCCTTGGTGCCTGGATAGTGCTGGGAAAGTCCAACCCCAGGAGGGCCTACCCAGTGTCACAGATTAGTGGATCTGTGACTGGCAGGCCCCCACAAACTTTTGGGTTATCAGAGGCAAACATCATCCTTAACTACCTGTGGCAACAAGAGTTTTTTTGCTAACTTAGCCTATTTCTGGGAGCATTTAGCAGCGTTGAGGGTGGGGAGGGAGGGGTTGGAATTAAAATTACATTCTAGGCTTTACAGGAAGAGGCTTGGATTGAGTCACTATTAGAATAAGTACACTATTCAAAATTTTAATTGTCAATGGCCAGAAGATGGATCCTTTTAATTAGACTCCTAAATTATAAAAAACAGAAAACCCACAATGATTTTAGAGATCTCTTATTTTAAACAACTGAAAGAAAGACCAAATTTTTAGAAAAGACATAATAATGACATGGCTAGCCTTAAAAATTACCTTGGCCAAATTGAAGAGCACTAATCTGATCTAAAACTAAGTTAAAATTATTTGTAAGCTCAGACCACCTGCTTTAGATTCTCTGTGGGATTAATAATGAAGGCAGTTCCCACCTTGTAGTCTGGTAATTGCCAGATTACATGACATGAGTTTGATTCCCTGTCAGGGAACCAGTTCTTTTGGTTTGATATTTGTGTGACTTTTGACTTTTTGGCATACCCATTCATCTCTCTGGAGATGCCTCCTGTGTCTTTGGTTAAGTCATAACTTTGGTTAAGGCTTATTAGTTTCACTCGGGAGGTACTTTTGGTTAAAAAATTCAAAAGCCAGAAATACAAGCTGTTGGTCTTGACTAAAATATGATATTAAGAAATTAAAAAAAAATTTTTGAAGAGCTCTCTGGTTAAAAGCCAGCTTAATTAAAAGCTTCTATCCAAGCTATATATATATATATATATATATATAAAATATTTTAATACACACACACACACACACACCCCAACCTGTATATATCAACCTCTTTATATATATATAAAGATCTTTCTTTTTTCTCTTTTGTACCCTCTTTTAAAATATTTTTCATTGACTGAAATCTGAAAGTATGTGCTTGGTCCCTCTGTTTGTCTTTCTTTCTTTTTCTTTTTCTTTCTTTCTTTTCTTTCTTTCTTTCTTTCCTTCTTTCTTTCTTTCTTTCTTTCTTTCTTCCTTTCTTTCTTTCTTTCTTCCTTTCTTCCTTTCTTTCTTCCTTCCTTCCTTCCTTTTCTTTCTTTCTTTCTTTCTTCTTTCTTTCCTTCTTTGTTTTCTTTTCTTTTCTTTTCTTTTGGACTCTTTCTCTGTCACCCAGGCTGGAGTGCAGTGGCGTGATCTTGGTGCACTGCAACCTCCACCTCCCGGGTTTAAGCAATTCTCCTGCCTCACCCTCCCGAGTAGCTGGGATTACAGGCACACACCATCATGCCCAGCTAGTTTTTGTATTTTCAGAAGAGACAGGATTTAACCATGTTGGCCAGGTTGGTCTCAAACTCCTAACCTCAGGTGATCCACCCGCCTCGGCCTCCTAAAGTGTTGGGATTACAGGCGTGAGCCACCGCGCCTGGCCTGTTCACTTGTTTTTTTTAACAGTCATTCTCCCATTTACTTCTGTCTGTGTCTCCTTTCTCTTGCCACCCTCATGCCACATGAAGGGACCTACAAAGGAAATTTCTTACAGCCTAGGGTCCCTCAAGGAAAACAGAAAAAATGCCATAAGCTCCTCTTTTTTGGGGAAAAATTTCTGTTTTTTCTCGTGGAACCACAAAACTTGTAAATGCACAGATTCCTTTTAGGTCTAAAACTCTACCCTCTTTTGTATCACATTACCTGATCTCTTTGGCTTTGAGGGATACCAAACATTACTTTGTATTGTGAGAGAATTTGACCTTAGGTATAATGGCTGACTGAGAACTACAGGGTTAGAGGTGGCTGACAGCAGTTGTTTGCAATAAATGGTTAATATTACTAGAGGCTACTCATTTGTGTGCTTAGATAAGAAAGGACATGATTTAAACACTTAGGGAAATACCTACAAAACAAAGTACACTCTGAAAGCATTGAGTGGCCTGGTCCCCTGGCATTTCCCTCTTTTGGGGGACCTGGGAATCAGTGAAATCTTTTATTTTAAAGGTCTAAATGCTCTGCCTTCCAACTGCACCTGCTTTTTACATATTTAAATTATTGGGCCCTAAAACCTCCAAGTACTTTGTTGGCCTTGTTCCTTAATAGGCTCTTCCCTGAGCTCAGTGGCCTAATTGGAAAACAGAAACTAAATTAAAAGCTACTTATTTAAATGAAATTGGTCTCCTTATAAAATCCCATGGTAAATTTCTATAATTTTGTTTTACCATGGCATCCACTTTTAATCTTCCTCTAACGCACCCAAACTCCTCTTGAAAATGCTTGAATTCTCTTCTTCTGTGTTTTGAGATGTAAATTGCTACCCTGCTTTCTCTAAAACTCAGTAAGAGCTCGGGCCATGTGAGACAAATAACCTTTAACTTGTTCCATTTACAAAGGCAGAGTTTGAATCCAACTGTCCTTTTAAACTAATGAGTCTTACCAGTCTCATATCTAAAATTCTAAAATCAAAACTATGAGGTTTTTTGTCTGTCTGTATTTTATGTGTACATGTATATATGGTGTACATTATATGTTGTGTCTGCATATATGTGTACATTATGTGTTGTGTCTGCATATATGTATATGTCTACACATATATTTATATATAGTCTACAAATGGTACCAAATTAACTTAAAGATTAAATGAGTACTCATAATAAATTAACTAGCCCCAGTGCTTTTCACATACATATGCCTTTATTTATCTTTGATAAACCTCATTATAAAATTATTGATAAAATAAAATAGAAACATCTTCAGAAGTTAATTGAGACATTTTTGCCTGGGTCTATAGGTCAGATGGGGTTAAACTGTCTCTGACAGATGTTTTAAGGTCATAAACATTGCTTCTCTATTATTTTTGATACTTGCTTAATTTCTCTGTGAGCTAATGTCTTTGGATTTGAGCCTTTAGATTTTGAGGTCTAGATAAGTGGCCATGGTGAGACCTGGGGATATCTGGGCCCCATCCTCCCTAGTCTAGCTGTGTCTCTTGGCATGCTGAGAGGAATTAGATCCTCCAGGCATTGTCTTCACAGCTCTGTCCTTTGTCCTGAGCTCTACATCTGGTACATACTTAAAATTGCTTACTTCCTAGGTTTTTCACTAAAAATTAGTTACTAAGATTTAGCATTGTGATTAATGTATGTGATTAAAACTACTAGATGTCAAAAAATTCTATATGCAAGGTGTACAAGGAAAGTAGAATGTGTTTTTGGTGATGGGGTTATAAGAAGGCAAGGGAATACGGTTTTTGTTCAAGGAAAAGTAATTTTTGCCCAGTTTAGAAGTTTATAAAAGTTGATTTAAATGGAAAATATTTGTAAATGCTAGATAGAACTAAATGGATATAGAAAGTTGGTAAAGAAAGAGAATGGGAAGAATTGTAAAACATTATAAAAGGTTTATGGAAATCTTACCTTCTGGTCAAAACTGATTGGGATGGGATAGATTTGTTTAAAAGGCTTTATTCAAATTAGCTTTAGTATTAACAATATACTAATGTAAAGGTAAAATTTGGTTTTTCTCCTTTGAACTACATTTTTGTGTTGTATTAACAAGAGATAGTAAAGATTTTTGTTTACCTTTTGAGTAAAATGCAAAAACAAAATAGGAATTTGGAATTTCGATTTTGGAAATTTGGTCAAATATAAAAGATTTAAAACACATGCTCAAAATAGAATCACAGATCACTATAAAATAATAGTCATTTATTTAGCCAAAGTGATACACCTAACTGGGTACAAGGTACCTGGGAGTTTCCTTATTCTATTTAACTTTTTACATTAATCACACTTATTTTAACTATAACAAGTATCGGCTATTCTACACAATTCAAGGTGCAAGGATGTCAATCTTAATAAAATTAATAAAATACAATTAAGTATAGAGCTTATTCAAGCATGAAGCTTTAGGAGAAGCACTGACTCCAAATGAATAGGTCAGTTTTTCCAAAGTGAAGAGGTTAAAGTTTCAATCATATAGGCAGAAACAGAGAAGTTCCAGCAGTATTAAACATTTTTATACTATACCAGGTATACACACCACAGCAATCTGAATGACTATAGATTGATACATTCCAAGGAATATTGCTTTATTATTTCATGAGGAGAGGTAGTGATCTGAGGGGGTCTTATCTCTGGCATCTTAGGTATTAGTTATTTCTAGAAACAGGAGAAAAAAGTGTAGAAGTTTGCAGTTGCATGCCACGAGGCTCAGGATATTTAATGTTCCAGCAGCTTTAGGTTTAATTTACTTTAAGTTTGCATTATTTAATTTCACATTTCCCTCTTTCAATTGAGATCTTTCAAAGACAGCATCATGGATAAACTCAAACAGTTTTGGCTTGAAGGAAATAAAAATATTTTACCCCAAAATATATTTCTTTGAAATATTTTGAGATGGCTGACCAGAGGGCCTGCAGACAGTAGTCCTGTAATGCTGTCTTTTGTGGGCAAGATTTTCGTTTGTAGACAAAATCTGCATTGATGCAGTGAGGACTTCTTTGAAGGCCTTCCCTTGTCTGATCTAGAAAAGATTAACTGAGAGCCTGACACACTTAAAGATCTGAAAGAAACATTTGCCACGTATTCTTTTTGAGATCTGTTACCAGTGAGATTTCATTTACATAACAAGACCATCTTTGCTAGCCAAGCTTCCTCTTCTCTCCCTCCCATAACCTGTCTTGCCACTGTAATCTGATTTACCACCATAATCTGTTTTGGGCCATGCTCTGAGCCCTTTCTGTCACTTCAATCATGATATGTAAGTTTCTGTATTCCTTGAAGAACGGGTAATCACTCTAATTCTTGCCAATGTGCGCATTAATAATAAATTTGTATGCCTTTTCTCTAATTAATCTGCCTTTTGTGAGTTGAGTTTTTCAGTGAACCTTCAGAGAGAAAAAAGAAAAGATTTCTTTTGGCCTTTACAGGCTCTTTTTATGTTCAAGAACTTAGTCCTACATTGCTAGAAAGGCTCATTCACGGAGTGTCGTGTCTTATGGCAGGAGGAATTTATCAAGCTATAAAGTTGATAGGGCATAGGACAAATTTAAAGCAGCATGAGGAAAGTGACTTTGTAACCTGAGACAGGCTACCAGACTACATCTTTAATTAATGCAATTTATTTGAGTAACCATTATTTTAGTTTCTTTAGTTGTATATTGACTCCATTGTGAACAAATGCCACAGCAGCAGTGAAGACAAAAAGAGGACAAAACACAACAAATGATTATAATTCCTAGAATAAGTAAAAGCTTTTTCCACCAGTTTTCTCAGTATCAAAACCAGCTACTTACCCAATCACTTGGAGAGACTGTTGTATCTAAAAGTTTAGTTATTCGGGTTTTTATATCAGCCATTACTTTAGTGATGTTATCTGATTCATCTGGGATACAGGCACAACACTCAGTTTTTATCATTGTGCATGTTCCCTCTTGGGCTGCAGTGAGTATGTCTAAAGCCACACTGTTCTGTATTAGAGCCTTTCTTCATTGTTTCGTAACGAGATACCCATAAGACTATTATTTAGGGCCTTTTTTATATAATTGGTTACGGCCTCTACACACCAAATGAAATCCTCAGTAACCAGTTGCAGGAGAAAGACAGAAGCTAAATGATCACGTCAATAGAATACAGAAAAATTCCAACAAGATTGTAAATGAGGAAGATTTGCAGGTTTTGAAAGGGTACGAACTTAGCCTGGTATCCAGGAATAGCCTCAAAGACACCATCCTAACCATCTTGGGGGTAGCTAAGCCTGTAGATTGATCGTGCACAGCCAAGATGTTTCGTTTAGAGATAACTAATAGATAGTCATGGTACCCATTCAGTGGCACGCCAACCAGTACTTTGTCATATAATGTTGTGGATACACTGTTCTTTGAGTATCTATCCCACATCACTAGTGTTACTGGGCCATGTATCGTTGGTGTGATATTTTTTGTTCCCAACATAAAGGGGTGAGCTAAGTGACCAAAAGAGGGGAAAAGCCATATTAAACCATCCCAAATTTGTTATACTATCACAGAATTCAGTTGTCCTAACTCTCGGTTGTGTTAACACCAGTGAAAAGGCTAACAAACTGGTTTCTTTTACCAAAAAGCTCACCTCATGCCTTTTGCTTTGTGAAGTATTATGAATAGGTCAGTGATGTACATCATCTTTAGTCCTACAAGTGCTAAGCACTGATGACTATTGTAGAAAAACTAATATATTTATAATACTCTATCCAATCTTGTCCTTGGAGAGGAGATATCCACCATGTAGGTCACAAACACTAGAGAGGAGCATGAGGCCACATACCAGCTTTAAAGATTATTTTTTCTTTTGCTTACATCACAAAGATTCACATCCTCTTTTCAGAGATAAACTTTTTTCTCCATAACCAAAATTTTGAATGAGGGAAAAGGTTGTAAAAACTCTAATGAGTCATTTCAAACAAAATCTGATCCTCAAAGAAAAATGAAAACCACAAATGTGCAATTAGCAGGCTCTCTAGAGAATAACAAATGAAATTCCTGTCTCACAGTAGAGCTTTAATACCAATCCCATCAAGTTAAAAATGTGTGTGGCTCAAATACTGTCTGAATCTTCAACCAAACCTGGGAGGATTTGGACCAAGAGGGGCCTTATCAGAGATCCCTGCTGACTTGGGTGAGGTCAGGTGAATGACGTCATTTATGTTGAATGTCACTTTTAAAAAAACTTTCCAAAATCTAAGTAAGAGTTGCCATGATCCCCACTTCTACGTTCCCTGGATTGTCACAAAAACAAACAAAACCTTTTTGCAGGTTAAAGTATCTGTGGAGGGTTGGGGGATCAGGGGAGACCATTGGTAGTCTCACAGAAACAAGTAGGGTCATTTTCTGCTGCTGCTGTCACCACCATATAATGTCATAGGTCCTCTTTGACTTTCCGTTGTCTCTCGACTACTTTAGCCCTAGTGATATCTCAACTACCAAGGCTCATGAGGTCCCATAAAGGAGGGTGAAGTTCCATGAAAGAGATTCTCTTTCTTCTTGTCTAGGCTCCCAAGCCTGGGGCACTAAGTGCCCATTCTTTGAAGAATCCCACCAACCATTTACCCCATGGCCACTTTAGTTTAAAGTCTGTCACCTTAGATGTAATGTACTTAAGTGCTTCAGGATGTTCTTGGAAAAAAAACTCTACGACCTTTGTTTTTTATCTCAATGCTAAGGAGCTATTTCTCTTTTAAGTCCTTAAAAAGATTTTAAATTCCTTAAAAAGATCTTTTAAATCCTTCCCATCTACCATACTTAGAAAATAAATCCAAATTATTTCAAGGAACTTAGGGTCTTCAAAGACTCAGGGAAATTTCTATATTTAACCGTTATCTATTCTTCTCATGTCTTCAGAGGAAATGAACCTGAGAAGAGTATTTCATTTCTCTTATATGCCCAGAAATATTGTTTTATGCATAATCCCAGCATACTTAATAAAAGGATGATTTACAAAGTATAGCAAGTATGTCAAAAAAATCACAAAGTATTTTAGTTATTTATTGCTGTATAACAAATTACCCTAAAACTTAGTAGCTTAAAACAACAAACATTTGTTACCTCATGGTTTCTTTCAGGCAGGTATTCCGGCACAGTTTAGCTAGTTGTCTCTGGCTCAAAGTCTCATACAAGATTGAAGTCAAGCTATCCTCCAGGGATGCAGTCTCACTGAAAGACCTGACTGGGGATAAAGAAGTGGCTTCCAAGCTCATTCACATTGGTGTGAATAAGTCTTGATCCCATGAGGTAAAGGTTTCTCCACAGGGCTGTTCTAGGTCATAGCAGCTGGCTTCCTCCAAGGCAAGTGATCCAAGAGAGAGTGGCCAGGGCAGGAGTCAAAGCCTTTTTATAAACTTATCTCAGAAGTGACATCCTAGCTCATGTTCTTTATTCATTTGTTAGAAGTGAGTTAATAAATTCCACTCACATTCAAGAGGAGAGAATCACACAACAGTGTGACTACTGCAAAGCAGGAATCATTGGGGGCCATCTTAGAGGCTACCTTAGTTGTCCAGGCTGCTATAACAAAACTATCATAGACTGGGGATTTAAACAACAACAAACATTTATGTCTTACAGTTCTGAAGGCTAGGAAATCCAAAATCAAGCCTCCAGAAGATTTGGTATGTGGCAAGGCCTCACTTTTTGGTTCATAGATGTCCATCTTCTCTCTGTGTCCTCACATGGTGGAAAAGGTGAAGGGGCTTTCTTGGGTCTCTTTTATAAGGGCACCAATCCCTTTATGCACTGCATTGTCTTGGCCTAATTACCTTCCAAAGCCTACCTCCTAGTGCCATCACATTGAGGATTAGGATTTCAACATATACATTTTGAGAGGACACAAACATTCAGTCCATTACAGAGGCTGCCTACCCCAAAAGGGGTGGTGAAGTATTCTAGGGTTCATTGCTGCTGAGTTGTTTTCATCCCTAGGGCAAAGGAGGAAGGGGTGAGAGAAGTTTCCAGAACCTGGATGATTAGATCTATGTGAGGATGACAGTCTTGAGAGACATCCTTTGGTCAAGGGAACAGGTATTCCGAGATGACCCCGAAGAGGAGGAGCTAGGAGAATAAATACCCTTACCTTCTTCTTCTCTCTCTCTTCATCTATTGCTGGGTCTTTCAGCTGGCAGAACCCAGTGAGATGCCATGAGGCCAGAGAGCACAGTAATGCAGTTCACACACGTCAGCCTACCAAGGCTGAGAGTGGTTACAGAGTGGGTCTGCAGGGGCAGACAGAAGACATCCAGCATATTATGCTTCTGTATCTGGAAAATTTCCTCCCAGGGAATCCGTGTTTAAAAGATTGATTTGAATTATTTGGTTTTTAAAGTATGAGTTATATTAACAATTACATTATAAATTCCAAGTCAGCAGGGATGAAGTTACATTCGTCTTTGAACACACTGCATGCACTACCTTGCCTGTGCTAAAATAGGTTCTTAAAAATCACAGCCATATTATTTGAGAGCTGGATGGAACCTTATAGATATTTATTTAGTAAACACTCTTAGGGATGAGAAAATTGCTGAGATGTTAAGTGAATTGCCTAAGATCACACAATGCTAAGCCCACATGTTCCAACACTATCTATAATTTACTAATTCCTTAACAGTAATGATAATAATAATAACAAATTACAAGTACATAACATTTTATAGCTTACAATGAGCTTCCACCCACCTCATCTCCCTTGACTTTCACAATAATCCTGAGATACTTGAAAGGTAGATGTTATTATTTTCATTTTACAACTAAGAAAATGACCTACATAAAAGTTAGCTATTTTCAACAGAACAAAAAGTCACATAATAAGCACAGAAAATAATCCGAAAGTTTGGGGGGTTTTCAGACTCAGCCATTCAGTCCCATCAGATAGAATCATCTTCTCTAATTAGCTAAGGCAGTCCTCTGATACAGGCACTGAGGGGCCACTCAATGAGAAACCAAGATGAGAACATCCTGTATGAAAGGGGTGAGTGCAGAGTGAAGTGGATCCCCATGGATTTCTAAGGGGAGAAGGGATATAAAGTCCTGCTAAGGGGACTTCCTTCTCTACCACTCATGGAGCTGTTCCTGTACTTCCTGGTGACACACCTATGGCACTCTCCAGAAAATAAAGCCTATATCCTCTTAGGGGAATCTACACAAAGAGCACAAACAGAAAAGCTCCAGCAAGATGTGGGGCAAAAGGAGGTTCTTGGGCACAACCCTGTGGAAGATGAAGCTTATAACATTGTTCTAGTTATCTATCGTTATATGACAAACCCCAAAGCTTAATGGCTTAAAACAACAACTCTTTTTGTTATTATAGCTCACAATTTCAGGGATCCAGAATTTGGGCAGGGCTCTATTGGGCAATTTTTCTGTTTCACATGGCAATGACTAGGTTGATTTAGTGGTAGTCAGCTTGCACCTGGTCTGGTCTGGAGGCGTCAAGAGACATCACTCACATAACTGATGTCTCAGTGAACAGCCTGAATGCTGAGCTCAAATTTGCCCCCATCCCAGGTAGTTTCAGGGCCCTCTATAAGGTATCTCCAGTAGGGTGGCTGGATTTCTTACATGGCTTCTTGAGACTCCCAAAGACTTAGGAGGAAGTTGTTAGCCTTTTCTCAGGAACTAGGCCTAGAAGTGCCCTAGCATTAGTTTGGCTGCACAGTGTTTGTCAAAGAAGTTACAGGCTGGCCTGATTCAGGGAGTGTGGTTAAACAGGCTTTGCCATTTGTTTAGAAGAATGCCAAATAATTTGTGACCATCTTTAATCCATGACAACTTTCCCGCATAAACTGCTCCTATTTTCTAAATTCCAATGTTTTTATAGTTACAATTTGAAGGAAATAACTAAGACACAAACTGGGGTAATTTTTAGTTCTAGCAACATACATTTAATTGTAAAAATTTAAGACTCAGTTGGAGAGATAAGTTGAGACCACTGATCTCTTTAGTGTAACTGGTATGAGTCTTGCTTCATCAACCTGAGTTTAAATAACATGTATTCACAATCTAAAATATGATGTCTTTTTTTTTTTTTTTTTTTTTTGAGACACCCCGCCTAGAGTACAGCCTCGGCTCACTGCCGTCTCCACCTTCCAGGTTCAAGCAATTCTCCTGCCTTAGCCTCCCAAGTAGCTGGGATTACAGGCTCCCATCACCATGCCCAGATAATTTTTGTGTTCTTAGTAGAGATGGGGTTTCATCATGTTGGCCAGGCAGGTCTCGAACTCCTGGCTTCAAGTGATCTACCTGCCTTGGCCTCCCAAAGTGTAAAATATGATGTTCTTAATCCTCCCAAACATCTACTTAACCTTGTGTATTAGTTTGTTTTCATGTGGCTGATAAAGACATACCCAAGACTGGGTAATTTAGAAAGAAAAAAGGTTTAATTGACTCACAGTTCCACTCGGCTGGGGAGGCCTCACAATCATGGCAGAAGGCAAGAAGGAGCAAAGTCACATCTTACATGGATGGCAGCAGGCAAAAAGAAAGAACTTGTGCTGGGAAACTCCTCTTTAGAAAACCATCAGATCTCATAAGACTTATTGACTATCACGAGAATAGCATGGGAAAGACCTGCCCCCATGATTCAATTTCTTCCCACTGGGTCCCTCTCATGACATGTGGGAATTGTGGGAGTTACAATTCAAGATGAGATTTGGGTGGGGACACAGCCAAACCATATTACCTTGCAGTTATTTACAGATTCCCCATTCCACGTCTGGCAGATCAGCTCAATATCTTTGCCAAGGGCTTCTCCAACTTCTATGCCATCAAGAAGAAGGACAAGCTGGAGCAAGTGGCAAAGTCCAACTGCTGATTTCTCCCACTGCTGCCTCCCAAAAGGGGGGCCCCTCCCCCCAAAAAAGAGTCCTAGGCATGCTTATTATATCCGTTGTTCACCTCTCTCTGTCAGGAGCTTGGGGTTGTCCCTCTAAACAAGATTCTACAAGAAGCTTCTGCTGCTGTCACGTCTCTAGTCTTGATGCTTTCACCAAGATCCACCATTTCCAGTGATATCTTTGTGCACATTATTAAGGACATTCATTGCTGCTATTTCAATCCCCATGGTGCTGTAAAGAATAGCTCTCCCTTTCTAAGTGAAAAGGACAAAGCTTCCTCCTTATTTTTTATTCTCACAGAGTTATTCCATCATGAAGCTGCTCAAGTGCCAAATGTTGCCATGCTTTTCATTCTTCTACACAGAGCCATGAACCCCAGGATCCCTAAAACAGCCAGAGGAGCTGGCACTGGATGCATTTCAGCACCTGCCAGGCTGCCTGTTATGTCCAGATTTCCACTCACAGGCTTTGCTTTGAAAGAGCTGCTTCACAGTTTCCAATGCAAGGCCATTGTTGTCTGCTCGCAGAATATTCCTAATGGGCACCGAATGAAGCTTACCAATGTTGCTTTTAACTTTTTGGAAACAAAACCATTAAATTAATTCTTCTTTGTTATCAATACAATACATATTCATGATAAAAACTGTGGAGTTTCCAGATAAGCTGTTTGCTTTCCAGACAAGCTGTTGCTCAAACTCTCTGTTTGAGAGTAAAGATAATGTTAACAAGAGATAAATTCTGTTAACATTTTGCCAAATGTTTTCTCATATTTTTAATTGTGTATAAATGAATATGAATATATATGGACATATTATACATTGTTTTATAAACAGCCTTTTCACTTGATAAACTATCTTGAACATTTTCAGTATTGATAATAATCTTGAAGATCATAATTTTAAATGGCTGCATAATATTTCATTTTGTGGATTCCAATAGACTATTTCACCACTTATTTATTGATGAAAGTGTAGGTTGCTTTACTTTTTCACTCTTATAAATAATACTATGTCGAAAATGCTTATAAATGTATTTTAAAATACACATCCATTTTTCCCTTAAAATCGGACCCAAATCCCTTCATTTGTAATTGTTGGGTAAAAGAGTTTGCCAATTTTTGGAACTTTTGATACAACCATTGTAAAAGGGGTTCAAATATTCTTGGGCACTAGCAACATATACAGTAGGGATTATCATAATTTTTAACTTTTGTCACCAGATGAAAAATTGCATTTTGTTGCTTTGTATTTCTTAAATATCTGGTTAGATTGAAACTTTTTCCATATTTTACTGATCATTTTTAATTCTTATTTTGTCAATTATTTTTTCACTTATCCACTCAAAAATATTTATCAAATACATAATACGTGTCAGATAGATTACTCCTTATCTCTTTTTCCAACCATCTGTTGGGATGCTTCTAAACGTTTTACTAATTTGCATCAGCTCTTATATAGTGAAGATATTGCCTCTCCTAGCCTACACCTTTTTCCAGTTTTGCTTGTCTTTAATAATTTTATGTCTTTTTTAATATAGAGTTTATATTTTAATGTACCAAATACTAAAACTTATTGTGTGTGTGTGCCTGTGCGTGTGTGTGTGTGTGTGTGTCTTTATACTTAGAAATGTCCTTACTATGAATGAAGAAATGGAAGAGCAGAATGCTTAGAATCATTAAGCTGATGTTATGTCCTCAAAGATTCTGTTATTAAATGAAATGGATTATTGTGGCCATAATGATTTGGAATATAGTTCAAACATTATTACAACCTATTCTAAAAGCTGTTGATTTCTGATAGCTTGACGGAATCTGAGATTGATGTGATTAATATTAAGAACTTGTCTATATCACATATTTGAAACCATAATTAAATTTGGGTAATGTCTTTACCTTGTCAAAATCCCTCTGGCAGCCTCATCTATTTCTAAATAAAATGAGAAAATGGAAGAGAATAAAATTGCATTTATAGTATTATTGATTATAGAAATAATGTATTTTAAACTTGCAATTCTGAGCATAATCTTCTCATATGTAAATGCCACTATCCAGAATGCCTTCCATGACTGTAGCATGGATTATGTGACCCTTGAACACTTTGTCATATCTCCTCATTCTTCTCTTTCCAGTCACATACAGAAATGGTGACTTAAAATTATTCAGAGATTTGTGGAATTGCTGGTTTAATGTTGGCCTCTTCTATAACACAAACTCTGCAAGGGACACCTGTTTTGCTGATCACTGTATCCCCAGGACCTAAAAGAGTGCTGCAAGATGCTTGCAACGCAGAAGTACTGAATCAATAAACGAGCAAATGGACCAAAGAGGTCCATTCTATGTGGACGTGGGCTTTCTGTCTTACCTTTTGAGTCATGTGGAAGGAAAATTGGGAAAGATTGATAATTCACTTTTCTGCTTTATTTAAAGAGAAAGAAGAGAGAATGACACACTAGTTTGCACTGTCATTGTAACGGCAGCAACTCTAATTAGACATGGGTCAGGGGAAAGCCACAGCCTGAGGCCCTGGGTCAAATCTAGCCATGCCACTCATTTACACATCATTGATGGTTGCTTTCTTGCCAACTGCAGAGCTGAGTAGTTCGTCTGGATCACAAAGCTTAAAATTTTTATTATCTGACCTTTTACAGAAAGTTTGCTGACCCCTGCATTTGACAAGTGAGCACACTCAATAACATGATTCCCAATAGTTATATTAGCGTTACTTTGCCATTGAGGAGATCATGACTGTGTGGCTTGAACCCTGTGTGGACCTATCTAATGAACAGGTCAGTGCTAACGTGCCAGCCCAGGATGCTGCTGACTGAGAGAGGCTGGGGACAAATTTAATGGATTCCTTCCTGGATCCGGACAGAAAGGAGAACTCTATGCAGGGCTGTTAACTTAGCACTGCCTAACAGTGTCCAGCAATAAAAGTCCAAAGGTTAAAAATTCCACGTACTACATTTCTGATCATTTTAATGTGAGAATTTCCTTCTCTTATAGAAACTTGTTGTCCATGAAATTTGTCATTCAAAATTTTGACCAAGCTGTCCTTATTCTCAAAATAAAACATTCTATCTGCAAATACCAGGGTCCTGAGTGCCATACATGAGGTGTTGTCCTTCTAGTTCTAAACACTGGTGACTTTTCCTGTGTAGGAGACTTCCTCCTCCATCTCCTGAATATATCCACTAGAGCTGCTAAAACCCTACCTCTTGTTAAGGATTTTAGATAACCACTTCCAATGTTGGACATCATGATAGGATAGCAGAATTATGAAATGGTACCACAATCCCACCATTGAAAATAGGTGAGATCCATGTGGCACAAGACCCAGAAAAGAAACCAGGGGAAAAAACCAAAAAACAAACAAAAAACCCCAAAAAACACTAAGTAGCTGCCTGTTAGCTGTGCTTAAAAACCTAAACAATGATGTTTGACTCTGGTAGATTGAGACTGGACTGTGTGGCTAAGTCTAGAGATTTAAGGCTGTCTTCCTTCTTTTCATTTGAAAATGCCCCTCCGCCTGCACTCCCAAAACAGTCCCGGAGGAGATGGATGTAGAAAGAGACAGAGCAGGAGAAAGTCCTGTGCTTGCCTGGACCTCAGCACCGCAGAAGTCCATAGTGGGGCAGGAATGTCAGAGAAGAGAGCACAGGAGGGAAATGGCCCTGGGGTATCTGAAGTCGTGGGTATCAGGTCTGATTCCTACGTGGGCAACCTGGGTGTAGAAGGGAAAAGAAAGAATGAACTCCCTCTGACCTTCTGGTGCCCAGTGATTCCAGCCACTAGAAACAAAACCGGCAATGTATCCTGGAGCCTGGCTTTTGAGACCAGTATTCCTCCTACTTGCTGGGTGGGCATGGGGAAGAGTTAAGGCGACAACTTTACCTCGCATGGCTGCGCATGCTATTGGTCAGGAAAAGACTACTTCTTTGGGCTAAAGTTGCAATGGGTGAAAACAAAAGGCACTGGGCTTGATTTCCATCTATTACTCACAGAGACCTCATGGGGCAGGGTGGCTTACCAAAGACAGAATTCAGATCCCCTGGATATCTAAGACAAATGCTATGCTTACAGTGCCCCTTTAGATGGGAGGAAAATGGGACACAGGACTAGAGAATCTCTAAGGTCCTTTCTCGCTCTGATTGATAGCTGAAAGGTAGGTAGAGATAAGGAAACTGCCTTTAGAGGCAGATACACTGAAGGCAGAGGCATATTTACAGAGAAATTGAACACAAAGCGGGAAGAAAATCTACAAAAGTCAGGAACTCAGAAATCAGAGCAGCTTATGACCGTGGTGTATAGAACCTTATATATTTAAGTAAACCCTGTGGGTCTACACATCAGGAAAATGAAGAGCCGTGTTCAGAAAACCTGGCTTAAGGGTGGGGGAGATTGGATAACGTAGGTTAGCTTGTCATCAACTTTGAGAAAATCTCCATTTGAACTTTTTGGCGTTCAAAGTTAATTTCAGTTAAGGAAGGTAAAGGAATTTCCTCCATTAGAAGCATAGCTTTCATGGATATTACTTGCCAAAAGAGGTTCAAAATGAGATTTATGCTATAATTGCTCCTAAGTAGCAACCAACAGCTCACCAACAGCGGACCTGAAATAATTATTTTTACCCAGGAACCTCATGTTTCTTGGTAACTATTGCCAGTAGCAGGGTGCCTCTGTGAAACAAAAGAGCCATGCAAAATAGATTTTTAAGGAAGAAGGAGGGTGATGAGGAGGAGGAAAAGAATTGTACGTTTATCTTATGCAGGCAAAGTTTATTTGGAACTGCAGTTCCTGTTTTCCTTGTTTGTTTTTGTTTTTGTTTTTTGAGACAGAGTCTCACTCTGTCACCCAGGCTGGAGTGCAGTGGCATGATCTTGGCTCACTGCAACCTCCACCTCCCTGGTTCAAGCAATTCTCCTGCCTCAGCCTCCTGAGTAGCTGGGATTACAGGTGCACACCACCACGCCTGGCTACTTTTTTTTTTTCTTTTGTATTTTTAGTAGAGATGGGGTTTCACCATGTTGGTCAGGCTGGTCTTGAACTCCTGACCTTGTGATCTGCCCACCTTGTCCTCCCAAATTGCTGGGATTACAGGTGTGAGCCACTGCACCTGGCCTTTTCCTTGGTTCTAATGGGGTACTGGGAGATCAGTGCCCCACACCCCTCTTCTCCAGCCCGCCCTGCTCCACTGACTTCACCACTGCACAGAACCTCAGACTAGGATTCTTCCCTGTAGTGTACCTACTCCAGCTTGGAACCAAGAGGCAGCCACATCGGTTTAACTATTTCTTAACACTGGAGACAAGAGTTGTATTTTTAAGGATTAGCATTAGTAAATTAGAGCCAAAAAAGAAATTGAAAGAAAATGTGATTAGTTTGGAGCAAATGGTTGTTAGAAGCAATCTGTTATTTAATTGTTCACAGTCCTCACTTATTATTCCTCCTCATTAGCCTGTCTGAAGAGCTGGAACCTCAGGGTATCTTTGGGAATTTCCCTGTTTCCGCTTCTGTTACCTCCTCCCTTTCCCCAGGGTTAGTGCTGGAATTAGTTAAGACTTTTGGGTTGGTGCTGGAATTAGTTAAGACTTTTGGGTTGGTGCTGGAATTAGTTAAGACTTTTGTGGCTCTTGAGATGGGGCTGTTGGAGGGGCGAATGTAGTTCTCTCTGTCAAGCAAGGTTTTCAAAAAAATCCTTGATTAGCGGGAACCTGATGTTCGTTACACACAGAATCATATTCACTTGGAGAAGCAGCAGCTGTTAGAGTGTCACGGGCTAGGAGCCTTTGATCATCCAGGCTGCTCATATGGGCAGAGGATCTTCTGGAAGCTGCCAATTGGGTTCTCTTGCATAAATATATCTTTTTAACAATGCCTGTTGAGATTCTTTAATTGGGGAATTGATAATAGAACAAAAAGATTAATGTAAAATGATTCTAGAATGATGCCCACATGAAGTTTACTATAACAAATTAAGCAGGATTATGCAAATTAAGAGAGATGTATTAACTTTAGTTTTCATTTATAATGATAATGTATGATTATAATAAAGCATTTTTATATATACAGAAAAATATATAAAATTTATCTGCAAATCCGTCATGTTTAGATAACCACGTTAAGACCATATATAGAGATTGTAATGTGTATTTTATACATAATCTTCTAGTTTGCTCTTTTTCATTCAACACTTAAGCAATAGCATTTTCTCATGTCATCAAAACCATTTGAAAATATGCCTTTGATTTCCAAAAACCATATGGAAACTACCATATGGAAAATATCATAATTTAAAAATAATTATCTTACCCTTGAACATCTGGAATGTTTACAAATTTATTATAAATAAGGATGAATTTTTTACACAGTCTTCCTTCAAATCTATGATTATAACTTTAACCTGGGGTGAAATTATGTAATCAATAGTTATGAATTTAAATACTTTTTTGGAAATATTGTTCTAAATTTATTTTCAGTGAGGTTTTCCCAATTTGTTAAATTGCTTTTCAGCAAGATTTGACTCATTTGCATTCCTAACCTCACTCACCTAAGAGGGCCAGCCTCTCTACACCTGAGTATTATTATTGCATTCATAAATACAATAACTGCTGGCAAAAAAAACCCCATCATGTTTTAACCTGCATTTCCTTGATACACGTAAAGATTGAACATTTATTTTAAATGACCTAGTTGTATTTTTCTTTTTTATTTTGAGACGGAGTCTCACTGTGCTGCCCAGGCTGGAGTACAGTGGTGCAATCTTGGCTCGCTGCAACCTCTGCCTCCTGGGTTTGAGTGATTCTTCTGCCTCAGCCTCCTGAATAGCTGGGACTACAGGTACATGCCACCACATCCGGCAAATTTTTGTATTTTTAGTAGAGATGAGATTTCACCATATTGGCCAGGCTGATCTTGAACTCCTGACCTTGTGATCCACCTGCCTATGTTGGAAAAATTTCCAACATAGAGAAAAACTGAAAGAAAATATAATGATCAACTATATACCCATTGCCTAGATTCAATAATTGCCAACATTTTGCTTCATTTAGCCTGGGCTCAGAGCCACCAGATGTCAAAGCTGTTTGCAAAGTTGTCCTACACAGGTATGGCTGTCTTCTTCTGCGGATCCCTGGTTGAATATTGTATTTGTTCAACTCAGGTTAGGCTCTAGAGTGGCCTCTGCTGCTTTCAGGTGTTTATTTTCCAACTTCATGTCAACTGAAATCTTTAGTAGTCTCTGTCTTGTAGCCATGCTGTAGAAATGGACTCTGCATGATTATTTGTTCTCAATATTGGCTTCTTCTTCTTCTTGTTCTTTCTTTTTATTTAAATGTGAGAAAAGATATTTAAGCAGCCACTAGTCAGGTACAGTAGTGTGTGCATGTAGTTTCAGCTATTTGTGCTGGGACTGCATGTGAACACCACTGTATGCATTGAGGCAGCAGGGCCACTTGAGCCCTGGAGTCTAGAGGCTGTAGTGCATTATGATCATGCCTGTGGTAGCCACAACCTGGGCAACTTAGTGAGATCCCATCTCTTAAAAAGAATATTAAGCCACCACCATTATTCTATGGGAAATCTGGAAATGTCTGTCTTTCTGTTGATTTGTAAATCTCCTTTATACATAAAGAGGATTAGCCAGATATCACAAATAGTACTCTTTCTGCTTATCTTTTTCTTTCTTTTTCTTTTTTTTGAAACAAGGTCTGGCTCTGTCGCCCAGGATGGAATACAGTGGTATAATCTTGGCTGATTGCAACCTCCACTTCTCAGGCTCAAGCCATCCTCCCACTTCAGCCTCCGAAGTAGCTAGAACTGCAGGTGCACCACCATCACGCCCGCTCATGTTTGTATTTTTTTGTAGAGATAGAGGTCTCGCCATGTTGCCCAGGCTGGTCTCTAACTCCTAGGTTCAAGTGATCCATTCATCTCGGCCTCCCTAAGTGCTGGGATTACAGATGTAGGCCACCACAACCAGTTACTCTGCTTATTGTTTCCTTGTAAAATTATGCTAATAATTTAACACATCAGACTTTTAAACTTATTTGTCAAATTACTGTCAGATGTCAAATTAATGGGTAATTTTTGTGATATTTTTTATTTTTTACATGTGTGAGAAAGCATTTCCTGCCCAGAGATTAGGTCACTATTTGGTGAGATTTTCTGCCGATTTTCTCTCTCTCTTTCACTTATAATCTTTTAAAGGATCTGAAGTATTAGTGGTCTATAGAATACAGCAAGAATCTTCAGAGGCTTTTTCCCCCAAGTAGTTATTTTTCCACATATTTGTCTCATAAAAATTTGCTTCTTCAGTGATTTATGATCTTTCTTTACCATATGATTAAGTTCTTATTAATGTATACTAGGGTCTATTTCAGAGATATGCACAGGGTTGTAAGGTTATTTATTATGGCATTATTTATAGTAGTGTAAATTGGAAAAAAAAACAACTTAGATTTTAACTTAGCAATTATGTTACCACTGCCCAATGTAATACTATGTTGCAAAGATAATGTTACAGAAGTGTATGTATTGATACATAAGGTTGTTTAAATTGTATTGTTAGGGACAAATGCAGTTTTTATATGTGTATGTATGTATGCCTATATGTATAAGCCTATGTTTTAAAACATTTATTTCTGGCCAGGCGTGGTAGCTCACGCCTGTAATCCCAGCACTTTAGGAGGCCAAGGTGGGCAGATCACCTGAGGTCGGGAGTTCGAGATCAGCCTGACAAACATGAAGAAACCCCGTGTCTACTAAAAATACAAAAATTAGCTGGACGTGGTGGTGCATGCCTGTAATCCAGCTACTCGGGAGGCTGAGGCAGGAGAATCACTTGAACCCGGGAGGCGGAGGTTGCAGTGAGCCAAGACTGCATGATCGCACTCCAGCCTGGGCAACAAGAGCAAAACTCTTGTCTCAAAAAAAAAAAATTTTTTTTTTCTGAATATTTACATACAGACCTACAGAGGCAAAAATCTGGAAGAATACTTTCAAGCTGAAACTGTTATAATCTTTGAGAGTTGGAGTTCTGGTTAGATTATTATTCTTATCTATATTCCTTGATTTTTCTACAATAAATATGTAATATTTGTAAAGCAATGTTATTTTGTTTCTGTGAAGTAATCATAACTAGATTAACATTTTACTAAATTTCATTCCTGTGTATAGGATTAGATTCTGCTTTGGGTACATTTATAATCATACTTAATTAACCTCTGGATCTGAGGAAAAGGCTTAATTTAAGGGCTATTTTTTGTTCAACCATAGAATTATTATGATAATGAGAAATAATAATTCATAATGAAACTGTCTATTTTAAAGCCTTAGCCAGGCATGGTGGCACATATTTGTAGTCTCAGCACTTTGGGAAGCTTAGGCAGGAGGGTGACTTGAGGCCAGGAGTTTCAGACCAGCCTGTGCAACACAGCAAGACCCATCTCTACAAAAGAAAAAAAAACCCACAAAAAAGTAGCCAGGCATGGTGGTGCTGGCCTGTAGTCCCAGCTACTTGAAGTGGGTGCTGAGGTGGGATACAGTGAGCTATGTGATGCACTCCAGTTGGGGCAACAGAGCAAGACCCCATCTCAAGAAAAAAATAAAAGTCTATCACTAGGCCAGGGGGTATGTATCCTCACCAATTTTGAGTGGAATAGACACAGCCAATTCAATTGGTTCTGGGACTTTAGGGTGATTTATCTTCTCAGACTTTACTGGTACATTGGGAGTGGGTCTCTTGACCACCCCTCAGGATAGGTGCTGGCTTCTACCATTCCAGCAAGATCCTTGTGTTGGGTTTTCATTAATTTTTTTTTTTTTTTTTGTCAGTGAAGATATGTCTCCAAGAATAGTTTTTTCAAGGTAAGCCCTCATATATCTAATAATATCATTCTGTTGTCTTCACATATGGAAAGAAACTTAGCTATGCATAAAATTCTTGAGACACAACCTTTTCCCTTCAGAATCCTGCAGCTGTTGCAGCCTTGTCTTCTAGTGGAATTGGCTTCCTTTTTAGATAGCCTATAATTTCTTTCTGGCAGTTCTTAAGAAAAAGAGTTTTATTTTTTTTAAACAAATCCATCTTATTCAAATATTCTGTGAGTATATATTTAGGTGTGCATCTATGTTTCTCAATTCTGTCTGGTACAAGTATAATACTTTCTGTCTGCATAAAACAGAATTGGACTTTTTTGGTTCATTTATTTTTCTTGATGTACTCTCTGCAATTACGTGTTTGTTGCTTCTTTACAATGCCCTGGTTTCTTCCTTAATACAAACTATAATTATACATTGAGTCCATACTTTTTGTTGGTTGCTGTTGCTTTTGTTTCTTTTGTCCTCCATTTTTTTGTCTTACCATTTCATTTGCTTTGTCCTTTCTCTGAATTCTGGGAGAGCAGTTAAAATTGTCTTCTGTATCAATGATTGCAGTGACCTTAGCATCATTTATACTCTATCAGTGCTAATGATGTATTTATGGCTTCCTCTTACATATTTACTTTTCTGGGATTAATTTCTTACAGGATCCAGCTTGATTTTTTTTCAATGTTTTTCACTGCTTTTTAACTTTGTTGTCTTTCTTTAGACGTTCTGTTCTTTCACAGAAGTCAAGGTTTTCTGATGCTATTCAGGAAGCTTTTTTGTTTTTTTTTCCATTCTAGTTCAAGTAAAGAATCATGTAAATGATGAGAACACATGGACATACAGAGGGAAACAACACATGCTGGGGCCTTTTGGAGGGTGGAGGGTGGAGGGTGGGAGGAGGGAGAGGATCAGGAAGACAACTCGTGGGTACTAGGCTTAATACCTCGGTGATGAAATAATCCATACAACCAATTCCCATGACGCAAGTTGACCTATGTAACAAATCTGCACTTGTACCCCTGAACTTAAAACAAAAGTTAAAAAAAAAAAAAAGGAATCACATTCAGAGACTTTCTCTTAAGTCTTTAGCATGAATGAATTCTGCTTTTCCTTTTAGTGCTCTGTTTTTATTTTTGTTTTGTTGTTTCTCCATAGGTGCCATTATTTATTTCATGGTAGAGCTTACTGCAGAGACGGTAATTGTTCTTAGCCCCAACAGCTGTTCACTGAGGTGCTGGTTTCATGCTTCCCCGAGATGTACAGCTGGATGGAAGCTTGATGGCCATGTTTCTAATTTAATTTCTGATATCCAACTGATTCTCCTATTTTGTGATATTTCTAAACTGAGTTGAAAAGTTTTTCTAGACTGCAGGTTACAGAGTTAGGCTACAGGCTGTCAAAGTTTGTTATTTGGCTAGCACAGTATTTTTGATCTGTTTCATTTTATTCTTAAAGATTTGGTATTTTTCTTTTAATTAGTTTAAATGCATGAAAGGCAAAGATATTCAACATAAACAAAGGCAAAGATATTAAACATAAAAACATTTTTATGTTTATATACACATGTTTCACCACTACTCAGGTGAAGATATAGGCTTTGTGCCTCTTCCCAATCAATAGCTCTCTTTCTAGCAGTAACCAGTGTTCTGACTTCTTTCTACAATCAGTTTGCCTGTTCTTGAGCTTTTCTAAAGTGGACTCATGTAGTATGTACTCAGTTGTGTTTGGCACTTACAATTCACCATTATCTTAGGGATATTAATTTATTTTGGCACATTTAGCAGTAGTTTGTTCTTTTTCATTGCTGTATAATATCACATTGTTAGGAAATGTCACAATTTGTTTCTCGTGTCTTCTGTTGATGGGCATTGAGGGCTTCCATTTTGGTGCTCTTATGAATAAAGGTGTTATGAACATCCTTGTATGTTTTTCATGTTGGATATTACCATTCACTTCTCTTTAGTATATACCTGGGAGCGCAAGTGATGCATTGGGAATGTGTGCACAGTAATTTTGTTGCCATTTTTAATTAAACTTTTAATTTTGAGATAATTGTAGATTCACATGCAGTTGTAAGAAATAATACAGACAAATCACAGGTACTGTTAACCCAGTTTCCACCAATGGCAACATATTGCAAAACTATAGTACAACATTACAACCCAGATGTTGACATTAATGCAGTCAAGATTCAGAACACTCCATCACAGAAAATGTTCCTCGTGCTGTCCATTTGTAGTCACACCTACTTCCCTCCCACTTCTCCCTCCTTAAACCTTGGCAACCACTACTCTGTTCCCCATTTCAATAATTTTTTCATTTCAAGAATGTTATATAAATGAGTATGCAACTTCTCGAGGTTGGTCCTTTTTACTCAGCATAACTCTCTAGAGATTCTTCCAAGTAATTGTGCTTGTTGATAATTTGTTGCTTTTTATTGCTGAGTTGTGTTTCTTGGTAGGGAGGCACCACAGTTTGGTAAACATTTGCCTACCAAAGGACATCTGAGTTGCTTATGGTTTTTGGCTGTTAAGAATAAAGCTGTTGGCTGGATGCAGAGTCTCACGTCTGTAATCCCAGCACTATGGGAGGCCGAGGCGGGCAGATCGCAAGGTCAGAAGATCGAGACCATCCTGGCTAACATGGTGAAACCACGTCTCTACTAAAAATACAAAAAAAAAAAAAAAATTAGCCAGGTGTGGGTGGCGGGCGCCTGTAGTCCCAGCTACTCGGGAGGCTGAGGCAGGACAATGGCATGAAACTGGGAGGCGGAGCTTGCAGTGAACCGAGATCACACCACTGCACTCCAGACAGAGCAAGACTCCGTCTCAAAAACAAACAAAAAAGAATAAAGCTGTTATGAGTATTTGTGTACAGATTTTTGCAAGAATGTACATTTTTATTTTTGGAGAATAAATGCCCCAGAATGCAATTGCTGGGTTGTATGGTAGTTACATATTTAGTTTATTAAGAAACTGCAAAACTATTTTCAGGAGTAGTTGTACCATTTGAAACTCTCATCAGCAATGTACAAGTGATCTAATTTCTCCTTGCCAGCATTTGTTGTTGTCATTATTTTTTATTTTAGCCAGTCTGATAAATGTTTAGTGCTATCTCTTATAATTTTAGTGTGAATTGCCCTAAATGGCTAATGACATGGAACATCTTTTCTTGTGCTTATCGTCGTTTGCATATCCTCTTCAGTGAAATGTCCCTTCGGGTCTTATGCTCCTTTTCTGTTTTTTAACTGTTGAGTTTTTTAGAATTCTAGATACTATTTCTTTAACATATATATGGTTTGCAAATATTTCCTCCCACCCTGTAGCTTGTCTTTTCATCTACTTAACAGGGCCTTTTACTGAGCAAAAGATTTTAATGTTGATGAAATCCAGTTTATCAATTTCACCTCTTATGGGTCGTACCTTTGGTGTCAAATCTAAAAAGTCTGCCTAGCACTAAATCCTGAAAATGTTACCTGTTTTAAATAAATTTGTATTGTTTTACATTTTCCATTTAGATCTATGATCCATTTGAGTTAATTTTTTGCACAAGGTGTGAAGTTTAGGTCGAAGTTCAATTTTTTCACTTATGGTTGTCCAATTGCTCCAGCATTATTTGTTTAAAAAGTTATCCTTCCTCCATTGAATTGCCTTTGCACCTTTGTAAAAAATCAGTTGGAAATATTTGTGTGGATCAATTTCTGAGTTCTGTGTTGTGCTCCATTGTCCTATGTGTCTATCCCTTTGCCCACAGCATACAGCGTTGGTTACTGTAGTTACTATAGTTATATTAATATAATACATCTTGAAATTGGATAGACTAATTTCTCCTACTTTTTTCTCCCTTTTCAAAAATTATTTTAGCTATACATGTTCCTTTGCCTTTTCACATACATTTTATAATAATCTTGTCTATACTTAAACAAACTTTTGTTGAGATTTGCATAGGAAATATGTACATCATTTTGGGGGCAATTGACATCTTCACTCCATCAAATCTTCCAATTCATGGGCATTTTCATCTCCTCATTTATTTACATACATTTATATTTATTTCATCAACATTTGGTGGTTTTTAGAGTATAAGCCTTGCACATATTTTATTAAATTTACACCTAAGTTGGCCGGGTGCAGTGGCTCACGCCTGTAATCCCAGCACTTTAGGAGGCCAAGATGGGCAGATCACTAAAGGTCGGGAGTTCGCGACCAGCTGGCCAACATGGTGAAACTCCGTCTGTACTAAAAATGCAAAAATTAGCTGGGCATGGTGGTGGGCACCTGTAATCTCAGCTACTTGGGAAGCCGAGGCAGGAGAATCTCTTGAACCGGGGAGGCAGAGATTGCAGTGAGCTAAGATTGCACCACTGCACTCCAGTCTGGGAGATAGAGTGAGACTCCATCTCAAAACAGAAACGAAAACAAAACAAAAAATTCACGCTGAAGTATTTTATTTTTCTAAGCCAATACTATCTTAATCGGTGTTGTGTGTTGAATTTCAGTACCCTACATTTGGCCATTTGGATTTGTTCATTGGTAAATCTTTTTTAATATTATTCTCTTGTCTCTCTTTAAACCAATCTTTCAAATTTTCAAATTCTTTTTTTGTTGTGTTTTCATTTTTATACAATTTAGGTTACAAAAGTTGCCAAAATATTATGAATAGTTCCTATATACCCTTCACCCTGCTTACCTAAATGATAACAAATTTCTCATAATCACAGTACAATTATCGAAACCAGGAAGTTAGCTTTGATATGTTACTATTCATTAATCTACAGACTTTTTTCAAATTTTTCCAATTGTAAAAACTTAGTATTGTCCCACTACTGCTCTTTTCCAGGATCCAGTCTAGGATCCCACATTTCATTTAGTTTTCATTTCTTCTCTAGTCTGGAAGAGTTCCTCAGTGTTTCTTTCCTTTCATGGCCTTGACAATATTAAAGGGTATTGGCCATTTAGTTTCACCTCTTGTAAATTTATATGTAAACACACACATAACACACATATACACTTTAACTTAAATATAAACACACCTATAGCTAAATATAGAGCTCACAATCAATAATAAAGTAACTGTCCTTTGTTTTTATTTTATGGAAGACATAGGCTCTGTGTTCAACCTCAAGAATCTCTGCTTTTTAAATTTTAGAAGAAATTTTAAAATATCAGTCATTGATCTCCTTTCTTTCTTCTTTCTCTCTGCATCCTTCCTTCCTTCCTTTTTTCTTTTCGTTTTCCTTTTCCTTCCTTCATTTTACGATATAGATCATTGCTTTAAAAATATAAAAGATCAATCAATTTCGATAAGACAATTGCACTCATCTATACATATTTAAGTGGATATATTGTCTACTCTCAGTCTTCTTTCAGGTATAATTCTTTCATTTTTGATTTCTTTCATTTATTTTATTTACTCTGTTACACTGTTCAAGAAATGTTCCTGTGTTTTATTTTTTTAACTTTTGAAATGGAAACTTCCAACCATACAGAAAAGTAGAGAGGATAGTATGATGAACTCCCAGGTACTCATCACCCAACATCATCAATTATCACTGTATTTTTCTGAATCATTTTAAAGCAAATCTCTACATATTATTGTACCCAGAATTACTTCAGTATGTGTTGGTAATAGAGATTATTTTTACCATAATTACCATATCATATTATACCTAATAAAAGAAGCAATACTACTTTTATATCACTTAATATTTAAATTCCATAAAGTACATATTTAAATTCTCCAATTCTCTCAAAATATCTCTTTTACAATTGGTTTGTTTGAATCAGCATCCATACAAATTTGACACAATGCATTGGGTTATAATTCTAATTCTCTCTTTCTCTCTCTTTTTTCTTTTAATGATGCCCTTGTTTCCTTTTGTGAAGCCATTGATATTTTGCAGATACAAAGTTATTTATAGCATGGAAAATTCTACATTCCATAATTGGTTCATTGTATGATCATAGTATTGTTAACTCGTTCCTCTGTCTCTGTTTATATAACAAATTACCACAAACTCAACAGCTCAAAACAACACACATTTATTATCTCACTCTTTCTGTGGATCAGAAGTCCAGGCATGACCTAGAGAGATCAACTCAGGGTTTCACAAAGCTGCCATTAATGTGTTGGCCAGGTCTGGGTTCTTACCTGAGGCTCAGCTAGGGAAGCATCTGCTTCTCCACTTGTATGGTTGTTGATAGCATTCAATCCCTTGCAGCTGAAGGATGCATAGCAGTTTGCTCTGTTGAGAAGTATAAGAATGAGAGATTTTGGTTGCAGGCAATAGAGGCCAACTCCCAATAATTTAAACAAAAGAGCAATTTATTGGCAGGATTTCAATGGTTAATAGTACTGACAGGAATCCTGCAATGAAGATTAGGTCAGAAACAAGGTAGAAACCAGGGCTACTCTCTAGCTACGTGCACCAGGAATTGGTAACAGTCACATCACGGTGCTGGTGCTGGAAGGAAGCAACTCCAGCTATGACTTTTCATCTCAGATTATTCTGCTCAAGATTCAAACCCCCACATCAGAGCCTTAGCCTGGCTTGGAAAGGTCAGGCAGGGCACAGTGATTCACATCCTCACCAATCTGGCACACCACAGGGAAAAGAAGGTTTCCTAAAAGGTAAAAGGAGTGCAATTACTGAAATGAAAATGAGGGGAAACAGAGTTGCAAAAAACAGCAAAAGTCCGCTACAAACCTTTAACTGGCTATCTTAACTGTAATTGGAAGGAGCCATGCTGTGTGGCCTTGCTGAGTTGTCAGGGGGAAGTGCAGAGAATCAGTGCTTCCCTCTGGCATCCTTTGCTCCTATCTGTCTCTGCCAGCAAGTACCATTTTTTAAAAGCTTGGATTGCTTTATCAATAACCAATGCTACCAGTTAACATCCTGCACTCTGTTTCATCTGAGTGCACTTTCTAGTGTCCTTTCTGTATTTGGGGTTGTTACATATTCCAGATGGACTCTTTTTTTTTTTTTACTAATTTTTAAAAACTATCATATAATAATTATGTATATGTATGAAGTACAATGTAATGTTTTGATCTATGTACACACTATAGAAAAGATTCAATCAGGCTAATTAATATATTCATCCACCCCACCAGCTTATTGTTTTGGTGGTGAGGATGTTAAACGGTTATGATATATCTTTACATATCCATGTTTGTCATGTATGATCTACTGTCTGTGATGGCCAATGAGATCCTCAGATCATTTGATGAGATATCCAGAAAGGGTGCTCACAACTCCCCTTCTCCTCCTCCAGGACAAACGTCACCTCCTCAGAAAGTCCTCCTGTGCCACAGTATCTAAGTAGATCACTGTATCTATCACCCCACACTGCTTAGTTTCTTTGTAGCTTTTATCACAAGCTGACAAAATTTTGTTTATTTATGTAAGTGCTTATTTTCTGGCTCCCTCCATGAGCGTAGCCACACGCTCCTTTTTCTTACCTTCTATCCCTGGCATTTAACCCAGGGCCCTGCACATTGGAGATGATCCTGTGACTTGAATGAATGAATGAATGAATGCGTGAGTGAGTGAGTGAGGTAGGAACAAATACGCAGTTTTTTATCACATTTCACCCTTTCTCTTAGTAAGACAGTTTTAGTTTTAAGTCTCTGGTCTAACACAAAGAAAAGCAACACACTCTACAATTGAATTTGGAAAGCCAGTTTTAGTTTTTAGGCAAATCATTGGTTTTGTTCAAAGAATTAATACATAAAACATAATACACAATATATAAAAACATAATGCATAACTCTTGATTTCCTGGTATAAAATGCAGGATTGAAAACATTTGCATGTACTTGCTGAGGTCATGCTGCCCTTCTATGTTTTATAAACTGCTATTCATCCCTTTATACCTCCTGTTTTTTCTTTCTAAATGCTGCAATAATTTGAGTTGTTCACTATATAATCATAGTCAATAAAATAATTTTGACAGATTTTCTAACTGCACTCTGCACTGATTAAAATAAAAATAAAATGCTCTAACATCTTGGAAGGCTGAAATGTATTATATATTATTCATTACTTAAAGGCAATAATGATTGTGACTTTAGTCCCACCAAATTACTGTCTGATATGGTTTGGCTGTGTCCCCACCCAAATCTTGTCTTGAATTGTAGCTCCCATAATTCCCATGTGTTATGGGAGGGACCTGGTGGGAGATAATTGAATCATGGGGGCAGTTTCCCCCATACTGTTCTCGTGGTAGTGAGTGAGTCTCACAAGACCTGATGATGTTTGTAAGGGGTTTCCCTTTTCACTTGGCTCTCATTCTCTTTGTGCCTGCTGCCATATAAGACGTGCCTTTGTTCTTCCCTTGCCTTCTGCCATGATTGTGAGGCCTCCCCAGCCACGTGTGAGTCCATTAAAATTCTTTTTCTTTATAAATTACCCAGTCTTGGTTATGTCTTTATCAGCAGTGTGGAAACAGACTAATACACCATCTCAGCATACTTCCATAGATAAGGTGAAAATTGCTCACTGAAATTTAAATGGTGCTGCTCGACCTTTCAGGAGACAACGTAATGCATGTGGCTGATTCCCAGCTACCCACTTTACTGGCATCCCTTACATTCAACATGTAGACGCTGGGATGACAATGGAGCAACACAAATCTGTTTATGTGACAGGTAACTTCAGCTATGGTTATATACTCTCATGTTAAAGAATCCAAAGATGTAAAAATACAAAATTGTAGAATAAATCATACATTCATTTTACAAAGGATAACTTCTATTGAAAACGGATTTACCGCAAGAACTTCCACCTTCTCAACAACATACTACCTAAAATATGTTTAGGTAATATGTTACTAACTTGCTGGGGGGGAAACTTATAAATGAGAAGGAAAAATGCATCTACTAAATTATTAAGAAACAATGAATGTCACAAGTTAAAGTGTATTCATTCTAGTCAAGTAACATTATTTGAATATGAACTAGGTGCCAGGCACTATTAGAGTAAAAAATCACATGAGGGGATCAGTCATGGGCTGTATATATCAGAGGCACTTATGAGAAATCTATGAGAAGAATTTAGTAATATCATATGCAAAAGTAGGTAATAAGTTAATAGGAAAGTTTGTTTTGTTGGGCCATACCACATAGAGTCCATCTAAAGCCCAACTCAGAATTGCTACAGAAGACTAAAAGAGGCTGCTCAAACAGAAATAGACTGAACTCTAACAGATGCCCCATTTTGTTGCAAAAAAGTTTGGATTTATGGATGTTTCAAACCCATGTGTCTTACGTTCTTCTTTCTCCTTTAGCATATGATAAGAGGTTAGAATGTTCATCTATTACTGAGCCCAGATATGTAAGTTGATGGCATTTTGTTATATGCTTTGTGTGCGTATAAGATATGTGCATAGAGGCTCTAGGAGAGGATGTAAGTTGAACTAAGCTGTATTGTGGGTGTGAGTGCAGGTGTGCACATGGATGCACACACTTGCTAAATAGCTTAGGATATTCATGTTCATCCAGAAATGATTCAAGACCTCCAGCATAAGTACCAGATGTCATAGGGTTCTCAGGGCGACAAGAAGCAGAATAGATTGTTGAATGAGGTTGTTCAATTAAGGAATTTGTTTTGTTTTACTTTGGTCTATTTCATTTTGCTTTTTTTTCATTCCTCTTGAGCCTCTTTTGATAAAGGCTCCCACTGCTAACTGTGGGTAGTGAGTTCTTATGGCTATAGGAGATACCTTGATAAGGAAGGGATTAGAAAAGATGTTTCAAATTAGAGACAAGTTTAATCAGTATAAATCTTTTAAGTATTTACTCCTTACAATTAAGCTTGAAACATCCCACCACCTCTTTAGTGCTGCTGGGTTATAATTATGATAATTATGATGGAAAGACAGAGGATATCAAGGTTATTTTTGAATGGGGGTTTTGGGGAATGCTTCTTGGAGGATTTTCCTGACAGAGACCTCTCACTGCATTAGAGCTGAAATGTTATGTGCAATTTGATTCAAAAACTCATTTGATGTTAGAACTGGAAAGAAAATTATAGGCAGAATAGTATAACCCCTATAATTTTTAATAATGAAACAGAGCTATAGGAGGGAATAATGGCTTATCCATGGTTACAAGTAGTTACCAGTGGAGTTCTGATATTCTCTGCTATCATGGACTTCACAGCTATGTGGAATTAAAGTGAAAACACAGGTCATGGAAGGAAGAGTCTGGCATCACTGGTGGCTTCCTCATTTTGTGTGGAGGGCTTTACCTAGGGTAGTTCCAGTGCAGTTCATTTCTGCTGGTGCATATTCAGAAGAGAGGCTTCTGAATATTTCTCAAGAGCTACTTATGTCAGGATCCTATTTTTACCAGACTTACTTCTGTAACAAACGTTGCTTTGAAATTATAACAGATATTTTTGCAGTAATTCATCCTGTGTTCTTTTCATCAGCAAAAATTCTTGAATTGTAAATTTTAGAATAATTAAGATATACCCTGAGAAGGAAGATTTATGTTTTTGTCTGGCTGCTGAATTAATGCTTTCCATGAGAGAAAAGCTTTAAGTACTTACAGTGCTTAGCAGGGCTATTCTATTCTTTCCCTCTTTTTGTTTTTTCATTCATTAATTTACTTTATTTTTTAAATGCACATGTGCAAAGCACTATGGTGGGTAAAGCATAACAATGTTTAAATATTTATGTCAGAAAGTGCCTAGAAAGTTTTCAAAACATGATAAATATTCAATAAATGCATGTTTACATCTCAAATTTTCCCTAACATATAACATTTGCTTATAGCACAATTTTTATTGCCTCCCTTTTATTTTGTTTTTCCCTGAAATTTACTCCTGAAATCTTCAAAATTATTTTATGGGTTCTTATATAAGATTTTATATATATATGTACATATATGTATATGTAGTCAGAATACATAATTACATAAATTATTACAATTTTAATACAGTCTAATGTCTGCCAAACTATACATGTTATTATTATTTCTACCTTAAATGAGAGACGGATCAATAATTGAATTCATCAATTTTTTTCTTTTGTTTTGTTTTTTTACAAAACTGTGGCATAGCAATTTAAAGAAAAATAATCGCCGTGAAAATGAGAAATTAGATAAACCTAAGATTTGGAGGAGATTAAGTTTTCATGTGCCAATTCTATGCTAAAGTTTTTGGGAATCTGGATGAATGAATAAATTCCTGGGAGAATAGAAATGACTAGAATTGACTCAAGAAGGAGCAGGAAGCTTCTATCAATCAATAAGCTAGTAATACAATTTTAAAAGTTGCTCACGGACTATTTCCAAAGAGATGCCAGACTTAGACCATTTTTCAGATGAACTTTCACATTTTTAAGGGATGTATTATCTCCATGATACTTAACCGCCCAGAACACAGGAAAATATAGTTTTATTTTGCATCTGTAGCGTAACTCCCATCCCAAAACCTGAGAAATACAACCCAGGCAAAGATCCATCTCGCTTATGAATATATATGCCACATTTTGGAATAAAATACTAGTACATTAAATTCAGCTGTATACAAAAAGGAAAAAAAATCAGTGACTAATTCAGGGTTTGTTAAGTAATGCAAGCATGATTAAAACTTTAGAAAATCCATTATCCTAGATATCCCATCAGTGGATCAAAGGTGACAGCCTGAATTATCAATCAACTTAGTAGATACTAAAAAAAAAAAAGACTAGGTAAAATTCATTATTCATTCCAAAAATTTTTAAAAACTCTTAATAAAATAGGAATCTAAGAATATTGTCTTAACATATGAAAGAATGTCTCTTTTCAAGCCAAATCACGAAAAGCATACTCCCATCATTTCTCCCAAGTCCAAAGTGAACAGTAATAATCCAGCTCAGTATGCCATTTCACAGAGGTCACATGAGGTTTCCATTTTATGTCAAATTGGAAGGCTACTGAGAATGGTAAGAAGAGAAAACTCACAGGAAAAATAGCAAATGTGCCAACCAGTGTCTTTGGTCTTCCCTGATAAAAGTCTCTCTGTTGGGTCCCTTGATCATGTGTCAATCATAGAATTGTTTTGGGAAGGGAACAGAATTATGGGAGAGAGCAGGCAAAGTCCTGCTCATGTAATCTTTGTAAAGGTTACTTTCACTCTTCAAGACAACTTCAGTGGGGACTTTACCTAGGTAGAAATAAGAGAAAGAGTGAGCTCACATTTTCACAACGCATACTATGGGCAGGGTGTCTTCTCAAGGCTTTATGTTTGCTAGCTCCTGGAATTCTCAGAACAACTCTTATAAGATAGACATTACGATTGTCCTTATTTTACATATGAGAAGATAGGTTATTTAGGAAAGTTAATCACTTTGCCTGGGACCTCAGAAATGTCAAGTGGGAGAACGGGGGCTTGATTGTAGGTGGTAACCACACCTTGGGAGTCGGGTGAAAGCACACTTTATTCTCTGAAGGCAGAAAAGGAGGCTGTTCAACCCTTTAATGCCATGGGGTAAAATGCCTTTTACTAGACATTGAGAAAGTAGGAGTATGGCCATTCCAGTTGTGTTATCCTGAACACTCCCATTTTCCGATCCTCCCTTTTTCTCCTTTGAAAATTTTAATAATAGGATGAGATGACATTTCATAGCATTATGGCCTTTAAGTTATAATTTTGTTATCTGACAGATGCCCAGAAACATTAGGTAAGGCCACACCTCAGATAGATGACAGTTTATCCTACAAACGTAGATAAACAAATACACACCTGGACCTCCAACAAATACAGGGCTTCCCAAGCCAGATCTAGTGATGTAATATTTAACAAATATTTGTATTTAATACAAATAGAATTTGGTAAATGTCAGAATTACTAGGTGTATTATTCTTTCTCTTCTTCAGAAACAGCTCTTATTTAAGAGGCTGCAAAAATATTTATATCCTTCCCTCAGAAATATGTCATCTGCATTCATCTGCATTCATGTACATATGCATTCATTTTTCATAGAACCACAGACTCACCCAAACAGTTTAAGCTAAAAACTTCTGCTTTGTGTGTTTTTGAGAAGTTATGTATTTTATTTCTGGGATGATATAATTTTGGATTTTAATTCCTTTCCTCTTTACCAAATGTTCACATTCACCCTTATACCCACATGTGTTTCTATGTGCAATAAGTATAACAACACATATACTGAAAAATGTTGCTTTGTTAGGTTGTTATCCAAAATAAAATAATATTAAAAAGGAAAACCTATGGCAATGCTTATTCTCAACCCTACTAAAATAGTGACTTGTTTTAGGATGATGATTTTTACTAATACTTATGTTCGTCTTCTCCCTACATTTAACATGTCAGTGTTTCTATTTCTGATATAACCATTGCATTATTATTTCTCATCACAATATTAATACTTTGCCATGAATCAAGTTTTGACACATATATTTCATCCCTATGCTTTTAATTTATTCAAAAATTCTATAAATGTTTCATAAATGTTAGTCCTATATATTAGTACTGTCTGTAACAAAATATAATGTAACATTTGTCGATCAAAATACAAAGAACAACAGAGCTGAAAAGTATAAAACAACAACAAAGAGTTGAGTTTATTGCTTGCCTGGTATATTAGTTTTGTAGGGCTCCTAAACAAAGTACCATAGACTGGGTGGCTGAAACACCAGAATTTTATTTTCTCACATTCAGGAGGCTGGGAGTCCAAGATTCAGGTAGGATCAGTTTCTTCTCGTGTCTCTCTTCTTAGCTTGTAGATAGCTATCTTATCCGTGTATCTTCACATGGTCTTCCCTCTGTGCCTCATTCTCACTTAGTTGTCTCTTTAAAGATCCTCTCTCCAAATACAGTCACATTCTGGGATATGGGGGGTTAGGATTTCAACACATGGTTTTATCTGGGGGTAGGGGAGAGTACAATTCAGCCTGTAACACCTGGAAATGGAGAGAGTGTTCACTCTAGAGTAAGGTCAGTGAGTCACTCTGATTAAAAGTGGAAGGGCTAGACACAGGGTAAACAAAGGAAGTTTCCCTCCAATAAGGCAGCATTCTGAAGGGCATTATTCAATTGGTCAAGGAGAGGACCCTGGGTCTCCTTTGGGATGGGCTTGCAATTGATCTGGTTCACGCCACAAAATCACAGGCACAGGTCGGGTTAGGCTTCTAGGGTGTAGTGTCTTGACTCAGGCACTTTCATATGCACATGTTTGAGACTTGGCAATTTTTTATCTCTTACATGTTAATGTAATTTTTGCAATTTCCTAATTGTAATTTCCTAAGGAACTTTTGCAGTTTCCTAATACTTGCCAAAACAAACTATCAAGACAACTTTGGCAAAAAGTAAACAGTCCTTCTGTTTTTCCCCACAGCTGAACAAGGACTGGGAAATAAATTTGAAGTATCCAGCTCAGACTCCCATAGCATAGTGCTCTGATTAATTCATTTCCTTTTGTTGGTATTGCGTAGTTCCAGAACTAAAGCTCATAGCACACAGCAGTCTTTTTAATTTACACTGACAAAACCTTTGAAGTGGACACTCTGATAGGAAATTTAAGTGGAAAAAAAAGAGAGAGAGAGGGACACAGAGGGAGATGTTTTATTCTCATTGACTTTGTCAGAATTTTGTTTTCAAGAACTTTAATTGTAATTGAAGGCTTGAAATGTCACTGGGGATTCATTTTGCAAGATGGAGAACAGGGAAAAAAAGCAAAGAACCTATTTTTCAGTATGTTGATTGAGCATAAGGAATTTTATCTTCAGCCTTGACCCTCCTTCTTTGTTCTTTCCTCATTTCCTAAACTCTGGGGTCAATGTTGCAACGGGGAAGAATAGGGTCTCTGTTGTACTGTTTTTGCAGAATCTTTGAGCCAAAAGTGTAAGTACTTTTTAGGAAAATTTAGGTGGTAAATAAGATGCATCCTTACAATAGGAAAAGATTGAGATTCCTCACATCTCTATCCCCAGCTGCCTACCTAGCATCAGTCTTATGCATAGTAAGTGATGAGCAAATATTTGTAGATTGATAGAATTCTAGACTTTGCTAACACTTGTCCAGTGGTCTCTTCTCTTGGGTCTCAATGAAACTTGCAACTCAAGGGGAAAGAGGAGATGCAGAAATAAACGTGCATGGTATTCTGAGCAAATACAGATTTATCCTGCAGTGGATGGCCATTTCTGCTAATTAGCCCATCAGTTAACAAGGAAAACTAGAGGAAGAGTCCTATAATTATTGATGTTTTAAATTTAAGTTCTTTATTTTTTCATAAACATTTTTGGATCAAATAAGCCAGTATAGTCACCAGCTACACTTTCCCATTTGGAAATGTTTAGCATACATGTGACTTAAAAGCTCAAACTTCTGAATCAAATTATCTGTGTTTTCATTTCTGTACAAATACTTGAAATGTCCTGAGTAGAAATGTTTGAAAGGTCTTGAAGACTCCAGCCAGGGTCAATCTAGTTCAGAATTTCGATGCAGACAACTTGCTTGATAAAGGAATCAGGTGCTTTACAACTGAGCTATGGGCCCCCAGGACAAAGGTTAGCAAGTGGGAGTCAAGACCAATTTTCTTAGCTTTTCAGAGCCTTGATGCTGGTAAAGGAATTCCTGGGGCAGGCAATAGCAGGAATAAGATCAAATGAAAATGCACTCATACCTGAATCAGATTTTATTTGAGCCCCCACATGATTATCTCTGGAATCACCCTTGTTGTTATGGATACATTTTCTTCTTTGTTTGGCATGTTTTAGCCTTCTGCCCTCCACTGTAGAGTCCTCCAAATCTGGTTACCATGACAACACATAAATATAAATAAATAAATATTTTTATATATGTATGTATGTATATGGGTATATATATAAATTTTATTTTGGCTTGGAATGAGGGCGGAGGGGGAATCCAGCCTGCTGCAGCCAACCTCTGTCTCCAGCCAATACTGGCACATGGGAAAGGCCATCGTGTGGGCAAACACATGCCAATCAGAATAGCTATTTCTAACACTCCAACAGTACCCTTTAAACATTTCATTGGAAAAGTAGCTTCAATAGAATTGAAAGTCAGTATGTTAGTAATTCACCATTTGCTCCTAATTTGGGGGCAACATGGTCTTTAAATATTCACATATATAAATATTTATTTTAAATATTTAAAGGATTCCTTTCTGTTTCAGATGGGTCTTGGTATGGCTTCTTTTCAGGTTAACCTGTTAATGTTGGTGACTGCCTATGTATGTCTACACTTCTATGAGTCTTAATTAGAAAAAGGAAAAAGTAGTTCTGATTCATCTAAAAGAAGTGTTCCGCCATTGCCCTTGCAGTAGTCAGAGACAAACACTCTGAATTAGCAAAGCCATAGACTTAGAAGTCTAACTGGGTCCTTCTAATTCTAGATGATGTATTTATTTACAGGTATTCAAGGGACATAAAGTAAGATAGTTACTCAAGATACATATATATATATATATATATGTGTGTGTGTATATATATATATATATATATGTATATATATATATATATATATATATATATACACACACACACATTAGCCTGGGATTTAAGTGAGGAGGAGGCGTGATCCTGTTGAGGGTTGTCTGCTCACCTAGGATTCAGGGTGATAGATGGAAGCATAAAGTTGTCCAAAGGATATTTTAAAAGAAAACAAAACAAAATATGCCCCATAGGTGAACCAAACTTAATGTGGTTTAGAGGAATAGGAACTGTGTCTGTTCCCTCTTCCCATGGTGGGGGTCAGGGGTTGGGGGGTCTGGGGCATACAATACAACGCAAGTAGTCCATCCGTGGATACTCCTTAACACTAAGTGTCAACTTGATGTTTAATCCTAAGTGTCAACTTGATTGGATTGAAGGATGCAAAGTATTGTTCCTGGGTGTGCCTGTGAGGGTGTTGCCAAAGGAGACTAACATTTGAGTCAGTGGACTAGGAGAGGCAGACCCACACTTGGTCTGCGTGGGTACCATCTAATCAGCTGCCAGCACAGCTATGATAAAACCAGGCAAAGGAATGTGGAAGGACTAGACTAACTGAGTCTTGTGGCCTGCATCTTTCTCCTGTGCTGGATTCTTCCTGCCCTTGAACATCAGACTCCAAGTTCTTCAGCTTTTGGACTCTTGTACCTACACCAGTGGTTTGCCAGGGACTCTTGGGTCTTTGGTCACAGCCTGAAGGCTGCACTATCGGCTTCCTTACTTTTGAGGTTTCTGGGGCTCAGACTGGCTTCCCAGCAACTCAGCTTGCAGATAGCCTATTGTGGGACTTCACCTTGTGACCGTGTGGTCAATTCTCCTAATAAACTCCCCCCACAATATATTCATTTATCCTATGAATTCTGTCCCTTTAGAGAACCCTAATACAATTCTCAAGAGCAGAGCTAAATATTTGATTATTTTTCTGTGTTTTGCTGTTGGTTTAAGGTTTGCTGTGATGCCACTCTGCAACTGATTTATTTCAAGAAGTTCCAATTTATACCTATGGTTCTGAGCATTCAATGTTCATGCTTTGTACTCACCTTAAGCAACTCACAGAAGCATATTAGTGGGAAACATTTAATCTTTTTATCTTTATAAGATGTGTTTTTCTCTTCCCCTTAAACATGGAGAATTTTAAAGGTGATGCTTCTAAAATACTGAGCTATCCACATTTGCTCTTCTCCAAGGTAGGAATGACTTATCTGATGCATGAAGTTAATGAGACTTTGACATCCATTTGGCCAGGCTTACCTGAGGGCTGGTTCATGATATAAAAAAGATAACATAGAGCTCTCTTTTTTTTGGCCCTCTCCATTCTGCTGGGTCCTGATATTTTAGCACAGACTGTGATCCTCAGCACACCTAACTGAATAAGTGGACTCTGCGTCTGTTTATACTCAAGCTTTTCTTCATGTTTGCACAAAGTTCTGTGTCTGGTCTAAACTTAGGAGAAGAATGTAGGAAATATCCTTCATGTTCCTGGGTGTTCTCCATTTGAATATTACCCAAGAAACCATATGTTTAGGAGCTACTGGGTCTTCATGAATGATGATGCTTTTATCTGCATTTGGGTGTTCTGCTGTATTGATGATTTTACAATGGATAGAATCTGGCTAGAAGGAGACCTAAACCCTCCATTAGAACATAAAGACTCCTAGGAGTCCTCAGAAATAGTGCCTTACTCCCCAAACAGCAAAATGCTTTTAAATATATCATCAGCAGAATGGGAGTGCTATGATTTGAATGATGGTATCCCCTCCAAAATGCACATTGAAACTGAATCTCAATGCAACAGTATTAAGAGGTGGCCTCAGGTGGTGATTAAGTCATGAGGGCTTCACCCCATTACAAAAGGGGTTGAGTTTAAAGGAAACTCTTTGGCCATTCTGCCCTCTCTGCCACGTGACGACACAGTGTTGGTCCTCTCTGGAGGATCAGCAACAAAGCACCATGTTGGAAACAGAGGGCAGCCCTAATCAGACACCCGTCCTACTGGCACCCTGATCTTGGAATTCTCAGACTCCAGAGCCATTAAGAATAAATTTTTATTCTTATAAATTACTTAGTCTGTGGTGTTTTTTCTTAGAAGCACAAATGGATGAAGACAGAGAGGTTTGGCTGTAATTTCCTGCTCACCAAAATTGCAGGAGAAGAATGGTTGTTCAAATCTAGAAAAAAGACTTTTGAGAATAAAGTGTGTGGACCCCTCATTAAATGTGCAACTTTCTGAGAACTAGTCATATGTTTTATTAATAGAATTGGACAGAGATTTGGGAGTCTCTATTTATTATTTATAAGTTATATTAAAACACACCTGTATTGTCAAGGCTTTATGTGCCTGGTGGCAAAAAGCAATGGAATGGGAATGATTATTAGAAAAACCAGTGATTTCTTTAGAAATATCAGCCCTAAAATGAAAGAAAATGACTCCTAATATATACCCATTTAAAATGTTCTGTAATGCAGGAATTTTATCTGTTTTACTTCCAAGGATGACTGGGTCTTGTGATTGAGAGCAGAAGAAAACCTAGGGAGGAAACCAATGCTCTAGAAAGGAACTTTTTTCTTATGCCTTCCAGAAGCAACGATAACATGAACAATTGTACATCAGTCATCAGGTGTTACAAAAATTACACAGAGGCACCCCCTGCTGGAGGGAGGTGCTACTCAGCCAGGGACACTGCGGGAAGACAGAACTGTCTCTTGTATTTCTCTTACTCTTGATGGACAGAGGGAAAGCAGCACAGAAGAAAATGACTCTAAGGGAAGAAACAATCAGAAAGAGATAACACCAGAAATCTCAAATATTTGAGCTGAGAGAAATGCTCTCTTAAGATGCCTGGGAACCTTCCATGTTGAGACACTGCCAAGTTACTGAACGAGCATTGTGCAATCTTAGATGAAACATTTCCCTTTGCCAAGCTATTCTGCCCCGGTGAGGAATATAATGATGATGGTTGAGGGCTCAGGCTACACAAAGTGTGATGCTCCCAGGAAGGAGTCAGGGCACTTTGCCCAGGGGTAAATGCCCTAGAAGGAGCATGAGAGATGCCATGGTCCAAACCCGTTTTTCTGAGAAGACAGCACTGTGATTTGAAGAGAATAAATGATGGCACAAAGGAAAAAAAAGTGGTGGGACCAAAGGTAGAATACAGAGGTGCACATAGGGACTGCAATCTAAGTGTGGTTTTAGATCCTCTCAGCATATGAACAAAATTGAAGAACTACAAATGGTAGTTTGTGGGAAAGAATGCACACGAGGGTTGTGGTTCATCTGTGGACTATTGCAGTCCTTTTTAAGAGCAGTATTTACGAGTCCTAAAGGGCATTAAGGAAACTTCCTTGACAGCCATTAAGAATCAGAATAGGGAAGATGAAGAGTTCTGTAGTATCATGTTTGTGTTATAAATTTGAAAATTAATGCACAGCTTCGGGGATTCTGTTCCAAGATGGCTGAAGAGGAACAGCGCTAGTCTGCAGCTCCCAGTGTGAACGATGCAGAAGATGGGTGATTTCTGCATTTCCAACTGAGGTACCTGGTTCATCTCACTGGGACTGGTTGGACAGTGGGTGCAGCCCACAGAAGGCAAGCCGAAGCAGGGCGGGGCATCGCCTCACCTGGGAAGTGCAAGGGGTTGGGGTATTTCCCTTTCCTAGCCAAGGGAAGCTGTGACAGATGGTACCTGGAAATATGGGACACTCCCACCCAAATACTGTGCTTTTCCAATGGTCTTAGCAAATGGCACACCAGGAGATTATATCCTGCACATGGCTCGGCGGATCCCATGCCCAAGGAGCCTTGCTCACTGCTAGTGCAGCAGTCTGATATTGACCTGTGAGGCAGCAGCCTGGCAGGGGAAGGGGTGTCCACCATTGCTGAGGCTTCAGTAGGTAAACAAAGTGGCCAGGGAAGCTCAAACTGGGCGGAGCCCACCGCAGCTCAGTAAGGCTGGCTGCCTCCATAGTCTCCACATCTGGGGGCAGGGCATAGCTGAATAAAAGGCAGCAGAAACTTCTGCAGACGTGAAAGTCCCTGTCTAACAGCTCTGAAGAGAGCAGTGGTTCTCCCAGCATGGTGTTTGATCTGAGAGAATGGAAAGACTGCCTCCTCAGGTGGGTCCCTGACCCCCGTGTAGCCTAACTGGGAGACACCTCCCAGTAGGGGCCAACTGACACCTCATACAGGTGGGTGCCCCTCTGGGACAAAGCTTCCAGAGGAAGGAGCAGGCAGCAATATTTGCTGTTCTACAACCTCCACTGGTGGTACCTAGGCAAACAGGGTCTGGAGTAGACCTGCAGCAAACTCCAACAGACCTGCAGCTGAGGGATCTGACAGTTAGAAGGAAAACTAACAAACAGAAAGGAATAACATCAACATCAACAAAAAGCACATCCACATCAAAACCCTATCTCTAGGTCACCAACATCAATGACCAAAGGTAGATAAAACCGCAAAGATGGGGAGAAACCAGAGCAGAAAAACTGAAAATTCTAAAAACCAGAGCACCTCTACTCCTCCAAAGGATCACAGCTCCCCGCCAGCAACAGAACAAAGCTGGATGGAGAATGACTTTGACAAGCTAACAGAAGTAGGCTTCAGACAAACTTCTGAAGTTTAACAAACTTCTCTGAGCTAAAGGAGGATGTTCGAACCTATCGCAGGGAAGCTAAAAACCTTGAAAAAAGATGAGATGAATGGCTAACAAGAATAAACAGTGTAGAAAAGACCTGAAATGACCTGATGGAGCTGAAAACCATGGCACGAGAACTGTGTGACGCATGCACAAGCTTCAATAGCCAATTCCATCAAATGGAAGAAAGGGTATCACTGATTGAAGATCAAATGAATGAAATAAAGAGAGAAGAGAAGTTTAGAGAAAAAACAGAAAAAAAAACAAACAAAGCCTCCAAGAAATATGGGAATATGGGACTATGTGAAAAGACTAAATCTACATTTGATTGGTGTACCTGAAAGTGACGGGGAGAATGGAACCAAGTTGGAAAACACTCTTCAGGGTATTATCCAGAAGAACTTCCCCAACCTAGCAAGGCAGGCAAACATTCAAATACAGGAAATACAGAGAACACCACAAAGATACTCCTTGAGAAGAGCAACCCCAAGACACATAATCGTCAAGTTCACCAACGTTGAAATGAAGGAAAAAATGTTAAAGGCAGCCAGAGAGAAAGGTCGGGTTACCCAAAAAGGGAAGCCCATCAGACTAACAGTGGATTTCTCTGCAGAAACCCTACAAGCCAGAAGAGAGTGGGGGCCAATATTCAACATTCTTAAAGAAAATAATTTTCAACCAAGAATTTCATTCCAGCCAAACTAAGCTCCATAAGTGAAGGAGAAATAAAATCCTTTACAGACAAGCAAATGCTGAGAGATTTTGTCACCACCAGGCCTGCCTTGCAAGAGCTCCTGAAGGAAGCACTAAACATGGAAAGGAATAACCGGTACCAGCCACTGCAAAAACATGCCAAATTGTAAAGACCATCGATGCTAGGAAGAAACTGCATCAACTAATGGGCAAAATAACCAACTACCATCATAATGACAGCATCAAATTCACACATAAAAATAATAACCTTAAATGTAAATGGGCTAAATGCCCCAATTAAAAGACACAGGCTGGCAAATTGGATAGAGTCAAGACCGATCAGTGAGCTGTATTCAGGAGACCAACTCAAGTGCAAAGACACACATAGGCTAAAAAGAAAGGGATGGAGGAAGATCTACCAAGCAAATGGAAAGCAAAAAAGGCAATTCTAGTCTCTGATAAAACAGACTTTAAACCAGGAAAGATCAAAAGAGACAAAGGGGGCCATTGCATAACGGTAAAGGGATCAATTCAACAAGAAGAGCTAACTATCCTAAACATATATGCACCCAATACAGGAGCACCCAGATTCATAAAGCAAGTCCTTAGAGACCTACAAAGAGACTTAGACTCCCGCACAATAATAATGGGAGACTTTAACACCCCACTGTCAATATCAGACAGATCAACGAGACAGAAGTTTAACGAGGATATCCAGGACTTGAACTCAGCTCTGGACCAAACTGACCTAATAGACATCTACAGAACTCTCCACCCAAAATCAACAGAATATACATTCTTCTCATCACCATATCGCACTTATTCCAAAATTGACCACATAGTTGGAAGTAAAGCACTCCTCAGCAAATGTAAAAGAACAGCAATGACAGCAAACAGTTTCTCAGACCACAGTGTAATCAAATTAGAACTCAGGATTAAGAAACTCACTCAAAACCACACAACTACATGGAAACTGAACAACCTGCTCCTGAGTGACTACTGGGTAAATAACAAAATAAAGGCAGAAATAAAGATGTTCTTTGAAACCAATGAGAATGAAGACACAACGTACCAGAATCTCTGGGACACATTTAAAGCAGTGTGTAGAGGAAAATTTATAGCACTAAATGCCCACAAGAGATAGCAGGAAAGATCTAAAATCGACACACTAACATCACAATTAAAAGAACTAGACAAGCAAGAGCAAACACATTCAAAAGCTAGCAGAAGGCAAGAAATAACTAAGATCAGAGCAGAACTGAAGGAGATAGAGACACGAAAAACCCTTAAAGAAATCAATGAATCCAGGAGCTGGTTTTTTGAAAAGATCAACAAAATGGACAGACCATTAGCAAGACTAACAAAGAAGAAAAGAGAGAAGAATCAAATAGACGCAATAAAAAATGATAAAGGGGATATGACCATGGATCCCACAGAAATACAAACTACCATCAGAGAATACTATAAACTCCTCTACGCAAATAAACTAGAAAATCTAGAAGAAATGGATAAATTCCTCAACACATACACCCTCCCAAGACTAAACAAAGAAGAAGTTGAATCTCTGAATAGACCAATAACAGGCTCTGAAATTGAGGCAATAATTTAATTAATAGTTTACCAACCAAAAAAAGTCCAGGACCAGAAGGATTCACAGCCGAATTCTACCAGAGGTACAAGGAGGAGCTGGTACAATTCCTTCTGAAACTATTCCAATCAATAGAAAAAGAGGGAATCCTCCCTAACTCATTTTATGAGGCCAGCATCATCCTGACACCAAAGCCTGGCAGAGACACAACAAAAAAAGAGAATTTTAGACCAATATCCCTGATGAACATTGATGCAAAAATCCTCAATAAAATCCTGGCAAACCGAATCCAGCAGCACATCAAAAAGCTTATCCACCATGATCAAGTGGGCTTCATCCCTGGGATGCAAGGCTGGTTCAAAACACGTAAATCAATAAACGTAATCCAGTATATAAACAGAACCAACAACAAAAACCACATGATTATCTCAATACATGCAGAAAAGGCCTTTGACAAAATTCAACAACACTTCATGCTAAAAACTCTCAATAAAATAGGTACTGATGGAACATATCTCAAAATAATAAGAGCTATTTATGACAAACCCACAACCAATACTGAATGGGCAAAAACTGGAAGCATTCCCTTTGAAAACTGGCACAAGACAGGGATGCCCTCTCACCACTCCTATTCAACATAGTGTTGTAAATTCTGGCCAGGGCAATTGGGCAAGAGAAAGAAATAAAGGGTATTCAATGAGGAAATGAGGAAGTCAAATTGTCCCTGTTTGCAGATGACATGATTGTATATCGTCTCAGCCCAAAATCTCCTTAAGCTGATAAGCAACTTCAGCAAAGTCTCAGGATACAAAATCAATGCACAAAAATCACAAGCATTCCTATACACCAATAACAGACAACCAGAAAGCCAAATCATGAGTGAATTCCCATTCACAATTGCTTCAAAGAGAATAAAATACCTAGGAATCCAACTTACAAGGGATGTGAAGGACCTCTTCAAGGAGAACTACAAACCACTGCCTAATGAAAAAAAAGAGGACACAAACAAATGGAAGAACATTCCGTTCTCATGGATTGGAAGAATCAATATTGTGAAATGGCCATACTGCCCAAGGTAATTTATGGATTCAATGCCATCCCCATCAAGCTACCAATGACTTTCTTCACAGAATTGGAAAAAACTACTTTAAATTTCATATGGAACCAAAAAAGAGCCCCCATATCCAAGACAATCCTAAGCAAAAAGAACAAAGCTGGAGGCATCACGCTACCCGACTTCAAACTATACTACAAGGCTACAGTAATCAAAACAGCATGGTACTGGTACCAAAACAGAGATATAGACCAATGGAACAGAACAGAGGCCTCAGAAATAACACCACACATCTACAACCATCTGATCTTTGACAAACCTGACAAAAACAAGCAATGGGGAAAGGATTCTCTATTTAATAAATGGTGCTGGGAAAACTGGCTAGCCATATGTAGAAAGCTGAAACTGGATCCCTTCCTTACACCTTATACAAAAATTAATTCAAGATGGATTAAGACTTAAATGTTAGACCTAAAGCCATAAAAACCCTAGAAGAAAACCTAGGCAATACCTTTCAGGACACAGGCATGGGCAAAGACTTTATGACTATAACACCAAAAGCAATGGCAACAAAAGGCAAAATAGACAAATGGGATCTAATTAAACTAAAGAGCTTCTGCACAACAAAAGAAACTACCATCAGAGTGAACAGGCAACCTACAGAATGGGAGAAAGTTTTTGCAATCTACCCATGTGACAAAGGGCTAATATCTAGAATCTACAAAGAACTCAAACAAATTTACAAGAAAAAAAACAACCCCCCCAAAAATGGGCAAAGGAAACCAACAGACACTTCTCAAAAGAAGACATTTATGCAGCCAATAGACACAAGAAAAAATGCTCATCATCACTGATCATCAGAGAAATGTAAATCAAAACCACAATGAGATACCATCTCACACCAGTTAGAATGGTGATAATTAAAAAGTCAGGAAACAGATGCTGGAGAGGATGTGGAGAAATAGGAACACTTTTACACTGTTGGTGGGAGTGTACATTAGTTCAACCATTGTGGAACACAGTGTGGCGATTCCTCAAGGATCTAGAACTAGAAATACTATTTGACCCAGCAATCTTATTACTGGTATATACCCAAAGGATTATAAATCATGCTACTATAAAGACACATGCACATGTATGTTTATTGCAGCACTATTCACAATAGCAGAGACTTGGAACCAACCCAAATGTCCATCAATGATAGACTGTATTAAGAAAACATGGAACATATACATCATGGAATACTATGCAGCCATAAAAAAGGATGAGTTCATGTCCTTTGCAGGGACATGGATGCGCTGGAAACCACATTCTGAGCAAACTATCACAAGGACAGAAAACCAAACACCGCATGTTCTCACTCATAGGTGAGAATTGAACAATGAGAACACTTGGACACAGAGCGGGGAACATCACACCCTGGGGCCTGTCATTGGGTTGTGGGAGGGCAGGGGAAGGGATAGCATTAGGAGAAGTACCTAATGTAAATGATGAGTTAATGGGTGCAGCAAACCAACATGGCACATGTATACCTATGCAACAAACCTGCACTTTGTGCACATATACCCTAGGACTTAAAAGCATAATTAAAAAAAAAAGAAAAAAAAAGAAAATTAATGCACAGCTTCAATAGCAATGTTTCCTAAGCCAGATACCTCTGTTTTCTGCTGTGTTTGCTATATTCACCACTGTTCATGCAGTTCTTGATACAATGCCTGCTGTGCAAAACTCAAGAATATTTATTAATGAAAGAATGACTCAGCCGGGCATGGTGGCTCATGCCTATAATCCCAGCACTTTGGGAGGCCGAGGCAGGTGGACCGCTTGAGGTCAGGAGTTCAAGACCAGCCTGGCCAACATGGTGAAATCCCATCTCTACTAAAAATACAAAAAATTAACCAGGGGTGGTGGTGCATGTCTGTAGTCCTAGCTACTCAGGAGGCTGAGGCAGGAGAATCACTTGAACCTGGGAGGCGGAGGTTACGGTGAGCTGAGTTCATGCCACTGCACTCCAGCCTGGGTGACAGAGCAAGACTCTGTCTCAAAAAAAAAAAAAAAAAGAAAAAGAAAAAAAGGAATGACTCTCACAATTCAATATTTCACTTTTTCAAGTCCCATAGTAGCTCTTTTTTTTATTCTAAGTTAAAGAAAAGGTGAATTTTTCTAAATAGCAATATAGAAATAATAATATATTTGGGATTCTTTACTGCATCTAATTTTGAATTACCCATACCTGCATGTTTGGTGGAGCTGGAACTATTCAGATTTCTATTCATTGGGATACATTTAACCCATATTACATGCTTATAGAGCAAAGACATCAAACAAACTGTTTTAGAATATGAGATGTTAAAGAAAAACATGATCTCAAATCCTAGGCAAACGCAGTGCAGCATATGAATGTGTTGGGTAGTAGCTTTCATGTATAGCAGAATAGCGTTAGGCATGTTGCAAAGTTCTAGTATCAATTTCCAACAATTTCCTTTTTATCAATTCCTGTGATCATCTCTGAGAAGCCTCTAACATAATGTGTCTTCTGCTAACACTACTGGCACAGCATTATCCACAGACTTTTTACATGCTAATCCTAGCCACAGACCTTTGGTGATTCTTTCCCTTATCATCCACTCCCTGGGCTCTTTGGTGTGGGATTGAAGAAGAGAAGCCTCAGAGAAGCATTGCTTCTGAGGAAGAACTAGATACGTGGCGAAGGTGTAGTATGTTTGAGAGACAATACAGTGAAAGGAACGAATGAAACAAGAGGTGAAAATTAAGGAACTTGAGAAAATGAAAGCAAAACAAGACACCTGACTGGTCTTCTGCTCACTGTCCCTTCCATCCATTAAAGAAACTACACAGAGGGGAGCATAAGTGACAGAATAATGTGATTTTAAACATTCCACACTGTCAAAAATATGAGTAGGAATAGAAAAAAAATCAGACTGCACTCATGTAAAACTACTACAAAAAATCAGTAAATAGAAGTCTCTGCTGATTAAAAGCCTTTTCATAAAAGCATTCATGAAGCTGACAAAAAGGTATAACACTCCAAACTGCACAAAAAAGTTTGTGTATGGGAAAAATTACTTAGACTCAGAAAAACAAGAACTAAGAACAGGAATGGAAAGACAACAAGAATAAATAAAAGGGAAGTTAATTGAGCTCAGGAAAGAAATAGAAGAAAACTATAAATTTATATCAGACATGAAAGCACATGGAGAACTAATGCAAAAAAAATCAGGAAGCAAAATTTTACACATATCAAGTAATGAAAATACAAGCAAAATAATAATCATAAAACAGACTGTAACTCTAAGTTGATGATCAAATAGAATCAAATATAATGAGTCATTAGTGAAAATAAAAGATCACCTTGAATCAGAAATTCTAGGCTGGGTGCAGTGGCTCATGCCTTTAATCCCAGGACTTCGGGAGGCTGAGGTAGGTGAGGTCAGGAGTTCAAGACCAGCCTGACCAACATGGTGAAATCCTATCTCTACTGAAAAAAAAAAAAAAGTACAAAAACTGGCTGGGCTTGGTTGTGCACACCTGTAATCCCAGCTACTTGGGAGGCTGAGGCAGGAGAATTGCTTGAACCCGGGAGGCAGAGGTTGCAGTGAGCCGAGATCGCATCACTGTACTCCACCTGGGTGATAGAGCAAGACTCCATCTCAAAAAAAAAAAAAAAAAAAGAAAGAAAGAAAGATTAAATCTAAAAGCAGAAATGGACAAAGAAGAAGAGAGAAATATAAAAGAGTTGACTAACTCAGGAAAGAAGTGGAAGAAAAAGACAATTTTCTGAGAAATGAAGAAATAAATTGCAAGTAGCCAAGAGATAATAGATTTGAATGGCCAGGTGTGGTGGCTCATGACTTGAATCTTAGCACTTTGAGAGGCCTAGGAACGTGGATTGCTTGAGCCTAAAGTTTCAAGATCAGCCTGGGCAACATAGTGAGACATGTCACTCTCTCTATATATCATAAAGGAAAATTTAATAAAAGGTATTGAAGAAAGGTGAAAGGCAATCAAGGAAAAAGACATAACATAGAGAAGAGAGTTTTAGAAAAAAGTCAAAGAGAAAGTCATAGAAATGGACAACTGCTAGAGAAGCAGTAATATTCATATTATCAGAATACATAAAGAAGAAAAATAATGGAAGAGAAGTTATCTAGTAACTGAAGTTATTATTCACAAAAACTTTCCATACACAGTGAAATGGTTCCTTGTGTACCTGAGAAGATTAAAGCTGAATGACCAACTTCTGGACATCTTCTAGACAAATTACCAAAAATACAGATAATTTCCTCAATATCCATTTCCTCCGGGAAATGGATAATTTACAAAGACAAAGGAATTAGACTAATTCCTTTTAACATCCACTTGTAAAGCAAGGAGACAATGGAGCAGCACTTTCAGAAAACTCAGTGAAAGAAAATGTGAACCGGGGATTTTATGTACAGCCAAACTGTCCTTCACGCATCAACCAATATATAGTTTTTAACATACAAGAATTTAGGAAATACTGAGACAATCATTCCTTCCTAAGTAGACCTTCCTAATCTACTGGAGAGATGAGCTTCATCCAACAGAGTGATGACTGGGGAAAATTCAGACAAAGCATTGATATGAGCATTATAAAATATATATATATATATTATAATATATATAATATATAAAGTATATACATGTTTATATATCAGTGAGCATTATAAAATATATAAATAAGATAAAGCATTATAAAATATATAAATAAAATAAAGTTTGGAATAAGTATAGAAAAACAATATCCAAATGTTATATATTATGACAAAGTAGAAATAAAGCATTCATTAAAAATAGAAGGGAGAGGGAGCCGGGCGCGGTGGCTCATGCCTGTAGTCCCAGCACTTTGGGAGGCCGAGGCGGGCAGATCACGAGGTCAGATGATCGAGACCATCCTGGCTAACACGGTGAAACCCCTTCTCTACTAAAAATACAAAAAAATTAGCCGGGCATGGTGACGGGTGCCTGTAGTCCCAGCTACTCAGGAGGCTGAGGCAGGAGAATGGTGTTAACCTGGGGGCAGAGCCTGCAGTGAGCCGAGATCGTGCCACTGCACTTCAGCCTAGGCGACAGAGAAAGACTCCGTCTCAAAAAATAATAAATAAATAAATAAATAAATAATAAATAAAAATAGAAGGGAGAGGGAACTAAGAAATAGATGAAGTTATTGTTATATGTTAATCGGTGGTATTTACAGATTCCAAACACCAAAACAAAAAAACCGTGATATATCAAATAGTAAAGGTTAAATAAGAAAAATAAGGGGGGGATTAGGACATGTAAAAAACTATAAATGCAAAACTAGTTAATAAAACAAAATTACAAATATTCCTAAATGCCAAAAACTGGAATATATATCTAAAATACATAAGCACATAAATATACAATATTTATATTAAAAAGGAAATATATGGAAAGTATATATTTACATCATCTATCTATATTCACATGTCTATAAAGAATACACATATAGAGAGAAGCATACAAAATAAAATACATATAATCATAAAATATTTTGATAGTGAAGATGACACATATTGGTCATAATAAATCAACTTATCTATTACAAGAATAAGATGCTCAATTTAGTTCACAAAATGTACCCCAACTCTGTGGTGTATTCAAGAGACACAAAGTAATTCAGAAAAGCTAAAAATAAAGAAACAGACTCATTTATACCAGGCAAATGGAAACAAAAAGAGCAGGTTAGCAATCCTAATGTCAGAAAAATAATTAAATCCCAAAGACATTAGATGTGACAAAGAAGGTGTTTTTTTTTTTCTAACACTAAAGGCTACAGTTCACAGTGAAGATAAAATACCTGTGGCTATCTATATGCACAAATAAAATAGCAATCATCTTTATGAAACAAAACTACAGGGAGGACAAGGAGACTTACTTAGAAATACACTAATAATAGGAGACTTTAATATACCTCTCACAGTATAAGATAGATAAAGTTGACAAAAAAATGAGATAGACAATTTAAACAACATAATCGATTGAGCAGATCTTGTGGATGTACATCAAACCGTACAACATGATAATAGAGTATATGTATTCTTCTCAGGTGCACATGACATGGATCACGTGTTAGGAAATGAAGAACATGTCAGTAACTCTTAAAAACCAGAAATATTGTAAGGCACACCTTCTGGTCACAAGGCAACAAAACTATAATTTGCTACAAAAACAAAAGTAGCAACAAAAGGAAAGTCTCTTCTATCTAGACCTTAAAACAATTCCTATTATAGTAGAATGATTTATAATCCTTTGGGTATATATCCAGTAATGGGATTGCTGGGTCAAATGGTATTTTTGGTTCTGGATCCTTGAGGAATCATCACACTCAATGTTTATTGCAGCACTGTTCACAATAGCAAAAACTTGGAACCAACCCAAATGCCCATCAATCATAGACTGGATAAAGAAAATGCAGCACATATGTACCATGGAATACTATGCAGCCATAAAAAAAGGATGAGTTCATGTCCTTTGCAGGGACATGGATGAAGCTGGAAACCATCATTCTCAGCAAACTAACACAGGAACAGAAAACCAAACACCGGCCGGGTGCCGTGGCTCATGCCTGTAATCCCAACACTTTGGGAAGCTGAGGCAGGTGGATCATCTGAGGTCAGGAGTTTGAGACCAGCCTGACCAACATGGAGAAACCTCGTCTCTACCAAAAATAAAAAAATTATCCGGGCATGGTGGTGCATGCCTATAATCCCAGCTACTTGGGAGGCTGAGGCAGGAGAATCACTTGAACCTGGGAGACCGAGGTTGCAGTGAGCTGAGATCTTGCCATTGCAGTCCAACCTGGGCAACAAGAGCGAAACTTTGTCTCAAATAAATAAAAAAAATAAAAAAATAAAACCAAATACCGCATATTCTTACTCGTAAGTGGAAGCTGAACAATGAGAACACATGGACACAGGTAGAGGAACATCACACACCAGGGCCTGTCGAGGGGTGGGGGGTTAGGGGAGGGAGATAGCATTACGAGAAATACCTAATGTCGATGATGGGTTGATGAGTGCAGCAAACCACCATGGCAAGTGTATACCTATGTAACAAACCTGCACATGTATCCCAGAACTTAAAAAAAAAAATTCTATTAAAAGCTCCTGGATGTAGACCAGGCATGGTGGCTCACACCTGTAATTCCAGCACTTTAGGAGGCCAAGACCAGGAGTTCGAGATCAGACTGGCTAACATGGTGAAACCCTGTCTCTACTAAAACAAATACAAAAATTAGGCGGATGTGGTGGCACATGCCTGTAATCCTAGCTACTCAGGAGGCTGAGCCATGAGAATTGCTTGAACCCAGGAGGTAGAGGTTGCAGTGAGCTGAGATCAGGCCACTGCATTCCAACCTGGGGGACAGAGTGAGACTCTGCCTCAAAAACAAACAAACAAACAAACAAATCTCCTGGATGAAAGGGAAAACACAAACTGAAATGACAGATTTATGAAAATTCCTTGCTCTAAACACATTTTTCAATAAAAATGAGAGAAGACAAATAAATAAATTAAATTTTCAGCTCAAAACACTAGAGGAAAGAACAGCAACATAAATAAAAATAGGACACAAGATTGTTACCAAAATATTTCAGTTCTGTTTTTAAAGTTGCAAATGGGGGTGTCGGAGAAAATTTAGTTCTGAAATGCCAATCTGATCTTCTAATAATTTTTACTTTATGTCTTTATTCCTCAAACCACCACAGCAATGGCATGAGCAACATTTTCTCTAATAGCACTTATGGTTCTCAGCCTTTTCTAGTAAGACATTATCAGATGTGCTACTACTGCCCAGGAAGGAATGACTCTTTAGATCAAAGAATGTATGAATGATGACATGTTTGGGGGTATTTGCAATTAATTAAACTAGTATGCAAAGGCTTCTAAGTCAAAAGGAAGAAGGGATTCAGAAGAAAGCCTTTTCCTCTCTGCAATTTTTTTTTCTCTACTTGTCTTGTAAGATAGCAAAGAGTCAAATGAACCTTTTCATATACTAGTTGAACTATCCAGGATTGAAATGACAACCAGATCAAATCTATCTAAGTGTAGTTATAAATTACAGAAGGCAGAAGCAATGTCAAATATAGACGTGAGGCACATGATCCAATGCAGAGTCAAAAATATTGTACCGTCTGTAATCCCAGCACTTTGGGAGGCCGAGGCAGGTGGATCACGAGGTCAGGAGATCGAGGCCAGCTTGACCAGCATGGTGAAACCCCGTCTCTACTAAAAATATAAAAATTAGCCAGGCGTGGTGGTAAGCGCCTGTAATCCCAGCTACTCGGGAGGCTGAGGCAGGAGAATCGCTCGAACATGGGAGGCGGAGGTTGCAGTGAGCCGAGACTGTGCCACTGCATTCCAGCCTGGGCAACAGAGTGAGACTCCGTCTCAAAAAAAAAAAAAAAAAAAAAAAAAAAAAGAATTGTACGCGCCTGATTCAGCAAAAGGAATTCATTGTGTCCGAAGATTTAGCCTGAGATCTTCTTGAAGAAAAAAATTCATATTTGAAAAAGTCATTAAGATGTGCATTTCTCAGTTAACTTTGTCTTTGTATAAGTAACAGGAGGATACACTGGGGAAGGAAGGAAGGATGAGAGAGTGAGAGAAAAAGAAAAGAAAGAAAACCTCTTTATATTAATTCCTCTGCTAGATGCTTTTGTGTATATCATCTTATTTAATGTGCACCCAAATAGTGTAAAATGATGTCATTTGCCCTCTATTTTATGTTTTAGGGAAATGACTCTTTTAGAGATTTACAAGGTTATTATGCTAATAGATGACTGAAGTGCAATAGAAGTTCATATTTTTCTGAATTCAAAGCAAAATCATCTTTATATAACTCTGCCTTTGTTTTCCCCTGTTCCTCTCATTCTTCCTTCTTTCACTCCATAAATATTTCCTGACTGCCAGTGTGCCAGGTACTGTTCTAGGCATGAGGGGTGGAGCAATGAACCAGACAAAGTCCTTGCTCTCATAGAACATACATTTTAATGGAGGAGACTGAACATGAACAGATGTATAAAGAAGAAAAGGATCAGATTGTGATATACAATACGAAGATAATTAAGCTAGTATAATAAGAGAGGGTGATTGCATGACTGCTTTAGATTGCAAGGCAGGGCAGATTGCTCTGAGAAGAGGATGTCGCTCCAAGGACAGATATTAACAAGGAATGAGTTTCTGTGTTTGAGGAGCAGAAAGAAGGCTAGTGGCTCTGGAGTGTAGGGAATGGGAGAGAACGATCTGAAATAGGTCACAGAGGTTAGTAGCAGCCTGATTGAGTAAAAGTTTGTAAATTGCAGTACAGAATGTGGGTTCCATCTTGAGGATGGTGGAAACTTTTAAACTGGAATTTAAGACCTATTTTAAGTTTTGACATATCACACTAGAGCAGTGGGATCATAATAATGCAAGCTTTAAATCCTCCCCAGTCATCTTCAACCAAGTGGATCATCTAGGACAGCAAAGGGAAAAAATCCTATAGACTATATTTTCAGCAAAATGATGGGCAAAGATTGTTTAATATCTTTATGGGCTCCAAGTTGCGGAAAAGGGGAAAAAAAAAACACTGCACACGGATATAGACAGGTCAGTGCTGTGATAGTCTAAAGGGCTTATCTTTGCTCTCAAAATTATCTGGCAAAAACTTCCTCCCAACGGGTCTAAACCTCACCTCATGGATACAGAATCAAAATGGAGCAAGACAATGATGCGATTAAGGGAGAGAGACGCCTAAAAGAAAGAGATCCTGGTAAATACTGAGCAAGAAAATCATTCTATCTAAAGATGAGAGCATTTCCCAGGACGGCAAGGCCATTGGAGCTCTAGAAAACATAGGACTCCAAACACAGAAAACATTCTTGACCCAGATCCAGCTCTGAGAGAGAGAGAGAGAGAGAGAAGGCTGGCAAGGCAGTGAGACCATGTTCCAGTCCTTTCGGTAGTAGTTAAGAAGCTCTTGAGCTATGAAGTTGTGAAACCACCACGGCCCATCCCCTTTCTCTCACAGAAAAATCTAGTTGTTGAAACATGGAAACCAAGAAGGAATATGATAAGACCCTGTACAGAATCACAAAAAGAAAAGTAGATATAAACATACCAGATGACATTCTGATAGATAATGAAAGCATACCAGAAACAGGACCACAAAGCAGACAAAACATGTAACCATATTCCTAATGATTCAAAAGACATTTTAAAAATGTGGCTTTGAAAGAAGGGCACATATCAGAACCAGAACAACTTAGAAATAATATGATTAGGCAATACAAATGAAATGATACAGTTAGGCAACAAATATGAAATGAGGGACTGACATACACAGAAAAGGAATGAAATTCTGAAATAAAACACAAATAAGAAGGTATATAAGATAGACATCATGGAAAACATAAGGGCAACATGGGAAATAAAGGAAAAAGGTGAAAATTGGGAAGTAAAGGATAAAGGGAATTTTTTTCAGAAGAAATAAAATGGATTTGAGGGCAAGTTATGCATAAAAAAAGTCTATTAGTTTCAACCATTGGGGAAGACAGTGTGGCAATTCCTCGAGGGTCTAGAACCAGAAATACCATTTGACCCAGCAATCCCATTACTGGGTATATGCCCAAAGACATATAAATCACTCTACTATAAAGACACATGCACATTTATGTTTATTGCAGCACTGTTCCCAATAGCAAAGACTTGGAACCAACCAAAATGCCTATCAATGATAGACTGGTTAAAGAAAATGTGGCACATATACACCATGGAATACTATGAAGCCATAAAAAAGAATGAGTTCATGTCCTTTGCAGGGACATGGATGAAGCTGGAAGTCAACATTCTCTGCAAACTAATACAAGAAGAGAAAACCAAACACCGCATGTCCTCACTCATAAGTGGGAGTTGAATAATGAGAACACACGGACACAGGGAGGGGCACATCACACATGGGGGTCTGTCAGGGGTGAGGGGCTAGCGGAGGGATAGCATTAGGGAGAAATACCTAATGTAGATGGCGGGTTGATGGGTGTAGCAAACTGCCATGGCAAGTGTATACCTATGTGACCATCCTGCACATTCTGCACATGTATCCCAGAACTTAAAGTATAATAAAAAAAAAAGGAAAGAAGATCAAATATTCATATAATTGGTGATACTGAAGCAGAGCTGTGGAAGAGAATAAATCTTAAGAAAACTCAATTTTTCCCTAAAATAAAAGAATTGAAATTTTATATTCAAAGGGCACATCATACATCTTGGAAACACAACCCCAAACACAGAACAGAGAGATGTACCCTAGTAAAACTAAACGGTTTTAAGAAAAGAACTGAGAATCGAGGCAAAGAGCTATGCTATTTAAAAAGAAAAGGAAATGATATTTGGATGATATCCTGACAGTCTTTTTTTAATAGAAATTTCAAAAATACAAAACAATGAAAAAAACATGTTTAAGGTATTTATTGAAAAATATGAAACAGAATTTTTATTGTCATTAAAAATATCCTTTAATTATAAAGGCCCCATACAAATACTTATGAATATGGAAAGATCCTGTGAAGACTGATCTAATGAACCTTTCCTGAAGAATCTGTTAGAGAATGAGCATTAGACAAACTCATGTGACTGGAGAAGCTTCAATATAAAGTCTGGGAGTGATCATTTAATAAATTTAACTATGGAACTCAACTAAAACACAGGTATCTGGTAACAAAAATAGGTAAACATTTTGTGCTCTAACAATATAGAGATAATAAAATTAGCAAAAATGTAGGACGTGAGGGGAAGGTTAAGTGAAATGTAAGAACTTATTGATTGTGTTATGTGTATTAGCTGGGAGTAAAAGAAAAGCCTTTGAAACTCAACACCTAGTTATAGAAGTTAAATATGTTTAAAAGCACTCTTGATAACACTAAGGCAATACTAGGTGACTAAAACAGTATAGTGAGGGAGAAGGAAGGAAGGGAGAAAAAAATTACAGTAATTTCACTACTGGTCATAATGGGGAAATGGGAATCTGTGAGTTTATCTAAAGAAAGAGGACAAAGTATATTCTGTAAAGGTGTTAGTAACAATTAGAATAAAATTACATTTTCTTTTTTAGTTGAACTTTTATTTTAGATTCAAGGAGTACATATGCAGTTTGTTACACGAGTATATTGTGTGACGCTGAGGTTTGGATTACAGTTGAACCCCTCACCCAGGTAGTGATCACAGGACTTCATCAAAGAGTTCTGAAAGGAGTTTTAACCTTTGGCCCTTCTCTCCCCCGCTTGCAGTTGCCAATGTCTATTGCTCTCATTTGTATATCCATGTGTACCCAATGTTTAGCTCCAATTTATATGTGAGAACAGTAAAAACAAAAACAAAAATATATGTGAGAACACGTGGTATTTGGTTTTCTGTTCTTGCATTAATTTGCTTAGGATAACCTCCAGCTGCATCCATGTTGCTGCAGAGGACATAATTTTATTCCTGTTTATGGCTGCATAGTATTTCATGGTGTATTTCTACCACTTTTCTTTATCCAATCCACTGTTGATGGCACCTAGGTTAATTCCATGTCTCTGCTATTGTGAGTGATGCTGCAATGAACATATGAGTGCATGTGTCTTTTTGGTAGAACGATTTATTTTCCTTTGAGTATATACCCAGTAATAGGATTGCTGAGTCAAATGGTCCTCAGATTTAAGTTCTTTGAGAAATCTCCAGATTGCTTTCCACAGTGGCTGAACTAATTTGCATTCCCACCAGCAGTGTATAAGCATTCCCTTTTCTTTATGGCCTTGCCAACATCTGTTATTTTTTGACTTTTTAATAATAGCCATTCTGACTGGTGTGAGATGATGTCTCATTGTGGTTTTGATTTGCATTTCTCTGATGATTAGTGATGCTCGGCATTTTTTCATATGTGTTTGCTGCCTGTATAACTTCTTGTGAAAAGTATCCATTCATGACTTTTGCCAATTTTAATGGGGTTGCTTTTGTTTGTTGATTTGTTTAAGTTTCTCATAGATTCTGGATAGTAGATCTTTGTCAGATGCATAGTTTGCAAATATTTTTTGTCATTCTATAGTTTGCCTGTTTACTCTGTTAATAGATTCTTTTGCTGTGCAGAAGCTCTTTAGTTTAATTAGGTTCCCCTTTAATTTTTGTTTTTGTTGCAATTACTTTTGAGGACTTAATCATAAATTATTTGCCAAGGCCAATGTCCAGAAGGGTATTTCCTAGGTTTTCTTCTAGGATTTTTATAGTTTTAAATCTTACATTTAAGTTTTTATTCACCTTGAGTTAATTTTTTGTATATGGTCACAGGTAGCAGTTTAGTTCCATTCTTCTGGATATGGATAGCCAAATATCTCAGCACAATTTACTGAATACGGTATTTTTTTTACCCATTATTTATTTTTATCAACTTTGTCAAAGATCAGTTGTTGTAAATGTGTGGCTTTATTTCTGGGTTTTCCATTCTGTCCCATTGATCTATATGTCTGTTTTTATATTAGTACCATGATGTTTTGGTTATTGTAGCCTTGTAGTATAGTTTGAAGTCAGGTAATATGATGCTTCTGGCTTTGTTCTTTTTTGCTTAGAATTGCTTTGGCTATTCAAGCTCTTTTTTGGTTCTGTATAAATTTTAGAATAGTTTTTCTTTCTAATTCTTTGAAAAATGACATTGGTATTTGAGAGAAAGAGTAGTGAATCTGTAGATTGCTTTAGGCAGCATGGCCATTTTAAGGGTATTGATTCTTCCAATCTATGAGCATGGAATGATTTTTTTATTATTTTGTGTCATCTATGATTTCTTTTAGCAGTGTTCTGTAGTTCTTCTTGCAGAGATCTTTCACTTTCTTGTAAAATTACAACACTTTCTACTTTCTACACACACACACACACACACACACACACCACACACACACAGATCACATACAAATACCCCTCCTGACAGAAGAGCAAGGAAAACAAACACACAGTGAAAGATTTTTATTGTATAAATAAACATACATTATATTATCTCAGATATTAAATAACAAGATTTGCAGACTAAGCAAAACCCAATGCTTTATATTACTCCTGAAACGTATCTAAAATGAATGATTCAGAAAGGTTAAATACAAAAGGATGCTAAAAACTGTACCAGAAACATTTAAGGAAAAAGAAAGTGGAGGTCATAATTTTTATATTAGACAAAAATAGAATTCAGATCAAAGAACATTAAATAAGACAGAAGAGAGGCACTTTACACTTCTAAAGGCTAAAATTTATGATGAAGATGGAATAGTTATTAAGAGTTATGCACTTAGTAACAAAGCATCAACTTGCATAAAGCAAAAACTATAGGAAAAGAAGAAATACAATAAACACACTGAAAACACAGAACTTTAACCATATTTTCAGAGTACTCTCACAGTTCAAAGACCAAAAAAATCCATAAGGATATAAATATATAATGAATAAGAAACTTATTTTCAATCACATGTGAACCAATTATGAAACTGATTAATGAATAGGCCTCAAATAAAACATCAGTAAATTCCAAATTTTATATGTGTATGTATATATATGCATATTTGTGCATATATGTATATATGTGCATATATGTATATGTGCACATATATGTATATGTGCACACACATACATACACAGCATTCTCTGATAATTATGCAATAAAACTAGAAATTAACAATAAAGTAAGAAACAAAAATGACCTACCACATGGGTATGAAAAAGAAATAAATGACTAGCCTGGTAAGAATTAACACTTTAGAAAATGAATGACTAAGAAGCAGGATTTGCTGATGGATTGGATATGGTTAGGTACTATAGAGAGGTACCAGGACATCAACTAGATTTTGGGCTTAAGAAACTGGAACTAGTTGGGTCGGGCGCAGTGGCTCACGCCTGTAATCCCAGCACTTTGGGAGGTCGAGTTGGGCAGATCATGCGGTCAGGAGATCGAGACCACCCTGGCTAACACGGTGAAACCCCGTCTCTACTAAAAATACAAAAAATTAGCCGGGCGAGGTGACGGGCCCCTGTAGTCCCAGCTAGTCCGGAGGCTGAGGCAGGAGAATGGCGTGAACCCGGGGGGCGGAGCCTGCAGTGAGACAAGATCGCGCCACTGCACTCCAGCCTGGGTGACAGAGCGAGACTCCGTCTCAAAAAAAAAAAAAAAAAAAAAAAAAAGAAAGAAAAAAAAAGAAACTGGAACTAGTTATTCAGGTAGGAAAGACTGGGAGAAAAGATAGTAATGATAGAAATAAAGATTCTATTTTGATCATGTTAAAAATGAGCTGCTTATTCAACATTTATTTGAGAACTGAATATATTCATCTTCCACCCCAAGAAGCCTATCAAATATTCCCTTTGAGCACATCCAGTAATCTCCCTGAAAGGAGTTCTGGTCAACACATTTTGTTCCATTTCATTACTTTTCCAAGACAGTCTAGAGCTGCAGTATTTCAGTGCCCCATGTATACTGCTGACCTCAGTAACTGACCAGTTGTCCCACTTCTTGGTCTAACTCTCTGACTGCACTGGTGACAGACCGGTGATTGGAACTCAGGTTTCCTGACTTTTTATCCATTTCCACAATTATGGCTTCAACTGAACATAGGCAAAACACAGACTTACTTTAAACAATTGTAGAGCATCAGCTCTTGCTAATTCTGAAGCTCTCTTTCATTTTAAATAACAAACACTTTATCCAAATATATGTGCAGTTGCCCTTCCTTCCTAACCTTGGCTTTCAGCAGTTGCTTTGATATTTATTTTGGAGATGTAAAGACTCATGTTATGTATATGCCAGTATTGGAAACGGTAAGCTAAGATGCATGTCCTGTTCTCTCCCACAGCTTGATATTTTTTCTGCTTTTCTTGGGACAGAATCACTTGGGTTTTATTTATTTATTTGATACTTGATTACATCTTATCAAATCCAATGCAGATTCTCATGCCAAGGATCTGACTGAAGGTCAAGAAAAAAAAGCATAAAATGTAAAAGGAAGTTCACAGGATGATTACACAGGACACAAGTCAGACTCAATAATTTTCTTAAAGACTCCAGTGGTCTACATTGGGTCAAGAATCTAAGCCCATTACCTAGTCAGCGTGAGCAAGAACCCAGAGAAAAGGACAGGAGCAGGTCATTACCACATCTTCTGCCCATAATAAATCATAGAGTTAAAAGGAAGCTTTACAGATGATCTAGTATAGACTCTGTTGACTTTATAGAACTAACTTATATTTTACACATAAGATACTTGAGCCCAGACACTTAGTAAGAGGGTGTGAGTCAGAATCAAAGGCCAACTGAGCGTCATGTTTTCTGCTGGGTCCAATTTGGATTGCCTAACTATTATTATCACTGCTACTGAGCTACGAGACTTATAGCTTCCCTGCAATAAAGGAAGTGAGTGAAAGAGACTGGTTGATTGGACCGGGGGAGAGAAAAATTGAAATGGAAAAGAGAAGAGAATAAAATTTATTAAGTATGAACTATAGGTATACTCTATGGTATATATTTTATAGATGCTATCTAATTTAATCATCGCGTAGATCCAGTTGGGTAGGTATCATCCCCGATTTACAGGCTAAGAAACTGAATTTAAGAGAGATGACATAATTTGCCCATCCGTAGAGCTACGCATTTGTTTCTTGGCGTGCCTATTACATTGTTCATTGTTTTGACCCTTTCCTATAAGTAGTGTGTTGTTGCCAGATTTTTTTCTTTAATTGATGCTTAGTCTAGTATGAGAAGTTTCAGACTAGGAAATTAATTTAGTAGCAAGCAAAACAAGTAGCTTAAGAATCAGTTCGAAAGTCTGAATTAATATAATACATTTTAGAGCAGAATTTAAAGAAATATACGCATATAAGAAGTGTTGGAACCCATTTTGAGTTAATTACTGTTTTTCAAATTTAGAATTACTTGTTCAATTTTAGAAGACTTATTGAGACTCTGAAGAAACGGACATTAAACCTATTAGCTTACAAAAATAATCAATATATTTTCAGTACTCAAGAGTGTGATAGTCTCTCCATGTATTCATTTCCTTTCGTGTCCCTCAGTAAATTTTGCAGTTATATATGTCATATATATTCCTTTTAAAAATTATTTCTAGTTTTTACATACATTATTGCTACTATAATTGGATTTTTCTTGTTAAAATTCCCATTCCATTTACCCGAAGTATGGGAGATATTAATTTTTCATATTTTAAAATTATAATCTCATTTATCATGTGATTCCTGGAGGTTTTTTGGAAGGAGAATTCTAGGGCTAAATATAATATAACCTGCGAATGATGATAATTTTGCCTATTTGTCACCAGATATGCCTCTTATTTCTGATTATTTTCATGTAGTTTTGGTTGGAAATGCAGAAACAACACTAAATGACTCATGCTGAGAGAATTCATCTTATTCCTGTTTCTGGATTCTAAGGAAATATCTCTGTTGCATTTTAAACGGTGATTGCTGGCTATTGGACTAAGGTTTTCTTAATTGGTTTTATAAATACTGTTACTTTTTTACTCATGTAACCAACTAAATAATTGTCTTTTTTGACCAAATGAGGAGATATTTGTAGATTTTCTAGTATTCAATCCTATGTTTTTGGAATGAAGCCAGCTGAGGCATACTGAATTACTTATTTAAAATATTACAGAAAGCAAGTTGTGATTACTTTATTTATGACTTTTTTAACAGATGAAAGAACTCTATAGTTTTTCCATTTGGGAACAAAATTATTAATTAATTTTATGTCTTTAAATGAATTTGAAACATTATATTTGTTTTTACATGGGGCAGTTTATAACAAAATATTTGCTTTGGAGAAGATTAAATTCACTTAAACAGCTTGGAAATTTGGGTACTTTTCCTTGAGAGTGTTTTTAACTTCTTCCTCAGTTTTTGATCTTTTTTATGTTTCTAATTTACTCAATTTTTAGAATTCACATTTTCCTAGAAAATAATTCATCTCATCAAAATTTTGTGAATATATTATCAAAACATTGACCACTACAGACTCATAAATGCTTTCAATATCCTCCTAATAACTTATCTAATTATTCATTTCTAATTTGGTGTATTTATGTCTTTTTTCTTGTATAAACTTGCAATTATGCCATTTTTTGTCCTTTTTCTAGTGAAACACCCTTAGATCTGTAAATTGTAATTTTATATTTTCAAGATATTATTTCTCATAATAATTTTTCTTCTTCCAGTTTAATTTGATTTTACCATTATTTTTAAATTTTGAGTTAAATTGCAATGGATTTGCATTGCTTCTTTTTAAGTAATAATGGAAACATTTAAAACCAGGAATTTTATTTTTAACTACCAATTGACCACAATATGTAATTTTTTTATATGACTTGTTTTCACGATATGTCTTTTGATTTTACATTTGCCCTCAAAATGTGGAATATATTTTATAAATATTTCCTCTTGGGTTGATTAATTTTATTTACTTAATTTTTAATAAACTTTAAGAATGCTTTTTCTATTGTGTTACAGAAATGCGTTTCATATAATCATTGAATAGCAATTGCATTACATAGTTTGCAATTTCACATAGACTCAGAAATTTGTTTGAAACATACCTCATTAGGAACACACATGCTGTTACTATTGTTTGTATTATGTAAACAGAGCATTGGAGTCAAATGGCAGGCTTTAAAGCCTGGCTGATCACCTTTGCACCGAGGCCCTCCCACTCTCTTGCTATGGACCTTCACTCATGTTTACTAAACACCTCTCAGTATTATCATTTGTAAGATGGGGTTAATTATACATATACAATCATGTGCTACATAATGATGTTTGCTCAACAATCAGTTGCGTATATGACAGCGGTCTCATAAGATTATGCTACCATATTTTTACTGGACCTTTTTTATAGTAAATGCATTTAGGAACACAAACCCTTGCCATTATGTTACAATTGCCTACAGTTTTCAGCACAGTAACATGCGGTACAGATTTGTAGCCCAGGAGCAATAGGCCATACCATATAGCCCAAGTGAATGATAGGCTATATCATCTAGGTTTGTGCAAGTATACTCTATGATTTTTGCAAGACAACGAAATCACCTATTGACATGTTTTTCAGAAAGTATCTCTGTTCTCAAGCAATGCATGGTTGTTATCTTTAGCTAAGATGATGAAGTAAAGCACTACGCATAAGCCCTGGTGCAAAGCAAATGCGCAAATAGTCATTCTTTTTCCTGTTTGCTGTCTTAATCACTTAAAAATTGTAAATGATGGGGTAAAGTTTTCCTTTAATAAAAAAAGTTCATTTTTCCTGATTTATCCATATTCTCAGATGTTGCTTTATATGTTTCAGAAAGTATATATATAAATTTTGTTTTCCCCTTATCAATGCAAATTAAACTCTATTCAGTTAGTAATATTTGACTTGAGTTGTCTTTTTGCTAGTAGTAATATTGTCCCAGGTTTTCTCTGTGGTCACTTAATGATTTTTTTCTTTAATATTTTTGTGCCATTTTGTGTTACCTATATGTTGCTTACATTTAGATTTTTTTAAAAATACGACTTTTTGTCATCTATTAGGGAATTTTTAACCACCTACCATTAATGTCACACAATGTGTTTGGTTATATTTTTGTGAATTTATATTTCTGTTTTAATTTCTTGCTCATTTCTTTTTGTCCTACATATGAAACATCTGTTCTCCTACCACTAGTGTTTTGAAAGCTATAATCCCTATGTGTGTTAACTTTACCTTTAATAAAAGTCCAGTATATAATACTCATGATTGAGAGGCTAGGCCCTGTGTTGCACACCTGTAATCTCAGCACTTCAGGAGGCCAAGGTGGGAGGATCACTTTAGCCCAGGAGTTTGAGGCTACAGTGAGCTATGATCACACCACTGCAATCCAGCCTGAGAGACAGAGCAAGACCCTATCTCAAAAAGAAAAAGAGCAAATAAATTGTGATTGAAAATATTGTGAAGGGAATAGCACCCATTCAAATGCTGTTATATAGGGAAAGAAAATCAGCAACTTTTGAAAAAAAATTTTGATCAGAACTTTTCCAACATATTACAGAGTCTGTGATTACAATTTAACATTTAAACAGGGATTTCAGACATTCAATTATTATTTGTATTACATTCCTACACTCTTAAGAATAATTTGTCACATTTTTAATGTTTTATAATTATCTTGACAATATTTTGTTTCAAGAATGAATTTAAATGATTTTTTTAAACTTCCCAATTTTTAATAAATATTTTCCTAATTTTGGATTCTTTACATTAATTCTTTTATTCTATTAACCAAAATATGTTTGGTAATATTTTGAAAAAAAACATAATTTTTTTTTTAGATTTAAATGAAAAAGTTATTTGCTATTACACAGAAGTGACACAATGTCTGCTATAAAAATTGGGAACCAATGTTTTTTCCTTTCAAAATTGCATTAATTTTGCTCCTTTTTTTGTAACTTTTTTATACAAAGTTGAATCCTAAACCAATACTAATTCTTTCTTAAATAATTAATTAAAAAACATTTTTAATTTTAAAAGTTTTAGAGCATTTTTAGATTTACAGCAAAATTGTGAAAACAATACAGAATAACTACATACTTTACACCCAGCTACCCCTATTATTAACATCTTCCATGATATACAGTTAACCCTTGAATAACACAAGTTTGAACTGAGAGGGTCCACATATATGTAAATTTTCTCCTGCTTCTGCCACCCCTAAGACAGCAAGACCAACTCCTCCTCTTCCTCTTCCTTTTTAGCTTACTCAATATGAAGATGATGAGGATGATAATCTTTTTGATGATCCACCTCCACTTAATGAATAGTAAATATATTTTCTCTTCCTTATAATTTTCTTAGTAACTTTTTCTCTAGCTTACTTTATTGAAAGAATACTGTATATAATAAATATAACAAAATATATGTTTATATACTGTTTATGTTCTCGGTATGGCTCTGGTCAACTAGTATACTAGTAGTTAGGTTTTGGGGAAGTTAAAAGTTATAGATGGAGAGAGTCTCCAAGATGGCCAAATAGGAAGAGCTCTGGTCTGCAGCTCCCAGTGAGATCAATGCAGAAGGTGGGTAATTTCTGCATTTCCAACTGAGGTACCTGGTTCATCTCACTGGGACTGGTTGGACAGTGGATGCAGCCCAAGGAGGGTGAGCCAAAACAGGGTAGGGTGTTACCTCACCCAGGAAGTGCAAGGCGTCAGGGAACTCCCTCTCCTAGCCAAGGGAAGTCATTAGGGACTGTACCATGCACTCTGGCCCAGATACTGAGCTTTTCCCACTGTCTTCACAACCCGCAGATCAGGAGATTCCCTCCAGTGCCTACACCACCAGGGTCCTGGGTTTCCAACACAAAACTGGGCAGCCATTTGGGCAGACACTGAGTAGTTTTTTTTCATAATCCAGTTGCACTTGGAATGCCAGTGAGACAGAACCATTCACTCCCCTGGAAAAGGGGCTAAAGCCAGGGAGCCAAGTGGTCTGGCTTGGTGGGTCCCACCCCCACGGAGCCCGACAAGCTAAGATCCACTTGCTTGAAATTCTTGTGCCAGCACAGCAATTGGAGCCCGACCTGGGACACTAAGCTTGGTGGGGGGAGGGGCGTCCGCCATTGCTGAGGCTTGAGTAGGTGGTTTTACCCTCACAGTGTAAACAAAGCCGCCTGAAAGTTTCAACTGGGCGGAGCCCACCACAGCTCAGCAAGGCCACTGAGGCCAGACTGCCTCTCTAGATTCCTTCCTCTCTGGGCAGAGTATCTCTGAAAGAAAGGCAGCAGTCCCAGTCAGGGACTTATAGATAAAACCCCCACCTCCCTGGGACAGAGCACCTGGGGTAAGGGGCAGTTGTGGGCATGGCTTCAGCAGACTTAAACGTCCCTACCAGGCAGCTCTGAAGAGAGCAGTGGATCTCCCAGCATAGAGTTCGAGCTCTGATAAGGGACAGACTGCCTCTTCAAGTGGGTTCCTGACCCCCGTGTATCCTGACTGGAAGATATCTCCCAGTAGGGGCCGATAAAAACCTCATACAGGAGACCTCTGCCTGGCATCTGGCGGGTACCCCTCTGGGATGAAGCTTCCAGAGGAAGGAACAGGTAGCAATCTTTGTTGTTCTTCAGCCTCCACCAGTGATACCCAGGCAAACAGGGTCTAGAGTGGACCTCCAGCAAACTGCAGCAGAGGGGCCTGACTGTTAGAAGGAAAACTAATAAACAGAAAGGAATACTATTGACATCAACAAAAAGGACATCCACTCAGAGACCCCCATCTGAAGGTCACCAACCTCACAGACCAAAGGTAGATAAATCCACAATGATGGGGAGAAACCAGAGCAAAAAGGCTGAAAATTCCAAAAACTAGAATGCCTCTTCTCCTCCAAAGGATCACAACTCCTCACCAGCAAGGGAACAAAACTGGACAGAGAATGAGTTTGATGAATTGACAGAGGTAGGCTTCAGACAGTGGGTAATAACAAACTCCTCCATGCTAAAGGAGCATGTTCTAATCCAATACAAGGAAGCTAAGAACCATGAAAAGATGTTAGATGAATTGCTAACTAGAATAACCAGTCTAGAGAAGAACATAAATGACCTGATGGAGCTGAGAAACACAGCATGGGAACTTCGTGAAGCATATACAAGTATCAATAGCTGAATCAATCAAGCAGAAGAAAGGATATCAGAGATGGAAGATCAAGTCAATTAAATTAAGCAAGAGGATAAGATTAGAGAAAAAAAGAGTGAAAACAAATGAACAAAGCCTCCAAGAAATATGGGACTATGTGAAAAAAACCAAATCTACATTTGATTGGTGTACCTGAAAGTGATAGGGAGAATGGAAATGAGTTGGAAAACACTTCAGGATATTATCCAGGAGAACTTCCCCAACCTAGCAAGGCAGGCCAACATTCAAATTCAGGAAATACAGAGAAGACCACAAACATACTCCACGAGAAGAGTAACCCCAAGACACATAATCTTAAGATTCACCAAGGTTGAAATGAAGGAAAAAATGTTAAGGACAGCCAGAGAAAAAGGTCGGGTTATGAACAAAGGGTTACCATCAGACCAACAGCAGATCTCTCAGTAGAAACCCTACAAGCCAGAAGAGAGTGGGGGTCAATATTCAACATTCTTAAAGAAAAGAATTTTCATCCCAGAATTTCATATCCAGCCAAACTAAGCTTCATAAGTGAAGGAGAAATAAAATCCTTTACAGACAAGGAAATACTGAGAAATTTTGTCACCACCAGGCCTGCCCTACAAGAGCTCCAGAAAGAAGCACGAAACATGGAAAGGAACAACCAGTGCCAGCCACTATAAAAACATACCAAATCGTAAAAACCATCAATGCTAGGAAGAAACTGTATCAACTAACGGGCAAAATAACCAGCTAGCATCATAATGGCAGGATCAAATTCACACGTAACAATATTAACCTTAAATGAAAACAAGCTAAATATCTCCTGGCAAACTGGATAAAGAGTCAAAACCCATCAGTGTGCTGTATTCAGGAGACCCATCTCACATGCAAAGACACATATAGGCTAAAAATAAAGGGATGGAGGAATATTTACCAAGCAAATGGAAAGCAAAAAAAGAGCAGGGGTTACAATTCTAGTCTCTGATAAAACAGACTTTAAACCAACAAAGATCAAAAGAGACAAAGAGGGTCATTAGACAATGGTAAAGGGATCAATTCAACAAGAAGAGCTAACTATCCTAAATATATATGCACCCAATACAGGAGCACCCAGATTCATAAAGCAAGTCCTTAGAGACCTACAAAGAGACTTAGACTCCCACACAATAATAGTGGGAGACTTTAACACCCCACTGTCAATATTAAACTGATCAATGAGACAGAAATTTAACAAGGATATCCAGGACTTGAACTCGGCTCTGGACCAAGCAGAACTAATAGACATCTACAGAACTCTCCACCCCAAATCAACAGAATATACACTCTTCTCAGCACCACATTGCAATTATTCTAAAACTGACCACATAATTGGAAGTAAAACACTCCTCAGCAAATGCAAAAGAACGAAAATCATAACAAACAGTCTCTCAGGCCACAGTACAATCAAATTAGAACTCAAGATTAAGAAACTCACTCAAAATTTCACAACTACATGGAAACTGAACAACCTACTCCTGAATGACTACTGGGTAAATAACGAAATGAAGGCAGAATAAAGATGTTCTTTGAAACCAATGAGAACAAAGACACAATGTACCAGAATCTCTGGGCCACATTTAAAGCAGTGTGTAGAGGGAAATTTACAGCACTAAATCCCCACAAGAGAAAGCAGGAAAGATCTAAAATTGACACCCTAACATCACAATTAATAGAACTAGAGAAGCAAAAGCAAACAAATTCAAAAGCTAGCAGAAGACAATAAATAAGATCACAGCAGAACTGAAGGAAATAGGGACACGAAAAACCCTTAAATAAATGAATCCAGGAGCTGGTTTTTTGAAAAGATTAACAAAATTGATTGACTGCTAGTAAGACTAATAAAGAAAAAAAGAGAGAAGAATCAAATAGATGCAATAAAAGATGATAAAGGGGATATCACCACCAATCCCACAGAAATACGAGCTACCATCTGAGGATACTATAAACAACTCTATGCAAATAAACTAGAAAATCTAGAAGAAATAGATAAATTCCTTAACACATGCACCCTCCCAAGACTAAATCAAGAATAAGTCTAATCCCTGAATAGACCAATAACAAGTTCTGATATTGAGGCAGCAATTAATAGTCTACCAACCAAAAAAAGTCCAGGACCAGATGGATTCACAGCCAAATTCTACCAGAGGTACAAAGAGGAGCTGGTACCATTCCTTTTGAAACTATTTCAATCAATAGAAAAAGAGGGAATCCTCCGTAACTCACTTTATGAGGCCAGCATCATCCTGATACCAAAACCTGGCAGAGACACAACAAAAGAAGAAAATTTCAGGCCAATATCCCTGATGATCATCGATGTGAAAATCCTCAATAAAATACTGGCAAACCGAATCCAGCAGCACATCAAAAAGCTTATCCACCATGATCAAGTAGGCTTCATTCCTGAGATGCAAGGCTGGTTCAACATATGCAAATCAATAAACATAATCCATGACATAAACAGAACCAATGACAAAAACCACATGATTATCTTGATAGATACAGAAAAGACCTTCAACAAAATTCAACAACCCTTCATGCTAAAAACTCTCAATAAACTAGGCATTGATGGAACATATCTCAAAATGGTAAGAGCTATTTATTACAAACCAACAGCCAATATCATACTGAATGGGCAAAAACTGGAAGCATTCCCTTTGAAAACCAGCACAAGACAAGGATGCCCTCTCTCACCACTCCTATTCAACATATATTGGAAGTTCTGGCCAGGGCAATCAGGCAGGAGAAAGAAGTAAAGGGTATTCAAATCGGAAGAGAGGAAGTCAAATTGTCCCTGTTTGCAGATGACATGATTGTATATTTAGAAAACCCCAATGTCTCAGCCCAAAATCTCCTTAAGCTGATAAGCAACTGCAGCAAAGTCTCAGGATATAAAATCAATGTGCAAAAATCCCAAGCATTCCTATACACCGTAACAGACAAACAGAGAGCCAAATCATGAGTGAACTCCCATTCACAATCGCTACAAAGAGAATAAAATACCTAGGAATCCAACTTACAAGAGATGTGAAGGACTTTTTCAAGAAGAACTACAAACCACTGCTCAAGGAAATAAGAGGGGACACAAACACATGGAACAACATTCCATGCCCATGGATAGGAAGACTCAATATCATGAAAATGACCATACTGCCCAAAGTCATTTATAGATTCAATGCTGTCCCCATCAAGCTACCACTGACTTTCTTCACAGAATTAGAAAAAGCTACATTAAATTTCATATGAAACCAAAAAAGAGCCCACATACCCATGACAATCCTAAGCAGAAAGAAAAAAGCTGGAGGCCTCATGCTACCTGACTTCAAACTACACTACAAGGCTACAGCAACAAAAACCGCATGGTACTGGTACCAAAACTGAGATACAGACTAATGGAACAGAACAGAGCCCTCAGAAATAACACCACACATCTACAACCATCTGATCTTTGACAAACCTGACAAAAACAAGCAATGCGAAAAGGATTCCCTATTTAATAAATGGTGTTGGGAAAACTGGGTAGCCATATGCAGAAAACTGAAACTGGATCTCTTCCTTACACCTTATACAAAAATTAACTCAAGATAGATAAAGACTTAAACATAAGATCTAAAACCATAAACATCCTAGAAGTAAACCTAGGCAATACCATTCAGGACATAGGCATGGGCAAAGACTTCATGACTAAAACACCAAAAGCAATGGCAACAAAAGTCAAAATTGACAAATGAATTTGACTAAAGAGCTTCTGCACAGCAAAATAAACTATCATCAGAGTGAACAGGTAACATACAGAATGGGAGAAAATTTTTTGCAACCTATCCATCTGACAAAGGGCTAATATCCACAATCTACAAAGAACTTAAACAAATTTACAACAAAAAACAAACAACCCCATCAAAAAGTGGGCAAAGGAAACCAACAGACAGTTCTCAAAAGAAGACATTTATGCAGCCATCAAACATATGAATAAAAGCTCATCATCACTGGTCATTAGAGAAATGCAAATCAAAACCACAATGAGATACCATCTCACGCCAGTTAGAATGGCAATCATTAGAAAGTCAGGAAACAACAGATGCTGGAAAGGATGTGGAGAAATAGGAAAGCTTTTACACTGTTGGTGGGAGTGTAAATTAGTTCAACCATTGTGGAAGACAGTGTGGCGATTCCTCAAGGATCTAGAACCAGAAATACCATTTGACTCAGTGATCCCATTACTGGGTATATACCAAAAGGATTAGAAATCATGCTACTATAAAGACACATGCACACGTGTGTTTATTGTGGCACTGTTCACAATAGCAAAGACTTGGAACCAACCCAAATGTCCATCAATGATAGACTGGATAAAGAAAATGTGGCACATATACACTACAGAATACTATGCAGCCATAAAAAAGGATGAGTTCATTTCCTTTGCAGGGACATGGTTGATGCTGGAAACCACCATTCTCAGCAAACTAACACAAGAACGGAAAACCAAACACTGCGTGTTCTCACTCATAAGTGGGAGTTGATCAATGAAACCACATTGACACAGGGAGGGGAACATCACTCCCTGGGGCCTGTGGGGGGTGGGGGGCTAGGCGAGGGATTGCATTAGGAGAAGTACCTAATGTGGATGATGGGCTGATGGATGCAGCAAACCACCATGGCATGTGTATACCTATGTAGTAAACCTGCATGTTCTGCACATATACCCCAGAACTTAAAGTATAATAAAAAATGTTTTATATGATAAAGTTTTCCCCACCCGAAAGTCCTTAATCTATTCATAATTTATTTTTGGATGTGATTGTCCACATCATTTACTTAATATCCACAGAAGTAGCAATATTGTTTACCAATCTTCTCCCTTTCTCCCATGAAGTATGGCCATTAAAGAATTCTCATAGTTACTTTCCTGGAAAGTAGATCTTATGACCCTCATTTAGACCAGTCCTGTCTTGTACCTAGAGTCCAAGAAGAGTCTGAACAAACAGTCCTTCCTAATGAGTTTATTTTACCACAGGATCATATGCCTTTTTCCTCCAGTCACAGTTTTGCATGATTGTTCATAAAAATATACAGTTTTCCCTGGGTCTTTGGGTCTTCATTTCTAACATCTACTGTGTCATGTAAAACTTTGGTTGAATAAATTCGTTATATTTTTATCTTAGTAAAAAAAAATTATAAGTGGATTTTCCACTGCACAGGGCGTCAGTGCTCCTAACCCTTGTGTTGTTCAAGGATCAACTGTTGTTCAAGGATCTAGGCTGTGGCAGTTTCTCAGACTTTCCTTATTGTTTTTCTTATAACATTGACGGTATAAAGGAGTACTAGTTAAATAGCTTTTACAATAGCCCTGAATTGGGATTGGTCTGATGCTTTTCTCATGATTAGCCTGGGGTTATGGGGTTTGGAAAGGAAGACTACAGACACAGAATGCCATTCTCATCACATCATGTCAAGGGTGCACACTCTTTCAGCATGACTCATCACTGCTTATGGTAACCTGGATCACCTGGCAGAGGTAGTTTTTGTCAGGCTTCTCAACTGAAGAGTTACTCTTACTTCCCCCATTTCTATGCTGCACTCTGGAAGGAACTCACTGTGTGCAGCCCACACTTAGTGGGTGGGGAGTTACGTTCCATCTTCTTGAGGGAGGAGTATCTACATAATTCATTAGGATTTCATCTTTATAAATTTGCCTCTTTCCTTCAATGTATTTATGTATTTGTTCATTTATTTATATCTGTACAGATTCATTGATATAGATTTTACATATCGGGTAATAATCCAATACCACTTTGTTTATTTTGTGGTTTAGATTGTTCCAACCATGACCATTGAGAGTTCTTTCATTTGGATGCTGTTCCTTTGACACTCCCTTCAATGTGAGTCTTTTTTTCTTTCTTCCTTCTTTTTCTCCTTTCCCCTTCCTTTCTTCCTTCCTTTTTTTCTTTCTTCCTTCCTTTTTATTTTTTTGGTGACCATTTCTTTCTTTCTGGTACTATAAAATGCCCCAGGCTCAGTCTGCATATTTCTAGCCCTTGTCAAAGAATCAGCCATTCCTCTCCAGAGCCCTAGTTCCTTTTACTGGAAAATTGTATTAGAAATCAAGATCTGGGTGCTAGGTATGCTCACTGATATTGAGATGCTCTTATTTCTAAGCTCTCTCAGCTGACAGAGTGAGGAAACATATGTGTGTATACTAAACCATGTATGTATATCTATAAATATTTCTATCTGTAACCATCTACGTCAACATTAAGCTAAACATGAGTTCATATTGATGTCTCTAACTGAAATCCATTACTACATTTGTCATTCTAGCTTCTTCCTGTTGTTTGTCTGTGACTTTCCACTCAAACAGGGAAAAATCTGGTTTCCACTACCTGGCATCTATTTATATGCTGTTTAATTATTTATATATATGGTGGTATCAGTATTGCTAACCTGTAGCTTTGTAGGAATCAAATTTATCTACTAAATTACAGTGTCTGTATGCAGGTTCATTTGCATTTAACCTTAAAATTCTAGCATTTTCAAAGTTACTTGGTTCAGAAATTCTTATTCCCACTTCTTTCAGTGAGATTATTTCATACATATGTAATACAGTTAGATTGTTTTGTTACATTTTGCATTTCATCTTGGGATATGCTGACCTCCCAAAGGATTTTTTAATTGCATGCATTAGTGTTAATTCTTTGTGCTACAAAATTCTACAGATTTTAATAATTGCATAATACATTACAATATAATACAGAATAATGTTACCATCCCAAAACATCTCCTGTGCTTCACCTATTCAACACTTCCTTCTTCTGCAACTCTGGAAACCACTGATCTTACTGTCACTATTGTTTTACTTTTTCCAGAATGTCACATAATTTGAATCCTACCATATGTAGACTTGTAAGTCTGACTTCTTTCACTTAGCAACATGCATTTAAGAATCATCCCTGTCTTTTTGTGGCTTGATAGCTAATTTCTTTCTTTTTAAATTATAATTTCATTTAGTTTTTATTAATACATAATATTTGTACACATTTATTGAGTGCATGTAATATTTTGTTACACGCATAGAAGGTGTAATGATCAGTCAAGGTATTTAGAATATCCATTACTTCAAATATTTATCAGTTCTATGAGTTAGGAACATTTCAAATTTTCTTTTCTAGCTATTTTGAAATCTACAATGCATTGTTGCTAACTGTATTCACCCTACTTGGCTATCAAACAGTAGAACTTTTTTCTACTTAACAGTACATTTATACCCATTTGCCAACCCCTCTTCACTCCCACCTCTGACCCACACACCATTCCTGGTCTCTGGTAACTATCATTGCACTCTCTACCTCCATGACATCAACTTTTCAGTCTTTCACATATGAGTGAGAGCATGCAATGTTTCTATTTCTGTGCCTGGCTTATTACAGTTAATGTAATGGCCTCCAGTCCATCTTTGTTGCACAAATGACATGATTTCATTCTTTCTTAGGCCGAATAGTATTCCATTGTGTAAATATAGATATACCAGATTTTATTTATTCCATTCTTCCATTGATATACACTTAGATTGATTTCATGTCTGCTATTAGGAATAGTGCTGCAATGAACATGGGGGTACAGATATCCCTTTGATATGCTGACTCTTTTCCCTTTGGATAAATACTCACTGGTGGGATGTCTGGATTGTATGGTAGTTCTATTTTTAGTTTTTTGAGACATCTCCATACTGTTTTCCATGGTGGTTGCACTAATTTACATTCCTACCAATGGTGTATAAGAGATCCCTTTCTCCACATCATTATCAACATCTGTTATTTTTAAAATAATACTCATTCTGACTAAGGTAAGATAGAATCTCAGTGTGGTTTTGGATTTGCAGTTCCCTGATTGGTGATGTTGTGTATTTTTTATAAATGTATTGGCCATTTGTATGTCTACTTTTGAAAAATGTCTATTCATGTGCTTTGCCCACTTTTTAAAAGGATTATTTGTGTTTTTACTACTGAGTTGAGTTCCTTATGTATTCTCAATATTAGTCCCGGTCAGATGAATAGTTTGCAAATATTTTCTGCCATCCAACAGATTGTCTCTTCACTCTGTTGATTGTTTCCTTTGCTGCGTGGAAGCCGTTTAGTTTAATATAGTCTCATTTGCATACTTTCGTTTTTGTTGCCTGTGCTTTTGAGGTACTAGCCATAATATCTTTGCCTAGACCAATGTCATAAAGTGTTTACTCTACGTTTTTTTCTAGTAGTTTTATAGTTTCTGGTCTTATGTTTAAGTCTTTAATCCGTACTTAGTTGATTTTTTTATGTGTTGAGAGACAGGGGTCAAATTTCATTCTTCTACATATGCATATCCAATTTTCCAGCATTGTTTATTGAAGAGGGTGTCCTTTCCCCAAGGTATGCTCTTGGCACCTTTATCAAAAATCATTTGGCTGTAAATGTGTGGATTTATTTCTAGGTTCTCATCCTGTTCCATTCATCTATGTTTTCATACCGGTACCATACAGTTTTGCTTACTAAAGCCTTGTAATATATTTTGAAGTCAGGTAGTGTGATATCTCCAGCTTTATTTGTACTGCTCAGGATTGCTTTGGCTATTTGAGCTATTCCTTGGTTCCATATGAATTTTAGGATTTTTTTTCTATTTCTGTGAAAAATGACATTGGTATTTTAATAGGGATTGCATTGAATCTGTAGATTGCTTTAATATGATTATTTTAACAATATTAATTCTTCTTGTTCATAAGCATAAATTGTCTCTCCATTTGCTTATGTCCTTTTCTTTTCATCAGTATTTTGTAGCTTTTCTTGCAGAGCTTTTTAACTTCCTTAGTTAAATTTATTTAGATGTGGGGTTTTTTGGTAGCTATTTTAAATAGAATTGCCTTCCTGATTTTTTTCTGAACTAGTTCATTATTTGTGTATAAAAATGCTACTAATTTTTTAATGTTGATTTTTGTATCCTGCTATTTATTGAATTTATTGATCAGATCAAAGAGTTTTTGATAGAGTCTAGGTTTTTCTAAGTATAAGATAAGATCATGTTATCTGCAAAGAAGGACAATTTGACTTTCTCTTTTCCAATTTGGAGGCCTTATTTTCTTTTTTTCCTGCCTGATTGTTCTGGCTAGGACTTCCAGTACTATGTTGAGTAGGAGTGGTGAAAGTGGGCATCCTTGTCTTATTACTGTTCTTAGACGAAAGGCTTTCAGCTTTTTCTTATTCAGTATGAAGTTAGTGAATTTGTCAGATAAAGGCTTTATTATGTTGAAATAGGTTCCTTCTATACCTAGCTTGTTGACAGTTTTTATCATGAAAAGATGTTGAATTTTACCAAATTCACTTTCTGTGTTTGTTGAGATAATCATACAGTTTTGTCTTACGTTCTGTTGATGTGATTTATCACACTTATTGATTGGCATATGTTAAACCACCCCTTATCCTGAGAATAAATCCCACTTAATCGTGGTATATTATCTTTCTGATATGCTGTTAGATTCGTTTGCTAGTAGCTTGTTTAGGGTTTTTACATTCATGTTCATCATGGATATTGGCCTGTGATTTTTCTTTTTTGTTGTATCTTGGGCTCAGTAACAGGGTAATGCTGGCCTCAGAGAGTGAGTTAAAGGGGATTCTCTTCTCTTCAATTTTTTGAAATAGTTTGACAAGAACTTGCATTATTTCTTCTTTATAAGTTTGGTAGAACTTGGCAGTGAAGCTATCTTGTCTGGGGCTTTTCTTTGATGGGAGATTTTTAATTGCTGATTTTATCTCCACTCATTATTGGTCTCTTCAGATTTTCAACTTCTTCCTGATTCAATCTTTGTAGGTTGTATCTGTCCAGGAATTTGTCTATTTCTTCTAGGTTTTCCAGTTTGTTAGCATATTGCTTTTCATAATAGTCTTTGATGAACTTTTGTGTTTCTGTGGTATCAGCTGTAATGTCTCCTTTTTCATTTCTAATTTTGTTTATTTGAGTCTTCTCTCTTTTTTCCTTTGTTATTCTAGTCAGTGGTTTATTCGTTTTGTTTATCTTTTCAAAACACCACCTTTCTGTTTCATTAATTTTTTGTATATTTTTTAGTCTCTATTTTGTTTAGTTCTGCTCTTTTATTATTTCTTTCCTTCTACTAAATTTGGGTTTGGTTTGTTATTGCTTTTCCATTTTCTTAAAGTGCACCATTAGCTTGTCTATATGAAATCTTTCTACTTTTTAGATGTAGACATTTATTGCTATAAGCTTTTCTCCCAGTGCTACTTTTGCTATATCCCATAGGTTTCCGTATGTTGCACTTCAATTCTAATTGGTTTCAATTTTTAGAAATTTTCTCCTTAATTTATTCCATGACTTAACGGTAATTCAGGAGCATGTTGTTTAATTTATATGTAGTTGTACAATTTCCAAAGTTTCTCTTGTTATTGATTTCCAGCTTTATTTCATTATAGTCTGAGAAGATACTTCATATTATTTGATTTTTAAAAATTTCTTGAGATTTGTTTTGTGTTCAACCATGGTCTATCCTGGAGAATGTTCTATGTGTTGATGAGAAGAATGTGTATTCTGTAGCTGTTAGATAAAATGCCCTATAGATGTCTGTTAGGTCTATTTAACATAACGTGCAATTTAAATCCAATTTGGGTTATTTTCTATGTAAGTGATCTGTATAGTGATGAAAATGAGGTATTGAAGTTGCCACCTATTACTGTGTTTGAGTCGTCTGTCTTATCTAACGCAAGTATAGCTACTCTTGTCTGCTTTGGTTTTCATTTTCAGAGAATATCTTTTTCCATCTTTTTACAGTCTATATGTGTCTTTACAGATGATGAATTCCTGTAGGCAGCATTTTACTGGGTCATGCTTTTTTTGAAAAAGAAATCTATACAGCCAATTTATGTCTTTTTTTTTTTTTCTTTTTTTTTTTTGAGATGAAGTCTCGCTCTGGCGCCCAGGCTGGGAGTGCATGCAGTGGCGCAATCTCAGCTCATTGCAAGCTCCGCCTACCAGGTTCACGCCATTCTCCTGCCTTAGCCTCCCAAGTAGCTGGGACTACAGGCACCCGCCACCACGCCCAGCTATATTTTTAGTAGAGATGGGGTTTCACCTTGTTAGCCAGGATGGTCTCGATCTCCTGACCTTGTGATCCGCCTGCCTCAGCCTTCCAAAGTGCTGGGATTACAGGCGTGAGCCACCATGCCTGGCCCAATTTATGTCTTTTAAGTGAAAAGTTTAATCTGTTTACATCCAAGGTTATTATTGATACGTGAGGTCTTATTCCTGTAATTTATTAATTGATTTCTGGTTGTTTTGTATTTTCTTTGTTCCTTTCTTTCCCTCTTACTGTTTTTCATTGTGATTTGGTGGTTTTCTTTAATGGAAATATTTCAGCCCTCTCTTCCATATTTGTGTGTTTGCTCTACCAGTGGGTTTTATACTTTTATGTATTTCATAATGGTGGACATTGTTCTTTTGTTTCCACGTGTAGGACTCCTTAAGCATTTCTTTTAAGGCCAGTCTAGCGGTAAGGAATCTTCAGCTTTTGCTTATCTGGGAAAGACTTTATTTCTCCTTCATTTATGAAAGATAACTTTGCTGGATATAGTATCCCTGTCTGTCAGTTTTTTTCTTTCAGCATTTTTTATTTATCATCCCATTCTCTCTTGGCCTGTAAGGTTTCTGCCGAGAAATCCACTGTTAGTCTAATGAGGTTCCCTTATAAGTGACTAGATGCTTTTCTCTTGCTATTTTTAGAAATCTCCGTTTGTCTTTTAACAGCTTGCATATAAAGTGCCGTGAGAAAGACCTTTTTGAACTGTATCTATTTGGAAATCCCTGAGCTTTCTGTATTTGAATGGCTAAAACTCTTGCTAGATTTGGTGAGATTTTGGCTATTATTCTTTGGTTAAACAGTATTTCTATACATTTGGTTTTCTCTTTGCCTTCTGGAATACTAAAAGTGTGAATGTTTGATGGCTTTATGGTGTCTTGTATGTTATATATACTTTGTTTTTTTTTTAATTTTTTAAAAAGTTTCATCTGACTAGGTTATTTCAAAAGACCTGTCTTCATATTCTGAAATTCTTTCTTTTGCTTGATCTAGTCTGTTGAAGATGTTGAATATGTTTTTTATTTCATTCAATGAATTCTTTGGCTCCAGGATTTCTGTTTGTTTCTTTTTAGTAATATCTATATCTTCGGTAAATTTCTTATTTATATCCTGAGTTATTTTTCTAATTTCCTTGTATTGCTTATCTCTGTTCTCTTGAATCTCATTGACTTCTTTAATAGTACTATTTTGAATTCTTTTTCCAGCATTTCATAAACTTCTTTTTCTTTGGAATCTGTTGCCAGAGAATTATTGTGTTCCTTTGGAGGAATTATATTTCCTTATATTTTTGCTTGTTATATCCTCACATTGATATCGGTGTACTTGTTGTAACAGTTACTTTTTCCATTTTTGTTTTTGTTTTTTTTTTTGAATTTGCTTTTGTAGGGCAAGACTTTTTCCTGAAGATGTGTATGTGGTGTTGGATAGGTACAGCACTTTGGCTTTGATTCAAGGTGCATGCAGTAGTGTGGTCTCCATATAATTTCTTTGGCTGTAAACATCATCATTGGTATCTGTGATTTCCTCAATGGCTCAGTGTGCGGTTGTTAATGAAGGCTTTAGTGAAGTTTTGCTAGGGATGAGAATGCCAGGTAGGCCAGTTCTCAGGTCCCAGTGGTGGCAGTGGGCAGGCCTAGCGTGTTTGTCCTTGGGCCCCAGGGTAGCATATGCTGGCACTGATGTTTGTGGGTCCAGGTGGGCTGATTCCTGGGCCTCTAGGCTGCTTGCTCAGTTGTTGGCCATGGTAGTAGTGGGCCAGGTGGGTGCAAAGGCCCTCAGGCCCCTGGGCAACAGTTATGGTGTGGGCAATGACAGTAGTAGTAGTTGGATAACCCTCCACCCACCAAGTGGTCCACACTGGTGTTGGTGGTGGCTGCATCAGGCTGGATATGCCAGTCCTCAGGCCCATAGGCAGCACATGCAGGTGGGTGCCATCTATGATGGTAGTAGTGGATTAAGTAGATCTGTCCTCAGGCCCCTGGGAGCAGTGCTCAGGTGCCATCAGTGATTGGATGGGCAGGGAAGTCTCAAGGCTCCTGGACAACGTGCACAGGCACTGAGGGAGGAGAATCTGGCTGGAAAGGCCTATCCTCAGGTCCACCAGTGGTGCATATGGATGCTACCTGTGGTAGGCAGGGTCATCACCAGGCCTCTGGTGGATGGCTTAGGTGGAACAGCAGTGGCAGCATTGTAGCCCTGCTGCTAGAGAGGGCAAGTTTGCTTTGAGTGGCAGCAGTCATAGACAGGCAGCTGGGGAACATGTGCTTCTACCCCAACTGGTGGCTACAGGCAGGAAAACCTGTCCTCATGGCAAGTCCAAATGTGTGGTGGCCCCTCTGCTGGGGGGTTGGGGTCACTGCCACTGGGGCTGTCTTTGATACTCAGTGGCAACAATGTGCAGTAGTGTCAGATTCAGGCATGGGAGCTTGTCCTTAAGAAGTGTGAAAATGTGTGGCAGACCCACTGCTGAGAGTGGCAGGGTTGCTGCCAATGGCTCATGCTTTAGTCCTGGCAGCAACAGCCAGCAGTGGCAGTGGCTGCAGGCAGAGGATGTCAATGGGGGCACCAGGGATATGGGGGTGCGGGGGCTCTTGGGCCCCAGGGCAGGATGCAGTCTGGTGGGGTCTGGGCTTTTAAAATGGCACCATGCTACAGCTGCTTAGGATTCAAAGAGTTTGGGGGGGGATCTAGGCTGAACCCCCTCTCTGAAGCAGTGCTGTTGTATGGTCTCCAGGCAATTCCCTGTGTTAGTCTCAGGGTCTGCAAGAGTTGAGGGGCTCTTTCTTGGCTAGGATGGCAGGAGTCCATGATTTGAATGTGACATATGTGACATTCTGGGGGTCTCTCACTCATTCCCCACATAGGGAAGACTTTCCAGGCTTTTAGACAATCCTGGCTGACAGGCTCTTTCATTTCCCTCTCTTTCTTTGCCTTAGGTGTTACTTGTTGCTGCTCTGTTGGATTCCAATGTTCTCTCTTAGATGATCTTGTCAAAGTGTGGTTATCTACTGCTGTTTTTGTTCTTTGTGAAGGAGGTGAGTGCCAGATGCTTCTACTCAGCCATTTTGGAGCCATCAACATTATCTTATTTATTTTTAATTTCTGAATACTATTCCATTGTATGGATGTACTACAGTTTGTTTACACATTCACCTACTAAAGGACATCTTGGTTTCCTCCAGTGTTTCATAATTATGAATAAAGCTGCTGTATGCATTTATGTGCAGGTTTTTGTATGGACATAATGTTTTCAAATCCGTTGGGTAAATACTTAGAGTGCAGTGGCTGGACTGCATGTTAAAACTATGTTTAGCTTTGTAAGAAACTGCCAAACTGTCTTCCACAGTAGCTATACTATTTTGCTTTTCTGCCAGCAATGAATGAGTGTTCCTTTTGCTCAGAATTTTTATCAATTTTGGTATTATCAGGGCTTTTTTCTCCTTTTGCATTTTAACTATTCTCATATGTGTGTAGTGATATCTTAGTGTTGTTTCCTTATATTTAAAGATGTGTTTGAGATGTTTATTTTTTCACAATTTAATTTTTTCTAGGTATGTATGGAATTCAGAACTTTTCTTTTTAACACCTAGATTCTCAGTTATATTTTCAACAAATCAAGTGTTATTTAGTTATATATTAGTGTTTCTGCTTCTATTCCAACTGTTTTGATTTATTTCTCAAGGAATTCATAATTCTGAAATTGTATTTTTATTCATCATCCTCCTATTACTATGATCTTTAACTTCCCTCCAATTTTTTGTTATTTTCCCCCCGCATCATAAGGCAGCTTCTCAAATTTGACCTTTATATCCCTGATTCAAGATTCTGAATTTCAAATTCTGTCTTCTAATGGAGGTTTTTAAATTCAGGTGCTGGATTTTTTTGTCTAGTTTCCTTATAGCATTCATCTCCCTTAACATTTCTGTTTTTCTTTAATCTCTTCTCTTGTAATGGCTTCATGTTCTCATTTTTTTAAAGCTTGATTTATTTGTAAAATCATTATTTTTTTTGTGGTATGATTCTCTCCAAGTCTTTAAAAGGAGATGGATTTAGTGTTTGACGGCAGTCAGGTTTTGTAGCTTGGCTTTCCCTTTACCTAATTAGTGATATATTTAAAAAAGTACTTTTACTTCTTCTTTTTTTGGAAAACATAAACCATTGGTAGAATATACAAAAATATTTGATGCAGGATGCTTTGTGGCATTTCCCTCCTCAGAACAATACACAAAGCATCAAAGCATCACAAAGCATCACAAGTTTCACTTGCTTTGTCTAACTCATTGTTTTCTGAGGGTTGCAATCTCTGAAGCTACTTGACTAAGAGAAATTTTGGAGTGGGTAAGGGGCAGTGTCTCACTACTTCAAAATAATAAGTTATGGCAGCAGAGAAATGGGTTTCCCGTTTGAGGCTGAAAAGGCTTGAGTTTCTGATTCACAGGCAAAGATGTTATGCGAGAAATTTTATATTCTTTATTCTTCAGGAAAGAATATTTACTTTACCTCAGGTGAAAACCATATGCCAATCTCTCTTTCACATTCTAATTCTCATTTATGTTTCATACATTTTTAATTAGTGAAAATGCTCCCTATGGTCTGGCAATATGTTGACTGTCAGACCTAGTTTAAGATGTAGTTACAAATTATCATCATTTTCTGAATTCCCACAGGTATTCCATTGGGAATTGGGAAAAATTAAACATAAAATGGCTGTCTTAATGCTATAATGGCCAAAAAATTGCATTTCAACACAAATTTAAGATGTCTTCTTACAAGTAGATCTTATAAGTAGATCTTATGAGGTAAAGAATGCTTGAAAAATACAGAAGAAAAAGTATAAGAAATCATAGTAGATCATAAACAGATTATGTCATCAATAATTGTCTTTAATAAATTAAATTTATAATATATATTATAAATATATAATATAAATAAATCTGGATCTCAGATTTTAATTTTATTTATATAGCTCTATACAAGCATTTTTATGGTTTTCCCAGAGACTGAAACAGATTTTGAGATAAATAAGGAGAAAATAGAAAGAACTGCATGAGTAGTAATGAATAGCAATTTATAAATCATAAAGTAAGACTTTAAAATAAAAAAATTAGAGGCCTCTAGACACCACAGTTCACTTACAGAAATTATTAGGAAATAAGATAAAGCTCTTTAATCCATTTTTTAAAGCTTACAGAGATAATAGAGATATAATTTTCGTACAATAAAAACCTGCTCGTTTTAAATTTGTAGTTTGAAGACTTGGTAAATGCATATAGTCATGCAACTACCATGATTATCAAGTTTAATCACATTTCTATCACCCAGAAAAATTCCCTGATACCCCTTGACAATCAATACAGGCCACCAGCATTCAACTTGGAACCACTGATCTGCTTTGAGTCATTACAGTTTTACCTCTTCCAGAACATCATATAAATGGAATCATAGAGCACGTAGGCTTTTGTACCTGGCTTCTTTCACCTAGCATGATGTTTCTTAGTTTTCTCTATATTATTCGTGTTTCAATAGCTTGTTCTTTCTCTACTGCTGAGCAGCAGTTCATTGTGTAGATAACTTACATTTTGTTTATCCATTCAGCAACTCATGGACCTGTGTTCTTTTCAGTTTGGGGTTATTATGAATAATGCAATGATAAACATCAGCATACATTTGATTAGTGGATACAGGTTTTTATATCTACTGGATAATAGAATCATTGGGTCATATGGTAAGTTTATTTTTGACTTTTTGAGAAACTGCCAACATAATTTTCAAAGTGGCTGCATTGTTTTAAATTCCCACTAACAGCATATGAGGGTTTCAGTTGCTCCACAACTTGCCAACACTTGACATTGTAAGTCTTTTTAGTTTTAGCTATCCTAAATGTGAAGAATATATTCAAAGGCAAACAACATGTTTGTATGGCTCTTCAAGCTTGCTAGGTTCCCTGGAGTCTCACTTAGATGTGTGTTGTTTATCAGTCAGACAGGCATACATGAAGCACTTCTTATCTGTACTTCTATAAATCTCTTAGCTCTCATTTCCAAAATCTCCCTGTTAAACTTTTCACTGCTCTGAAACCAACTCCAAACTGACTCTACCCTCTATGCTTACTAAAGCTGTGGATTTTAGTTGTCTACTTGTGGAAGGTATAGAAATGGCCACAGTGTAAGTCCACAAATCATTCTTAACCAATGAAGAATCCATGATTCCTGACTAAACAATTTCAAGTTGTTGCCTCCCTTTAGTCTATTACCTGTGCCCTTAAATTTTATTTAATTTTTTTTCCAGCTTATACTCATTGTCTTGAGAAGAGAATCATCCCACACCACACTACCACTACCAGAAGTAGCACCATTTGTTCATTTTTGTGAAGCAGGAAAGAGTTGTGTATATACACATACACATGTACACATGTACACACGTAATAGAATGATGCTAAGTGCCAGATTGTATCTGCCTTAGCCTTGTCAAAGAGCATGGCTGTGGCTAGAGAAGTATTGGAACTGGGAGCTTTCAGTGCATAACCACAGGTTTTATATACATCTGGTAAGGGGAAAGAGTAGACAAGGGTAAGTCACATTAAGGGTGAGTTTCATCCTGCACTTGAGAGAAGAGTAAAGGAGGATATGAAGAATAAAAACAATTAATAATTTAGTTATCTGAGGATGTATTACATGTTAATTTAAAGATAATGATAGTCCATTACTGTCTTCAGTTTTGATTTTAACATAAAAGAAATGATCAAAAGTAAAATTAACAATGAAGAGAAAGTTTCTTTGTTAAATATTTGAACAGGCCAGAGGAAGAAGTTATAAAACTCTTTTCTGTCAGTGTAGTAGAAGTAGACAAAATAACATCGTGGCTTGGAGGATTGAAATCAAATTAAGATGAACGTGCCAAATGCTTGATGCTATTTCCAGGTGTAAAGGACAATAATTAGGCTATAAATTATGATAAGATTTTGGAGAGGTGTACATCAATAATTACTTAGAATTACTTCTAATATACAAGGTGCGACTATGATGGTGATTATAATTCTTTCTTACCTTCTCTCAGCAAATTTTGTTTATATTAATCAATTGATGAACATAAAAAGCACATTCTGTATTAGAATTTTTTTAGCTACTTAAGATCACTAGAGTGTATTTTATAGTCATAATATGGGCTTTATGATGAAAAAAATTTGTATAGGCAAAGCCTTATTATATCACTACTTATATTATCTACTGAGGACCTCATGTTGGCCTAGCTACTATATTTCATGCCTTTCATAAAAGCAACTCTATATCTGAGTTAAATGAGTCTTCATGCATAGCCTAAAAATGAACAAATCACTATGCACCCTGAATACTCTTGGAAGGATAAATGTTGCATGTAGCGCAAACAAAACAGGAAAAATCGTATGTACAGCAAAAAAATTGTCCATGAGGATAGATGTAAGCAAATCTAAAGGAAGTCATTCAAAATGGGCAGAATGATGACTCTCCCACTCATATTTTCACAGTTCTTTGTTGCTTAAAGCTGGAGTTCTATTCTCTCATGTATATTTACAGATTTTTCGTTTAGTTATATTAACAATACACCTAATTCCAAGTGCTTTATACGTTTTGAAACATTTTCACTTAATTTGTTTGATCACAACAATTCTGCTGTTCTCCCAATTATACAGATGGCTTTCAGAGGAGTTAAATAAGATAATTAGCATGTGGCTATATTAGTCATGATTCTATTCGGTAGCAAACAGAATTTGCACGCAGGGATTTTTTTAAGCCAAGTCAAATGTCTTTTCCATCTTCTATGCTGACGAAATCTCTGAAGAAGATACAATTCCTTTGACGGTCAGAAAAACAGAGGCATTCAGAAACATCAACATGAGGGATCCCTTTTCTTAATTGCCTCGTTAGATCCAGACACCCTAGCAAGAAATTAGCCGTCCAAGTATTACGTTCTGAATAAACATCCACAGCAGGGGGAGGTCATTTAGAAGATTCACAAACTTTTGTTTCTTCAGCAGTCATATGCCACATAATGATGTTTTGATCAATGATAAACCACAAACATGACGGTGGTTTCGTAAGAGTATAATACCATAATTTTAAGGTAACTTTTCTATGTTTAGCTCTGTTTAGATACATAGATACTTACTATTGTGTTACAGTTGCCTACAGTATTCAGTACAATAACATGCTATACAGGTTTGTAGCCCGGGACCACTAGGCCATACCACATAGCCCAGGCGTGTAGTAGGCTCTACCATCTATGTTTGTGTAAGTGCACTCTGTGTTGTTCCCACAAAGAAAAAATTACCCACAGATGCATTTCACAGAATGTATCCCCATCGTTAAGCAACACAGGACTGTACTTTATGTGTACCAATTTAACGCCCTTGCCACTGTCTAATTTCTGTTATGGTTTTCCCATCATGTATGTTTTATTTTTCCTCCTACTGAACTATAAACTTACTGGAGGCAGTATTTATATCAATTTTGTCATGTATCTCATGCAGGGCTTACCAAAATGTGTCACACACTGTAGTTCATGATAAATGTTTGTTAAATGAATTAACTATACAATCCTATTCTTGTTGTTTGTGTATTATAATTATGTTTCTTTGGTCTATTGACAAGAACTATCGGCTGGATGTAAAGTATAAAAGTGGAGCTTTGACATCCATTAATGAATAAAGATGTATGGTTAAGCTAAGAAGGTGCCATACGATATGGTGAGGGACAATAATGAACTAATGCGAATGGTATATGGAAAAAACATTAGCTATGTCAGGGGAAAAAAAGTAAAGAAAGTCAGGGAGAACTGGGGATTAGCAAGAGGAAGAATGAAGTCAATTTAGAAAAAGCTAGAAAAGACACTAGTTAGACTTATCCTTGGCTAAATGTCCAAGGGAACTGAGGAGGATGGGACACCCACATAAGTAACTCCTGCAGCAGTTATCCTGGGAGAGCATTTTTTGTCTGAACCTAAAGGGAAAATATTATTTTTTCTTTTTTAGAGGCAGAGTCTCTCTCTCTCTCTGTCACTCAGGTTAGAGTGCAGTGGCTCTATCATAGCTCACTGCAGCCTCGAACGCCTGGGCTCAGATGATCCTCCTGCCCCAGCTTCCTAAGTAACTAGAAACACAAGTGTGCACCACTACACATGGCTAATTTCTTGTAGAGACAGGGTCTCGTTATGTTTCCCAGCCTGGTCTCAAACTCCTGGCCTTAAGCAATACTCCCACCTCGGCCTCCTAAAATGCTGGGATTACAGGCATGAGCCACCATAACCAGCCCAAAAGGAAATTCAGAAAGAGTAAAACTTCTTCATTGGCCAGAGCACGCAAGGTATCATTCAGCTACGCTCCACGTAGAAGAAGAACGGAATGAAGACAAGAATTATCTCTCCTTTATTGAAACAGATGAAGATCAACTCAGTAGCTGTGATTTCAGCCATATGGAACAAATATTAAAACAGATTGCATGAAATAAAGAAGAAAACTCTAGCTGAAAACAACAACCGCAAATAGAATAGGAAACCTTTTCCAAGTGCTTAAAGAGAAAAAGATGGTTTCCTTAAGAGCCAATCATACAATTCCTCTCAGGGAGAACTTGGTGTCTGTGACAGGAACACCAGCACTAGGTCATAAAGATGAGGCTGCGGGGATAATGCTCATAGGTAATAAAAATGCTTTGCCCAAGACATTTACCAGGATGTTGAAGATGAGTGAGCTACACAAAGGGGGATAAAGATTCAGAGAGAGAACAGCCCCGGATATTGGTGGGAGATTAACACTGGTGACAAGAATGAGTCGAGCTCTTTTAAGCCCAGGGATGTCTAATATACAATTTTAAGTAATTTGCTGTACAATTATCATGAACCTTTAGCAAAATGTGTTAAAAATAAGTTTGAGTCTAAGATACTTTGAGGAGCTAAATAATTGGGGGCTATTCATTTTGAGTGGTGAGGGATTATACAAAAATGTAGGACAAGAATAGACTTGTCTTCTTTTATATAGGAAAAGAAAGACAAATCAGAAACATTTTAATAGAAGCTAGCAATTGGAGTCAGGGGAAACTGGAGAAAATACTATATACTGCTTTGTTTCCCACTATATCGTTATGGCAATTGGAGACAATTTTATTGAAAGAGACAATTTTATTGAAATCTTCATGGGCAAAGCAACCCAAAGAAGTGAAGAACTAGTGAGGTACACAAGAAACTCAGAAAAAGATGGACTCATTCGTTTACTACCTACTTTCTTACTGCATGAAGTACAATTTAGTAATGGGGGATGAGACTTATACTGAACTAACCATGCTAATAAGAAAATTGTGAAAGAAACTAAGGAACACCGGGTTTATAAAGAGAGTGACTGGAAACCTAATTTTCCTGTGTATATGACTGCCCGAAGGAAAGCCTAGCTTAAGAATCAATGGAATAATAATAAATCAAAGGAATAAATAATAAGTGTCTTCCAAAGAGGTCAGAGATAGACTGAAGTTGTGGGACCACATTTAGATCAGGTGGGTCTTCACCTCTCCAAAACTATTCATCATTCTGTCAGATATTAATAGATAAAGAAAACAAGGAATAAACAGGAAAGTATGGGTGAGTTTCTTGGACTTTGTGAAAGACATTTTGATGTATACAGAGGCAACAATTGAGCCACTCCAAATTAAAACACATCTTGCTAACCTCCAGTTATCTAAGCCCAGACAGGCTGTCCCCTCAATGTGCTTACCAACCCACGTAAGTAAAGGTGTGTGTGTGTGTGTGAATGCTAACATAAGCAGATTGCATTAAGGATGGAAATACATGGGAATACAAGGGGATAAAACTTCCTAATAATAACAATAATGGACCAGTCATCATGTTAAGCCCCATGCAAATAGGTCACTGAATATGTTATCTGTTTATGATTTACATAAAACCCTTTATTGTAAGATCTTGAATGTATAAATTCACAGGAGCATTTCTTTATTTTTATTTTGTTTTTTAGACAGAATCTCGTTGTGTCACCCAGGCTGGAGTGCAGTGGCGTGATCTTGGCTCACTGCAACTTCTGCCTCCCGGGTTCACGCGATTCTTCTGCTTCAGCCTCCCAAGCAGCTGGGATTGCAGGTGTGCACCACCATGCCCATACTAAGTCTTTGTATTTTTAGTAGAGATGGGGTTTTGCCATGTTGGCCAGGCTGGTCTCAAACTCCTGGCCTCAAGTGATCTGCCCACCTTGGCCTCCCTAAGTGCTGGGATTACAGACGTGAGCCACCAAGCCCGGCCCGGCCTACAGGAGTGCTTTTTTAATTAATTAATTAATTTATTTATTTATTTATTTTTTAACATTACAATGTGCCTGCGCTTTTCCTTTCAGATCACAGTGTCTATCTTTGGCTTTTTAATACTGAACGGTAATAATAGCTATTATTTATTAGGTGCATACTAATTGCCAGGTGCCTGTGCCCACCGAAACTTATTTACTCCTCACCAACAACTCTATGAGGTCACTACTATGATCCTGTTTTTTATAAATGAGGAAACTGCAGCTTGAAGAGTTTATTTCTTAAGGTGAAATGTTAGCAAGTGGCATACCACCGATGGAAGCCATAAAGACTTGACACAACACTTCATAACAAGAAAAAAATAAGGGAAAAAGTGGTACTAGTAAAAGATACCTGAAAAAGGACAAAGTGGTACTGGCAAAGCTGCTACTGAAAGAAAGTCCTTATTATCTCTTGGGTGTCAGGAGGACACTGGGTAATGTTAGTTCACTTTTCCACAGTGCCCTATCATGGCACAAACTCGGAGTCATCAGTGTCAAAACCAAGATTTCCTTGAAGATGATGAAGACACCTAGCATCTGAAGCAGTGCTTGTATTTATTTTCTAAGCCCATTTGTCTTTCCCAAAGGTTATATTCATTGCAAAGAATCACAGGCAGCAAGCTGCACACTGCACTAAACACCAAGCCTCAGGTCCTGAGCACAGAAGCTTGGGGCATAAGTAAACTGTAGCTAGATTAGCCCTTACGAGTAACCTAATCAGAGTTTTTGTTTTAAAACATTTTCACACAACAAAATACTCAGGGATAGCACTATCTTTTTCTTTCTAAGTAAACTCACTAGTTCAGTAATTCTCCAATCAGTTATCTCAAATTGGCCCAATATTTATTGACTGCTCCCCTTTGTCCAACAGATGAAGCTCGCTGCACAAAAAGGCCACTTATCCAATCCATCTCTAAAGACATGGCTTGCCTAGAAAATTAGCGCCAGGCCTGGCCTGGTGTAGGTAATTAGGTGAGGTGATTTCTGAGATTTTAGTTCCACGTATTCAAAGTAACTCTCATCTAACTGAAAGTGGTTTCCATAGAGGATTTTTTTCTAGCCTCCATTCAGGTCAAGTTTGACAGCAAATAATATTCAATCAAAGGAACTGTTGGGCCAAGGAAAAGGTCAACATAGAATTTGAAGTCCCTCATTTCACAGATATTTTTATTCCCTTGGGATAAACACATTAGCAGTCTTTTCTGATTTCTCATCAGAAAAGACTGAGCGCTGAGCATGAAGGGCTTTTCAGAATTCAGATACTCATTTCTGTGATGGTACTTGAAGTTCAGATGATGGAAATAATAGTAGATAGCGGCCCCAGGCCAGAAAAGCCTGCTTCTGGGAAGAAAAAAGAGGGTACTGTGACTGGAAGCATTGTGAGCTTCAAGTTCAACTTCAGGGTTTCAACCCTTCTCTTTGCACAGGAAAATAATTCAAAAATAGAGAACTAATAAAAACAAAAGGGAATCTGAAATTTTAACCAACTGTTTTATGATCTGGCCTTCCAAGGCCTGGTGTAAATCAATATCTCTGGATTCATTTATGCCCAGGATGTGCCTGTGAATTTACATCAAAACTAAGGCCGTTTGACAAACGTTCATTAAGAGCCTATTCCATGCCAGGCCCTTGGGGAAATGAAAGGGCACAGGGCAGATAAAACAGCAGCCGGCTTTTGAATAAGAACAGGTGGATTTGTAGTGCTAATGTTGTTTCATTAGGGTCCAAATGTCGTGCATGCTAAAACCGCTCTTTTTTGTTGCTGCATTCATTTTCCCATCTCCTATTGCCATATCCTTTCGTAACAGAGTGTCTCCTTTCCTCTGATCAACCTCTTCCCCACCTCCTCATTGTACAATATCTTCCTGGACAGGTCCAAGGAAAAGATGCGTGAATCACCACATGCCCATCAGAGCTCTTCCCTGGAAGTTTCTAATTAGAGGCGAGGGTACAGCAGCCTATCACATCTGAGAGTCTATCTGCAAAAAAAGGTCCTTAGAGGGACAGGCAGGGGTGAATGAGGAACCGAGGGAAGGAGCTATCATCCCCTAGTAGCATGGAGAGTACTTAGGTTCTGTCCCTGGGTCTCTTGATCCCTGCAGCATTTCTTTGAGAATGTCTCTATAGGATATAGAGGGACTAAAAGAGAGACTTCAAATTCTATGTTGACTTTTTTCCTGGCCCAGGAGTTCCTTTGACTAGCTCTACAGGATCTTCCCCAGGTTGATGAGCCAATTCCACCCTGGCTCCTAAGTCCCTCTTTTCCTAAGCAAGGGTTGATTTCCTATCTCTAGACACTGAAAGAATCTTAACTAGTATTATGACCTCAGGACAATTATTTAAGCTATTATTGCTTCATTTTCATTTTCTATGGGGTTAAAAGACATAGCTAATGGTGCTATTGAGTTTTAAACTAGATTATACATAGGAAACACTCCACACACAGTAAATGCTCAATAAGGAAGAGCTATTTGCATTATTGTTACTACTAATGCTGACAAGAGGAGGCTCTGCAACAAAAACACCAAACGTTCCTATGATGGTATAGTAAATCAACATAATCCAATTTACTCTTTGGTTTCATGGGTATCTGGTCAAAATAAATCTATTACGGGAAGTGACCATCACTGGAAGAGCTGATACGTATCCAGTCTGAGGCTAAAATATAAAAACCAAATCCTAGATTTGGGGACTCAACTGACGTGCTGCCCATAGGTGAGCAAGAGTTGGAGATCCCATAAGCAAACTTCATCCAGGTGTCATGGAAAATTATGTTGGAAAGATAGGATAGGCCAGGCTTGATTTTTGAGTAAAGGGAATTTGGTCTGCTTTTTTTTTTTTTTTTTTTTTTTTTTTTAACCAGGCACATGCTGTAACTCAGTGGGATTAATTTAGTTTAATGAAGAAGCAAAAGTGGCCTGACACATGATCCAATAAAATGTTGGTGATAAATCTTTGTTCCGTTCCCTCTGAGAACCTGGAGGCCAACAGTGACACAATTAAATGTGCAAACACTGATCTGTCATATTTTGATAAATCCTTGATGTTCCATCTCTGAAGACCCTGCAAAGGTTAAGTCCCGTGAGTTCTCAAGCCAGTTTCAGCGTTTGAAGAAGCTGCCTTGTCTTGAGAAGCAAGTCTCACAAACACTATGGCATGTTGTTCATGTATTCACTTATTTACTTCTCAAAATTCTATGATGTAGTTATTTATATATCTTTCCCATTTTATAGATATGGAAACAGAGACACTGAAAAGGTAAGTGACTTTTGCAAATTCATATGGCTAATAAGACAAAGACTCAAACACAGACCAGACAATCTGGTCTAGTTCATGTTATTAGCTCCTATACAAACCCACTCAACTACCACTGCAGCTAGTACTACTGCAGGGAAGTGAATGAACTCTGGAGAGATTGAAGTGGATATAAGTGATTGGCTAAGATTTGGAAGCAACCAAAGTGTCCATTGACAGATGACTGAATTTAAAAACATGTGGTGTATATACACAATGGAGTACTATTCAGCCATAAAAAAGAATGAGATCCAGTCACTTGCAGCAACATGGATGGAACTGGAGACCATTATGTTAAAAGAAATCAGCCAGGCACCAAAAGACAAACATCATGTGTTCTCACTTATTTGTGGGATCTGAAAATCAAATCAACTGAACTCATGGACATAGTAGAAGGATAGTTACCAGAGGCTGGGAAGAGTAGTGGGGGGTTGCGGGAGAGGTGGGGATTGTTAATGGCTACAAAAAAAAAATAGAAAAAATGAATAAGACCTACTAGTTGATAGCACAACAGGATGACTATAGTCAGTAATAACTTAATGGTATAATTTAAAATAACTTAAAGAATGTAACTGGATTATTTGTAACTCAAAAGATAAATGCTGGAAGGGATGGATACCGTATTCTCTCTGATTTGCTTATTTCACTTTGCATGCCTGTATCAAAACAGCTCATGTATTTCATAAATATATATACCTACTATGTACTGACAAAAATTTTAAAAAATTAAAAATAAAAAATTAAATTAAAAATAAATGATTGGGGATAAGAAGGTGTCAAAAAATGACTTTCAGTTTTGCAGTTTGTGCAAGTTGTTGGAGAAAGGCATCACCCACTGAGATGAAGAATATTCTTTCTCCCTGTTAATACTCTCATTGCTCAGCCTGAGGCTTAGGCTCCTGTGAGGGTCGGGGTGTGAGTGGAGTTGTGGAGGGTAAGCCAGATGCACCGGGCGAACACTCTGGACTTGAGATATTTGTCCACCCAAGTCTTTTGAGCTAAGTTAGATCAGCTTTGTATCCTGCTTCCATTTTGAAAGCAGGAACCATGTGGTCAAAATATCTTCTAGGTTTTGCAAGGCATGCTGGGCTGAGAACTTTCTGCTGGTGACTCCAGAGCCTGGATATTGAATGAGGTCTAGTTCCAGAAACATATACTTCAAAATGCACGTTGGCACTTAACATTTTTCCATCTCTCCCCTCGTATATTCAGACCATCATATATCTGTTGTAACATTTTTCATGTCCTGGCTACCACCTTTGGCCTTTGGTGGTCTATGTGACAGTTGCCATAGTCTGAGAATCCAAGGATAATGTGTTTTCTTTTTCTGAAATTATTTTTGTACCTTTTACATATGCTGCAAAAGTTTCATTTTAAGAAACAACTTGAGGTTTAAATTCAGCTTAATTTTTCCATCTGGTTTATCTTCATGTGTTTAGAAAATGTTTTTATGTTTTAGAAATCCAGGTTATAAGAAGAAATGACTAGTTAGTTAGTTCAAGAGATTTCCCTCATTCTCTAAAAAAGGCTAGTTATTAACACAAACATGATCTTATTAGGGGAATTCAGGTCTTTTATGATTTAATCTTAGGGTACAGATGGCAAGCGTAAGTGCAGTAAATACCAGAACCATGCAGAATTCTTGGTTCAGGTTCTTGGAATTCATCACAATTTATTTTGTCAACATTTGTCCTATTCTACACTTGGCATCAAGCTGAGTGAGTTGTGTCCCCAGATGTCAAGAAGGAACATGCAATCTCATGAGAGTGAGAGGATAAAATGCTTATGACCCTCCAGTGTATCTCAGTCATAACCTAAAGGGAAATGAGCTCTTGTCTGGGGACCAGAGGAGAGAATCAGACAAAGAGGCTTCTAGATTGCTCTGCTGGAGTTGTTGACTTAAGGTCCTCTCTCAAAATTCTGAATCAGAGTCCCAAACAGAATAAAACTTTGGCTGGGTTCAGGTTCAGTTTTAAAGGTATTTTGAATTCTGGTTCAATAGCTTTAAAAATATATTTCTTCTGGCTCAAACTGGTTTATTACTTTTGTTGAAAAATGTTTGAGTCATTGAGGGGAAGAACTGAACACTTGGGTTTGTTACGAGGCTTCCAAACAGACAGGGAGTGCGACTGCATTTGTGTTTACAGGACAGGTTGCATCAAGCACCTGGTGGGAATGCAGGCATCTAGAAAAGGGAGAATGCTAATGGGAGTGAGCCCATTGGAGCCCATTGTTGCTGAGTTTGGCGTACTCCCAGTGGGCATGAGAAAGACGTGGAGAAAGGCAGCCAAATGAGCTGGCATAGAACATCAAAACTGGCTGAGGAATTTTAAAAGGCATAAAGGGCTTTTAATCAGGAGGCAGTACCCTGAGGGAGATCAAAAGCCTGTTAGATACATCTATTAAGATGGAATTTAGTGGTAAAAGGGCCATTTGGATAATTACAGCCTCATATGTGATTCTTATTGCCTCTATCCTTAGAAGCCTCTGAAGAGAACAAAAGATCCTGCTTATATTGATGGAGACCTGTCACCCTGCAGACACCAGCACAGAGTAACGTGGTTTGCAGAGGAGGTGTTGGCTGCCAGCTGTAGCCCAGAGGTAACAGCCTGGCAGCCCACAGGCCCTGTTCAACCTATAGAGAGGTGTTTTCTGCCCACACAATAGTTAAGATTTAGACAATTTTGTGGGGGAAAAAAATCCAGTTCTGGCCGGGCGCGGTGGCTCACGCCTGTAATCCCAGCACTTTGGGAGGCCGAGGCGGGCGGATCACGAGGTCAGGAGATCGAGACCACGGTGAAGCCCCGTCTCTACTAAAAATACAAAAAAAAAGTTAGCCGGGCATAGTGGCGGGCGCCTGTAGTCCCAGCTACTCGGGAGGCTGAGGCAGGAGAATGGCGTGAACCCGGGAGGCGGAGCTTGCAGTGAGCCAAGATTGCGCCACTACACTCTAGCCTGGGTGACAGAGCGAGACTCCGTCTCCAAAAAAAAAAAAAAAAAAAAAAAAAAAAAAAAATCCAGTTCTGTGACTTCCCTTGGGAAACCTGAAGACCTGAAAACTCCTAAATTCCCACTTGGCAACTTTTGGCTGAATCTCAGTAGCATCTGTTCCCTTTAAACTAGATGTGGAGTCTCCAGTTTATCCCACACCTAGTGCTTGTATTGCTTATTTTATCAACAATAGTCTCTACATCCTTATCTGCATAAAAAAATGGGAAACGAAACAATGGAAAAACTAAACAAATTGCTGTGTTGGGCTAACCCGGCCAGATACTAATCAACAGTGAAATCACACCCAACTCCCTTGGCTCACCAATGCTCCTCCTAATGATCAGGTAGCTTTCCTTCGGATTTCCCTTCAGGGAGGGAATGTGCTGGTCAGGCTGGTCAGGCTGACATGAATATCTATTTTGTTTGACAGCTATTCCTTACTGGAAATGAATAAATTGTGATTCTGACTTACTCATTAGTCTTCAGTACTTTATTTTTTCTCAGCCTAAATCAGCATTTCTAAATCCAATTAACTTTGATACAGGCACAAGGGTGTTTTTATGAGCCTATGTGGCAGGGGGCCAGGCCCTCAACATCAGTTAATGTAGGAAGGTGATTTCACTCTGAAAGGGTCTTTCTGTGTAGCCAGCCAACTTTCCATGGCCTAAGCCCCATGTTCATGCTGTGCCACCTTTTCTCCATCTGAACCTCTAGCCCTTTCTGAAGCTTAGAGTGGGGTTTTACTATGTTGCAAAGTGATAATGTAACATAGTAAATGCAATGCAACAGAGTAAAACAGTAAATGCAGAATGAGTGTTAGCAAGTATGATGATCATGATTATGATTACTGACATTGCTGTCACCTCACCCTTGTATCTTAATTAGGCCTCACTCCTTTTTATTAAAGTTCCTGATATTAAAAGATTATAATTCATTTGATATGGGTTGCTGAAGTACAGTGAATTCAATAGACTGTCTCCAATTTTTAATTAATGTAAAGCTGCCCTGAAATAGCTCCTTTTCCCATAGTTGTCAAAATGTGCTTTTCTACTTACAATCATTTCCTTAAGAGGAGAAGGAAAGAAGATCTCAAATGTATTGAGCACTTACTCTCTTTCGACATCGTTAGATAGAAAATAAGTCTGCGATGGTGTCTCCAACTTCAGTTCAGCACAGGATACTCTCTCTGACCTAGCCCTCTACCTCTTCAGAGATTTAAAGGCTGTGGGAGGGCAAAGAAACAAGTTTCTGCATCTTCAGGTTCACCTCCAGCCTATTTTTTTTTTCCAGGGCCTTGTCCTAGTTTGGACTTGAATTGGGGCAAGTTCAGAGGTATTGAGATGGATGCATTGAAGCCAAAAGCAGAGAAGAAACAAGATCAGGTTGTACCCCAGGGAGAATTCAGGAAGTAAGACAAATTATACCTCGGGAAGAAAAAGATGGGTCAGGGCCTAATGCTAGCAACACAGCAGGCAAAGAGGAATTTAAATGAGACTAAGAACAGAAAGCATAGCAGATGGCAGCTTGCCATTAGCAAATCTGAGATATAAAGCAGTGGGGTTATCACTGTCAAAATTTGCTAGTCCTACGAGTGGCTAGTTCAGTATCTTAGAGCAGATTGGGATGCCCGGACTTAGGAGACTTCAGTGATTCTTCCTAAGGAAATGCCAGCGGCAGGGGTCCTGAGAGAGCTAATGCAATGCTTTAAGAATAAATGAAGGTCCAATATGAGGAGAGCAGGCAGTGGAAACAATCCACAGGAACCAAAGAAGAGGTCCGGGAGGTTCACAGACCCAGGGACAGGGATTGGGAGGGCAGGCATAGATTGAAGTAAAAGTGGTAGGAAGCCAAGGAGTGAAGAGCAGATAGAGAAAGGAAGGGAGGAGGATGGACTGGCATTTAGAGTGGTTGATTCAAAGGCTGACTGGTGTGCGTGACTTACTTTAGAGATTTGCAAACAGGACAGACTTACAATGCCATAAGAAGAGGGAAAGGCACCAAGGTAAGCATGGAGGACTCAGGCAAATACATAATGATCCTTTTCCAATCCTTCATGAAGCTGAGCCCAGGATGGACAGATGAACTGACGGCGAGATAACAGGATAGATGGATGGAAAGCCTACACAACCTGTCCTGACTATTTAGTGCATCTCAGACTCTGTTGTTTCAAAGCATTTCCTGCATGGACTTCTCTGAGCCTCGCTTCCTTCTTCTGCACCACGACTGGGACATAAGTTTCAATCATTTTGTGTTTATTAAACCAGCGTTAGGGCACATCTGAGAAAAACACAAGCCACAGACACATCTGTGGGGGCTCTACAGAAGAGATTTTCAGAGGTTTAGTATTATATACATTCCCTTAAAGCAGGGGGGTGGGTATATGGGGCGGTAAGTAGGAAGACAGATAGGTAGACAGTAAGGTGCATAGTTACATTTCTGTGAGATTTTAGTTAGTGTCCAGTAAATCTACATTTTTCATAAGAAGACCATCTGAAGGGAAAAAATGAGTAAAGAAGAGTCAATATGTAGCTGCCTCTGGGTAGGTGAGAATGTTTGGTCTCATCATGTCTTTTTTCGGCACCTGAGAAGCTAAGCTTGTAATGGGCATTACCAGTGTGCAGTTTTAGAAGCTAGACTTAGATTGTAGATCTAAAGTTGCTATTGACATGTCCTTGCCTAGGGGAGGCCAGCAAAGAATTTACCTATGAATAATCTGTGAGGGCAGCCTGAGGGCTTTTATCTTTCCATGGGGTCTGGCTGATGTTAGTAACAGCTATTCATTTGGAAGAGGGTGTTGCAATGAATCAGCCTCCTGGCTTGAGCTTCCCTTTTGCCTAAGAATGTGGGGGGTCCTGATATTTTTATTTTCCTTTGCACATCTAACAAGATGGCTACCACATCTTAGGTGTTCAAGAAGTGACATTCACTTCCAGATATTCTTGGTGCTCCTGGGTGGAGACAAACCTGTGTAAACTGTAAGCCTCGGTTTTGGGGACACACTGGGTTCTGCCAGTGCTCTGAATGCAAAGGCACAGGTTTAAAACCCTTGACCACTTCCAGTGGCTACAGAATAAAACAGAAACTCCTTACACACATTGGCCCTCTCTGCTAATCCATCTCCCACTCTTTCCTTACAAGCTGAAGGCACCAATATCCTTGTCTCACCATTTCCCAAACACAGCCCTTCTTTCCTGCCTCTATACTTCTGATCACACTTGTCCCATTTGGAAAGATTCTCCAATCTTGTATTCCTCCACCTGCCCAAGGCCTACCCACCTAAGTCAAAGCTGCTTTTCCTCACTATTCACCCTCCACTCTTCTGTCTGCTTCCATTACACTCTGATTTCACCTTTCCCATATCCTGTTTCCAGGATGCTTGTTAAAACACATTGCTAGTCCCACCTCCAGGTTTCTGATTCCATAGGTGTAGAAATGTGCATTTCTAGTGAGTTCCCAGGGGATGTTCATGCTGCTCTTCTCAGGACCACACTAGGAGAACCACTGCAGAAGATGCACAATAATAAAATAGAAACAGCCTGGGTTTGGACTCAGAGCTTTCATCCTGGTTGTGCCACTTACTACTGGTGTAACTTTGTACATTCTAGGCCTCAGTTTCTTGTTCTGTAAATGGAACCAACACATGATTGTTTTGAAGCCTAAATTAAATAACATGAAAATGCGTAGCACAGAGTCCTCTGCACAGAGTAGAAACTCAGTTATTGTTAGCTCCATAAAGCAAATGCAGTTTGTGCCACTCATAAAGACAATTTTCTGCTTTCTTTGTGTGTGTGTGTGTGTGTGTGTGTGTGTTTGTGTGTGTGTGGCTATGGCACATGTGTCCTTGATGGAATCAGTTGATGAATTATCTCTTATGTAACCAAAAGACTGAGAGGCAATGTGGTCAGCCTGCTCCGAAGGCCGGCATCTGATGCTTCATCAGCCTGTAGTCTGGTCACTATAACCTTGTTTCCAAAAAAGGTCTTATAACTGCTCCTCTTGGTTCATCTTTCCCTGGTCCTCAATAATAATAATAGTTATAATGATAATAATAGTGGTTGTTCCAATTTGAGTAGAAAGATACAATCCACAGGATACTTTGCATATGCTACAGTATGTAAATCTAACAATGAGCCTGAAGGAAAGATTATTATCTCTCACTTCCTAGAGGAGAAAATTGAGGTACAGAGAGATTAAGTGTTTCAAGTTCCCAAAGCTACTATCAAACAACTGTCATGTTACCCTTTGGGTCCAAATTTGAGTCATTCTGGGCAAAACCTACAATGACAGCAGTTATATTCAATAACCTCATGTAACACACAATCCCTTTCCTTTTTCCACTGTCAAAAGTAGATGAAATTAAAATTAGAAGTCATAATAAAAATTAAATGAAGTGGCCCGGCACGGTGGCTCACACCTGCAATCTTAGCACTTTGGGAGGCCGAGGCGGGTGGATCACCTGAGGTCAGGAGCTCGAGACCAGCTTGGCCAACATGGTGAAACCCTATTTCTACTAAAAATACAAAAATTAGCTGGGCATGGTGGTACATGTCTGTAATCCTAGCTACCTGGGAGGCTGAATCACTTGAACCCAGGAGGCAGAGGTTGCAGTGAGCCAAGCTCACACCACTGCACTCCAGCCTGGGCAACAGAGTGAGACTCAGTCTCAAAATAAATAAATAAATAAATAAAAATAAATGAAATGGTTTAAGACAATGCTATATCATTCTCTGCACAGAAACAAGACACTTTGTTGCCAAAACCGGAAGGTACCTGAATCACAGGTGAGGGAAATTCCCTACACAAGCTCAATCAGGCCTTATTGTCTGGGCCTCTGGCTTTTTAGCACTTCATCAAAATACTCTTGTTCATCCCCTTTCTTTGTTTGGGAAACCTCTTCACAGTCTTGAAGAACCCAAGTCAATCATTATCTCTTCTATCGAGGCTTTCTCAGCGCCCCTAGAAAGGGGTAGAATTCCCTTCTGTGTGATGCCATGGTCTATGTGACCCTTGGAAGATGGGGTAGAGATTTATTTATTACTTTTTCCTGTGCCTCGCAATGGTGTAGGGTCCATGTACTCGACGTTTAATGGAGTTTCCTTTAGGAAACTGCCTTTTCCCCAAGGTCAGCCATATGATCTGATTAAAACTTAACCACTCTCAGTTCCAGGGATAACCAGTTGTCTTTAAAAAAAAAAAAAAAAAAAAAATCAATGCATTCCATATCCAGCCACCATGTTGGATTCTGGAAGGGCAGATAGTTCAATTCAGGTCAACAAGACAGGGGGAGACATTTGCTTCTAGAAGGCTCCAGAAGTGATTGAAATTTGTTAGCTCTTCTGGGAGAGCAAATGGAAAAGATGGGCTCTCTTCCTCTAGAATCCCATCCCTCTTAGGTAACCACCTGGAGCTCTTCCAGGCACCTCAAACTCAACACCTACCAAGCAGAAGTCACTACTTTCTACTTTGCTTCTCCCCCATCTTTCCTGGATTCATGGACAGCACTCAGACCACTCGTGCACCTGGAACCTTCTGGTTACCACAGGCTTCCCTCTTTCTGACCCCGTAACAATTCAGACAATAACTTGCCATTTTTTATTCCTAAACATTACTATAATTTCTCACCTTATTTTTTTAAATCTACACTTTATTTTTCCTCTTTTGGGCCCCTTCAGGTCTTGCCAAAACTATTTTAGAGCTTCCTGTCTGATTCCTTTTCTTTCAGCCTAACTCCATTCAATCAGACCTCAACATTGCATCTAGGTTCAAGTCTGACTATAATCCGCTGCAGCTCAGAATGTTTCTGTGGGTCCCCATTAGATACGGGATAAATCTCAGCTCTCTGAAAATGATATGCAATTCTCTCCATGATCTGGCCTCTCCTTACCCCTCCCCAACTCTACTCCCTAATAATCTACACTAAGCAATACTGAATATATACCATATTCTTTCTTGTCCCAATGTCTACACATGCTGAGTCCTCCCCTTAGTGCCTTCCCTCTCCTTGTCTATATGACTGACACTTTGTCTTTCTCCCCATATCAAGTCAAGTGCAATATTAGCTTCTCTATGAATCCTTTCTTGATGTGGCAGGCAAATGTAGGATCTCCTCCGGCCTATGTGTCCAGTGATTCCAACCTTGAGTAGCCTCAAGTTTTTCTGCCTACTAAAGTCACCTTTGGCTTATAGTCAATACTGCAGCCCTCCCTCATCAAACATCCTAAAATTCCCTGCAGAATGAACTGTCATTTGTATTTCAACAATTGGGTCTATATCTGTTGTGGACAATCTTTTTACCATCTCTTCTCCTTATTGCTTTCATCAGTTGATTTTCCGGTTCTTCCCCTTCCTTTGGTAATGACATTGGTAGGTAAGGTACAGTCTTACCTTCCATCTCAACTCCTGTATTCATTTTTAGGAACTTCAGTGTCTGTGTGGATGACCCAGTTAAGCCTCTGTGTTCTTAATTTCTTTATCTTCTTGTTTCAAATAACTTTCCATCCTTCACTTTAACTTGTAACAATTTCAAGGTCACACTCTGGATCGAAGCCACTGCTGGAATTACAAATGCCTTACCCCACTCTCTAATCACAACCTTGTAGCCTTCTGGCTCAATTGCGTAAATAACACTGTACTCAGTCTTCACCTACACCCTTTATATTGATCTCCAAAGTACATGGAGCTTAGGAGCTGTAGAAGAAAATGTTCTCAGCTGGGCGCGGTATGGCTCATGCCTGTAATCCCAGCACTTTGGGAGGCTGAGGTGGGTGGATCACCTGAGGTCAGGAGTTTGAGACCAGCCTGGCCAACATGGTGAAACCCTGTCTCTACTAAAAATACAAAAACTAGCCAGGTGTGGTGGTGGGCACCCGTAATCCCAGATACTCAGGAGACTGAGGCAGGAGAATCACTTGAACCCCGAAGCCAGAGGTTGCAGTGAGCCAAGATTGTGCCACTGTACTCCAGCCTGGGCAGCAGAGTGGGACTCTGTCTCAAAAAAAAAAAAAAAAAAAAAAAGAAGAATGCCCAAAATGTTTTAACTTAGAGAAAAAAGACCTGTTTACAAAGTATGAAGGCAATTTATCGTATTCATTCCTGAAACCATTGTCTTCTAACATAAAGTCTTTTCTCTCTTCATTTTCTTCTATATCCAATTTGGATAACACTACTCTGAGCTCCCTATCCATTCTCCCCCCTCATATGTGCTTTTACAAATCCAAAAATCTGGATGAATTTAAAAACTGCCACCATTGGGTCTGTACTCACAGGCCAGTATTACTGGAAAAAAATTACCTGGGCAGGCTGAAGTCTCTCCACACTAACCATCACCAGCTCCAAATGGGCTTTCTACCATACCATATGTTCTATTCAGTTCTAGGTGATCTGCCTCATTCATCTGCAACTATTTCACCTCTCTTCCTCTTCAAACCCCCAACCTTCCTCTTGCTACTGTATTTTGAGCTTGCAACATGTACTTCTTTCTACTGAAAAAACCTGAAATCTTCAAAAGAGCTCTTCTTCATGGTAACACGACCAATTCTGAAGATCTATCAACATCTTCTGGCAGTTTTTCTTTTCTCCACAGTTTCTACAGATAAACAGTTCTTCCTTTCTTGAAGGCCCGCATGCCGCATTTGAGATCTAGACCCCTGCCCCGTCACCTGAACAAGTCCTTCTCTCTTTTAATGCCTCCTTCTTTTTCCTTATACCTCTCCACTGTATCTTTATGATTACCCTACTGGATCATGTTCTGCAGTACTGAGATAGCCTTTAATATTTCCCATCTTAGAAACAAAGAAGAAAAAAAGAAAGAAAGAAAGAAAGAAAGAAAGAAAAGAAAGAAAGAAAGAAAGAAAGAAAGAAAAAGAAATATCTGTGGCTCAACAGAAGCTTCACCTATTGCCGCATTTCTCTCATCCCTTTTATCGCCAAAGGTCTTGAAACCTCATCTTGATACCTCCTTCCATTCAGTTGTGAAATAGCCCTATTCTGAATTTTGCTCCTGACCACACTGATACTGTATATGAAAGATCAGTGGGACTCTCCAAATTAAATGCATGTTTCCCAGTTTCCATCCTCCTTCACCTCCCAGCAGGATTGCACACCAGGGACAACTCTCTAGGGCTTCAACACATTCTCTCTTGGTTTATGGCGCATATTCCCAATTTTTCTCAGATCTCTATGGCTGATTTTTCTTTTTTTCTGAGTCTTCTAACTGTTTCTATCCCTTGAATGTTGGAGAAACTAAAATCTCCTTGGATCACAGGTATAGTTTGCACGTTCTCATATTTTTCAATCTGTCTCTCTCCCCATTCTCTAGGAGACTGCATTTGTTCCCCTTGACTTCCCCCTACCATACCTATATTCTTGACTTCCACATTTATGCCCCTCTTAGAATATTATTATTAGATAATCCTATTGATTTAACTTCTAGAATAGGACTAGAATCTATTCTCATTTAGAGTAAATCACCATCACCTTTTACCTGACCACTGACATCATATTGCATTGTTTCCTCTGCTTCTTCTTTTGCCCCATTTTCACCCAATCTATTCTTCAAACGGCAGTGAGAGTGATCTTTGAAAAGAATAAATTGGTTTAGAGTCATTTAGCTCCTCGTTTATTTTATTTCAAATAAAATTTGTATTTCCTACCTTGCCCTGTAAGGCCTCTTACATGTTCTGGCCCCTGTCCACTTTTCTAATCAGTTTGTGCCATTCTTGGGCACAAGCTACAGCCACACTGATCTTCAAACACACCAAGCTTGGTGCAACCCAACGACTGCACACTGTTATACTCTTGGTCTGAAATGCTTTTCCCAACCCCTGCAGCATGGCACCCCCCTCTCAGTTTTCAGGTTCCAGAGTAAATATAACCTCTTTGGGCCATGACAACTCCTTTCTCTTTAAATCAGTATCACACCCACCTCATTATTCACCATTCTGATTCCGTGTTTGTTTCATTCTTAGCTTTTTCCTCCTTCCAATCACGTGCCTGTTCATTGCTTACTGTAGGTCTCCCACACTGGTACACATGCCTGCACAGTACACTCAGCTCTGAGCACAGTGGCAGTAAGTAGGGTCTAACAATTTACAGTCAAATCTTAGCTTTAGCATTTACTCCCTGTAGAAATTGAGTAAGGTTTTTATCATCTCAATGTCATAGTTTCCACATCTGTAAAATGAGAACGATCAAATGTAACCTTATTGGGGTAGTATGAAGATTAAGTAAAAGAAATATGTTTACAGCATTTAGAACAAGGGTTGGCACAGAGTAAATACTACTGTTACTACTATCTACTGCTATCACTTCTGATAATGATGATCATGATGATGATATTATTGGTAGTATTCAATAAAATTGCTAAACAAGTGAATAAAGGTTTAGATTTATATTATTATTCAACCATGATGTGCCAGGGAACATGCTATTTGCTGTCACATATGCTCTATTTTTAAAATTATGTTCTGACAACAGCTTAATGAAACAGATAGCATTGTACCAATGAAAAGTTATTCAGACAATTTAAATGTATCCAGAATTAATGTATTAATTATATTGTTATATCAAGAATATAATTTTCCTCAAAACACATAGCTCCAAAGTGATGGAACCAAAATTTGAAACCAATTTACCTCCAAGTCTGGTGCTACTTCCAATAATCTTCTGTTTATGAGCAGAGCCAACCTGTCTATAAGAACGACCTAGAATCTTTTAAAATAGAGATTCCTGGTGTCATACCTGGAAACTGAGGTTCTTTAAGTCTAATGTGGAATCCTGAACTCTGTGGCACTTTCAGAAGCATTTTGGTGCCTCTGAAGTGAAGTTAAAATGGAAATCACTGCCTCTGTCTGTGGTTCTATGGCTTTGCCCCTTGGCTCCACAGTGATGGTACAAACCCGTTCGGTGAGTCACAGAAGAAGCTAAAGAGGTCCTCTTGGAAGGCCTTCCACTTTCATAGTCACAACCTGAACTGCCACACTGGCCTGAATGTGGCTGAGGATGAGCTTGTGGCTGCTTCACCAAAACCCACCACCAGGGGCTGGAAAATACTACAGTATCCCCACAGTGGTTTGTTTGTTATTATTATTATTTTTTCTAATTGTACTTTAAGTTCCAGGATACATGTGCAGAATGTGCAGGTTTGTTACATAGGTATACATGTGCCATGGTGGTTTGCTGCACCTATCAACCTGTCATTTAGGTTTTAAGCCCCGCATGCATTAGGTATTTGTCCTAATGCTCTCCCTCCCCTCACCCCCACCTCCCAACAGGACCCTGTGTGTGATGTGCCCCTCCCTGTGTCCACGTGTTCATTGTTCAACTCCCACTTATGAGTGAGAACATGTGGTGGTTTGTATTTTTATCTTAAATCTGAAGGTAAATCTAAAAGAAACTTCCAGAAAGACTTGGAAGAAATGGCTTTCTTTAAATTGCATAGGAAAACAGTGATAGACAGATCAATTTCCAATTGGTTCATTACGTTAATTTGTTAGACACCCCAGGAATATAGTTTGTTGGGGAAAGGTTTAGAAAACATGATCCAGAAGAGGCAGACAACCAAAACCATAGGGAAGTGTTTACAGAAAGCTCCATGTTCAACTAAATAGAGGATCAGATGTTACCACAAACTGCTCCACGTTTGAAAACTTCTTCCAAGGGCTCTGGCCAAGAAAAATAATTGACATCTTCTTGCAAACATGGGTAGTTCATAGTGTTGGCAATTAGGTACCTAATTTTTTTTTCATTTATCATGCAGAGTTATCACTTCTCTCAAGCCAAGTAGTAACAGATTTGGCCACATTTCAATACAAATTTGGAAATGTTCAAAGAACATTGGGATTATAATCCCCAATGGTCCTCTCAGCTTCTGCTCTTGCTTCTATGACCTAAATTATGAGCAGAAAAGAAAAAATAAAGTTTTTATCCTTAACTGTATGTAAATCCAGAGACGATCCAGAGTGGGCTAGTGAAAACTTTTTCTAGAAATATAAGGTTTCCATGCAATTAGTTACTAAATCCTTTGGGAAAGAGTCAGACTAGACATGAGGGGAGGAAGAGCTCTCAGGCAAGGATTCAGGATCAGTGTCTGAGAGGAAAAAGGGAAACAGTGTTTGATGTTCAGACTTCTGTGCCCAGCAGGGTACACAACCCATTGAAATGGCCTAGGGCTGCAGTGGGTAACATTTTCAGATTCTATTTGTCTAAACAGTCTAGTCTGTGCTGCAGTAACAAACAACCCCCAAAACTCAATGGCCTAAAATAAAAGTAGAAAATAAAGTTCTAGTTTTTCTTCATATTAGATGGCCAAAGCAGGTTGACAGTGACTCCTAGCTCAGGAACTCCAACTTATACAGCCTCCATCTTAAAATATATTTCCCTGATGAACTCAGTAGAGGACAATAACATGATGTGCCTTGGACCAGCTCATAAATTATTCTACCCAGAAGTGATGCATGTTATTTCCAACCACATTTAGTTCAAAGACCTTGTTACAGGGCCACCCCTATATTCAAGCATGCAGGAATTCTCCATGTACCTGAAGGTGAAGGAGAACTGGATATTAGCAAAAATTAGTAATGGATACCACATAGATCAAAAAGCTTAGTGTCTGGAAAGAAAATCCTGCTGGCATTCAAGGGAAAGTAAATGAATAGGTTGGCCATTTGGAGGAGGAGGGATTGCCTGGCCTTTGTCCATAGCGCAGAGCAGAAGCTGTTTGCGTTAAATAAAATGGTGAAGGCACAGATACTTCAGCAGCAAGAGGCTCTTCTTCCAACCAATACAGAGTCTATGACTGTGCACAAATCCCTGTTGACGTGGAAGAGGCAGGAATGTGAAGGCCATGGCCTGAACATGGGCAGTCAGGTGCAAGTTCTCTAAGGGGTGCCTTGAAGGGATTGAGTAGGGAGGGAAGAGTTCTAAAAATTACTGCAAAAATGAAGTTCTGGTACTCTCATAATACTAAAGGCTGACATTGATTGATAAGTCAATGTCTATGTGGCTGCACCTTGTGGCCAAGGAAGTCAATGGCACAAACAGAGACTGGAAAAGCAGACAAGGGCCAGAACATGTAGAGGTCTTGCAGGCAAAGGTAGGAGAGACAAATTTTATTTGAAATGCTATGAGGAGCTGAATGACTCTTAACTAATTTATGCTTTTAAAAGATCACTCTCACTGTTGTTTGAAGATGAATTGGGTGAAAATGAAGCAAAAGAAGAGATAGAAAAAGAATTATGATATTATGATAATGGTCAGGTAAAAGGTGATGTCAGTGTACTCTAAATGAAAGATAGTTTCTTGCACAAATTTGGAAATTAAATCAATAGGATTTGCTCATACAGTGGGTAAAGGAGGGGAGGGGAATGAAAGACGACTTCCAGGTTTCTGACTTGAGTAGCCAGAGAGGTAACGGTGTTGTTCCTCTGCAATGGGGAAAGATCAGTAGAAGCCTAGAGATTAGAAAACATCAGAAGTATAATTTTGAACATTAAACATGTAATGGTTATGATAAATTTAAGTAGGAATATTAAGTAAACAAGTGAATATCTAAGAATAATGCTCCAGTTAGTGCATAACTGAGGAAGCCAAGAACACCGAGACAGTATTGTCCTAAACATTTTAATTTATTTATTCAATATGTATTTACTGAGTGACAGAAATGTGCTGAATACTGGAAATAAAGAGGTAATAAACAAAAGGTTCTGGCTTTATGAACTTCACGTTCTAATGACTTTATGCATACCCTTTAACCATCGGAAGCATCCCATGAGGATGGCGGTATTAACATTCCCAGTTTATCAATAGGGAAACCAAGGCATGAGGAGGTATGACACAGCTAATGAGAAGTGGGAGCTGGGATTTGAAGGTCCTCAGCATGACTCTAGAGCACAGGCTTTCAAACCCTGAGCTATGCTGCCGCCACTGATGCCTGAGAAGGACAGTTATTCTTTTCTGTTCTCAACATATGAGATAACAGCACTTTGGAAAAGGAGGGTAAAAAATATAGGTTGAGTATTACTGTTAAGTCAGATGGGAAACACACGTAATCTCAGTGCCAAAAGTCCAAGTGAAATAACCTGAGGAGCCTCAAGGCTTCAAAGTTTCTCCTACCTCTGTCTATTCCTTGCAGAGATAGCTAACCTCCTTCCTCAGACTGTGAAGTGCAAGAGTCTGCTTATCCCAGGAAGACACAAATTGGGAGAACCTGGCTTCAGCCTCCAAGCTCATGTTAAGGCAGTGCAGGGAGCTAGCACCCAATGGCAAATATTTGAATCCCACTCCAAGTATTAGTGCCCAGCATGCTGGGCAAGTCACACAGCCATTTTGAAACTTAGGTTTCTCATCTGTAAAATAAGCACAAAAATCGTATTTTCCACACAGGTTTATGGAAGTTAAAAGTGATAATGGCTGTAAGTAGAGTCCTGGAACACAGCATGCCCCCAATAAATTATTATCCATAGTGCCAAATGGGCCTAATACTCCTATTTACATAGGAGTTAATGGGGCGTTAGTAGGCACCAGTTTAAGGAATCCACAAGAGAAAGGATTATCTGTAGAATGGGCGGGTGATTACAGGATTATGCAGACTGCCTTGCCCCTTCTCTTTTGGCCAAGTAGAAAGTACTTATCCCGTTTTTCTCTCTAAAGTCTGCTTTGTCAGGCTTCTAGCATTCACTTTTGTTCTAATCACATTTTGTCTAATTAACATCAAATTCCAATTTATAATTAGTACAGAGAAAAACATCCACCAAGCAAAACTTCTCCTGATACCCAGTGGTGTGTGATTGAGGCGGGTATTTGCTGAGCCTGGGACGTGTCCTGCCAGCCCAAGGTTTAATCAAGGAATGTGGAATCTCATATATATGCAACCAAGTTACCATGATTAAGAGAATTTTCCTTCAAAGGCTGTTGGTCCCCTGAAGGAAACATACCAAGCACTACCATAGAAGGAATTCAGGACAATTTGCTCTCAGAGGGCTCAATTATTTCTAAATATATTTTCAAATAAATGAGACTTACTTAAACCATTTGTCACCATAGCAACGAAGCTGGCAGGATTGGTAGGAGTTTTTGCTTCTACCAACTGTGAAACATGCTTGTTGCTGGCAAGTCTATAGAAAAAAAGTCCTAGATTGAATAAGAAAAGCAATAAATTAATGGAGGCTAGCAGGAAATTAACAAATAAAAGAATGACAAGAGTATTTGCAAAGACATACAACCTTACTCTGAGAGTTAAATAAATAATAATAACAATAAAAGTCCATCACAGAGCAACTCATTATGCTCCCAATTTGGTTAGCTTTTAAGTAAAATAACTTTCTTAAAATACAAATGCTTTTCTCTAATAATAGGTTCTAGCCTATATGGTGCCTAAAAAGCTGTAAGGCCTGAAGATCAAAAGACGTGAATTTTTTTCTTGGTTCTGATGCCAATTAGCACTGTGGATTGGGCAAAATATTTAGCTGGTTCCTTTTCTAATCAAGGAAAGGATATTGGGTCCTATTACTCACTTTAAAAAAATGAAGTAAACACTAACTTTTTAAACCTCTATGTGGCCTTTAAAAATGCCTTTCCCTGCTCGCATAGTTGCAATTTACCTATGTACTATTTAAAGTTCTAGGAAATAATACATCAGGTGTTCAGAATCATGTACACACTCACACGGGTGAGGCTGTCACTTCACACTTGTCCTTGTGGAGGTTCAAGCATACTAAAGAGGAGGGAAGATCGACCACTGTAAGGCATTTATGAAGAAGGCTAGAGGATGGATATTTACATTTATTGAGAAACTGTATTTATCGGCACTTGTATACATTGTCTCCTTTAATCCTTCCATTCTCATAGGGATTACAGAGATGAAGACAGAGAAAGTTTCATCTATTTGCTCAATGTCCCACCACTAGCAAGTGGTGGAGCTGGAGCTTTAATTCATGTCTTCTTGACTCCAGAGTCTAGACCCACCAGGCTGCCCCTTTTTTGAAACCATCTGGTTCAAAGACATAAGGTAGTGGGAAAAGGCACTCTCACGAAGTCAAGATCTGAGCTTTTAATTCTATCAATATCATCTACTAGCTGTCTGACCTCAAACAAGTCCATCCTGCCCTTGGGCTTTAATATCTTTATCTACAAGAGACTGGTTCAAATGCAGTGACCACTTCTCAAGAGAGTGGGCAATGTCAGATGAAAGAGAATGAGAAAAGTGTTCCAAGCTAGAGGCAGAGGGTTAGAGTTTCAGACCCATTGTGGCCATGGGGAATTATTGCAGGGAGGCAGGGTGGGGACCATCTGTGGAAGAGCAGGTTCAGCCTTTTGAAAGCATGAGTTGGGTAGCACAGGTTTTGAAAAGGTTCTTTCAGCGTTCATAACTGGAAGTCAGATACTGACATAAAATAAGCTAGAAAAGAGCTTTCTGGCAACCAAAGCAAGGATTAGCTTGAAAGCAGCAGGCTGCATTCAGCTGTCTCTGTATGTCTCTGCAGGTGAGTGACTTTCAACCAGACCTAGTGTCCAGACTTGAGAAAAGCAGAATCTACTGCAGAGGAGACCTTGCTTAAAGGTTGCAATACTATCTTTTATGAGGCTTCCTATTCAAATCACCTCCTACTGTATTTGTAAGGAAATTACATTTTCATTGGAATCACATCACTATCTTTTCTATCCACCCCAAAGGAATAGTCAGCTTCAGTGAAGGGAAGAAGACATACCCAGCCTTCATCTCACTTCTGGCAGGTTTTCATTTAGGTTTAGTAACTTTATCAAACACAAACCCAGCCCTGGCTCCCTAATTTGTGAATTGGAAGATAAGTCTTAGATATATTTTTTGGGTATCATCTGTGTTAATCTGTTTTTGCATTGCTATAAAGAAATACTTGAGGCTAGGTAATTTATAAAGAAAATACATCTATAAATTGGCTCACAGTTCTGCAGGCCTATCCAGGAAGCATGGTGCCAGCATTTGCTTGGCTTCTGGCGAGGCTTCAGGAAGCTTACAATTATGGTGGAGGGCAAAGGGAGAGCTGTTGTATCAGATGGCCAGAGTTGGAGCAAGAGAAAGAGCGAAAGTGCTACAATCTTTTCAACAGCCAAGTCTAGCATGACCTCATTTTCACTCATTATTGCAGGGAGGGCACCAAGCCATTCAAGAAGAATCCTCCTCCATGACCCAAAATGTCCCACTAGGCCCTACCTCCAACATTGGGGGTCACACCTCAACACAAGATTTGGAAGGGACACACATCCAAACCATATCATTATCCCTCTGAGTACAAGTAGAAGAGGGAATTTCTGCTTTAAGAAAAATAATATAGTAGCAAGGTCACAGATCTGGAGTCAGCTAGGGCTGGGTTCAATCCTGACTGCCTCACTTACTAGTTGCATGACCTTAATAAATTATTTAATCACTGTAAACTTCATTCTTCTCCTCTGAATGAAGTTAGGGAAATTAAACTAACAGTTGTTCAGTTTCCAAGGAGTTAGCATGGAGATTGTATTCGTCTGTTCTTGCATTGCCATAAAGAAATATCTGAGACTGAGTCATTTATAAAGAAAAGAGGTTTAATTGGCTTGTGGTTCTGCAGGCTGCATGGGATGCATGATGCTGGCATCTGCTTAGCTTCTGGGGATCCCTCAGGCAACTTACAATCATGGCAGAAGGTGAAGGAGAAGCAGGCACGTCACATGGCTGGAGCAGGAGCAAGAGGAGGGAGGTGCCACACACCTTTAAACAGCCAGATCTCACAAGAAGTCTCACTATCAAACGAACAGCACCATAACGATGGTGCTAAACCATTCATGAGAAATCCACCCCCATGATTCAATCACGTTCTACCAGGCCCCACCTCCAACACTGGGGATTACATTTTGCTATGAGATCTGGGTGGGGAAATAGACCCAAATCACATTAGAAATAAAAGGAAAAGACAAAGCAAAGAATCAAAAATGAGAAACTTCGTAAGAGCCTGCGGAATAAGACTCAAGGCACCATGGTATTTCAAGGCCGGAACACTAATGGTATTAGGAGCCTGGGTATCAAGAACTGTTCACTGTTATAGATAAATTGGCAGGAACTGAGAGCCCAATCTCCAGCCAGCTGCAGAAGTTTTGGCAAGCTGGTGCAGTGACTCTTCACATTGTAACCAAATCACCAAGACAAAGGGGGAGAAAAAGAAGCCAATTCTCAGACTCTGAGAAGTAACAGCATCTAAAACAATTGCCTCAAATTCCATGATAATAAAAAGAGGACTATATGAAGGAGTTCAGGTGCATGGCGCTTTCTTTGTAACACTATTTCAAGGTGCATTCCAAGGGCTACAAAGGTGGGGAAGCTACACAAAGCCCTCCAATTCTTCTGTATGTTCTTCCTTTTGCTTTCATGCCAAGGATTCTGGCAATGACACTCTCACTGCTCTGACCATGGCATTCACGCAAGCACCCTTTCACCTGAACCCAGGAAGAAGAAAGGCATTGTGAGTGATGCCTTTCTGAAAGTAGCAGAATTGAAATGAGCAGAAATGAGCAAAAGTAATTCTTCCCTCCATGGGAGGTGGCACTGTCGCGCACTCGTGCTTCCTGTGTTTGTGCTGGGCTAAGACACCACCAGTCTCCCTCCATGTCTATGGCACATTGTCCTCAGCACCTGTACTCTGTGCCTGGGTGGCAGAGGCATAGAGGTTCAGTGTCCTTCACATAAACCCAACCAGCAGTAAACCAGATGTATAACTGAGAAAGGAACTTGGAACAGTATCTGTGAATAGCCATGGATTATTCTCTTCCCTATGGCTGTGCCTTATACTTGCATAGTTAATAACCATACATCTAGGCTATTTCCAAATGGTTTCTTTAAAAAAAAAGTATTACTTTGTATTTTTTAACTTTTGTTGCTAAAATAATTCAAAATCTACAGAAAAGTTATAAAATTCCATGCCTGTATCAAAACCTCTCACGTACCCCATAAATATATACATCTACTATGTGCCCACAAAAATAAAAATAATAAAATGATTTAGAAAATAATATAATATACTCACATGCTCACTTCACCCAGACTTAGTTGCAAGAAGCAAGAATATGTAAAGAACTCCTACACGCCTTTCACTCAGGTTCACCACCTGCTAACATTTTGCCACACTTGCTACATAACTCACTGTCTCATATGTAATCTCCTTCTATATATGTAATATATATAATATATACATATATGATTTATCCCTAAACCATTTGAGAGTAAGCAGCAGGCACCGTGCCTTTTTACTCGTAACCTTTACTGTGTGTATTTCCTAATAACAAAATATTCTCTTACATAATTACAGTATGGTACGATATCAAGAAAGTTAAAATTGACACAAAGTTATTGTCTAATCCACAGTCCATATTCAAATTTGGCCTGTTAGCCTAATGATGTCCTTTATAACATTTTTTTCTTGGTTAGTTTTCATATGCTGCCTTTATTTGCCATATCTTTTTAGCCACCTTTAATCAGGAATTGCTCATTTATCTTTCTTTGTCTTTCATAAATGACGTTGGCGTTTTCAGAAGTTACAGTACATGGTACATTTCTGAAAATGTTTCTCAGTTTCAGTTTTCCTGCTAATGGCAATGCCCTTGCGGGCAGGATGATCACAGAAATGATATTGCATACTTGTCCGAGCATCACAGTGGGAAGCACAGGATATTAGTTTGCCTCACGATTGAGGTGTTAACTTTGTTTACTACGTGATTTCTCCTGCTCCTCACAATACCGTGTGAGAGTATGGATCAGTGGCATTCAATCCTTTTTGCACATTAGAATCATCTTGGAATTATACGACAGTAACGACTGTAATCTTGAATGTCCAGCCTTCACCCTAGATTGGTGATCTCCAAACTTGGCTGTACATTGCAATCAGATAGAAAGATTTTTTAAGTGCCGATGTCTTGTTCCCACATTCAGAGATTCTGACATATTTCATTTGGGTTGGCCTAGGCATTAGGATTTTTTTTTTTTTTTGAGACGGAGTCTCGTTCTGTCGCCCAGGCTGGAGTGCAGGGGTGCGATCTCAGCTCACTGCAAGCTCCGCCTCCCAGGATCATGCCATTCTCCTGCCTCAGCTTCCCGAGTAGCTGGGACTACAAGTGCCCGCCACCACGCCTGGCTAATTTTTATTATTATTATTATTTTATTTTCTATTTTTTAGTAGAGACAGGGTTTCACTGTGTTAGCCAGGATGGTCTCGATCTCCTGACCTTGTGATCCGCCCACCTTGGCCTCCCAAAGTGCTGGGATTACAGGTGTGAGCCACCATGCCTGGCCGCATTAGAATTTTTTAAAAGCCCTCCATGTGACTGAAGCCAAGGAGGAGAATCTCTGTGTTAGATTGATGATGTCATGTTTTCTGAGGGTGGGCACTGGAATGTTTTCAAGGCTCTCCAGGGAAGCGTGTTGTGCAGCCACGGGTGAGAACCACAGGTATACACCTGGAAGATTAGTACCTACATGTCATCAGAGGAAGCCTGGGGCTACACGGGCTTTCTCAAGGTCCCACAGCTGACGCGTGGTGGGGCCAACACAGGCTTTCTTTCCTGCTGACAGTAATTCTTCTCTGAATGAGGCAGAACCCAATTAGTTAATAACTATTTCACCTGGAAGGGAACCACAAGAGGTATTTTTCTCTTCTCAACCCAGGGAATCTCAGAGAAAAGTGAGTAATTACATTTAGGCTATTCTGTTACTGAATACATCCTTTCTACTCAAAGTATGATCCATGGTGCAGTTACATGGATCTGAATCTCAGACCCCACCTCAGATCTCCTAAACCAAAATCTGAATGGCAATAAGGTCTCCAGGTGTTTTAAATTAAAATTAAATTAAAACCTGAGAAAATTAAAATCTGAGAAGCACTGGGCCATACTACCTGCCGTAATACAGAGACTGACAAACTTTTAGGCTTTATGGGTCATGCTGTCTCTGTCACAACTACTCGTTCTACCTTTATAGCACAAAAGCAGTGATTGACAATATGTAAATGGGTGGGTTTAGATGTGTTTACAATAATAAGTAGCAGGCTGTATTTGGCCCATGTGTCGTAATTTGCTGACCTCAGCTCCAATGTGGTGAAGGAAGATTGAGAGAAATGATACGGGCTCATAAAATTGGGAAATTCAGACCCTGCATCTGGCACTTACTAGGTTTGTGACCTTTGACAAATTACTTAACCCCCTGGGCCTCATCTGCAAAATTGTGTAAAGAAAATCCTATTGCATTGGATTGAAAATGATCAAGTAAGAGGGCATGTTAAATGTCTGACTGGTAGAAGACACCCAGTGAATGCCAGTGTCCTTCTTTCCTTACAATTCTTTTTGTATATAAATTCAATAAGTCGGGCAGTGTTTTCAACAGGGCACCACAGCACAAATAAACCAAACGTACTTCTGTCCAAAACAGCATTTTAATTTGGCTTCGAAGGTTCTCTTATTTGCATTTGATTGTGAGAAAGTCTGACCATCTAAAAACTTCCAACATGTCTAATTAAATGATGATACCACACTACAGAAGTCGAGCCTCAAAACACTAGAAACCCATCACTTTTATCCTTCTCCCTTCCCACATTGTCCCTCCCCTTTCCCCTTCTCTACAGTTCATTCTCTCTAGAAGATGAAAGGCCCCAACCTCAGCCAACCTCTTTCTCTAAGTTCAGGTCTGTCTGACTCATAACTTCCCTGAGGGAGAGAAGAAAAGAGAAGAAAATAGAAAGTGAAGTGATTTTGCTTAAAAGACCTTGCTGAGTTAGAGTTGGGGAAGGTGGTAGTTCTGGTTTAAGGATGAGATTTCCAAATACTTTTAACAGGATGATTCAACAGCAGAGAAAATTGTCAAATACGACTTATGCCATGCTGAAGATGGTCTATCAGGCAATGATGACAGCAATTAAGGAGGAGGTAGTCAGTGAGTAGTGACATCTATGATGTGCATAACCCTAAACTAATTATAAAACAAGGGTCTAGGCAGGAGACTGGCATCTTTTCTAAGCAACTTGGAAATCAGCAAGAAAATATAGTTCTCATTTTAGTTGTCAACAAATTGGTAGCAAGAAGCTGATGGACAAATACACATGGAGGACAAAAAAAATAAAACTTGGATGATGCAAAGAGAGTGATAAAATGAAATAGCGTCACATCATCTTAGAGACTTATTATAGTACAGATAACCTCCACATAGAATCCCAGAAATGTGGCCCATGAAGGATAGTGTTTGATTAGCAAGAGTTTATAATTTTGTGACATATCTAATTTGTTATCAGAGCCACTCTAGTACAAGAAGCCCTGGGGATTTCATTTGCAATGATAATTTGATCACCCTTATGGTTCTTTTCTCTCTGACTCATCCATTGAAGTAATCAAGAAGATGTAATAAAGATCTGTGGATCCCCAAAAGAGAGCTATTCAGACTTTCAAAAGGCTGGAGAGTAGGCAATTGGGTTAAGAAAATGGCAAGCCCCTACATCTTACCATACACAAAGAGAAAATGCACCTGAGAAATAAGTGGATGTAAATCCCTACCAGAGTTCTACCTTAAAAAGGTGTGGACTGGATGAAAGAGTGGCTGTAAGAGTGAAAAACATTGACCTTGATTCAAGAAGTGTACCAGAGTGAAGGCTGTGGATCTCACTCCAAAGTTATACTTGGCCTGGATGCTTTCCTGTCATAGTGGACAGGAAGTGTGGGTGAGGGGGTCTGCATCAGTGACCTCTAGATTGCACATAAATGACGAAGGTTCTTTGGCATGGCTGCAACATTTCATTGACCCTCTTGTATGTATGAATAAACAAAACCCAGCAGGTAAAAAGATTCAGCAGTTCAAAAGAAAAGGAATAAAGTTAAGAAATTACAATAAATGTCAATTTTTTTAGTTAATGTTTTCAATTAGATCCCAGATGACTGACTGTAGGCAGAAAATGTTGGAAAATAAATATTCAATATTCACAAAAATTGTTTCAGACAATACACTTCATCGATAACTTTAAAAAAATACTATGCAAGTAATGACTAGTAAGTTGAATAATGAAAGAAACTCAAAAAATGGCAAAAATTGCACTAAAAACATTGTCTCAGAACTAAGAGGAAAAAGATAAAGATAACAATATAATGATAAGCAAAATGACAAGAGACTAGGAAAAATGATCTAGGAGATCCAGCATACATGATATAGGTAGTGCAGGAGGATAATATTGAGGACAAAGAGAAGCAAAATAAAATAAATAATTGAGTAGAAGTTGTCCAAGATGAAAAAAAAATTGAATCTTACCAGGAAAAGGACATCAACTATCAGATGATAATAATAATAATAATAATAAAATCACCTATAGAGAAAAAAAATCAAGATAGAACCAAAACTTTGTTCTTTACCACACTGAATACTAAATACAAATGAAACTTTTCTATGAGATTTTTATTTTATTTTATTATTATTATACTTTAAGTTTTAGGGTACATGTGCACAATGTGCAGGTTAGTTACATATGTATACTTGTGCCATGCTGGTGTGCTGCACCCATTAACTCGTCATTTAGCATTAGGTATATCTCCTAATGCTATCCCTCCCCCTCCCCCCACCCCACAACAGTCCCCAGAGTGTGATGTTCCCCTTCCTGTGTCCATGTGTTCTCACTGTTCAATTCCCACCTATGAGTGAGAATACGCGGTGTTGGGTTTTTTGTTCTTGTGATGGTTTACTGAGAGTGATGATTTCCAATTTCATCCATGTCCCTACAAAGGACATGAACTCATCATTTTTTATGGCTGCATAGTATTCCATGGTGTATATGTGCCACATTTTCTTAATCCAGTCTATCATTGTTGGTCTATGAGATTTTTAAGGCAAGTCTTGCATACATACCTTTTAAGGGGAAAAAAAATCTATACTCAGCCAAGCTATAACTGATTTATGAGATCATTAAGATATTCTGAGATATGCAAGAACTTTATAAAATGTTCTCCAGTGAGACAGGTAATTGAGCCAACTGAAATAAATAAATAGATAAAATAATTAACTCAGGAAAAGTGAAGATGTGCTATAAACATATAGATATAAAATGATGAAACTGCTTAAACCTATATTTAATGTCTGTCTTAGTCTGTTTTCTGCTGCTACAAAAGAACACTAGACACTTGGTAATTAATTAAAAGCCAGAAGTTTATTTGGCTCATGGTTCTGGAGGCTGGGGAGTTCAAGAACATGGTGCCAGCATCTGGTGAGGTTATTCCATGGCAGAAAGGTGGATTGTGGAAGCAAGCACATGAGACAGAGAGAAAAAGGTGGCTGAACTCCCATGATAACTAACCCATTCCTATAATAACAATGTTAATCCATTTATAAAGGCAGAGCCCTTATTACCTGATTACCTCTGAAAGATCCTACCTCTTAATAACATTAGGATGATACTTAAATTTCAACATGAGTTTTGGAGGGGACATTCAAACCATAGCAATGTGCAATAACTGTTATTAATATGTTTTCCTCCATAAGAAGCATGGCTTAGTTGACTTATTTAAAACTAAGATATTAAAAAAAATTAAAAATAGTATATTACTTTAAAGCAAGCAAACAGACTAACAAAACAAAATACTTCAGTGTGCATTCTCTGTTTCTACCACCACAATCTAGACTAAGTAGCTATGTTCTCTTTTTAATAGCTCTAATACAGCATAAAGGCTGGCAAAATGTCAAAAAATTTTTGAAAACTAATACATGTAATTATTGCCATTATTAATAAGGGCAATCTGGATCTAAAATCCTCATTTATCCCAATTGTGATAACTAGGAGAAGGACGTAAAAAATAAAATGTAGACACATCTTACAATTTGCAGCTTGCATAGTGGACGTTAATAGACACTATTACCAATCACAATATGGAAAAAGGGCTAAGAGAACTTGATTTCCTATTGAAACAGAAACATCAAAATGCTAATTACATAATTGCTAGTAAATAGATATTTAAAAGATGCCAGAAAAATCATCAAGGCAATATGACAAAAGCTATAAATTGGGAAAATGTCTTGTTATCAATTTGTATACTTTTAAACATCCCTTAATTACAGTAGTTCAGGAATTTTGCTATTTTCCATTTGAATACTCCATATCAAGTAAGCTACACAGACAAGATGTGCCCCTCTTGGTTGACAGGTATGTCTTTCAGGCCTGAATTAAAAAATCTATTTTCATTTATTATAGTCATGCAACCAAAAAGCTTTCCTCTCTGATTTCTCAAGCAGCAGCAATTTAGGAATGACATAGCTAGAAGCAACAAGAAATAAACATCAACAGCCTTAAAGGGAGAGAGGTATGCTAAGCAGTAAAAGCAGAATGAAAAATGAATAGGAGGCACAGATGCTCTCACAGCAGAGCAACCTCGGGGCATTTAGTGTGAGGCAAATGCTCAGTCCCTCACTTACAGGTGGAATAAAGAGTGTCATCATTTTGTGGTAAGTTGAAGAATGGTCCCCAAAAGATGTCCACGTCTAAATTTCCAGAATTTCTGAATATGTTACCTTACATGGAAAAAATACTTTGAAGATGTGATTAAAGATTTTGAGATGAGGATAATATTTTGGATTAGCTTGGTGGGCCCAAAGAAATCACAGGGGTCTTCACCAAGAGGGAGGCAGAAGAGTTAGAGAAGGAGAAGTGAGGATGAAAAAGAGAGATTTGAAGATGCTACACTGCTGGCTTTGAGTATTAAGGAAGAAGCCACAAGCCAAGGAATGCAGGTGGCCTCTAGAAGCTGTAAAAAGGCATGGAAATGGCTTCTGCCCTACAGCCTTCAGAAAGATTGCCCCCCGAACAACACCTTGATTTCAGGACTCTGAACTTCAAAACCATGAACAAATTAATTGGTGTTACTTTAAGCCACTAAATGTATATTGATTTGTTACAACAGCAAGAGGAAACTAATACAATACAACATTATATTTAAGTGGCACATCTTGATTCACCAATTTATAATGAAAAATTCACATTTCAAGTTCATATTATAATAATTCCAGTTCCCTGTCTTGCTGATTATGAAAATCTATTTTTCTCTTTCAATCTCCTTTTTCCATATCAGGGCAAAGAATCCCAGAGTCAGTGATTACTTAGTCTAAAAGCATCAGATCTTGTCACTAACACTCCTGCCGAAGACACTAGAATGTCTGGTCAGTTTGCTTAAAGGGAACATTATCCACAGCTGCTGCTACTGTTACGGCCACACATTCATGCAGCAATAATAGGAAGTCCAGAGCCTCAAATCAAGATCTAGTCAACTGCAGAAACACAGAGGGTCATGGCCACCATCCAAAGTAACAGTGTTTCCTCAGGATACAGGAGAAAATGTCTGGCTCCTGAGCATTACTCTCAGCTAGGGGTGCTTCATGACAGGGTAAACCTGGGTTCCCAGTGCTCCAGTTCTGCAGTGATACAGCTCTTTCAGCCTGTGGACATGTGGGTATTCTTCCAGGCAAATTCACAGCATCCAGGCAGCTAGATTCGGAAGGGACATGATCTGAGCCAAAGGCAGGTCCCAAACCAGCTTTTCCTACAGTAGATCTGATCTTAGTATAGAGCCTGGAGCCCCAAATCAAGGTGTCCCCCACTTAACGGTCTATTTCCTTTTGGAGACCCCAGTGCCTTCTTCTGGTTGGCCTCAGTCAGGATCACTCAGTCCAATGGATGTGTTTAACTAACTCGGAGCTTGAAAATAAAGATCTTTAGCCCTCCCTTCTTTGAAGATACTCCTCCCTAGTATCCCTTAGTAAAACACAGTGGTCTTCTGCCCCAACTACCCAAGAGTGAGAGCCCTGGGCCTGCCTCAGGGTCATCCTAGAGACTTATTCTAAATATATAGGATTTACTATTAAATGTTCTTTCTCTTTGAGAAAAGTTATAAATTTCTATCTCATGTAGCTTCTCACTTCACATATTTGATTTAATAATGATGACCTTGAATCATTAAAATAGTTATGGTCTGACTTACTGAGGGTCTAACCGGTCAGTAAACCAATGAGTGGCTTGTGTCTTTGATAACCATGGTTTGGAATAAAGCCAAACTTTTTGATGTCCCAGCATCAAACTTTTTCAAGGAGCCTGTATTAATCAGTTCTCATGCTGCTAATAAAGACATACTGGAGGCGGGGAGGAGCCAAGATGGCTGAATAGGAACAGCTCCGGTCTACCTCCCAGCTTGAGCAACGCAGAAGACAGGTGATTTCTGCGTTTCCATCTGAGGTACCGGGTTCATCTCACAAGGGAGTGCCAGACAGTGGGCGCAGGTCAGTGGGTGCGTGCACCGTGCGCAAGCCAAAGCAGGGCGAGGCATTGCCTCACTTGGGAAGCGCAAGGGGTCAGGGAGTTCCCTTTCCTAGTCAAAGAAAGGGGTGACGGACAGCACCTGGAAAATCGGGTCACTCCCACCCGAATACTGCGCTTTTCCGACGGGCTTAAAAAACGGCGCACCACGAGATTATATCCCGCACCTGGCTCGGAGGGTCCTATGCCCAAGGAGTCTCGCTGATTGCTAGCACAGCAGTCTGAGATCAAACTGCAAGGCGGCAGCGAGGCTGGGGGAGGGGCGCCTGCCATTGCCCAGGCTTGATTAGGTAAACAAAGCAGCCAGGAAGCTCAAGCTGGGTGGAGCCCACCACAGCTCAAGGAGACCTGCCTGCCTCTGTAGGCTCCACCTCTGGGGGCAGGGCACAGACAAACAAAAAGACAGCAGTAACTTCTGCAGACTTAAATGTCTCTGTCTGACAGCTTTGAAGAGAGCAGTGGTTCTCCCAGTACGCAGCTGGAGATCTGAGAACGGGCAGACTGCCTCCTCAAGTGGGCCTCTGACCCCTGACCCCTGAGCAGCCTAACTGGGAGGCACCCCCAGCAGGGGCACACTGACACCTCACACGGCTGGGTATTCCAACAGACCTGCAGCTGAGGGTCCTGTCTGTTAGAAGGAAAACTAACAAACAGAAAGGACATCCACACCGAAAACCCATCTGTACATCACCATCATCAAAGACCAAAAGTAGATAAAACCACAAAGATGGGAAAAAAACAGAACAGAAAAACTGGAAACTCTAAAAAGCAGAGGGCCTCTCCTCCTCCAAAGGAACACAGCTCCTCACCAGCAACGGAACAAAGCTGGATGGAGAATGACTTTGATGAGCTGAGAGAAGAAGGCTTCAGACGATCAAATTACTCTGAGCTACGGGAGGACATTCAAACCAAAGGCAAAGAAGTTGAAAACTTTGAAAAAAATTTAGAAGAATGTATAACTAGAATAACTGATATAGAGAAGTGCTTAAAGGAGCTGATGGAGCTGAAAACCAAGGCTCGAGAACTACATGAAGAATGCAGAAGCCTCAGGAGCCGATGTGATCAACTGGAAGAAAGGGTATCAGCAATGGAAGATGAAATGAATGAAATGAAGTGAGAAGGGAAGTTTAGAGAAAAAAGAATAAAAAGAAATGAGCAAAGCCTCCAAGAAATATGGGACTATGTGAAAAGACCAAATCTACATCTGATTGATATACCTGAAAGTGATAGGGAGAACGGAACCAAGTTGGAAAACACTCTGCAGGATATTATCCAGGAGAACTTCCCCAATCTAGCAAGGCAGGCCAACGTTCAGATTCAGGAAATACAGAGAACGCCACAAAGATACTCCTCGAGAAGAGCAACTCCAAGACACATAATTGTCAGATTCACCAAAGTTGAAATGAAGGAAAAAATGTTAAGGGCAGCCAGAGAGAAAGGTCAGGTTACCCTCAAAGGGAAGCCCATCAGACTAACAGCGGATCTCTCGGCAGAAACCCTACAAGCCAGAAGAGAGTGGGGGCCAATATTCAACATTCTTAAAGAAAAGAATTTTCAATCCAGAATTTCATATCCAGCCAAACTAAGCTTCATAAGTGAAGGAGAAATAAAATACTTTACAGACAAGCAAATGCTGAGAGATTTTGTCACCACCAGGCCTGCCTAAAAGAGCTCCTGAAGGAAGCACTAAATATGGAAGGGAACAACCGGTACCAGCTGCTGCAAAATCATGCCAAAATGTAAAGACCATCGAGACTAGGAAGAAACTGCATCAACTAATGAGCAAAATAACCAGCTAACATCATAATGACAGGATCAAACTCACACATAACACTATTAACTTTAAATGTAAATGGACTAAATGCTCCAATTAAAAGACACAGACTGGCAAATTGGATAAAGAGTCAAGACCCATCAGTGTGCTGTATTCAGGAAACCCATCTCACGTGCAGAAACACACATAGGCTCAAAATAAAAGGAGCACCAAGATTCATAAAGCAAGTCCTGAGTGACCTACAAAGAGACTTAGACTCCCACACATTAATAATGGGAGACTTTAACACCCCACTGTCAACATTAGACAGATCAACAAGACAAAAAATCAACAAGGATACCCAGGAATTGAACTCAGCTCTGCACCAAGCAGACCTAATAGACATCTACAGAACTCTCCACTCCAAATCAACAGAATATACATTTTTTTCAGCACCACACCACACCTATTCCAAAATTGACCACATACTTGGAAGTAAAGCTCTCCTCAGCAAATGTAAAAGAACAGAAATTATAACAAACTATCTCTCAGACCACAGTGCAATCAAACTAGAACTCAGGATTAAGAATCTCACTCAAAACCGCTCAACTACATGGAAACTGAACAACCTGCTCCTGAATGACTACTGGGTACATAACGAAATGAAGGCAGAAATAAAGATGTTCTTTGAAACCAACGAGAACAAAGACACAACATACCAGAATATCTGGGACGCATTCAAAGCAGTGTGTAGAGGGAAATTTATAGCACTAAATGCCCACAAGAGAAAACAGGAAAGATCCAAAATTGACACCCTAACATCACAATTAAAAGAACTAGAAAAGCAAGAGCAAACACATTCAAAAGCTAGCAGAAGGCAAGAAATAACTAAAATCAGAGCAGAACTGAAGGAAATAGAGACACAAAAAACCCTTCAAAAAATTAATGAATCCAGGAGCTGGTTTTTTGAAGGGATCAACAAAATTGATAGACCGCTAGCAAGAATAATAAAGAAAAAAAGAGAGAAGAATCAAATAGACGCAATAAAAAATGATAAAGGGGATATCACCACCGATCCCACAGAAATACAAACTACCATCAGGGAATACTACAAACACCTCTACGCAAATAAACTAGAAAATCTAGAAGAAATGGATAAATTCCTCGACACATACACCCTCCCAAGACTAAACCAGGAAGAAGTTGAATCTCTGAATACACCAATAACAGGCTCTGAAATTGTGGCAATAATCAATAGCTTACCAACCAAAAGAGTCCAGGACCAGATGGATTCACAGCCGAATTCTACCAGAGGTACAAGGAGGAACTGGTACCATTCCTTCTGAAACTATTCCAATCAATAGAAAAAGAGGGAATCCTCTCTAACTCATTTTATGAGGCCAGCATCATTCTGATACCAAAGCCAGGCAGAGACACAACAAAAAAAGAGAATTTTAGACCAATATCCTTGATGAACATTGATGCAAAAATCCTCAGTAAAATACTGGCAAAACGAATCCAGCAGCACATCAAAAAGCTTATCCACCATGATCAAGTGGGCTTCATCCCTGGGATGCAAGGCTGGGTCAATATACACAAATCAATAAATGTAATCCAGCATATAAACAGAGCCAAAGACAAAAACCACATGATTATCTCAACAGATGCAGAAAAAGCCTTTGACATAATTCAACAACCCTTCATGCTAAAAACTCTCAATAAGTTAGGTATTGATGGGATGTATTTCAAAATAATAAGAGCTATCTATGACAAACCCACAGCTAATATCATACTGAATGGGCAAAAACTGGAAGCATTCCCTTTGAAAACTGGCACAAGACAGGGATGCCCTCTCTCACCACTCCTATTCAACATAGTGTTGGAAGTTCTGGCCAGGGCAATTAGGCAGGAGAAGGAAATAAAGGGTATTCAATTAGGAAAAGAGGAAGTCAAATTGTCCCTGTTTGCAGATGACATGACTGTATATCTAGAAAACCCCATTGTCTCAGCCCAAAATCTCCTTAAGCTGATAAGCAACTTCAGCAAAGTCTCAGGATACAAAATCAATGTGCAAAAATCACAAGGATTCTTATACACCAACAACAGACAAACAGAGAGCCAAATCATGAGTGAACTCCCATTCACAATTGCTTCAAAGAGAATAAAATACCTAGGAATCCAACTTACAAGGGATGTGAAGGACCTCTTCAAGGAGAACTACAAACCACTGCTCAAGGAAATAAAAGAGGATACAAAGAAATGGAAGAACATTCCATGCTCATGGGTAGGAAGAATCAATATCGTGAAAATGGCCATACTGCCCAAGGTAATTTACAGTTTCAATGCCATCCCCATCAAGCTACCAATGCCTTTCTTCACAGAATTGGAAAAAACTACTTTAAAGTTCATATGGAACCAAAAAAGAGCCCGCATCACCAAGTCAATCCTAAGCCAAAAGAACAAAGCTGGAGGCATCACACTACCTGACTTCAAACTATACTACAAGGCTACAGTAACCAAAACAGCATGGTACTGGTACCAAAACAGAGATATAGATCAATGGAACAGAACAGAGCCCTCAGAAATAACGCCGCATATCTACAACTATCTGATCTTTGACAAACCTGAGAAAAACAAGCAATGGGGAAAGGATTCCCTATTTAATAAATGGTGCTGGGAAAACTGGCTAGCTATATGTAGAAAGCTGAAACTGGATCCCTTCCTTACACCTTATACAAAAATCAATTCAAGATGGATTAAAGACTTAAACGTTAGACCTAAAACCATAAAAACCCTAGAAGAAAACCTAGGCAATACCATTCAGGACATAGGCATGGGCAAGGACTTCATGTCTAAAACACCAAAAGCAATGGCAACAAAAGCCAAAATTGACAAATGGGATCTAATTAAACTAAAGAGCTTCTGCACAGCAAAAGAAACTACCATCAGAGTGAACAGGCAACCTACAAAATGGGAGAAAATTTTTGCAACCTACTCATCTGACAAAGGGCTAATATCCAGAATCTACAATGAACTCAAACAAATTTACAAGAAAAAAACAAACAACCCCATCAAAAAGTGGGTGAAGGACATGAACAGACACTTCTCAAAAGAAGACATTTATGCAGCCAAAAAACACATGAAAAAATGCTCATCATCACTGGCCATCAGAGAAATGCAAATCAAAACCACAATGAGATACCATCTCACACCAGTTAGAGTGGCAATCATTAAAAAGTCAGGAAACAACAGGTGCTGGAGAGGATGTGGAGAAATAGGAACACTTTTACACTGTTGGTGGGACTGTAAACTAGTTCAACCATTGTGGAAGTCAGTGTGGCGATTCCTCAGGGATCTAGAACTGGAAATACCATTTGACCCAGCCATCCCATTACTGGGTATATACCCAAATGACTATAAATCATGCTGCTATAGAGACACATGCACATGTATGTTTATTGTGGCATTATTCACAATAGCAAAGACTTGGAACCAACTCAAATGTCCAACAATGATAGACTGGATTAAGAAAATGTGGCACATATACACCATGGAATACTATGCAGCCATAAAAAATGATGAGTTCATGTCCTTTGTAGGGACATGGATGAAATTGGAAATCATCATTCTCAGTAAACTATCGCAAGAACAAAAAACCAAACACCACATATTCTCACTCATAGGTGGGAATTGAACAATGAGATCACATGGACATAGGAAGGGGAATATCACACTCTGGGTACTGTTGTGGGGTGGGGGGAGGGGGGAGTGATAGTACTGGGAGATATACCTAATGCTAGATGACGAGTTAGTGGGTGCAGCGCACCAGCATGTCACATGTATACATATGTAACTAACCTGGCACAATGTGCACATGTACCCTAAAACTTAAAAGTATAATAATAATAAAAGAAAAAAAAAAAAGAAAGGAACAGAGCCTGAGAAATCGCTGTTAGAATGATTAGTGCATATATTGCCCAAACCTTTAATGGTTTTTATGGCTGTCCTTCAGAACGCCCCACCTTAAAAAAGTCTTTATTAAACTTAGAGCATTTAAGTGTAAAAAAAAAAACAAAAAAAAACAAGACAAACAAAAAAAAAACACATACTCGAGACTGGGTAATTCATAAAGAAAAAAAGGATTTAATGGACCCTCAATTCCACATGGCTGGGAGGTTTCACAATTATGGCAGAAGACAAAGGAGAAAGTCACATCTTACATGGCGGCAGGCCAGAGAGCTTGTGCAGGGGAACTCCCATTTATAAAACCATCAGATCTTGTGAGACTTATTCACTATCACAAGAACAGCACGGGAAAGACCTGCCCCCATGATTCAATTACCTCCCACTGGGTCCCTCCCACAACACGTGGGAATTATGAGAGCTACAATTCAAGATGAGATTTGGGTGGGGACACAGCCAAATTATATCAGAGCCCATACAAACAATTGTTGGGAACTATTCTGGACCAGTCAGATTTTATCAAAATTCCCATGTCTCCTTTGACTCTACTAATTTGGATCTGAGAATGAACTATATACAGTTTTGTTCATATCTGAGGGCTCTTGGCATTGAGAAGATGAAAACTCTTGGCCATGAACTGTTAGCCATTGAGACTGCCTTGTGGGTTAAAAGCCTCATGTTACATTCCTGTTACATACATTTAAAAAGTTGTTCCTGCTCCCCTTGGGTGGCTGATAAATATGTAAAGAGGCTGGGACAGGATTTTCTATTCTAGGGTGCTCTTGCCTCATGTCCAGCCCCTTCCATCCAGGCAAGTCTGTCTGTGGATTTATCAAGAGCCTGGGACAGGGATGGCTGCATAATTTTTAGGATTTCGGGCAAAATGAAAATGTAAGGCCTTCTGTTCAAATATCAGGGTGAGTAAAGTGTCATTAAAGGTATAAATGAAGCATTTTTCTTTCTTCTGGAGCCCATCATGGTGTTTCTAAATGCTATTTAAAGTCATTTAAGCAAAAGAAAGTCAGAATTTTTAATTATTAACATGAATTTAAGTATACATCTTTATATTGTATGATGCCCATTTTAAATGTAAATATTTACACATTAACTCATAAGTGGAACTACAAAAATAGTCCCAAATAATGCTATCCTGGCTTGTCACTGGAAGATGCTTTAAACTGGCCAGAAAAGACAAACACAGGCCAGGCTTAAGGAGGTTGGAAATAGGAAGAAAGTGTCTCCTAGGTATGGAGGCTGTCAAGGGGGTGCCACTGAGCACAAGGTTTCTCCCAGGGTGTATACAGTCCCTCCCAGTTGCCTGTGAGCCCCACCACATAATGTGGGACACCTGTGCCCTCACTCAGGTCTGATGGCTCCCAGATTCCCCCTCTTGCCTACAGCTGGACCAGTGTGTCATGCCTTGGCCTATGGTGGGGTCTAGGGACGTACATCCAGGTCTCTCTCCTTCCCACAACATGCCACACCAATCCATAGAAGATTGGCAAAACCCAAAGATCTCCATGCTAGGATGTGCTTGGTGTTTGGATTAAGGATAGGTGAGAGGGGACTTTAGCCAAGACATGACCTCTGGCTGGCCAGACACACCACGGGGCAAGTGGGAGCAGGGACAGCACCTCCGTGCCCACACTGAGATGTCATGGGGCGCACACAGCTGACCCCAGCCATTTTTATACAAGTGCCTAGAGCCCAAGAGGGGAAGGAGGATGGCAGCAGTCAGGGCAAGGAGGAGAAAGCCAGGTATAATTAGGGTGCCAAGGTTTGGAGGGATGGGAGTCTGAGAATCAATATGGGGGAAGTGGGAGGTGGGGAAGAGGAGAGTGGGGAGGTGGTAAGAATCCACACTGCACACAAGTCTAAACTTGAACCCCTTGGTGTATGCCCCATGGTCCCATTTGCCTTCACTTACAAACCACAAATTATTAAAAAAAAATGATTAAGAATCTCAATGTGGTGGCCACACACTAAGTGTGGGAATCTTCTGAGTGGGACCCTGAGCAACTGCGCTGGTTGCATGCTGACATGATTTTGGTCTGTGTCCCCACCCAAATCTCATGCGGAATTGTCATCTCCATTGTTGGAGGTGGGGCCTAGTGGGAAGTGATTAAATCATGGGGGCAGATTTCCCCCTCAGTGCTGGTCTCTTGATAGCGAGTGAGTGCCTGCAAGATCTGGTTGTTTCAAAGTCTGTGGCACCTCCCACCACCCCTTCCTGTTCCAGGCCATATGAAGATGCCTGCTTCAGCTTTGCCTTCTGCCTTGAGTAAAAGTTCCCTGAGGCCTCCCTAGCCATGATTCCTGTACAGCCTGCAGAACCAGGAGCCAATTAAACCTCTTTTCTTTATAAATTACCCCACTCACACATTTCCTGATAGCAGCGTGAGAATGAATACACAAGCCCATGAAGCCAGCCCTATCTAGGAGACCTGGTGCCTTTGCTCCTCCTATGCTCCTGAGCTGTCATCTATCATCCTTACTGTTGTCTTGTGAGTGATGTGAATTACTGTGCCCTTGCACAGCAGGATCTGTCTTTACTTTTCCTGGTTCCTAACTATGGATAGCTATCACACTCTTTCTCAGTATTATCACCACCACTGCCATGACTTAGCCCTTGTTTTGGCTTCCTACTCTAGTAGGAAAATTTAGATATTACTGAAGAAAATCAGTTAAGTTTAGAAAAATTTATATTTTTCTAAAAAGAACCATTTATATTTCCTTTTCCTTTTCTATACATCCTCAATTCATATTCTTTGCTAATTTTCTATGATTGTTAGTCTTTCGTTATGGATTTTTAGAAACTATTTTGTCAACTACACTTTTGTTTCTGATTTAATTTATAAAATATTTCTTTACAGCTTTGTGTTTACTTTTGACTTTACTTATGCTAGTTTTTATAATAAGGAATATTTTTTAAATTGTATAGAATCAAATTTATTAATCATTTTTATGTTCTGATTTTATTATACTCAATTACTCTTTAAAATTTTCTAATATTTTTTCACATAGACCAATGGAGCAGAATAGAGAACTCAGAAATAAGACCACTCATTGGGTGGGGTGCGGTGGCTCACGCCTGTAATCCCAGCACTTTGGGAGGCCGAGGCGGGGGGATCACGAGTTCAGGAGATTGAGACCATCCTGGCTAACACAGTGAAACCCTGTCTCTACTAAAAATACAAAAAATTAGCCAGGCGTGGTGGCGGGCGCCTGTAGTCCCAGCTACTCAGGAGGCTGAGGTAGGAGAATGGCGTGAACCCGGGAGGCGGAGCTTGCAGTGAGCCGAGATGGCACCACTGCACTCCAGCCTGGGTGACAGAGCAAGACTCTGTCTCAAAAAAAAAAAAAAAAAAAAAAAAGAACACATATCTACAACCACCTGATCTTCAACAACCTGACAAAAACAAGCAATTTTTATTCTTAGTGTTAATCTGTGTCCAATTTATAAATTATAATTTATCATAGTTATGTATGTATAGGGAAAAAATAGTGTATATGGGGTTGACACTATTCACAGTTTCAGGCATCCACTGGGGGTCTTGGAAAGTGTGTCCCACAGATGAGAGGGGACTATTGTAAATGTAATGTGGTGTCATGAGTAGAATTTTGGAACAGAAAAAGGATGTTAGGTAGAAACTAAGGGAATCTGAATAACATGTGAACATATAAACTTTAGTTGACACAATGTATCAATATTAGTTTATTAATTGTGACAAGTGTGTCATGCTAGTATAAGATGTTAATAATAAGAGTAACTGGTCTAAAAAATACAAAGAAAATCCAATCCAATTAAAAAATTGGAGAAAAAAACATGAAGAAACACTTCACCAAAAAAGATACACAGATAAAAAATAAACACATGTTCAACACCCTTGCCAATTAGGGAAATGCAAATTAAAAATGACAATGAGATATCATACACACGTGTCAGAACCACTAAAATAAAAAGTAGCTACAACAACAAATGCTGGGAAACATGCAGAAAAACTGAATCACTCATACATTTCTTGCAGAATGTAAGATGGTACAGCCCACTGAAAACAATTTTCTAAAATAAACATGCAACTACAGATGACTCAGCAATTGCATTCCTTCGCATTTACACCAGAAAAATAAAAATTACGTCTACACTTAAACCTGTGCATGAATGTTTGTAGCAGCATTGTTTGTAAGAGCCCCCAATGAAAAACAGTCCAGTTATCCTCTAATGTATAAATCTTAAATGTGGAGTTAAGTAGTACTCCACTCATACCATGGAGTACTACTGAGCAATACAAAGAAACAAATGATTAACACATACAAACATCTGAATGAATCTCTAGAGAATTGTGCCAAGAAAAAAAAGTCGACCACAAAATGTCACATGTTGCATGATTCCATTAATATGCCATTCTTGAATTGTCAAGATTGTAGAAACGGATGAGTGGCTGCCAGGCATTACAGAGGGGATTGGGATGGGAAGGAAGTGGATGTGGTTATGACACTATAGTATTAGAGATACTGGAGTGATGGAAAGTACCATGTATCCTGACTGCATCTATATGGATACTCTGGTTGTGATAGTGTACTATAGCTTTGTAAGATGTTACAATTGGAAACAAAGTAAAGAACATATGGGATCTCTGTATTATTTCTTAAAACAGCATGTGAATCTACAATATTTTAAAATAAAATGTTTAATTTAAAAATATGTGATGACAGTGCATTGGTAAGGGTATTTTTGTATATTTTTTCCAAGTTTTATTTAATTTTTAATTTTTAACTTTGTGAGTATATCATAGATGTATATGTTTATGGGGTCCAAGAGATGTTGTTGATCACACATACAATATGTCATAATCACATGAGGGTAAATGAGGTATCCATTACCTCAAGCATTTAACCTTTCTTTGTGTTCCAGATAATCCACCTATACTTTTATTTTAAAATGTAAAATAATTATTGTCTGCAGTCAACCTGTTGTGCTATCAAATACTAGATATTACTCATTCTATCTAACTATATTTTTATATCCATTAGCCATCCCCGCAGCATCCTCCCCACTGCCCTTCCCAGCCTCTAGTAAACATCCTTCTACTCTCTATGTTCATTAGTTCAATGGTTTTAATTTTTAGCTCCCATAATTAAGTAAGAATATGCAATGTTTGTCTTTCTGTACCTGGCTTATTTCACTTAACATAATGATCCCCGGCTTCATCCGTGTTGTTGCAAATGACAGACGTTTATTCTTTTTTTATGGCTGAATAATAACCCATTGTATATATGTATCACATTTTCTTTATCCATCCTTCTGTTGATGGACACTTAGGTTGCTTCCAAATCTTGGCTATTGTGAATAGTAAAGCAATAAACATGGGAGTGGAGATATCTCTTCGACATGCTGATTTCCTTTCTTTTGGGTACATACCCAGCAGCGGGATTGCTGGATCATATGGTAACTCTATTTTTAGTTTTTTTGAAGAACCTCCAAACTGATCTCCATAGTGGTTGTACTAATTTACATTCCCATCCATAGCATATGAGGATTCCCTTTTCTCCACGTCCTTGCTAGCATTTGTTATCACTTGTCTTTTGTATAAAAGCCATTTTAACTGGGGTGAGATGATATCTCATTGCAGTTTTGATTTGCATTTCTATAGTGATCAATGATGTTGAGCACCTTTTTATATGCCGGTTTGCTATTTTTATGTCTTCTTTTGAGAAACATCTATTCAGATCTTTGGCCCATTTTAAAAATTAGATTATTAGATTTTTTTCCCAAAGAGTTGTGTGAGCTCTTTGTATATACTTGTTATTAATCCCTTGTCAGATGGGTAGTTTGCAAGTATTTTCTCCCATTCCATGGGCTGTCTCTTCACTTAGTTGATTGTTATCTTTGTTGTGCAAAAGCTTTTTTAACTTGTTGTGATCCTATTTGTCTCTTTTTGCTTTGGTTGCCCATACCTGTGGGGTATTACTCAAGAAATCTTTGCCCACTCCTGTCTTTGAGAGTTTCCTGAATGATTGCTTTTAGTTTCATTTCAATTTTATCTATTTCTTCTCTGATCTTTATTATTTCTTTTATTCTACTAATTTTGGGGTTCATTTGTTCTTGCAGTTTTAGTTCTTGAAGATGCATCACTAGGCAGTTTATTTGAAGTTTTTCTTCTTTTCTGATGCAGGCACTTAGAGCTATACACTTAGAGCTGTACACTTTTCTCTTAGTACTGCTTTCACTATATCCCATATGTTTTCATGTGTTGTGTTATCATTTGTTGCAAGAATTTTTTTTTTAGATGAAGTCTTGCTCTGTCACCCAAGCTGGAGTGCAATGGTGCGATCTCGACTCACTGCAACCGCTGCCTCCTGGGTTCAAGTGATTCTCCTGCCTCCTCCCAAGTGGCTGGGACTACAGGCGTGTGCCACCATGCCTGGCTAATTTTTGTATTTTTAATACAGACAAAGTTTCATCATGTTGGCCAAGTTCAAGTTCTGTTCCAGACTCCTGACCTGTGATCCTCCCACCTCAGCCTCCCAAAGTATTGGGATTACAGGCATGAGCCACCACGCCCTGCCTTGTTGCAAGAAATGTTTTAATTTATTTCTTAATTTCTTCATAGGTCCACTGGTCACTTAGGAGCACATTGTTTAATTTCCATGTGTTTGTATAGTTTTTAAAATTCCTGTTATTGATTTCTAGTTTACTTCAGAAAATTATGGTCAAAAAATATACTTGATACAATTTCAATTTTTTTTGAATGTTTTAAGATTTGTTTTGTAGCCTAGCATATGGCCTAGCCCTAAGAGTAGTCCATGTGCTGAGGAGAAGAATGTGTATTCTGCAGCCATTTCATGAAATGTTCTGTAAGTATCCATTAGGTACATTTGGTCTCAAGTGCATATTAAGTCCAATGTTTCTTTGTTGATTTTCTGTCTGGATGATCTGCCCAGTGCTGAAAGTGTGGTATTGAAGTCTCCAGCTATTATTGTATTGGAGTCTATCTCATTCTATTGCTCTAATAATATTTGTGTTATATATCTGGGTGCTCCAGTGTTGGGTGCATATATATTTACAGTTGTTATATCCTCTTGCTTAATTCACCCTATCATTATACAATGATCTCCTATGTGTCTTTTTATAGTTTTGTCTTAAAATCTATTTTATCTGATACTTGTATAGCTATTTCTGCTCTTTTTTGGTTTCCATTGGCATGGAATAGCTTTTTCCATCCCTTTATTTTCAGTCTATGTGTGTATTTATAGGTGAAGAGTGTTTCTTGTAGGCAACAGATCATTGGGTCTTTTTTTTCCCCATCCATTCAGCTACTCCGTGTCTTTTAATTGGAGAGTTTAGTCTATTTACATTAATATTATTATTGATAAGTAAGGACTTACTCCTGCCATTTAGTTGCTTGTTTTCTGGTTGTTTTGTGGTCCTCTTTTCCCTCTTTCCTTCCTTCCCATCTTCCTTTTAGTGAAGGTGATTTTCTCTATCGGTATGCTTTCATTTCTTGCTTTTTATTTTTTATGTGTATGTTGTACAGTTTTTAGTTAGAGGTTACCTCGAGGCATGCAAATAATATCTTATAATCCATTATTTTAAACTACTGACAATTAAACATTGATTACATAAACTAACAAATAATTAAAGAGAAAACTAATAAAAACTCTACACTTGAAGTTTGTCCCCATGCTTTTTAGCTTTTTGTTGTTTTCATTTATATCTAATTGCACATTCTATTTTTTGAAATGTTACTGTAGTTATTGTTTTTTATTGTTTTTTTAGTCTTTTTACTCAAAATATGAATAGTTTATAAACGACAATTACAGTGTTATATTATTCTGTGTTTTTCTGTGTACTTACTATTACCAGTGAGTTTTACCCATTCAGATGATTTTTTATTGCTCATTTACACCCTTGTCTTTCAGATTGAAGAACTTCCTTTAGGATTCTTGTAGGAAATGTTTGGTGTTCATGAAATCCTTCAGCTTTTGTTTTGTCTGGGAAAATCTGTATTTCTCCTTCATGTTTGAAGGGCATTTTCACTAGGTATACTATTTAAGGATTTTTTTTTTCTTCATCACTTTAAATATGTCATGGTGCCACTCTCTCCTAGCCTGTAAGGTTTCCACTGAAAAGTCTGCTTCCAGATCAACTTTTATTTTACATTCAGTGAATATGTGTGCAGGTTTCTTACAAATGTATATTGGATAATGCTGAGATTTGAGGTACAATTCAACCTGTCACTCAGGTAGTGAGCACAGTACCCAATAAGTAGTTTCTCAAGCCTTGCTCCCTCCCTCCTGACACCCTCTTATAATCCCCAATGTCTATTGTTTCCATGTTTATGTCCATGTGTACCCACTATTTATTAATATATTCCACTCATAAGTAAGAATATGCAGTATTTGATTTACATTTTCTACTTTATAATGGCTTCCAGCCTTATCCATGTTGCTCAAAAGGACATGACTCTCTTTTTTATGACTGTGTAGTATTCTATGTACATACTACCACATTTTCTTTATGCAAGCCAGTGTTGATGGGCACCTAGATTGATTCCATATCTTTGCTGTTGTGAATAGTGCTGCAGTGACCATATGGTTGCATGTGTCCTTTTGGTAGAAAAATTTATTTACCTTTGGGTGTATATACCTAGTAATGGGATTGCTGGGTCAAATGGTAATTCTATTTTAGTTCTTTGATAAATCTCCAAACTGCTTTCCAAAGTGGCTCAACTAATATACATTCCCACCAACAGTGTATAAACATTCCCTTTTCTCTGTAGCCCCACCAATATCTGTTATTTTTAGACTTTTTAGTAATAGACATTCTGGCTGATTTTAAATGATATCTCATTTTGGTTTTGATTTGCATTTCTCTGATTAGTGATGTTGAGCATGTTTTCATATGTTTGCTGGCCACTTATATGTCTTCTTTTGAGAAGTGTCTGTTCATGTCCTTTGTCCAGTTTTTAATGGGGTTTTTTTTGCTTGTTAATATAAATTTATTCTAGACCCTGGATATTAGATCTTCATCTGATGTATAGTCTGTAAATATTTTCTCCCATTCTATAGGTTGGCTGTTTCCACTACTGATAGTTTCTTTTGCTGTGCAGAAGCTCTTTAATTTAATTAGGCCCCACTTACCAATTTTTGTTCTTGTTGCAATTGGTTTTGAGGACTTAGCCATAAATTCTTTGCCAAAACTGATGTTTAAAGGATATATTCTATGTTTTCTATAGCTGGAGATCTTACATTTTGAGTCTTTAATCCATCTTGAGTTAATTTTTGTGTATGGTAATAGGTAGTTTCATTATTCTGCATTTAGATAGCCAGTTTTTCCAGCACCATTTATTCAATAGATACATCTTTCCTCATTGCTTATTTTTGCCAACTTTGTTGCAGATCAGGTGGTTGTAAGTCTGTGACTTTATTTCTGGGTTCTGTATTCTGTTCTGTCAACCTATGTGTCTGTTTTTGTGTCAATACCATGCTGTTTTAGTTACCATACCCTTTTAGAGTAGTTTGAAGTGGGGTACTGTGATACCTGCAGCTTTGTTCTTTTTGCTTAGGATTGATTTGGCTATTCAGGCTCTTTTGAAGTTCCATATGAATTTTAGAATAGCTTTTTCTTATTCTGTGAAAAATGACATTGGTAGTTCGGTAAGAATAGCATTGACTGTGTAGGAAAAGAAGAAGTAAAACTATCTTTCTTCACTGATTATATGAATCTATACCTAGAAAACCCTAATGACTCTGCCAAAAGGACCCTAGATCTGACAAATGACTGCAGTAAAATTTCAGGATACAAAATAAATGTACAACATCAGTAGCATTTCTATGCACTAATAATGTTCAAGCTGAGAGCCAAATCAAGAATGTAATTCCAGCTGGGTGCAGTGACTTACACCTGTAATCCCAGCACTTTGGGGGGCCAAGGCAGATCAATCACCTGAGGTCAGGAGTTCCAGACCAGCCTGGCTGACATGGTGAAACCCTGTCTCTACTAAAAATACAAAAATTAGCTGGGTGTGGTGGTGTGTGCCTGTAGTCCCAGCTACTCAGGAGGCTGAGGCAGGAGAATCGCTTGAACCCGGGAGGCAGAGGTTGCAGTGAGCCAAGATCATGCCACTGCACTCCAGCATGGGTAACAGACAGAGACTCCATCTCAAAAACAAAACAAAACAAAACAAAACACCTAGGCATACATCTAACTAAGGAGCTAAAATATCTCTACTAGGAGAACTACAAAATACTGCTGAAAGAAAGAAGAGATGACACAAACAAACGGAAAAACATTCCATGCTCATGGATTGGAAGGATTAATGTCATCAGTAAGGTTGAATGGAAAGAGACGCTCTCATATGATGTTACTGGGAGCGTAAATTGGTACAATTTCTATGGAGAAAATTTTGGCAGTAGCCACCAAAATTTTATATATATATACATATCCCTTTGACCCACCAATTACACTTTTAGGACTTTAGTCTATAGATCTACATGATCTACACATTTGTATCACGTATGAAATGATTGAAGAACAGATTATGCAGTGTGCCAATGTTTGTACGTTTGTAATAAAAATGGAAATAATTTGAATGTCTGTACCTACAATATTAAATAAATTGTTAAATTGATAAAATGAAACAGTAGGAAGATACAAAATATAATCAGTAGAGTCAGTAAGCTCTGTTTCACTGCTATGAAATAATCCTTAAGAAATATTGTAAAGGGGAAAAAACAAGGTGCAGAATACTATGTATGCTATTTTTTTTTTTTTTTGAGAGAGAGAAGTAATATATTTCCTGGCAAATGCATAGAATATCTTTGGAATAATATTTAAGAAAGTGGTAACATTGTTTCCCTTCTAGAAGGAAAACTGAGAGACAGTGTTGAGAGGAAGACTTCCACCTTGGGATTTTGGATGAGTTTATATTATTCAGCTTAGGCTAGGCTATGATGCAGTAACAAGTTGAGAAGTCTGATGCAGGTGTAATACCCAGCAGAGTAGCTATCCTCTATGCAATGACTCAGCAGACAGGCTCTTCAGCCATTTCTACATTTGGCTTCCAGGTTTCTGCAAAAAAGACAGTATATGAAGAACTCCCATCCACTCTTACCTTTCTTGGATTGGAAGTGTCATCTTACTTTGATTCATAGCCAATTGAATAGTATTAGTCATGTGTCCTTAATTTAGCTGCCAGTGAACCTGGGAAATATAGAGATGTACAAGTAATATTTGGTGAGCAATGCTGTATCTGCAGCAGTGTTGCTGTTCTGCCTTTTCAAATACATAAATCACACCGATCTTTTTAAAATAAAAGGATTTAAAATGATGTTGAGGTTTTTTCCTTTAAATGTAAAAAAAAGGTTAGTGTTTCCTGAGGGGTGGAATATGGATGTGAATATTCTCTATCTTTGTATCAACAAAAGACAAAACTCTGCTGCATCATTTGGTCAGGAAGAGCTTGGAAGCCAGAAGCTAAGTTTATGAATTGCCCAGTTCCAAAGGAAGACATCTAGAGACAGAGTCACAAGGATAAGGCAAGAGGAGAATTAAAAAAAATTGGCCTCAGCAACAAATTAAATAACATACAGGATAAAAATTGTGTAATATAAGTTGATTCACTTATTTTTTACATTTTTGCAATTTCTGGAAATTGCTTTTGTAATTTTATTTTTGATACACAGCTGTCCTAACATCTACTCTTAGGAAAGTTTCAGATGTAGTCATATATATGTCAGTGTGGACCCAGAGCATCACCTCTGCCACAGACTTTGCACTGTAATTCTCAATTATTTCAAAATGGAAGCTCCTGTAACTCCTTAGAAAAATTTCAAGCACAAGCAAGTAAGTATAGAAAGTATTTTGAAGAGCAGGAGATATTTCCTGAATTGAAAACATGTCCATATGAAAACCTGCACATGAATGTTTATAGCAGCTTTATTCATAATTGCCAAGACTTGGAAGCAACCAAGATGTCCTTCAGTAGGTGAATGGTCAAGTAAACTGTGGTACATCCATACAATGGGACACTATTCAGCACTAAAAAGAAATCAGCTATCAAGCCATGACAATACATGAAGGAATCTTAAATGCATATTATTAAGTGAAAGAATCCATTCTAAAGGGGTTACACACCACATGATTCCAATTATACAACATTCTGGAAGAGATAAAATGAAGACAGTAAAAAGATCAGTGGTTGCTGGAGGTGAGGGGGTATGGAGGGGTGAATAGGTGGAGCAGAGAAGAGTTTTACAGCACGAAACTATTTTGTATGATACTGTAGTGGTAAATATATGTCAGTATACATTTGTCAAAACCCACAGAGTGTCCAACACCAAAAGTAAACCTTAATGTAAACTATATACTTTGGGTAAAAATGGTATGTCAATATAAGTTTATCAATTGTCATAAATGTACCACTCTGGTTTGGGATATTCATAGGGCTCTGTGTGTATGGTGGAAAGGGTTATGTGGAAACTTTCTATTATCAATTGTTTGGTGTCTCCTTAAAATTCAAATATTGAAATCCTAGTCTTCAATATGGTGACATTAGGAGGTGTGGTCTTTGGAAGGTAATTAGGTCATGAGGGTAGAGCCCACATAAATGGGATTAGTGCTCTTATAAAAGAGACCCCAGAGAGCTCTCTCACTCTCTTCCTGCAATGTGGGGTATGAGAAGACAGAAGCATACAAACCAGGAGAAATACCCTCACCAGAGACTGAATCTGCCAACACCTTGATCTTGGACTTCCCTGTCTCCAGAAAAATGAGAAATATGTTTGTTTAAGCAACCCAGACTATGGTAATTTGTTATAGCATCCTGTACTAAGATGCGCTTTATACTTTCTGCTCAATATATACATGATTCTAAAGCTGTTCTATAAGATAAAGTCTATTAAAAATTTCAAGCATCTGCAAATTAGTAGGAAAAGCATTTTGAAGAACAAGAGATATATCCAAAGGCCCGTATATTTATATCACTGGAAGCTACTTTGCTAAGGTCTTCCAACTCAGAGCCCAGGCACTTTGGCTGTGGGGTTATCACTGATTATTTTGCTTTATCTACTTATTAATGTCAGCTATGTCACCTGGAGCACATCATTTAATCAGTTTCATGTCTCCTTCATGGGATTGTTGTGATGACAAAAGAGTGCATATTCTGACAGAAGAGCTTACTAAATTATAGCTATTGTGATTTTTTTTCATTATTTAATATACCCCAGAGGAATTTCATGGGGAGTAGAGAAATTTGAAAACGAAAAAGAGAACAGCCAATGTTTTTCTATACCTGCCACACACACACATATACATACAAATATTCCTGTCTTGTAGCTGGTTTATTTAAAATCCAGTGCATTTATAGAAATGCCTTCCCACAGAAAAACATTACCACATGTCAGATCTGATGGAATAGTTACGAGTTCAGAACCATAGCATCTTAGCCCTGTTTTCCAGAGATGTTAATCTAATCATCAATTTATGTAAAGAAGCCAAAGAGAAAAAATAACAAAGGAAAGAGAAAAAAAAAGTAAGTGGGGAAGGAAAACATGGAGTGGATTTTTGTGCATAAATAATAAAAGGATGGTCTTTATGAACAAAGAGAAATGATGTGCATACAGATAACACTTGTTACCTACCAACAAGGTTTGTTTTTTTCCCTCATTAAAGCTTTTGTTGCTTACTGAAACATTTTTGAGTGTTGAGGTTTTGGATTTAAACTTATTTTTAATATTTACCGGTTATACTCCTTCAGATTTGCATTTATTTATTTATTTATTTATTTATTTATTTATTTATTTATGAGACAGAGTCTCGCTCTGTCGCCCAGGCTGGAGTGCAGTGGCGCGATCTCGGCTCACTGCAGGCTCCGCCTCCCGGGTTCATGCCATTCTCCGGCCTCAGCCTCTCGAGTAGCTGGGACTACAGGCGCCCACCACCATGCCCAGCTAATTTTTTGTATTTTTTTTAGTAGAGACTAAAGGTTTCACCTTGTTAGCCAAGATGGTCTCAATCTCCTGACCTTGTGATCCACCCGCCTCGGCCTCCCAAAGTTCTGGGATTATAGGCGTGAGCCACTGCGCCCGGCCAAGATTTGTATTTATTTTAAATATGTTTACTATACTCAATTTTAAATACTGTGATTTTGAAATCAGGACTATTGTTTGACAATTGTGTTATTCATGTTTATCCATTACTTGCCCCAAACAAGCCTCATCCTCTGCAAAGGCAGCCACTTCCTGAAGAGGTCCTAAGCTTGCCTCAACCCAGCGAAAAGACTGAAAGACCCCATCCTCTTGTCCCTGACAGATGCAGGATGCCACTGCCCTGGCTTCAGGCCGCAAAATGAATGATGCTACTTACATTGAGCTTTCCACTCTAATTGGAGGAGAAAGACAATAACAAATAATTGGGTAATTTTAGATAAAGTTCTATGAAGAATGTAACAGAATACAAAGGGGGACTTTGGCAGGAGAAGGAAGCTTGTTGAGAAAGCAGTTAGAAAAAAATTATGTAAAACGACATTTGAGTAGAAACTTGAATGACAAAAATAATTCAGGGAAAAGGCTTTCAGTAAGAAATGTTGAATTGAAAAATCTTAAAGCAGAAATGAGCCTGAGAAGTTCCAGGATGAGAAAGGTGATCATGATGGCTGGGAGCACAGGGAGTTATGTGGAAGTGGTGTCACATAAGGTCATATAGGGTTCACAGACCATGTTAAGGGCATGAATCCTGTGCTAAGTATAAAGGAAAGCCATTAAAGAATTTTAAGCTGAGGAGTAAGATATATCATAAGGGATCCCAGAGGAAAGAGATATTCAAAAGACTAGGAAAGAGATTATAGCAATAGACCAAGAAACTGAAGATGGAGAGGTGAACTGTTAGCACTGGAAACGGTGAAAATGGTTAGTCAAAGAATACGTTTCAGAATGGGATGGTAGAGGCATCAGGCGGAGGGACAAATGGATAATGTATAGTGGTAATATTATTCAAGAAAAGATGTTGAATTTTATCAAGTGCATTTTCAGAACTTACAAGGATAATATTATGACCATTTTCCCCTTTAGATTATTAATAGGTATTTTAATATTGATCAATTATCTTATTTCTAGAATTGTGTCCACTTGTTCTTGCTGTATGAATTTCTTTAAAGTACTACTACATTTCTTTGCTATTAATTTGCTTATTAACTTTTTACATTGATATTGTGATTCACTTATTTTTTAATCTTTGTAGGATTTTTGAAACAATATTTACACAAGCTGAAAAATTAATAATTTTTTTTTATGTTCTAGATTAAAATATTTTACATGGCTTAAAATCATCTGTTCCTTCATGTTTTGGCAGTATTACCTTAGGAAACTATTTAAACCTGCTGTTTTTTGTTTAGAAGTAGTTCCATTGTGACTTTTAAAATATCTTCTGTAGCAATTAGTCTGTTCAGGACAATTTCTATTTTAAAATTATTTAAAATTTATATTTTGCTAGAAATGTATCTCTTTTATGTAGGTTCTCAAATTCATTGCATAAATTAAGTTTCTTATTATTTTAGTTTTTTCCATATTTTAAAATATTTTTCTACTGTCTTTTATATTTTTTAATTTTTGCACTGTGAATTTCTTATATTTTGTATTTTATATTTTTTATATTTTACATGTTTATATTTTGTTTTATCATTTGGTTCTTTTTCACAACTAGCTCTAGGATTTATGTATTCTACCCTTTTATGTTTTATAATGTATTATTTATTTTTATACTTAATTAAATTCAGTATTTAAGCTTTCCATATATTTTAATATTTTCTTTGACTTCTTATTTCTGGCTACATTCACATATTTTCATTCTTTCTTACTTATTGATATAAGTATTTAGTACCATACTTTTTTTCTCTGACAATAGTTTTAACTGTATCCATAATTTTTAAGCTGGTGGTTTAATTAACATTTTTAAAATGTTTTATTTTAACAAAAAGTCCTTTAAGAGAAATTTTAAAATACCAGGTGTTAGAGATTCTTGTTTTTACTTTCTCTATTTTTGTACTTAATTTCTAGTTAGTATCTGTACATTTCTGCTTAGGGATGAAATTGATGTTTTATCTGTGGTCTAATGTGCGGTCAACTTTTGCGACTGTTTCACGGACTCTGTTTCCTAGCTCAGGATTCAACATTAAATAGACGTATTTATTAAATTTACAATATAAGGTAGAAGTAATTTATTACTTAACTAATATAGGCTTGTTTATCTTTATATAGTTTTAACCCACTTGAACTATTGTAGTCTGAGAGCAGTGAATTGAAATTTCTATCTAATGATGTGTTTCTGCCCATTGCTCTGTGTATTTCTTATATATTTTGCTTTATGATGGTTGATGTGTTGTTCTTTGGTACATGGATATTTGCAAATGATAGATTTTATTACTGATTTTAACTTTTACCATTATAAAGTGCCCTTCTTTTTCTCATTTAATTATTCTGGTTTGAATTCAGGCCTATGATGTGTTAAGATCAGAGATTCCTTTTCCTCTGCATTTGCCCCTCATGTCTTTGCCTATTCATTCATTTTTTTTTCCTTTCATAGTCATTTCATTAGGTGTTTCTCTTATGTCCGGCACAACTTCAGGTGTTGCTGTGTGATTCAGTCTTATTTTCACACATGCCTTATTTCATTTTTTTTTTGCTTTTAGTATGTATTTCATTGTTTTATCTTTCAATAAGTGGTCTTCTTTGTCGTATGTGTGTTTCTTTCTGATTATTTGGGACGTTTGTGTTTTTCTAGTAGCTGTGTTTATAATTTTATATCGTTACTTAATTTTCTATTGATGTAGATAAGCATCTACTCATTCTCTTCTAAACAAGCAATGACAGAATTAGTATACATTTGCTTTTACTTCCATTCCTAAAATAAAAGGAATTAGTTGGAAATATCCTAATTAAAAATCTTTGAGGGGAAAATTTAAGATCTGTTTTTCAGTCAAATAAATCTAAAGTTCAATGTTTTCAAAGGAAAGTACAAGTACAAGGCTTAAAATGAACAGGGTGGGGTCTTTTCTCAGCACATGGCTTTGAGAACACGCAGGCTAGTTGGGATCTTCAAGTCCAGATTTTCCATCTTGTGTTTCAGTTATATCAATATTCCTGGGCTGGAAAATTTAATTCAGCTTGATCCTTTCTTGATCATAAGGTGGCTTTTAATGGGTTTCAAATTAATGGCTTTCTATAATTGGCAAGGGTGAGAAGACCTTGTGACAGAAGAATGTTAACAAATAAAGGCTAAAACTAAATGGAAGATTTCCACTGGCATCTTTGTTTCCCCGTTTCTCCAGCGAACTTGTGGTGACCTCTAAGAAGTTTATTTGGATATTGTGAGTGATAGAAGAAATTATAAAATGGAATATATAAATAAACCTACACATATAATAATATGTGTAATATTGAATGTACCATAATAACCAACAGTTATTGAGCACTTTCCATGTATTGTCTTTATTAATCTGCCAAACAACCTTATCAGCAAGGTCCCATCAACATTATTACAGATGAGAGAAATCAAGCTTAGAGGACTTGATTAGCTTTCCCAACATCATTCATCTGTTAAATAGCGAAACCAAAATTTATATTGAGGCCGCCTAACAACAAAGGGAAATTAAAAGAAAAATAGAAAGGATGGTATGTATATAAATGCAGAGTTTTCTAAACTTTCCATTTTATAGTTCTCTATTTGATTTCTTACAATGTGTAACATTATAATTATAAAATGAGACAAAAGTAGTAATTTGAGACGTGCAGAAGTACTGATTTTCTTACCAGTCAAATGTATATTTACTTAATAATTATTTTTATTTTTGCTCTCTGCCCATAACTTCACTCCCTCACTTAATAAAATAAATGTCAGGAACACACTCGTAGTGTTTTTGTTCGAGAGCTCAGCTTTCCAGGTAGAACTGTCCATTGTTTCAGGTCTGACTGTTTTTCTCTTTGACAGAGATTTGAATAAAACATTGGGAATTCTCCCAGAATGGCTTTTAGTGGTGAACACATGCCAGCTGTGCTTTCAGCCACAAAGTTGCCTTTGGGATGCTTGCATTCCCAGCTGAGCAGAAGTCCCTCTGCCTACTCCCTAAGCTCACAATAATGGTGTTTTACAGGAAGCAGGCTAAATATAACATTTCTCCAAAATATTTCTATTAAGGTTTATTTCTAGCTCAGTATACACATTTTATGACTATTTCTTTGACTATCATGAGTAGTGTGGTTTAAAAGAAGATATTTCCTTTTTATGTATGAGTCTGCCTTTTCATTACTTCCTTTATGGAAGATTTGTAGACATTGTGTCCTTAAAAGTATGTCTCCGAATTCTCCTAGCTGCCCTTCTGGGTATATTTCCCCTCTCTAAAGAAGTGAGGTAAGGATAGAGTTGTTAGGCCTCCAAGTTTATCAATTTGATTGTTCCATAGAAAAGAGCACAGGGCACATAGAGGATGTGTTTGCCTAGATCTAAAGGGATGCATGTCAAGTTCAGCACTTGATGAACATATGACAAGTGATTGTCCTGCCATTATGATTAAACACTGATAACACAGTCAGCCACAGATATATATGAGGATGTGTGCTTCCCCTGGGTTAGGAGGGAAATGATTTTGACACCACAGTGGGAACACTAATTTGCACACTACTGGTGAGTGACACCCTTCCATTGTCACATTTATCCTAAATCTTTGAGAAAATGGTTAAAAATCTCCAAATATAATTGTATATTAGTCTCGTTCTCCTTTAGTTTTATATTATGTATCATGAAGCTCTGTAATTAGGTACACAAACATTCATAGCTTTTATTTCTTCTTGAATGATGAACTTTTTAATCATTATGAAATTCCCTCTTTATCTCAAGAAACACACTTCTTGAAGTACATCTTTATAATATTAACATAACATCTCCAGTTTACCTTTTAGGGTTTGCATGACTTTTTAGCATTTTATTTAATTCTTTTAGTTTTAACCCATCACTCTTTTGTATTCAATCTGGAAATCTTTGCCCTTTAATTAATTATTTACTCTACATGTTATGCAATTTTTTTATAAGATTGGGTTTAAGTCTATCATTGTACTACTTGTTTTTTATTTAAATCCTGTTTTTTTTCTATTATTTTATATTCTCTGCTGTTAAACAATTAACTGAATATTTCTTATATTGCATTTTTTCTCCTCCATGGCTTTTTGGCTATTCATTTTTAGTTTATGTTTTGTTTTTTAGTGGTTGTTCTAGAAGTTATAATAAGTATCTTCAACCTTTTAACAATACTACTTCATGTATAATTTAGGAAATTGGACAACATTATATTTTCATTTACTTCCTTTCTTCCTTTGGTTTATAGTTGTCATGTATCTTACTCCTATGTATGCAATAAACCTCCAACAGCATTGCTATAAATTTTGCTTTAAATAAACAATTGTCTTTTAGAAAATATTTTAACAAGAAAAAGCCAAATCTCTCTACTTATTTTTCATTTCCAATGCTTTTGATTTTTTTTTAATGTAGATCTCAGTTTTCATGTCGTGGCATTTCCTTTCAGCCTCAGGATTTCCTTTAGAATTTATTTTAGCACAGGTCTAATGGTGATGAATGATTTTAGATTTTGTTTATCTAAAATGTATTTATTTCTCCTCTACTTTTTGAAATATATTTTTCTGGATTCAGAATTGTAAGTACACAATTTTTTTCTTCTCCTGTACTTTTTGAAAGATATTTTCCTGGATACAGAAGTCTACGTAGAAATTTTTTTTCTTCTCTTTCAGTACTTTGAAGATGTCATTCCATTATTTACTGGCTTACATTGTTTTTATTAAAAAGTCAGCAGTAATTCTTAGCATTGTGCCCCTGTATGTAGCATATTTTTTCCTCAAGTTATTTTTAAGATATTATTTTCTCTTTATTTTAAGAATCTGTTATTTATCTTTTATTTTAAACAAGTTGACTATCATGTGGCTAGATGGGAAGTGAGAGAAAGAAAAAGACAAACAGAGAGATAAATAACTATTTGTGATTGTGTGTGTGTATCCTATTTGACATATATTAGAATATTGGGCATATAGGATGGCATTTGTCATCAAATTTTGAAAAATTGAAGCACTTATCTCTTCAAATATTTTTCTGCCTCTTTCTCTTTCTCCTTTTCTTCAGAAACTCCCATTTCACATATGTTCACCTGATGCTTTCCTCCAATAATTTAGGCTCTGTTTTTTAGTTTTAGTTTTTATTTTCTTATGGCTTTTTTTCCTGTACTTTGATTTGGATGATGAGGCTTTTCTTTTTCTTTTTTTCTGGTAAATCCCATTTTTTCTTTTTTTACTTTAAGTTCTGGGTTACCTGTGCAGAATATGCAGTGTTGTTACAAGGGTATACATGGTTTCCTGCACCTATCAACCCGTCACCTAGGTTTTAAGCCCCACAGCCATTAGCTATTTGTCCTGATGCTCTCCCTTCCCTCCACCCACCCTGCCCTCCAATAAGCCCTGGTGTGTGTTGTTCCCCTCCCTGTGTCCATGTATTCCCATGTGTTCAAATCTCACTTATGAGTGAGAACATGCCATGTTTGGTTTTCTGTTCCTGTGTTAGTTTGCTGAGAATGATGGCTTCCAGCTTCATTCATGTCCCTGCAAGGGACATGGTCTCATTCCTTTTGTGGCTGGATAGTATTCTATGGTGTATATGTACCACATTTTCTTTATCCAGTCTATCATTGATGGACATTTTGATTGGTCCCATGTCTTTGCTACTGTGAATAGTGCTGCAATAAACATACGTGTACATGTATCTTTATAACAGAATGCTTTATATTCCTTTGGGTATACACCCAGTAATGGGATTGCTGAGTCAAATGTTATTTCTGGTTCTAGATCTTTGAGGAATCACCACACTATCTTCCACAATGATTTAAAGAATTTACATTCCCCCAAAAAAAGCATTGTTATTTCTTCAGAGCCTCGCCAGCATCTGTTGTTTCTTGACTTTTTAATAATCGCTATTCTGACTGGCATGAAGTGGTATCTCATTATGGTTTTGATTTGCATTTCTCTAATGATCAGTGATGCTGAGCTTTTTTCATATGTTTGTTGGCTGCATAAATGTCTTCTTTTGAGAAGTGTCTGTTCATATTCTTCACCCATTTTTTGATGCGGTTGTTTGTTTTTTCCTTGTAAAGTTAAGTTCCTTGTAAATTCTGGATATTAGACAACTGTCAAATGGGTGGGTGGCAGAATTTTTCTACCATTCTGTAGGTTGCCTGTCCTCTCTGATGATAGTTTCTTTTGCTGTGCAGAAACCCTTTAGTTTGATTAGATCCACTTTGTCAATTTTAGCTTTTGTTGCTATTGCTTTTAGCAATTTTATCATAAAATCTTTGTCCATGCCTATGTCCCGAATGGTATTGCTGAGGTTCTCTTCTAGGGTTTTTATGGTTTAGGATTTACATATAAGTCTTTAATCCATCTTGAGCTAATTTTTGTATAAGGTATAAGAAAGGGGTCCAGTTTCAATTTTCTGCATATGCCTAGCCAGTTTTCCCAGCACCATTTATTAAATAGGGAATCCTTTCCCCATTGCTTGTTTTTCAAAGATTTGTCAAAGATCAGATGATTGTAGGTGTGTGGTCTCCATTCTGTTCCATTGGTCTCTATAGACCAATATATAGACCTACTTCTGAGGTATCTCTTCTGTTCCATTGGTCTATATGTCTGTACCAGCACCATGCTGTTTTGGTTACTATAAACTTGTAGTATAGTTTGAAGTCAGGTAGCATGTTGCCTCCAGCTTTGTTCTTTATGCTTAGGATTGTTTTGGCTATGTGTGCTCTTTTTTGGTTCCATATGAATTTTAAAGTATTTTTTTTCTTATTCTGTGTAGAATGTAATGGTAGTTAGATGGGAATAGCATTGAATCTATAAATTACTTTGGGCAGTATGGCCATTTTCACAATATTGAGCCTTCCTATCCATGAGGATAGAATGTTTTTACATTTGTTTGTTGTCCTCTATTATTTCCTTGAGCAGTGGTTTGTAGTTCTCCTTGAGGTCCTTCACTTCCCTTGTTAGCTGTATTCCTACATATTTTATTCTCTTTGTAGCAATTGTGAATCAGAGTTCATTCATGGTTTGGCTCTCCGCTTGTCTATTATTGGTGTATAGGAATGCTTATGATTTTTGCACATTGATTTTTGTATCCTGAGACTTTGCTGAACTTGTTTATCAGCTTAAGGAGTTTTTGGGCTGAGATGATGGGGTTTACTAAATATAGGATCAGGTCATCTGCAAATAGAGACAATTTGACTTCCTCTCTTCCTATTTGAATATGCTTTATTTCTTTCTCTTGCCTGATTGCTCTGACCAGAACTTCCAATAATATGTTAGATAGGAGTGATGAGAGAGGGCACTCTTGTCTTGTGCAGATTTTCAAAGGGAATGCTTCCAGCTTTTGCCAATTCATATGATATTGGTTGTGGGTTTGTAATAAATAGCTCTTATTATTTTGAAATATGTTCCATCAATACCTAATTTATTGAGAGTTTTTAACATGAAGAGATGTTGAATGCTATTGCAGGCCTTTTCCACATCTATTGAGATAATCATGTGGCTTCTGTTTATGTGACGGATTACATTTATCGATTTGCTTATGTTGAACCAGCCTTGCATCTCAGGGATGAAGCTGACTTGATTGTAGTGGATAAGCTTTTTGATGAGCTGCTGGATTCAGTTTGCCAGTATTTTACTGAGGATTTTCACATCAATGTTCATCAGGCATATTGGCCTGAGGTTTTCTTTTTTTCTTTTTTTTTTTTTTTTTTTGTGTGTGTGTGTGTGTGTGTCTCTGCCAGGTTTTGGTATCAGCATGATGCTGGCCTCATAAAATGAGTTAGGGAGGAGTCCCTCTTTTATTGTGATGAAAACATTTAAAATCTACTCTCCTAGCAATTTCTAAGTATACAATCTATTACTATTAACTATAGTCACTATGCTGTACAACAGATCTCCAGAACTCATTTCTCCTGTGTAACTGAAACTGTACCCTTAAACAACATCTCTTTATTCCCCTAAACACCTCCCTTTTTGAAGCCTCTGGTAACCATCATTCTGCCCTCTACTTCTATTAATTCAATTGTTTTATTTTAAGATTCTACATATAAGTGAGATCAAGCAGTATTTGTCTTTCTGTATCTGGCTTATTTCATTAAGCATAATGCCCACCATTTTCATCTGCTTTGTCACAGATAACAGTATTTCTCTCTTTTCTGGCTACTATTTCATTGTGTAATGTGACTACTATTTCACTGTGTATATGCTACATTTTTAAAAATTTGTTTATCTGGTGATGGACATCCAGGTTGATTCCATATCTTGGCCATTGCAAATAATGCTGCAATAAACACGAGAGTATAGATATTTATTCAACATACTACTTTCATATCCTTTGGATATATACCCAGAAGTGGGATTGCTAGATCACATGATAGTTCTATTTTTAACTTTTTTAGAAACTCCATACTGTTTTCCATAATGAATGTACAAATTTACATTTTCACCAACAGTGTACAAGGGTTCCCTTTTCACCAGATTCTTGACAATGCTTGCTGCTTTTTGTCTTTCTTAATAAAAGTCATTCTCACAGGTGTGAGGTGATAATCTCATTGAGATTTTAATTTACATTTCTCTGATTATTAGGATGTTGAACACCTTTTCATATACACTGGATATTGTGAAATTGGATTATAAGAGTGAAATAAGGTGAAATAGGGGCCCAATTTCATTGTTCTGCATGTGAATATTTAGTTTTCACAACACCATTTGTTAAAAAGATTGCTCTTTCTTCATTGTGTGATCTTAACAACTTGCTGAAGATCAATTGACTGTAAATGTGTAGACTTATTTCTGGGCCCTCTATTCAGTTCCATTGGTCTATATGTCTGTATTTAGGCCAGCACCACACTGTTTTGATTTCTGTAGCTTTGAAGTAGACGTTGAAACCAAGCAGTGTGTTGCCTTTAGCTTTGTTCTTTTTGCTCAAGATTGCTTTGGCTATTTGGAATCTTTTCCAGTTTCATAGAAATTTTAGGATTGCTTTTTATTTACTTGAAAAATGTTGGAATTTTGAGAGGGATTGCATTGAATCGGTGGATCAATTTGGATATTACGGACATCTTTACAATGTTAATTCTTCCAAGTCATGAACATAAAATAACTTTCCATTTATTTGTGTTACCTCAATTTCTTTCATTAATGTTTTATAGTTTGCAGTGTACAGACAGATCTGTCATCTCCTAGGTTAAATTTATTTTTCTATTTTGATACTATTATAAATGAGATTGTGTTCTTGATTTCCATTTTGGATAGTTTGTTGTTAGTGTATAGAAATGTCACTAATTTTTGTATGTTGATTTTGTATCTTGCGACTTTATTAAATCCACTTTCTAGCTCTAAAAGTTTTGAGGGAATCTTCAGGGTTTTTAATATATGAAATTATGTCATCTAAAAATGGAGGCAATTTAATTTCTTCCTTTCCAATTTGGATGCCTTCTATTTATTTCTCTTCCCTAATTTTTCTGGCTAGGACTTCCAGTAATATATTGAATAGAAGTGGTGATAGTAGCCGTTCTCTCTTGTTCCTAATCTTAGAGGAAAAGCTTTCAACTTTTCACCATTGAGTATGATATTAGTTTTGGGTTTGTCATATATGGCCTTTATTGTGTTGAGAAACATTTATTCTAAAGTAAATTTGTTGAGAGTTTGTATAATGAAGTGGTGTTGAATTTTGTCAAATGCTGTTTTTGTATTTATTGAAATAATCATATGGTTCTTGTCTGTTCTGTAATGTGGTGTAGCACCTTGATAAATTTTTGTATATTAAAGTATTTTGAATCTTAGAATAAATCCCACTTGGTAATAGTGTATTATCCTTTCCATACACTGTTGAATTTACTTTCCTAATATTTTGTAGATAACTTTTATATATATGTTAATTAGGAATTTTGGCCAGTAATTTTCTGTTCTTGTAGCTTCCTTGTCTGTTTTTAGTATTGATATGGGAGTGCTGGGAAGGTAAGAGCATGGCCCCTTTAAATGATGTGGAAAGAGGGAAGAGAAGTGCTGGGTAGAGGGAGGGTGTGGTCCCTGGCTAGGGCTCACCCCCATGGACCTAGGTGAGGATAGGCATTCCTGCCTTCTTGCCCAAATGTTGCATTTTCCAAGACCTCCCTGGCCCACCATGCCCCCATCCTGTGCCTGTAAACCCCCGGAGACCCTAGCAGGCAGATACACAAGTGGCTGGACGTCATGAAGAGCGCATCGGTGGAAGAAGATACAAGTGGCTGGTCATTGAGAGCACGCCGGCAGAAGAGCATACCAACAGGCACTGGCAGGCCGGCAGGCCATCAACTGGTGGAATGACGTGGAGTTTGGCTGGAGCGGTAGAGGAAGAGTCAGGCACCCGGCCAAACTCCAAGGGAAAAACATCTCCCTTCTGGTTCCCCCATCTGCTGAGAGCTACTTCCACTCCATAAAACCTGGCATTCATTCTCTAAGCCCACGTGTGATCTGATTCTTCCAATACACCAAGGCAAGAAACCGCGGGATACAGAAAGCCCTCTGTCCTTGCAAGAAGGTAGGGAGTCTAATTGAGCTGACTAACACAAGCCACCTATAGATGGCAAACTAAAAGGGCATCCTGTAATACACGCCCATTGGGGCTTCAGGAGCCATAACATTCACCCCTAGGCACTGCTGTGGGACTGGAGCCCCACAGCCTGCCCGTCTGTATGTTCTCCTAGGTGTTTGAGCAGTGGGGCACTGAAGAAGCGAGCCACACCCCCATCTCACACCCTGCGAGGGGGTTAGGGGGAAATTTTCACGTGTCAGTATCAGGGTAATTCTTGTCTCCTAAACTGAGTTTGGAAGTGTTCCTTCCTCTTCAATTTTTTGGGAGAGTTTAAAAGTATTGGCATTAATTATTCTTTAAACATTTGGTAGGCCAGGCATGGTGTCTCATGCCTATAATCCCAGCACTTTGGGATGCTGAGACAAGAGGATCACTTGAGGCTAGGAGTTTGAGACCAGCCTGGGCAATATAGTGAGACCCCATCTCAAAAAATTTATTATTTATTTATTATTATTATTTAATAATAACAAGGTCTGATGGTGTGCACCTGTAGTTCCAGCTTCTTGGTAGGCTGAGGCAGGGAAATCACTTGAGCCTGGGAGGCAGAGGTTGCAGTAAGCTAAGATCATGCCACTGTGCTTTAGCCTGGGTGACAGAGCAAGACCTCATGTGAACAAAAAAGAAAGAATAAGAATAAAAATCGATAGAATTAGTGAAACTATCAGTTCCTGGGCTTTTCACTGATGAACAACATTTTATTACTCATTAAATCTTTGTACTTATTATTAGTCAGTTCAGATTATATTTCATCATGATTCAGTAATGGTAGATTGTATATTTCTAGAGATTTGTCCATTTCTTCTAGGTTATCCAATTTTGGGGGGTGTAATTGTTCAGTTTTTTTATGCTTCTTTGCATTTCTGTGGTATCAGTTGTAATGTCTCCTTTTTCATTAAGTCTAGCTAAATATTTGTCCATTTTATCTTTTCAAAAAGCCAACTCTTAACTTTTGATTGTTTTTTTCATCTCTATTTTATGTATTTCTGCTCTGATCTTTATGATTTCCTTCTTCTACTATTTTGGGGCTTAGTTTCTTTTTTGCTAGTTTCTCTAGGTGTAATATTAGGTTGTTTATTTGAGATCTTTCTTCTTTATTGAGGTAGGCATTTATTGCTATCAACTTCCCTTTTAGAACTGTTTTTGCCCCATTCTATAAGTTTTGGTCTATTGTATTTCCATTTTCATTTGTCTCAAGATATTTTTAAATTTCTCTTTTTATTATTTGGCCCATTGGTTGTCTAATTTTTATTTGTAACTTTTCTGAATTCCTTCCTGTTACTGATTTCTAGATTTACACCCTTGTGGTCAAAAACTCTACTTGACATGATTTCAATGGTCTTAAATTGGTTAAGACTTCTTTTGTGGCCTAACATAATCTATCCTAGAGAATGGTGATGTGCGCTTGAGAAGAATATGTATTCTGCTGTTATTGGATGGAATATCTTTTATATGTCTGTGAGGTCCATTTGGTCTTAAGTATAGTTCAAATCCACTGTTTCCTTATTGATTTTATGTCTGGATGATCTGTTTATTGTTGAAAGTGCATTTGGATCAGTCTTTAAGCCACTGGTTTTTTTTCTGTAGTGGCCATTATGTTGATGCAACATCTACGTCAGCTTTCTTCTTTTTCTATTAACATTTTTCTTCTGGTTATGGGATGCCTGTTCCTGTGTCTTCATATGTCTAATATATTATTTAGCTTAATTCTAAACGTTGCTGATACAACATTGTTAAAAGTCTGGATTTTGTGGTCTTTCATCTTATCAAGAATTATTTTGGGACTGCATTATGCTGTGTCTAGAATAGATTTTATGACAGGGCTTAATTAGCATTACTTCTAGGAGTAATGTTTTTGTTTCTTAACTTAATGCCCAGGTGTTCGGTGCAATGTCACTACTTTGGCTGGTCAAAACTCCATTATTTTCCACCATTATGTGGACTTTGGAATATCTATGCATCTCACAGCCCTTGAATACCATCATTCTGTCATGTCTTGGGGAGTCTCTTATTGCACACAGCTGAGTATTTGACCAAAGACACAAAAGGATCACTATGTGATTTTCTGGAGGTCCTCTCTTTGTCACCTCCTCTTCAGTATACTCCCCTGCAAACATTGGTCAACACAGTAGTCCTTGACTCCAATATTTGTTTCCTCTGCCCAACAAGCTTGCTGCAATCTGAGCGCCTTTTTCCACTGTGATGAAACAGACACTTTCATATATTGTTGGTAAAAGTGTTAATTGCTAAAAATCTCCATGGAGAACAATTTTACTATAGTCATTAAATTTTAAATTGCAAATATCCTTTGGTCTCCAAATTCCACTGGTGGGAGTGAAACTCAGACACTCAAAATTATTGACATGTATACATGTAAGATTACATTTTGCAGCATTGTTTGAAATAACAAATGAATGGAAACAATCCAGATGTTTCTACACCAGGCACTACTCTTAAAATTATTATATCATCATGCATTACCACACTATTCAGGTTTGTAAAAGAAAGATGGCATTCTCTGTGTACTAATATGGAAAATGTTTCCAGATTAATTTCATGAAGAAAGCCAGGTGGAATACAATGCATGGAATATGTATATAAAAAGGAAGGAAAGAATAAGAATCTCTATTGGTAGTAATTTGTATGTAGATAATAAAACTCTAAAATAAAAATTGTAGCCATTGGAAATACATGTTAAAATGGGGGAAAATGTGCAGATAAAACACTTTTCCATTATTCACTGTTATATGAACTTTAACAATTTAGATGATGTGAAAATTGCCCCTATTCAAAAAAATTAATAAATGCATTAAAAGAAATATCATAAACAACTAATTAAATCCACAAAGATACATCTAAGGATTCCCTGGGATCCAAGAGCCCCAATTTGAGAAAATCCTATTGTACAGATTTATTTATAGAAATACTTATACATTGGAAATATTCACACAATACAAAACTGAAAGTTAACTTTTTTTATTTTATTATAGTTTAAGTTCTAGGGTACATGTGCACAGCGTACAGGTTTGTTACATGGTTATACATGTGCCATGTTGATTTGCTGCACCCATCAACTCGTCATTTACATTAGGTATTTCTCCTAATGCTATCCCTTCCCCTGCCCCCCACCCCATGACAGGCCCTGGTGTGTGATATTCCCCACCCTGTGTCCATGTGATCTCATTGTTCAACTCCCACCTATGAGTGAGAACATGCGATGTTTGGTTTTCTGTCCTCGTGATAGTTTGCTTAGAATGATGGTTTCCAACTTCATCCATGTCCCTGCAAAGGACATGATCTCATCATTTTTTATGGCTGCATAGTATTCCATGGTGTATATGTGCCACATTTTCTTAATCCAGTCTATCATTGATGGACATCTGGAGTGGTTCCAAGTCTTTGCTATTGTGAATAGTGTCACAATAAACATATGTGTGCATGTGTCTTTATAGTAGCATGATTTATTATCCTTTGGGTATATACCCAGTAATGGGATTGCTGGGTCAAATGGTATTTCTGGTTCTAGATCCATGAGGAATTGCCACACTATCTTCCACAATGGTTGAACTAATTTACACTCCCACCAACAGTGTAAAAGCTTTCCTATTTCTCCACATCCTCTCCAGCATCTGTTGTTTCCTGACTTTTTAATGATTGCCATTCTAACTGGTGTGAGATGGTATCTCATTGTGGTTTTTATTTGCATTTCTCTGATGACCAGTGATGACGAACATTTTTTCATATGTCTGTTGGCTGCATAAATGTCATCTTTTGAGAAGTGTCTGTTCATATCCTTTGCCCACTCTTTGTAGATTCTGGATATTAGCCCTTTGTCAGATGGGTAGATTGCAAAAATTTTCTCCCATTCTGTATGTTGCCTGTTCACTCTGATGATATTTTCTTTTGCTGTGCAATTCTTTAGTTTAATTAGATCCCATTTGTCTATTTTGGCTTTTGTTGCCGTTGCTTTTGGTGTTTTAGTCATAAAGTCTTTAGCCATGCCTATGTCCTGAAGGGTATTGCCTAGGTTTTCTTCTAGGGCAAAACTAACTGAAAGTTAACTTTCCATCATACTACCAGAGTATCTCCATGGATAATTGCCAGATTTGTGTATGAGTGGTGTGTGTGTGTACTCCTATACATTGTGTATATCTAGAAAGTTTTATGGGTGCTTAACAATATTTGAAATTCCTCTCGTAATTTTTATTCTCCTCTGGATTTTTACTTATAAAATAAATTTTAGTAATTTGTGTTTTCAAAAAATATTAATACTTTCATTTAGATTTTCAAATTTTCTATAGGGATTTATTTGTAATAGCCTCCTATCAACTTTTAAAACTCTGTGCTTGATGATGTATTTATTCCTTTTTAAAATCCCCAAGATGGTCTATTACTGTTTTATCTTCTCTTAGCTTAACCATCACTAAGATTTCTAAGTATTTTTGTTGCACAATTTTCCATAATAAACTGCTATATGCATTTACCATATCTACTCTTAGTTTTTGTTTTTAATTTATTAATATTCTTTATAATATTATTTTCTTTCTCTTTTCTTAAATTTAATTGGTAATTAGTTTTAAGTTTCTTGTGTTAAAAAAGCTCATTTATTTTTATATCTAATTCAAATTTTATCATCATTAAAAGGTATTAAATATTTTTGATGACTTTTTTTATATTGTGTCATCATTCATTAAGAAAAGCATCTTTAAATTCTCTGGATGATTAAAATACTGGTTTAATTGCATTGTGTCAGATGAAACTTGTATCCTTTTCCACTTTGAAAAAATTATTAAAGGTTTTTTTTGTGACCCATGGCAAGATTAATAGAATTCATTTTCTACTTATAAAATATTTGATATAAATACACTAAATAAAGCCTTACAATTTAGAATACTCTTACTTAGTATTTCCTATTTGACCTTCCATACCCTGGAAAATGACTTTTAAATTTTTCCATTCTAATTGCTATTTTATCAGTTTAATTTTTGAAGACAATTGAAGATTCCTTGCTATGTAAATTATTAGATTAAATACCTGCTTCCTTAGGAAATTAATCTCAGTAAGAATAAGCAGTACTTTACCATGAAAGTAAATTGTCAGATGCCTCAAATATTGAGAACACTGCTTTCATGATAATTATATTCTATCCTATGTATTCCACATTTTGTCCATATTTTGTTACAATCCAACTATATATTTACATAAAAAAAATTTCTATATCCTAACATATTATTAATTTACTTCAGGTAAACACTAAAAATCCCAACACAAGGAAAATCTTAAAATTGATGGTCCTGAGAATTTATGCATTTGTATAAATGATCAATTTCTCTTAACAGAGATTTTAAGAAGAGGGCAGAACTATAAATGGAAATATATTGCAGTTGCAAAGCAAACAAAACAATTTTTTGTATGGATGACAGAGAAAGGACAGACGGTTCATGTCATTCGTTCTAGCCACACTACCATTCACAGGGCATTTTCTTTGAAAATGACAGCCACTAATACAATCAATTCTACCTTTGTTCATTATGTGAATTTTCTTTGTCAAAAAACTAAACATTAGTGGAAGCAACAGAAAAAGCCAATTCTAGATTCTTTTAAAAATAATTGGGAGGCGGAGGTGGGTGGATAACCGGGTCAGGAGATTGAGACCATCCTGGCTAACACGGCAAAACCCCCCGTCTCTACTAAAAATACAAAAAAATTAGCCAGGCATGGTGGCAGGTGCCTGTAGTCCCAGCTACTAGGGAGGCTGAGGCAGGAGAACGGCGTGAACCTGGGAGGCGGAGCTTGCAGTGAGCCGAGACGGCACTACTGCACTCCAGCCTGGGCAAAAGAGCGAGACTCTATCTCAAAAAAAAAATAATAATAATCATTATCATCATCATCAAGTGAATGGTGAAAATGGATGGCTATTGATGTACTTACAAGCTGTGTAGGCACTGGCTAACAAAAATGTGTTCTATATGTCTTGCCAGGATTATTGAAACTTTTCAACACTGGTTTCTGCATTGATAAAAAAAAATAAAGCCTGGTAAAAGTCTCCTTCATAGAATTATACAATATTAAATGTAGGAATACTAGAGGTGATCTGAAATGTACCAGTTAGGTTCATTACGGGAAACAGATGGCATGTCTAAAATAGGATACTTCCAGGAGAGTTTTTAAAAGGCACTAATTACAAAGAGATGGGAAGCATGTAGGGAAATGATGAAGGATAAATGCAGTACCCCAGACTTAGTAATAGTGAGAGGCAGCCACCACCCTTAAGCCTGAAGGAGTAAGGGGAGGACGTGGTTACCTGCCTGGAGAGAGTCATATAAAGAGTACCAACTGGAGAGGAGTTGTTAACTCAGTTGAGGGACATGGCCAGCTCAACAGTAACCCAGAGAAAGAGCTGAGGAAATAGATATTCAACATCAATCTCCTCCTTTTCTCCAATCTACCGCCAGAGCTGCCCATAGGCCAAACTCAATTGGAAATCAGAAAGTCAAGGGACCTATGGATGCTATTTTTACAGATCAACCTCCCAGATAGAGCTAGATACAGAAGGGTGAAGGTGTACCTATAAAAGGCAATGAAAATATACAACACATGACCCAGTTGTCTAAATTTTTAGATGAAAACATTGAGTCCCAAGGATGAACTGACTTGCTCAAGTTCAACTGCAAGCTAGAATCAGAATTAAAACCAGATAAATATTCTCAATATGTTCCCCATTTCATGGAAATCTGCTGCCTTCCCACTTCCAAAATATCTTGCTTAGAGGAACAGTCATGACTGGAAGGAATCTATGAGACTCCTGGGTCAAAATAGCAAAGTGAACACCTATAGTCTTTTCTCCTTTTGTTCTAGTGATTAATTGCTACATTATAAACCACTTCAAAAATGATGGCATTGAGGGATTCCTGCTATGACGGCTGACTGGATGCAACCAGGAGGAACATCTCCTACTGAGGAACTGGGACATCAAGAAGACTGGCACACTCTTAGCAGAACTTCAGAGGGAAGGTATTGAAAGTAGTTGTAGGGAAGACACAGATGCTGGGCTGAAGAGTGAGGAAGCTTGGAACCCTGCATGGGACTACCATGCACCAGGACTCCTTCTTGACCCCCAATGACTCCTGTGGATAGCATGAGTTGAACAGGCAAGGAATAACCTGCCTTCACTGTAGGACTCTGGAATTCTGGCAAGAGGAGACTCTGTGACCACTATGGACACTTGAGTTGGCAGGGAAAGCTGCTTAGGGAAGCAGTAGGGACAGAACTGCAGCCAGGGTAGAGCCCAAAGGGTTTGGAGACGAATCATCTGTAGTGGAGCATGATCAGGGATGCCCATCCCACTAGGCTCGACTTGCTCCCATAAGAGACTTTAGGCTTAGGGGAACTGTCAGACCTGAATTCTGCAAGGCAAGGCAGTCTTGACCATGAGACAGGGCCTGTAAGGCCTGAGCACCTCTGAGTAGGCTGGCCTCTCCCAGGGACCAAGTCTGGCTGCACCTACTTGCAGCCCCAATTTACCTCCTGGGGGTTGCATCATATCTCCTGCACTGGCAGACTGTGCCTGACTGGCAGAGTGCTCCAGCAGAGAGGTTCCAGCAGAGCACCGTCCCCCTGCTCATGGACATGTACCAGCCCGCCTGTGCCCTCCCCATAGTGCAGCCTCCACAATGCTGCCTTGCCTGCAGGTACTCATCCACAGCCAACCCACATCGCTTTGCCAGCATGTGTGTGTACAGGCAGGCCAAGCCTTCCCTTCCCCGCTAGAATGCATGTGCGTGTGCACCCTGCCATGCCACTACTGCTGATGTGAGTACATCATGGCTCCTCCCTCCCCCTGCTGCATCACCACTGTCATGAAAGTACTGGCAGGCACAGAGCTTGCCAGCCCCATCCCTCCAGCATCTCACCCCTGCACCAGGGTCACCAGCATGAAAGTAGGCATGGAAAATAGCAGACTCACCCCCAGCCCTGAGCAGCCACTGCCACCAACATGAACATAAACAGAGGTTGCACACAGTCCTGCACTCACCAGCGCCCCGCCCCCATGCTAACACCACCACCAATGAGAATGTTCACACAGTCTCTGGTGGGGACCCTCAACCCTCGATCCATACTGCCACCACTGCTGCTGTGAAAGCCCACGAGGAGACTGGCACCCCAGCACCTGTAGCACCCTGCTGTAGCTGACCAGTTTGTACACTGTGCGTTGCTGCTCCTCCTGCTGCTGGCACATGGAAACCAGGATAGAACCCACTACCACCAGCCTATGAAGCATTTTGGCTGGCACCACCCATTGGAGTGTTGTGACCAGTGGTCTGGGAGCACCTTGGCCCCTCCAACACTACAGGTTCCTAAACTTGAGGAGCCAGAGATCAAAGCCAGGCCAGATACCAGTCCCTGAGAGTTAGAGCACACAGTCCAGGAGTCCTGAGCTGAGCTTTGGCCTCCTAAAATCTAGTAATGAAGCCAGTTGACTGAACCCACCTTATACCACAATCAAATCCCTAGGGTCATCAAATAGAATTAAAAAAAACCCAAAGGGTAGAAACTTCAAGCACTGAAGAAACATCAGCCCACAAAGATGAGAAAGAACCAGTGCAAGAACTTCTGTCAACTCAAAAAACCAGTCTTTTATCCAAATGACCATGCTACTTCTCCAGTAAGGGGAACTAGTTCTTAACTAGACTGATATGGCTGAAATAACAGAAATAGAATTAAGAATATGGAGAGGAATAAAGATCATCAAGATTCAGGAGAATGTAGTCAGTATAGAAAAGAATTTAACTGACCTGATAGAGCTGAAAAACACTATAAGAATTTCATAATGCAACCATAAGTATTAACAGAAGTATAGACCAAGCTGAAGAAAGAATCTCAGAGCTTGAAGACTGGCTATCTGAAATAAGACAGTCAGACAAAAATAAAGAAGAAAGAATGAAAAGGAATCAACAAAACCTCTGAGAAATATGGGATTATATAGAGAGAGACTGAATCTATGACTCACTGACATCCCTCAAAGAGATGAGGAGAATGAAAGCAACTTGGAAAACATATTTCAGAACATCATTCATGAGAACTTCCTAGTTCTCTAGAACAAACGAGCTAGAGAGGCCAATATTCAAATTCAGAAAATGCATAGAACCACTGCAGAATACTTCATGAGAATGTCATCTCCAATACATATAATCATAAGATTCTCCAAGGTTAAAATGAAAGAAAAAATGTTAAAGTCAGATAGAAAGAAAGGAAAGGTCACCTACAAAGGGAAGCCCATCAGATTAACAGTAGACCTCTCAGAAGAACTCCATAAGCCAGAAGAGATTGGAGGCCTATATTCAACATTCTTAAATAAAAGAAATTCCAACCTAGAACTTCATACCCAGTCAAACTAAGCTTCATAAGTGAAAGAGAAATAAGATCCTTTACAGACAAGCAAAGACTGAGGAAATTCACTATCACATCACCTACTTTACAAGAGCTCCTGAAAGATGCAGTAAACGTGAAAAGGAAAGACCATTACCCGCCACTACAAAAACACACTTAAGTACACAGACCAGTAACCCTATAAAGCAACCACATAAACAAGTTGTCATAATAAACAGCTAACAACCTGATGGGAGAATTAAATTGACAGATATCAATACTAACCTTGAATGTAAACATGCTGAATGCTCCAATTAAAAGGCACAGAGTAGCAAACTAGATAAGGAAGCAAGACCCAATTGTATGCTGTCTTCAAGAGACCTATCTTACATTTAATGACACTCATAGGCTCGGAATACAGGGATGGAGAAAAACCTATCAGCCAAATGGAAAACAGAAAAAAAGTAGGAATTATAATCCTAATTTCAAATAAAACATACTTTAAACCATCAAAGATCAAAAAAGACAAAGAAGGGCATTAAATAATGGTAAAAGGTTCAATTCAACACTAAGATGTAAGTGTCCCAAATATGTATGCATCCAACACAGGAGCACCCAAATTTATGAAGCGAATTCTTAGAGACCTACAAACAAACTTTGACTCGCACACAATAATAGTAAGAGACTTCAACACCCCACTAATAGTATAAGACAGATAATTGAGACAGAACATTAACAAAGATATTCAGGACCTAACTCAACACTGGACCAAATAGATCTGATAGCCATCTACAGATCTCTCCACCCCAAAACAACAGAATATACATTCTTCTCAACTGCACATGGCACATACTATAAAATTAACCATACACTCAGACATAAAATAATCTCCAGCAAATTTTTAAAAACTGAAATTATACCATCCAGACTCTCAGACCACAGTGAAATAAAATAGAATTCAAAATGAAGAAAATCACACACACATAAATTTGCATGGAGATTAAACAACATGCTGCTGAATTACTTTTGGGTAAATAATGAAATTAAGGTGTAAATCAAGAAGTTCTTTGAAACTAATAAGAACAAAGATAAAACATAGCAGAATCTCTGGGACACAGCTATGGCTGTATTATTAGGGACATTTTTAGAACTAAATGCCCACATAAAAAAGTTAGAAAGATCTCACATAACAACTAGAAGAACTAAAGAAGCAAGAGCAAACCAACCCCAAAGTGAGTAGAAGAAAACGAATAATCAAAATCAGAGTTGAACTAAAGGAGATTGAGACATGGAAAACCATTCCGAAAATCAACAAATCCAGGAGCTGGTTTTTCAAAAAACATTTGAAAGATAGACAGACCACTAACTAAACTAGTAAAGAAGAAAAGAGAGAAGATCCAAATGTGCATAATTAGGAATGACAAAGGAGTTGTTACCACTGACCCTACAGAAATACAAATAACTACCAGACTATTATAAACACCTCTAGGCACACCAACTAGAAAATCTAGAACAAATGGATAACTTCCTAGACACATACAGCCTCACAAGACTGAACCAGGAACAAACTGAATTTCTGAACAGACCAATCATGAGCTCTGAAATTGAATTAGTAATAAATAGCCTATCAACGAAAAAAGCTCAGGAACAGATGGATTCATAGCTGAATTGCACCAGACGTACAAAGAAGTGATGGCATCATTCCTACTAAAACGATTCAAAAAAAATTGAGTAGGAGGGACTCCTACCCAACTCATTCTATGAGGACAGCATCATACTGTGAACAAAACCTGTCACAGACACAACAAAAAAAGGAAACTTCAGGCCAATATCCTTGATGAACATTGATGCAAAAATCTTCAACAAAAACTAACAAACAAAATCCAGAAACATATCAAAAAGTTAATCCACCACGATCAAGTAGGCTTTACCCCTGGGATGAAAGATTCGTTCAACATATGCAAATAAATAAATGTGTTTCATCATATAAACAGAACTAAAGGCAAAAACTGCACGATCATCTCGATAGATGCAGAAAAGGCTTTCAATACAATTCAACATCCCCTAATGTTAAGTGTCTCTACAAACTAGGTATTAAAAGAGCATACCTCAAAATAATGAGAGCCATCTGTGACAAACCCACAGTCAACATCATATTGAATGGACAAAAGCTGGAAGCATTCCCCTTGAAAACCAGCACAAGAAAAGGACGCTCTCTCTTACCAGTCCTATTGAACATAGTATTGGAAATCCTGGTCAGAGCAATCAGGCAAAAGAAAGAAAGAAAGGGGAACCAAATAAGAAGAAAAGAAGTCAAAATATTCTTGTTTGCAGATGACATGATTCTATATCTAGAAAACCCCATAGTCTTGGACCAAAAAATCCTTAAGCTGATAAATAACTTCAGCAAAGTTTTGTGATACAAAATAAATGTACAAATATCACTAGCATTCCTATACATTAACACTAGCCAGGCCAAGAGCAAATCAGGAACTCAATTCCATCCACAATTGCCACAAAAAGAATAAAATGCTTAGGAATAAAGCTAATCAGGAGGTGAAAGATCTCTGCAATCAAAATTACAGACGCTGATCAAAGAACTCAGAGATAACACAACCAAGTGGAAAAGCATCCCATGCTCTTGGAGAGGAAGAATCAATATCATTAAAATGTTCATACTGCCCAAAGCAATTTACAGATTCAATGCTATTCCTATCAAACTACTAATGACACCCTTCATAGAACTAGAAAAACCTATTTTAAGATTCATATGAAAACAAAAAAGAGCCTGAATACCCAAGGTAATTCTAAGCAAAAAGAACAAAGAAAGAGTCATCCCACTACCCAACTTCAAACTATATTACAAGGCTACAGTAATCAAAACAGAATGGCAGTGGTATAACAACAAACACATAGACCAACAGAACAGAGTAGAGAGCTCAGAAATAAGGCTGTACATATACAACCATCTGATCTTTGGCAAAGCTGACAAAAACAAGCAATGGGGAAAGGACTCCCTATTCAATAAATCGGGTTAGGATAACTGGCTAGCCATATGCAGAAAATTAAAACTGAACCCCTTCCTTACACCATATATAAAAATCAACTCAAGAGAACTGACACGAAAAACCAAAAGCAATAAAAACCCTAGAAGACAGCCTATGCAATACCATTATGGACATAGGAACTGGCAAAGCTTTCATGACAAAGATTCCAAGCAATCACACAAAAGCAAAAATTGACAAACAGGATCTAATTAAACTGAAGAGCTTCTGAACAGCAAAAGAATCTATCAACAAAGAGACAATCTACAGAATGGGAGAAAATATTTGCAAACTATGCATCTGACAAAGGTCTAATATCTAACATCTGTGAGGGGCTTAAACAAATTTATAAGATAAAAACAACCTCATTAAAAAGTGGGCAAAGGACAGAAACAGACACTTTTCAAAAGAAGACATACATGCAACTAACGAGCATATGAATGAAAGCTCAACATCACTGATCATTAGAGAAATGCAATTCAAAACCACAGTGAGATATCACCTCACACTAATCAGAATGGCTATTATTAACAAGTCAAAAAATAACAGATGCTGGTGAGGTTGCAGAGAAAAGGGAACGCTTATATGCTGTTGGTGGGGGACTGTAAATTAGTTCAAGTATTGTGGAAATCAGTGTAGCAATTCCTCAAAGAGCTAAAAATAGAACTACCATTTGATTCAGCAATTCCATTACTGGGTATATACTTAAAGGAATGTAAGTCATTCTGTCATAAAGACACGTCTACGTGTATACTCATAGCAGCACTATTCACAATAGCAAAGACATGGAATCAACCTAATTGCCCATCAGCGGAAGACTGGATAAAGAAAATGTGGTAAATATATAGCATGGGATGCCATGCAGCCATAAAAAAAATAATGAGATCATATTTTTTGCAGAAACCTGGATGGAAGTGGAGGCCATTATCCTTAGCAAACTAATGCAGGAACAGAAAAACAAATACCACATGCTCTCACTCATAAGTGGGAGCTAAATGATGAGAACACATGGACACAAAAAGGCGAACAACAGACACTGGGGCCTATCAGAAGGTGGAGGTTGGGAAGAGGGAGAGGAGCAGAAAAAGTAACTATCGGCTACTAGGCTCAGTATCTGGTTGAGGAAATAATCTGTACATCAAACCCCCATGACATGGGTTTACCTATATAACAAAACTGCACATGTAACTTCTGAACCTAAAAGTTTAAAAATAAACAAAATATAGAGGTTGCTATGCCAAAAGAAATGACATTTAACAATTATACTTTTATTGAAGTATATTCTGGATTCTATGAGTCAGAAATTTAGACAGGAGCAGCAAGGGGTAATTTTTTTCTGATCCACAATATACTTGGAGCTAGCAGCGAAGAACTGCTGTTAAATAGTAAAATGGCTGGAGGTTGTAATTATTGGAGGACTTCCTCCTTAATGTGTCTACTACGAGACTGAGGCTGAGGTAACTTGAAGACTAGGCTGAGTGGGAACCTCCATACAGCCTCTCTATGCAGCTTCTCACTGCATGGTGAATAGATTCTGAGAGAGACAATCCTGAGAGGGGACATTCAGAGAGTGGGCACTTCAAGAAGTCAAAGCAAAAGTGGCATTACTTCTTCTGAACTAGACTTGAAGATTTCACCGTTTCTCCCCTGCCAAATTATTTTGGTTACAAGTAAATCACTAAATCCAGTCCACCTCTTGAGACAATTGCAAGCTCTAGATGCCAGCTCTTAATGGGAGAATGACAAATTAACACTGTAGAAGAGCATGCAGGCTAGAAGATATTGTTGTGATCCTCCTGGAAAATGCAATTTGCCAACTCCTTCAAAGACCACATTTAAATAAAAGCAAAGAAATTTAAAATTATGAATTGGTATTGAATAAAGGCGTGGAATTGAGAGTCATCATCTGAGGAAAGAAATACTAACAAATTTTGGGAAGAAAGAAACTGAATACAGGAGGGGTAGCAGATAGGGTCAAGTAGATAAAGCTACATCTAGCACAGTTGATCCTTGTATAACATTGGTTTGAACTGTGCAGGACCACCTATATTTGGGTGTTTTATTCAATAAACATATTTGAGGTTCGTAACAATTTGAAAAACTGACAAACTATAAAGCCTAGAAACATCCAAAAAATTAACAAAAAGTTAGGTATGTCATGAATGCATAAAATATGTGTAGATGCTACTGTATTTTGTCATTTACTACCATAAAGTATATGCAAATCTATTATAAAATTTAAAATTTATCAAAACATGTACATAAACACCATACATGTAATGTTTTTTAATGGGCAAAATATTTAAACAGATAGTTCACAAATGAAGATGTATGTAAACTCATAGAATGATGCTCAAAATTTATATCATCATGGAAATGCAAATTAAAACTGTAATGGATAGGACTATATGCCTACTACAATGACTACAGTTAAAACACCAACAATCCTACGTTGGCAAAGATAAGGATGGAGGTACTAGAAATCTCACATATTGCTGGTGGGAATGTAAAATAGTAATAATTTTACAAAATTATTTGGAAACTTCTAACAAAGTTAATCCTATACCTACCTTATGACAGCAATTTCACTCCTAGGTATTTACTTCAAATAAATAAAAACATTTGTGAAAGTCTTTTACAAGAGTGTTCATAGCAGTTTTAATTTACAATACTCTGGAACTGGAAACAATCCAAATATCTGTCAATACATATTCAGCAAACAGCTTGTTGTATGGTCATACAATGAAATATTACTCAGCAACAAACTGGAATGCACTTCTAAAATATACAATACATGAATGAATCTCAAATTTATGCTGAGCAAAAGAAGCTAGGCAGAAGAGCACATACAGGACAATTCCACTTATATGAGGTACTAGAACAGGCAAAATTCATCTATGGTGTTAGAAATCAGAAAAGTGGCTACAGCTAGTCAGAGTGGGGCAGGAGTTGACTCTAGGAATTTGGAGACTGATGGACATACATATTCTATATCTTGTTTTGGGTAGTATTGCATTGGTATACTCAATTGTTAAAACTCACCAAACTATAAAACTCTGAATGTTTCACCATATATGAATTAGACATCAATTGAAATAAATGAAGAAAAACCGCCTAATTTCCAAATAATAATAATACAAAAAAATTTCTCAACAAGAAATGCCTTTAGATAGTGCCTTTATGTGAAAAAGTCCACTGAGAACCTAGAAAAATAGGTTCTAACCTCAGCCAAACTATCTTTTAAATAAATAAAGGCTCTTTTATATATGAAATGACTTCGAAATGTTTTTCTTTCCTATCTTCATGGTGAGGAGTTAATTGAAAATATGCTCTACCAATTAAAAATCATTAAGAAAGAGAAAGACTTAGTATCTAAAAAATATAAATCCAAAATGGGAAAGCAATAAAAGCAAATTTCCAAAGTAATAGTTTTACGGAAGCATATAAGCAATACAGACTGGAGGATAGCGAGAATCCCAATAAGTGGGTGTCTGGAAAAAGGGTAGATTCTTGAGACATGTGATTTAGAACAACCTAAGAAGATGATAAATATTAATTGTGTATGAAAAAATTAAGGCAATTAATCTTATAAGACTTTAAGGAACACAGTCCCTATATGCCCAAATAAAGAAATCCAGAATGAAGACATTGGGGGTAAAAAGGACTGCTGGGGATTATAGATTCTTTTAAAATATAGACTGAACAGTAAATAATCTTAAATGTCATTTTAAATACATTTTTCTCTTGATTTTGGATCATCTGGAATCTCATATTTCTATCATTAAAAAAAAGCCCTGAAATTCAGCAAATACTTGTTTCAAATCAATTTCATTTTCCTCTGTTTAATTCATGAAAAGATAAATTTCATACCTTATCAAAAATATTATTTTATGTAAAGTATGATCTATTGTTATGAAGATGACTTCTCAGCCTATTTACCTAATCATGCACCCTTCCTTATATATATACATATATATACCTAGAGAGACCTTATGTATATATACCTTCCTTACATATATATGCTAAGGAAGGTATATCTCTATGTGGTACCAGAGAATTGCCTAAAATCATGCTTATCTAATGTCCATTATATTTCTCAGTGATGGGGTTTGGGTGAATTTTTTAAAAATTCTCATCTTCATACTTTTTTAATGCTTGGATTTTTACAATGAGAATATATCATTTCTATAAAGACAATAAAGAAAGTTCTAATAAAGGAATATTCACCAAAGCTGGAGAAATGTATAAGAGCTTAAGGCTACCTTGGGTGCTATCATTTAAGCAGGGAAAATTCAGAAGCCAATTAGAAGCATGAGGCTGGCTGCTTACCACGTTCACTGCTATACCTCACAGGCTTGGCATTTGCCCTTGGGGCCATGACCCCCTCTCCCTCTGATTCCTGATGCCCATCCTTGGAGAGAACTGTCATGACGACAAAACACTACAGCCAACATACTTGGTGCAACAGAAATACCTGCTTAGTTGTTTCAATCTCAATTACAATAGAAGAGAGATACAACCGTAAACTATTTAGGAGCACAAGCATGAGGGCCTCATCAGTTATCATCCTAACAATGATTAGATGAAGATAGGAATAAGGTTTTAGATAGTCACTTGGAAAAGCCAAGTCCAGGAAAAGATGAAAGAAGTGCAAACAGGAAAGGGAAATGATGTCACAAACATTATGTGCTCATTCACTCATTACCTTAAGTCCATTACTTTTTGGCTATCATTTTTCGAGAACCTGATACCGTGCCTGGTGTTAGATGTGCCCGGTAAACAGGGTAAACTCGTTCCTTGTCCACTTGACACTTCAAATTATTGGGCATGGGGGAGACTGATCATCTAAATAATTGAAAAATTGGAGTCAGTGCTTTAAAGAAAACCGCTTATGATTAAAAACAATAATAATACCAGCTTGGTCAGGGAAGTTCTGTCTGGGAAGAGGTAATCATTACAGATGAGAACTCCAGGGTGAGAAGTGAGCTGTGCAAAAAGGGTGCTGTTCAGGGATTTCCTTGAGGAAAGTGCAAAGACTTCAAGGTAAGGGATTTGGTGAATTCAGGGACCTGAGAGAGGGCCAGTGTGCTTGAACAGCTGTGAGGAAGGGGGCAAGTGACCCTTGAATCAATGACAGAAGACAACTCAGACCAGCAATGGTACTCGGAGTCAACTTCTGAGCTGCACCATTCAAGAAACAGAGCTCGGGTTTCATTTAAATGTTATCATAGAGGGCATTTTCTCACAGCCTGCTGTGGTGGGTTGAATGGTAGTTCTCCAAAAGACACGTCCTCTACAACATGTGAATGTGGCCTGATTTGGAAAAAGGGTCTTTGCAGATGTAATTAAGTTAAGGATCACAAGATGAGATAATCTTAAGTTAGAGCAAGCCCCAAATGCTATGTCAAGTATCCTTAGAAGGGAAGAAGAGAACATATGGAGAAGGTCATGCAAAGATGAAAACAGGTATGAGAACGATGCTGCTACAAGCCAAGGAATGTCTGGAGCCCCCACAAGCTGAAAGAGGAAAGGAATGCTTCTCCCCTAGAGCCTTCAGAGGCCGTGCCATCCTGCTGACACTTTGATTTTGGACTTCTGGTATCCCAAACTGGGAAAGAATAAATGTATACTGTTTTAAGCCACCCAGTTTGTGGTAATTTGTTATGGGAACCCCAGAAAATTTAGACAGTTGCCAATGTTTCTATCAGTTTTTCTTTCTCAAATTCTTTCTCTCTCAGAACGACTTGGAAGCACAGACAATAAGATGGAAAGAAAGGGATGACAAGTCCCCCTAGAAATAAGAGGTCGGGCTGAACCCACGTACCCATCGTGGTTGCTCTAGAATTGTCCAACGGGCATGACCCAAGGCCACCTAGCCCTGGTTATAAAGCCTTCTTCCTCTGTGTGTTTCAAAGAGATGTGGCAGTCTTTGCCTCCTGCAGATGCTTGACCTTCTAACGATGCTCTCTTTTTAATGTTCTGTGATCCTGGTATTCTCTTCCAGTTATTATTTAAACAATTTCCATTAAATCTCTCAGGAAAATGGTTTTTGCTTTTGTATTTGTTCTGTTTCATAAACCTTCTCATAAATCTGAAACTTTAGACTTTCAGATTTACCCCAGGAAGAAGTATTTCAACTTCAGGATCTTAGAGAGCAGAGTTTTCAACCCCACTTCATCTGGAGTGGCATCTATCTCCCCAAAGGAACAGAAATCACTTTTAATGCAGCCATGGACAATTCTCTTGGAAATTTTCTCATTCCTGTTCACTGGCTTGCAAGTACTCTGTGCTCCTCAGGGAGCCCGTTAAAGAATACTGCTCTCTGCAGAGACACGAAAGGATCCTCAAGGCACGTCTTCTTAGCTTCCCATGAAAGCCACAAGTTACTCAGGACAGAACTGCCTTTGCAGAATTACAGGGAAGGGCTGGGTGGGCAGAAAGCCCCCTCCTCTGGTAGTGATGGGAGTGGGTTTTGTCTGCACAGGAGACTGTGTCTACCTGCCTGGAAGAAGGAGTCTCACCCAGAACAGGGCTGCACACAGTCAAGGGCAGAGTGAGCGAAGGACAATGATGAGCCAGGGAAAGAAGGGGAGGAACATCAGAAGTCGTGGCCTGGGGTATGAAGCCGGGATTCCAAGACAGAGAGAATGAGAACAAGAAAAATGAGACACATGCAGCAGAAAAGTTGCCACAGACAGAACGCAGAAGAAGGCTGCCGCCTACAGCTTGAGTCTTCGGTGGCAACCCCTGTGTCATGGTGGTGAGCCAGCTAGACTCCAGGCATCAGAGCAGAAGCCAAAAGAAGTCGAAAGTCCACATGTCCTTTTCACCAAGGCTATTGGCATGCGTGTCAAATGACAGTGGCTTGCCCATCTGCCTTCTCTGCATGACAAACCTGCACCAGAAGAAATGTCAGTGCCTTAAATGGAATGGAAGATTTAAGACAATGGAATAAAATGTAAACTCACCTAATTGTCCTCAGACATTGTTGGACCAGTCCGTAGTTGGCAACACAGAATGCCATCAATCCAAACCTCATCATAGACAATATTCTCAAATTGTTTATTTTGATTTTACTACTTAAGTTCCTAAACGTTGCTGCCCATCAAAATTAGCTGGGAGAACTTCTTACATCACAGATACTTAAGCCTCAGCCTTATCTGAATTCTTGGGAGTAGGGCCTAGAAATATACATTTTAACAAACATTCCCCAGGTATTCTGATGCAGTATGTCCAGTAGGGACTGGGTTTTGGGAACCTCTTCCCCTACTGGCATAGCTTTGGGAGTGAGACTATTTCACACCCATCCCCTGGCCTCATACGTGGAACATGGGAGACACAACAAATTCTTTTGGACCTGAACTGAACTAGTAAATGCATATCAGAAGTTTAGCAGGATGCTGGGGGGGGATACTTGCAAAAATAAATCCCACAACCTAAGGCATCGTTAAGCTGAGCATTGAAAAATACATAGGAGGTTGAGAGGCACACGCAAAGTAGAAGATAAAGAACTTTCCAAACAAGAAGCCTTTACAAAGGGCTGTGGAAAAAGGTGGATGACAGGCAGCTGAGGATGGGCTAGCGGGGAGATCCTGTTCTGTTCTTTCTCTCTAGGTACTAACATGCTTTCTGACTTGGCCAGAAAGAGTTTCTGGCTGATTGTAGGAAGTATGCAATCTATGACACTGTCTTACTGCAGAATCTATTTTTTTTTCATTATTTACCTTTTGCTTTCAGTCCCATTCCTCTCCCTATTGTCCTCCTTTGCACTGGCCTCTGACTTTTCAGAGTCAGTTTCCCCTCTCTAAATCTCAATGGTCCTCTCCTGCAGACTCCAGCTCTACCATTAAGGGATGGGAGGAGGGGGGAAGTGAGAGTGAAAAGGGGAGGAAGGGAAGAAAGAAAGGAGAGAGTGAGGAAAAAAGAAAAGGAATGAAGGAAAGAAATTAACCTTTACTGGGGCATCTCTTCTGTGCAAGGTGCTTTCCTAGAGGATATCTTGGTTAATCCTCATGACAAGCTTGTGATGTAGCAATTATTAGCACCAATTTATATATACACACACTGAGGTTGAGTAATGTCTTACTTCATTAGTGTTGCTATAAAGGAATACCTAAGGCTGGGTTATTTATTTTAAAAATAGGTTTATTTGGTGGATGGTTCCGCAGGCTGCACAAGAAGCATGGCACCAGCACCTGCATCTGGTGAAGATCTCGGCTGCTTCTAATCCTGACGGAAGGTGAAGGGGAGCCAGCATTTACAGAGATCACATGGCATGGGGGGAAGTGAGAGGGGTGGAGAGGTTCCAGGCTCCTTTTAACAACCACTTCTTGCAAGAACCAACAGAGCAAGAACTCATTCTTACCTCAAGGATGGCACCAACACATTCATGAGGGAGCCACCCTCATGACCAAAATTAGGCCCCTCCTCCAACACTGGGGATCAAATTTCAACGTGAGATCTGGAGGGTCAAATATTCAAACTATAGCAAGTAACCTGCCCAACATCACACAAGCCTTTTGCATCTCCTGTGTAGGTGTCTGCTCAAATGGTTTTCCGAGGTAGGCATAATTTTAGTGATTAACTCTGATTTTGTGGTAAGAAGTGAATTTGCATTTTCAGGTTACCAGTGGTAATTATTAAATACTAATGTTCCGTTGTCTCAGAATGCAAGATTGTGGGAGAAACATTTTTAGGGGCAGTTCCCTGTTGATAAATATATCCAAGGAAAATTTTGAAGGCTTATCTCTATTCAGAAGCAATTGTTGTGAAGGAGAGAAAATTCTCAGTAGAGTTTAGACTTATTTCATGGTTTGAGAGCTTCATGCTGGCTGGAGTCAGAGTTCCAGTGAAATTCCTCAGAAAGCAGAGTATACAAGGTTCCTACAATCTCAATCGACAATACTGAATGAGCTCTGTTTAGAGAATGACATGTTTCTCTTTAAGAAAAAGTTTCAGTCTTTCAATTACCTAATATAAAATGGGAGCAGCAGGATCAGCCAAAATATTATTTGATGTTGAGTGCGGAATGACAAAGTAAATTACATAGCCTCGCCCCTGAGAGTGAAAGTGATCAAACATAAGCTCACACATCGTGTCCCTTGCTATCACTGCATGCATTATGCCCTCACCGTATTTCCACAGCATTCTGCCCAGACCTCCAAAAGAGTAAGAATCATGCCCACCCTAATCACTGCTTTACCTACCTGTTACACATATCGAGCTCTCGGCAATTATTTTTAACTTTTTTCTTTTTTAGTAACAACGATATAATGAAGAAATGACCATGTGTTAATTGTGTCTTCACTTCTAAAGATGACACTACCAGGTTCAGCAGAGAAGGATTGCTGTGGACAGATTTCTCTTTGTTAGTGCAGGGTTATCCATGGGAAGTGGCTTTCCACCCAGGAATGACATTTTCCAACCCCGTTCCATCTAGAGATGATCACAGTCGTGTGAATAGTTACACGAAGAGTAGGAAGTGGAATTCATGGGTGCCTCCCCCAGGCTCCCTTAAACTTTCTGTCAGTTGGATGCCAAAAATGATGAGGCCCTTGGCGGGGGCTCCCTGAATCCCAAATAAAGGAGACCTTCCTGTCAAAAAGTAATACCCACCTCAGGTCATTAGGTACAGAAGAAATAAATGTCTTGCACTTGGGATTAATTTGTTAAAGAAGCCCAGCGTCCTAAAATTCATAACAATAGGAACATGCATTACAGGTTCAATCCGTAAAAAACACCAATAAGGAATCCTCTCCACAGGACCCTGCCACCCTGCCGGAATTTTAGTTTACAACTCTGTATATCAACATTAATTTGGCCAAGCTCAAAAGTTTTAACACTGGAAAGTAATTTGAATTTCATCCACATGCACAAGAAAACCTTTAAAGGGTTTTAAGGAGGAAAGTGGCATGATAAGGTTTGCATTCAGAATGACCACTAGGGCAAGACCAAAAGCAAAGACTAGGTTGAATGCTGTCACTGGAATGTAGGGTCCTAGTGATATAAACAGAAAGTGGGGGTGTATTCAAAACAAGTCCAGAGAAAGCAAAGGAGAAAAGGCACTAAAGAAAGAGGGTATGTAAACATTTGAGAGACAAAAGAGCCTGCTAAGGAGACTAGAAAATGAGTCTAAAGAAGCATAAGGAAACCACAAGGATGTTTTGCACAAGGAAGGGGGACAAGGAAAGTGTCTTTCCAAGAGTGAGTTGAAAATAGAGTCAGTGCTGAAGCCCAAATGAGCCATGTACAAAAAGGTGCCTGTGGGATTCAACAAATGAGAGCCATGTCCATGGGGTGGCCAGAGAGGGGAAGCAGGGACTAACCCACATTGCCATAGGTTCAGGAGTGGATGTTGCATGAGGATATGGAGACAGAATATTTCAAAACCTTTTTCAGGGGGTTGGTTGTGAAAGGAGGAGAAGTAGAACAGGCAGAGGAAACATAGGTAGAAGGAGTTATTGTGCTTATTTGTTTGTTCTTGTTTTTGCTTTTGATTTGAGTATCAGAGGATTGTTTGCATGCCATTGGGAAGGAATATGCAGGGAGGAGAGTAAGCAATGGGAAGGCTATGGACAGAGGAGGGAAATAGCAGTTGGCAGGCTCAGGAACCTCTTTTATGATAAAGATGAGAAGTGAAAAAGAGGAAGTGAAAATGGAAGTAATTTATGTTGGGCAGATTAAATGTAAACGGATAATGGGAGCAAGGAATGTATGCTGTCTGCAGAAGAGAAAAGAAAAAACATCTATTAAGCCTATTAGAATTTCTATCAGTTGAATGGAAAACAAAATGTCCCTACCTGAGGGTGACTCAGAGGAGGTATACACATGAAAATGGTCTACGTAGAATTCAGAGTAAAATTCCAAGAAATTGCTTGACCCTCTAATCTAGTGGTTCAAAACATGGCCTTCAGAATCAGAGAAACAAAGTTTTGCATTCCAGTATCATTTAGTAATAACTGCAGCATCTTGTACAATTTGCATGCCCATTCTAAAACACCAATTCCTAATGCATGCTATGGGATAACACACACAAAACAATGACTATTTGGGGTAGCACATTACTAGTTCTCAAAGTACTTTCAACATAATCATCAGTATCTGTCTAAAGAGCTCATGAAGCTATGACCTTTATGTAACAAGCACAGAAAAGCAGGGATTACAGGTAGTGATGGAGAGACAAATGGGGTAGTGTCCGACAGTATTCAGGAAATGAACAGAGATTTAAACAATAAGAAAGTTGATGGCTAGGGAGGACAGATATGAGTAACTCTGTTTATCAGTTTTCACACAGTATGCCCACATATTTATAAACCACCCACCTTTGCTATACAGAGCCAGACTTTTTTCTATACTTACCTCATTGAAGCTGGTTGCAGTCAGCTCAAGGCCATGTCACATAAAGTATTGCTCATGTATTTTTCAATTTGTAGGGTTAGAGTTTTATCTATAACAATATTTTATTACAGAATTGGCTTCCTGATACATTTCAACCACCACTTGCAACTTACACGGACCCCAAAATAAATACATAAATATGTAAATAAATAAAAATGAACAAATTGGCAAGCACCAATATTACCACTATTGTCAAAATCCCTATTACTTCAGGAAATTTAAAAAATATTAATGCACAATGATAGCGATTGTAATTATCTACAGTGTATAATTATCAATACTCATTGATATTAACAGCTGAAAGCTGGAACTTTCTTTTTCATTAATAGAAGCACAGCAGTTTTTACATTAATATTAAAGATAAAATGTATGTGTGTTTTGCCTACAAGCTAAAGCTTCGGAGCCCATTACACTTGTATGGCTGGGGCAAATTGTATCAGAATGCTCAGCTGACCTGGAGACATGGGTGTGTAATTGAAATGGCTTCCTACAGTGCAGATAAAATCAGTGACAAGAGATTCACGCTAGAATTTATCCCGGCAATATTCCTATTTACGTAGATAAAGGAAAATCCTCAAGTGTTGATGTTTGAGGGGATGATAATGAATCAAACCTCTTCTCCACTCCCATCTCTAGGTTAAGAAATCAGACAGCATAGATAAATGAATTCAAGGGCTCGATTACTGACAAAGCTGATAGGAGAATGCAGCTCAGAGCTAGTGCCAAAGGAGCATCCTGATCCATCCACTCCATTCAATGCTCCTCTGGAAACAGAAATTAAAATTGCCAACCTGGTCACTAACATAGCAGGATGACCTCACAGTTTTCCAGCTAAGGCAGAAGACTTACACATGGCAGAGGATGAGAGACGGAATGCTCTAGGTGGAAGAGTGTCACACCTGGGATGCCTCAGTGCTCCTGCACATGACTTCTCTTTCTAGCAGAGCAGCCCGGACTTCCTACTTGACAGCTCAGAGGAGGAAGCAGGCGTTGCCAGTCCTGCGAAAGGATAGCAGCAAAATCAGCACAACATCACTTCTGTTACCAGAAAGGGGTCCCAATCCAGACCCCAAGAAAGGGTTCTTAGATTCTCATCCAAGAAATAATTCAGGGCAAGTCCATAGATTAAAGTGAAATCAAGTTTATTAAAAAAGTAAAGGAACAAAAAATGGCTACTCCATAAGCAGAGCAGCCCCAAGGGATGCTGGCAAGCTACTTTTATGATTATTTTTTGATCATTTGCTAAATAAGGGGTGGATTATTCATGAGATTTCCAGGAAAGGAGTGAAGAATTTGCAGAACTGAGGGTTCCTCCCCTTTTTATAGTATAAAGGGTAACTTCTGGATGTTACCATCGCAGTTGTGAACTGTCATGGCCCTGGTGGGAGTGTGTTTTAGCATAATAATGCATCATAATTAGCGTGTAATGAGCAGCTAAGAAGACCAGAAGTCACTTTTGTGGTCATCTTGGTTTTGGTGGGTTTTGGCCAGCTTCTTTACTACATCCTATTTTACCAGCAGGGTCTTTATAATCTGTATCTTGTGATACCAGTCTTACTGACCTCCTATCTAATCTTGTGAGTAAGAATGCTTAACCTCCTGGGAAAGCAACCCAGCGGGTCTCGGCCTCATTTTAATCAGTTCCTATTCAAGATGGAGTCGATCTGGTTCAAACACCTCTAACACTTCTATTGTATTCTACTGGCCCAAGCAATCAGGCCAGCCCAGATCCAAGCTGGTGGAAGAATAGACTCCTTGGCTCAACCAAGGACTGGCATGTGGGTACAGAGAGGGAAAGAACTGATGGTAGGTAAACCGTCACATACTCCATGGGATATAAAGGTTCCTCACAGTTGCCTCTGCTTACCAATTTCGTGTTTACCTAATGTTGGATGTGTTTCCATTAATTAATATTGTTCTAGGCTCTGAGTGTGAAAAGAAAGAGAGCGCTGGCATGCACAGCTTTAATAAAATTCTCCCCTGCTATGGATTCTTACTGCTCTTCACTTAATGATATATGAAGCTTGTTATGCTCTGGCTATTCAATGAAAAATGAGTCCCATGAAAGATGAATCAGTAGAGCCTGAAGATTTATTTGTAAAAAGAGCCTCATATTCTTAATGCTTAAAATAACCTCTGTAGTTTGAAAAGCTGTAAAAAAAATTAACTTAATGTGCTATAATAACATATTATATAATAATTTCTACATTTCTACATTTGTAAAAGAGTGTTTTCTCATTTATAATTTCATTTGACTCATGACAGTCCTATGAGAAGCATAGATACAAATGCTGTTGGGCCTGAAATAAAAACTTAGGCCTTCTCCCTTTAAAATGAAATATTTTGTTTGATGGTAAAAATAATAAGTGTTTTTGTAGAAAATCAAGACAAACAAAAAGCTTTAGAATTAAAAAAAAAAAATCCCCCTAAAAGTACATCTTAGAGACAAGCATTATTACCTTTGTGATTTAACTTCTAACACACTTTTATCTCTTTCCCCTCAGTTACCAGCAATAAAAAGATCGTAAAACCTTCCAACATAACATATATGGCTTTCAACTGTAATTGTACCAAAGAACAACAACCATGTATAACTTGGTTTTCCCCATCACTAAACACTGTTCAAAACACAATTACTAAATAATATTTTAAATCTGACTATATAAATAAACACATTATAGAATATTTAGAAGGTACAGAGAAGTAATATGAAGTTTATTTTAAAATTATCTGTATGGTCATTACCCATAGCCAACAATTGCTATCTTTTTGTTGTGTTTCCTTCCAAAAATATTGTATCTAATATAAGTAAGGGTACTGAAAGTGGCATGTACAAACCTATCCATCTACATGTCTCTCTATTTAATGAGTGTCTACATACACACATTCACTATATATATATAGACACTCAGTGTATATGTGTATATATATATACACACATTTTATATATACAATATTGTGATCATAGTGTGTACTGTTTTGTAACTTTCATTCACTTTTATCGATCAACATATGTTGAATATTTTCCCATGCATGCATTTTATAACACCATCTCACTCAACATGTTATTATGAAAATTTTCAAACATTTAGAAAAGTGTCAGGAATTTTACATTGTACACCTGCCACCTAGATTCTTCAATTACTGATACCAATTCGCATTACTCTTTTGCTGAAAGTCATTCCTAGGACTCTATCTGGCACTTCCAACTTGCTGTGCAATCGGGGTAGGTGAGCTGCAGTACACACTCCTGCAGACAGAAAATACCCTCCGACAGTACAGAGCTCAGGTAGACAAGGGGATATGGGTGGGGGATTGACAGGGTGGGCTGCAGAAAGAGATTATCTGCAGTAAATGGCTCAAGGTCAACGCTCTATTAATTTACCTTTCATCAGGTTTCTTTGAATCCTTTCTCTATAGTGTGTGTAGTCTCTGACTTTCTTAAGGCAGTTGCAAGGGAAGGGTTTACTGATTCTAATACCAGTTAGTGTGAACCCCCTAATCTGCCAAAATTCATGGTACTACAAAGAAATTGATTTTGTTCTTAAGAATGATTTGTATTGAATTTTTAGCCTTTATGCACCTAAACTTTCAAGTACCTTCCTATTTGAGAATGCAATGATCCACTAGAATGGTAGAGATATACATACTAGTAAACATTGGCCATGAAAAATTCAGCACTCAAGTTCTTTTTTTTTCTTTATATATATAGTTATTATACTTTAAGTTCTAGGTACATGTGCACAACGAGCAGGTTTGTTACATATGTATACATGTGCCATGTTGGTGTGCTGCACCCATTAACTCGTCATTTACTTTAGGTATATCTCCTAATGCTATCCCCTCCCCACTCCCCCCACCCCACAACAGGCCTCGGTGCGTGATGTTCCCCTTCCTGTGTCCAAGTGTTCTCATTGTTCAATTCCCACCTATGAGTGAGAACATGTGGTGTTTGGTTTTTTGTCCTTGCGGTGTTTGGTTTTTTGTCCTCGCGATAGTTGGCTGAGAATGATGGTTTCCAGCTTCATCCATGTCCCTACAAAGGACATGAACTCATCATTTTTTATGGCTGCATAGTATTCCATGGTGTATATGTGCCATATTTTCTTAATCCAGTCTATCATTGTTGGACATTTGGGTTGGTTCCAAGTCTTTGCTATTGTCAGCACTCAAATTCTAGGAGTGTCTCAGTGCCTGTGGTCTAAGTGGTACCCAAGCATCTGCAAAGAGATAGAAACGGAATGCTGAGCTGGCTTTCCTGGGGTTTAACTCTTGCCAAGTGAAACTGAGGAACTCCAGAAAAGAGCTCAGCTTTTCACCAGGCAGTGAGATTCCATGCACTCTCACTGAGCAATAAAATGTTCTTAACCCTGACACCCTCATATGAACTCCTATTTCTCTTGGGTGGGGAAAGGGGGAGAAGAGCTTCAAACTTCTCCTTAAGAAAAACAAGTTATAATTGTGAATGTTAAAAAATCATCTTAAACACTGCTGTTCCTGACATTATTTCATTTGAGTCTCAACATAACTTTGTGAGGTAATGGAAAATATCACCCATTCCCCCTGTTTGAGAGTAGGATTTGGAGGTTGAGATAGGTATTCAAGCCTAGGTCTTCTGACCCCTCACTCCCTCTTCCTTCCAGTCCTCTACTCTTATCTCTTCTTAGAAGCAAAGAGAAATTTGGTCAAGAGAAAAGACTAAACAAAATAACAGGCAAAGCAACTTTATTAAGAAACCCCTCATTTGACAACTTTCTTTATTCCACAATATGATGTCTATAAAATGTATGTTGCCTTCAAAAAATTTAAGAAGTTCAATCTTCCTCCTTTTCCTTATGCAACTCCCTGCAAATTGAAAGCTATTCTGACTAAATGATTGAAGGGAGCAGTGCACTTGCATCAAGGTCTCTTAACTCTCATTCTGCTAAAATGAAATTAACGAGGTAACTGCCCACCTGAGAAACTTTACACAAAGTAATGAGGCAGGACTCATTAATTGGCAGGGCATTGTTTACCCCAGTCTGCTCTTGGCTGTCTGAGGACCACCTCCTCAGCCTTTGGGCCACGGGGGAACTTCAATAATTTTCAGTCATAAAAATGAAAAATCACTGCATGGAAGTGAGATCAATGAGATCTATGCAACTAATATGAAGCAATTTTTTCCCCTCCCAAAAGCACTCAGATGAAAAGAAAGGACCAAATCACAGAGTTTCCAAAGAGCTGTCTCTTGTTTTACACAAGACAGTCTGAGTTCTTGATTTGCACTCAGAGGAGCCTGTTGTTTGGCCAGTGTCTACCCTTCATGTAGCGTTCCATAGAGATCTATGAAAATGTCGGTCTGGAAGAACTAGGGATGTTGACATATTTGGGTCAGATACATTTCGACTCATTCTCCTTTATATTTTATTTTATTTTATTTATTTATTTTTTTTTTGAGATGGAGTCTCACTCTGTCGCCCAGTCTGGAGGGCAGTGGCACGATAGCTCACTGCAACCTCTGCTTCCCGGTTTTAAGCAATTCTCCTGCCTCAGCCTCCCAAGTAGCTGGGACTACAGGTGTGGACCACCACACCTGGGGGACTAATTTTTGTATTTTTAGTAGAGATGAGGTTTTGCTATATTGGCTAGGCTGGTCTCGAACTCCTGACCTCAAGTGATCTGCCCAGCTTGGCCTCCCAAAGTGCTGGGATTACAGGTGTGAGCCACTGTACCCTGCCTCATTCTCCTTTAATTAATAATGTATATATTACCTTATGGTGGCTGGTCATCTTAATGGGGATATTTAATTGGCTTTTGAAAGACTAAAAGTTCACACCTGTACCTCTGGCACTCTGCAATTCTTCTTTCCGGCAATTAAAAAAACATAGAGGCAGATAGAAAGGTAGAAATTCTCAAAAAGTAGGCTTTCTGCCCTAATATGAAGCAAATATGGAAACTCAGGTCTCACTATGTTTTCTAAAATTCTACCCTAATATACTTAGATTTTACCGTTTATTTCTCCTGATCTTAATGAAGAAAGCTCTTGAGCTTCTCAGACCTGTCTAATCATCCAAGGACAAAATTCCAGGAATTCTGTGGGTTTGCCCACAGGAAATTATGCAGCAAATCAAGGTGAGCAATTGTCATGATTTCACTCGGAGATCAAAGGAGCACCTACCAAATTTTCTACCTTATTGTGTTCTACGATTCTTTCTAAATCAACAGCATCAAGCCTTTCCTCTGTTTGAATTCCTAGTCAACATGGAAAATTTAGACAAAGTCCAATAATATTTCAAGGGGTGATTTGGCCACCCTGGTCACATGGTTGTGTTTTCTCACCTGTAAAATGAGCCAACTGTGTTAATGTATTGTGCTTCCTTCCTGACATCTGCTACCACTGACATTCCCTTCTCATGTTGCTGTCTACATCTTTATTTTAATTACAGCTTGTGCTGCTGACATTAAGTGATTTTCAATTAGCCTTGGTGAATCACACAAAGTTATAGCAAGAGAAAAAATTTGAAGATTACCTAGTCAAACCTCTTTCTTTTTGTAAATCACGAAATGAAGCCTCAGAAAATTAAGTAATTTTCCTAAGGAGACATTGCTTGTTTTTGACAGAAACTCTATGCTGATCTGTGACTCAACACTGCAGTCTTCACTCACACACTACCGGTTCAAAGTATTTTTAGCCATTGGGCTCTTCCTGCTAATTATATATTATGAGGAAGGCAATATATAAAGAGGATAAATTCAAAGCAGATGTGGGGCCCAGAGACTCACCTGTTGGTTGCCATACAAATGGCCAATAAGTGCATGAAAAGATGCTTAACATCAATAATCTTTAGGGAAATGAAAATCAAAACTACAATGAGATAGTACCTTGCAACCATAAGGATGGCTACTATTGAAAAAAACAGAGAATGACAATTGTTGGCAAGAATGTGGAGAAATTTGGGGGATGGAGCCAAGACGGCCGAATAGGAACAACTCCAGTCTACAGCTCCCAGCATGAGCGATGCAGAAGACGGGTGATTTCTGCATTTCCAGCTGAGGTACTGGGTTCATCTCACTGGGGAGTGTCGGAAAGTGGGTGCAGGACAGTGGGTGCAGTGCACCAAGCATAAGCCAAAGCAGGGCAAGGCATTGCCTCACCCGGGAAGCACAAGGGGTCAGGGAATTCCCTTCCCTAGTCAAAGAAAGGGGTGACAGATGGCACCTGGAAAATCGGGTCACTCCCACCCTAATACTGCGCTTTTCCAACTGTCTTAGCAAATGGCAAACCAGGAGATTATATCCCATGCCTGGCTCGGAGGGTCCTATGCCCATGGAGCCTTGCTCATTGCTAGCACAGCAGTCTGAGATCAAACTGCAAGGTGGCAGTCAGTCTGAGGGAGGGGTGCCTGCCATTGCCGAGGCTTGAGTAGCTAAACAAAGCGGACAGGAAGCTTGAACTAGGTGGAGCCCACTGCAGCTCAAGGAGGCCTGCTTGCCTCTGTAGACTCCACCTCTGGGGGCAGGGCATTGCCAAACAAAAGGCAGCAGAATCCTCTGCAGACTTAAATGTCCCTGTCTGACAGCTTTGAAGAGAGTAGTGGTTCTCCCAGCACGCAGCTGGAGATCTGAGAACGGACAGACTTCCTCCTCAAGTGGCTCCCTGAACCCCGAGTAGCCTAACTGGGAGGCACCCCCCAGTTGGAGCAGACTGACACCTCACACGGCCAGGTACTTATCTGAGACAAAACTTCCAGAGGAATGATCAGGCAGCAACATTTGCTGTTCACCAATATCTGCTGTTCTGCAGCCTCCGCTGCTGATACCCAGGCAAACAGGGTCTGGAGTGGACCTCCAGCAAACTCCAACAGATCTGCAGCTGAGGATCCTGACTGTTAGAAGGAAAACTAACCAACAGAAAGGACATCCACACCAAAACCCCATCTGTACGTCACCATCACCAAGACCAAAGGTAGATAAAACCACAAAGATGGGGAAAAAACGGAGCAGAAAAACTGGAAACTCTAAAAATTAGAGTGCCTCTCCTCCTCCAAAGGAACGCAGCTCCTCATCAGCAACGGAACAAAGCAGGATGGAGAATGACTTTGACGAGTTCAGAGAAGAAGGCTTCAGACGATCAAACTACTCCGAGCTAAAGGAGGAAGTTCGAACCCATGGCAAAGAAGTTAAAAACATTGAAAAAATATTAGACTAATGGCTAACTAGAATAACCAATGAAGAGAAGTCCTTAAAGGACCTGATGGAGCTGAAAACCAAAGCACCAGAACTATGTGAAAAATGCACAAGCCTCAGTAGCCGATTTGATCAACTGGAAGAAAGGGTATCAGTGATGGAAGATCAAATGAATGAAATGAAGTGAGAAGAGAAGTTTAGAGAAAAAAGAATAAAAAGAAATGAACAAAGCTTCCAAGAAATATGGGACTATGTGAAAAGACCAAATCTACGTCTGATTGGTGTACCTGAAAATGACGGGGAGAATGGAACCAATTTGGAAAACACTTTGCAGGATATTATACAGGAGAACTTCCCCAATCTAGCAACGCAGGCAAACATTCAAATTCAGGAAATACAGAGAACGCCACAAAGATACTCCTCCAGAAGAGCAACTCCAAGACACATAATTGTCAGATTCACCAAAGTTGAAATGAAGGAAAAAATGTTAAGGGCAGCCAGAGAGAAAGGTCGGGTTACCCACAAAGGGAAGCCCATCAGACTAACAGCTGATCTCTCGGCAGAAACTCTACAAGCCAGAAGAGAGTGGGGGCCAATATTCAACATTCTTAAAGAAAAGAATTTTCAACCCAGAATTTCATATCCAGCCAAACTAAGCTTCATAAGTGAAGGAGAAATAAAATCCTTTAGAGACAAGCAAATGCTGAGAGATTTTGTCACCACCAGGCCTGCCCTAAAAGAGCTCCTGAAGGAAGCACTAAACATGGAAAGGAACAACCGGTACCAGCCACTGCAAAAACATGCCAAATTGTAAAGACCATCGAGGCTAGGAAGAAACTGCGTCAACTAACGAGCAAAATAACCAGCTAACATCATAATGACAGGATCAAATTCACACATAAAAATATTAACCTTAAATGTAAATGGGCTAAATGCTCCAATTAAAAGACACAGATTGGCACACTGGATAAAGACTCAAGACTCATCAGTGTGCTGTATTCAGGAAACCCATCTCATGTGCAGAGACACACATAGGCTCAAAATAAAGGGATGGAGGAAGATCTACTAAGCAAATGGAAAACAAAACAAGGCAGGTGTTGCAATCCTTGTCTCTGTTAAAACAGACTTTAAACCAACAAAGATCAAAAGAGACAAAGAAGGCCATTACATAATGGTAAAGGGATCAATTCAACAAGAAGAGCTAACTATCCTACATAGATACGCACCCAATACAGGAGCACCCAGATTCATAAAGCAAGTCCTTAGAGACCTAGAAAGAGACTTAGACTCCCACACAATAATAATGGGAGACTTTAACACCCCACTGTCAACATTAGACAGATCAACAAGACAGAAAGTTAACAAGGATATCCAGGAATTGAACTCAGCTATGCACCAAGCGGACCTAATAGACATCTAAAGAACTCTCCACTCCAAATCAACAGAATATACATTCTTTTCAGCACCACACCACACCTATTCCAAAATTCACCACATACTTGGAAGTAAAGCACTCTTCAGCAAATGTAAAAGAACAGAAATTATAACAAACTGTCTCTCAGACAACAGTGCAATCAAACTAGAACTCAGGATTAAGAAACTCACTCAAAACCGCTCAACTACATGGAAACAGAACAACCCGCTCCTGAATGACTACTGGGTACATAACGAAATGAAGGCAGAAATAAAGATGTTCTTTGAAACCAACGAGAACAAAGACACAACATACCAGAATCTCTGGGACACACTCAAAGCAGTGTGTAGAGGGAAATTTATAGCACTAAATGCCCACAGAAGAAAGCAGGAAAGATCTAAAATTGACACCCTAACATCACAATTTAAAGAACTAGAGAAGCAAGAGCAAACACACTCAAAATCTAGCAGAAGGCAGGAAATAACTAAGATCAGAGCAGATCTGAAGGAAATAGAGACACAAAAAACCCTTCAAAAAAATCAATGAATCCAGGAGCTGGTTTTTTGAAAAGATCAACAAAATTGATACACCATTAGCAAGACTAAGAACAAAAGAGAGAAGAATCAAATAGACACAATAAAAAATGATAAAAGGGCTATCACCGCCAATCCCACAGAAATACAAACTACCATCAGAGAATACTATAAACACCTCTACACAAATAAACTAGAAAATCTAGAAGAAGCGGATAAATTCCTCAACACATACACCCTCCCAAGACTAAACCAGGAAGAAGTTGAGTCTCTGAATAGACCAATAACAGGATCTGAAATTGAGGCAATAATTAATAGCATACCAACCAAAAAAAGTCCAGGACCAGATGGATTCAAGGCCGAATTCTACCAGAGGTACAAGGAGGAACTGGCACCATTCCTTCTGAAACTATTCCAATCAATAGAAAAAGAGGGAATCCTCCCTAACTCATTTTATGAGGCCAGCATCATCCTGATACCAAAGCCTGGCACAGACACAACAGAAAAAGAGAATTTTAGGGCAATATCCCTGATGAACATTGATGCAAAAATCCTCAATAAAATACTGGCAAATCGAATCCAGCAGCACATCAAAAAGCTTATCCACCATGATCAAGTGGGCTTCATCCCTGGGATGCAAGGCTGGTTCAACATATGCAAATCAATAAACATAATCAAACATATAAACAGAACCAATGACAAAAACCATATGATTATCTCAATAGATGCAGAAAAGGCCTTTGACAAAATTCAACAACACTTCGTGCTAAAAACTCTCAAGGTATTGATGGGACATATCTCAAAATAATAAGAGCTATCTATGACAAACCCACAGCCAATATCATACTAAATGGGCAAAAACTGGAAGCATTCCCTTTGAAAACTGGCATGAGACAGGATGCCCTCTCTCACCACTCCTATTCAACATAGTGTCGGAAGTTCTGGCCAGGGCAATCAGGCAGAAAAAGGAAATAAATGGTATTCAATTAGGAAAAGAGGAAGTCAAATTGTTCCTGTTTGCAGATGACATGATTGTATATCTAGAAAAACCCATCATCTCAGCCCAAAATCTCCTTAAGCTGATAGGCAACTTCAGCAAAGTCTCAGGATACAAAACCAGTGTGCAAAAATCACAAGCATTCTTATACACCAATAACAGACAAACAGAGAGCCAAATCATGAGTGAACTCCCATTCACAATTGCTTCAAAGAGAATAAAATACCTAGGGATCCAACTTACAAGGGATGTGAAGGACCTCTTCAAGGAGAACTACAAACTACAAATGAAATAAAAGAGGATACAAAGAAATGGAAGAACATTCTATGCTCATGGGTAGGAAGAATCAATATTGTGAAAATGACCATACTTCCCAAGGTAATTTATAGATTCAATGCCATCCCCATCAAGCTACCAATGCCTTTCTTCACAGAATTGGAAAAAACTACTTTAAAGTTCATATGGAACCAAAAAAGAGCCTGCATTGCCAAGTCAATCCTAAGCAAAAGGAACAAAGCTGGAGGCATCATGCTACCTGACTTCAAACTATACTACAAGGCTACAGTAACCAAAACAGCATGGTACTGGTACCAAAACAGATATAGACCAATGGAACAGAACAGAGCCCTCAGAAATAATGCTGCATATCTACAACCATCTGATCTTTGACAAACCTGACAAAAACAAGAAATGGGGAAAGGATTCCCTATTTAATAAATGGTGCTGGGAAAACTGGCTAGCCATATATAGAAAGCTGAAACTGGATCCCTTCCTTACACCTTATACAAAAATTAGTTCAAGATGGATTAAAGACTTACATGTTAGAGCTAAAACCATAAAAACCTTAGAAGAAAAACTAGGCAATACCATTCAGGACATAGGCATGGGCAAGGACTTCATGTCTAAAACACCAAAAGCAATGGCAACAAAAGCCAAAATTGACAAATGGGATCTAATTAAACTAAAGAGCTTCTGCACAGCAAAAGAAACTACCATCAGAGTGAACAGGCAACCTACAGAATGGGAGAAAAGTTTTGCAATCTACTCATCTGACAAAGGGCTAATATCCAGAATCTACAATGAACTCCAACAAATTTACAAGAAAAAAAAACAGACAACCCCATCAACAAGTGGGCAAAGGATATGAACAGACACTTCTCAAAAGAAGACATTTATGCAGCCAAAAGACACATGAAAAAATGCTCATCATCACTGGTCATCAGAGAAATGCAAATCAAAACCACAATGAGATACCATCTCACACCAGTTAGAATGGCAATCATTAAAAAGTCAGGAAACAACAGGTGCTGGAGAGGATGTGGAGAAATAGGAACACTTTTACACTGTTGGTGGGACTGTAAATTAGTTCAACCATTGTGGAAGTCAGCGTAGTGAATCCTCAGGGATCTAGAACTAGAAATACCATTTGACCCAGCAATCCCATTACTGGGTATATACCCAAAGGATTATAAATCAAGCTGCTATAAAGACACATGCACACGTATGTTTATTGTGGCACTATTCACAATCGCAAAGACTTGGAACCAACCCAGATGTCCAGCAATGATAGACTGGATTAAGAAAATGTGGCACATATACACCATGGAATACTATGCAGCCATAAAAAATGATGAGTTCATGTCCTTTGTAGGGACATGGATGAAGCTGGAAACCATCATTCTCAGCAAACAATCACAAGGACAGAAAAAACACTGCATGTTCTCACTCATAGGTGGGAACTGAACAATGAGAACACACGGACACAGGAAGGGGAACATCACACACCAGGGCCTGTTGTGGGGTCGGGGGAGGGATAGCATTTGGAGATATACCTAATGTTAAATGACGAGTTACTGGGTGCAGCACACCAACATGACTCATGTTGTAACTAACCTGACTCATACATATGTATGGCTCATACATACGTAACTAACCCGCACGTTGTACACATGTACCCTAAAACTTAAAGTATAAAAAAAAAAAAAGAAAAAAAGAAACCAACCTTACCAACACCTTGATTTAGGATCTCTAGTTTCCAGGATTGTGAAACAATAAGTTTCTTTTGTTGAAGTCACTCTGTTTGCAGTATTTGTTATTGCCACCCTAGCAAACTAACACAGCCTCTTATGCCAAAAAGTGATAATGAGATCTTTATGTTATAGCCCTTCAGATTATCATTACTTCTCTTCTGGATTATTTAAATTATTCTTCAGTTCATCTGTATGCTGTTGTAATCATATTTCAGAAATACAGATTTGATCTTGTCAAAAAAATAAAAAATGAAAAACAAAGTCTCTCTCTGCCAATTCTAAAAAAAAAAAAAATGTGGAGAAATTCAAACATTTGTGCTCTGTTTGTGGGAATGTAAAAAGGTACAGCCGCTGTGGAAATAGTAGGGTGGTTTCTCAAAAAATTAAAAATATAATTACCATATGATCCGGCAATTTCACTTGTGGATATATACCCCCAAAATTGAAAGAAGGGTCTCGAAGAAATATTTGTACAACCATGTTCATAAAAGCATTATTCACAATAGCTAAAACATGTACCAACCAAAGGGTCCATCAGTGGATGAATGGATAAACAAAATGGGGTGAATACATAAAATGGAATATTATTCAGCCTTAAAAAGAAAGGAAATTCTGACACATGTTACAACATGGATGAAGCATAAGGACATCATGCTAATTGAGATAAGCCAGGCACAAAAACACAAATACTGTATGACTCCACTTATATGAGATACTTAGAGTAGTCAAAATTTTAGAAACAGAAAATAGAATGGTGGTTGCCAGGGGCTGGGGAAGGGAGGAATGGGTAGTTAGTGTTTAATGACTATAGAGTTTTAATCTTACAAGATGTAAAAAGTTACAGAGATGGGTGGTAGTGATGGTTGCACAACATTATGAATGTATTTAGTGCCACTGAATTGTATGCTTAAAATAGTTAAGAGAGTAACGTATATGTGTATTTTATCACAATAAAAATTCTGGAAAAAATAAAAGAGATGCATTAGTCACAACTGTAGGCCCATGCTAATGCATACTGACTGGTCCCAGCGCTACCTTGAGAGATCTACTCCACATAGTTTGTAAACCAGCACACTTTACCATGTTAGCAAGGCTAAAGATGGGAGAAAGTTGGGAGAAAGTTAGTCATCCAGCATTTCATCCAGAAGTCCTAGAAACTGGAATTTACAACATTGCCTGATGGAGGACTCATGTGTAGTCACTGATTAATTGCAGTATCAATTTCCATGGAAAGAAACTACATAAAAATACAGCTTAAGTTAATGCCTTCAGCTAAGCAGAATAAACTTTAGCTAAGCAGAGTAAACTCCATATGGTAAATAAAAACTTTGCCACAATCTTACACAGTGGAAAGCAGAAAGTGCTAGTAATCCATGGAAAATGGCATTTGAAAAAAATTGAAGTTTGACGTGTGTGTGTGTGTGTGTGTGTGTGTGTAAGTGGAGGTGGTTCTGAAAAGCAATGAAACCCCAAGACACATCACTTGGCAGATGGAAAGAATGAAGAAGCTGAATCATTGTTATTTTCACTTACATCAAAACTGTACTTTCTCTTAGTAGAGAAGGTAAATATAGGAAGGAAATGGTCAGAACATCTGGAAAATCACAAGTAAATAGATTTGAAGTTTAATGTCTTCTACTTGTGCATATTCTGATTTCTGCCCTGGATGTTCACCCCTTTGCCTCTGTACCCTAAAGACAATATCAATGGGCATATCTAACATTTCTCTTTGCTATGGTTTGCATGTATGTGTACCTCCAACATTCATATGTTGGACCCTAATGCCCAATACTATGGTATTCAGAGGCAAGGCCTTTCAGGCAGTGATTAAGTCATAAGCACTCCATCCTCATGAATAGGATTAGTGGTCTTATAAAAAGAGGCTGAAGGAAGAATCTTAGTCCCTTTTCCCCTCCTGCCCTTTATCTCTGCAATGAAACAGCATTCACCCCTTCTACTATGTGAGGACGCAACAACAAGGTGCCACCCTGGAAGCAAAGATTGAGTCTCAGACACTGAATCTGCCAGTGCTTTGATCTTGGACTTCCCAGTCCCCGGAACTGTGAAAAACAAGTTTCTGTTGTTTACAAATTACCCAGTCTAAGGTATTTGGTTATAGCAGCAAGGACAGACTAAGATACTCTTCAAGCTCAGTTTATGATGCACAGTACAAATCATGACACCATAGTTAGAACATCAGCGATACAGACCTGGTTGGATCATGTTACTCTCCTGGCTCTAGAAAATCATTAATCCTTAGGAGTCTTAGTTTCTCATCTTTTAAATGTCATGAAGATTTGAAACTGCCTTTCAAAATTATGACTGAGACAGTGAAAGAGATCTAACTTAACCGACTCTTATCTTGCTTCTAACATCCGAGCTGTCTTTGTTCATTCCTGGGCATAGGCTGAACTAACTTTGGGAGAAACTTAGTTTATAGTTTAAAAAAAGATGGCAACAGCCCTTTCCTGAAGCAGACCTCCTTCTTGCCTGGGGTCTAGATTGCCTTTGTAGGACTAACATTAGCCACAAGATTAGAAATTATGTTTTAAGAGTCATACAGCTGGAGGCTACAAGATTCTGACCCTCCCCGAAACTGCTCCTAAGATCAGTGCTTGAGATATTTTGCACATCCTGCACTTGATGGATCAGCTGGCACCACCCAGATCAATAAACTAGCTCATCTGATCTTGTGCCCCCTCCCCGCCCCGGCCAGGAACTGACTTAGCGCAAGAAGACAACTTCGACTCCCTGTGGTTTCATCTCTGACCCGTCAACACTCCTGGCTCACTGGCTTCCCCCAAGCCACCAAGTTATCCTTAAAAACTCTGCTACCTGAATGCTCAGGGAGACTGATTTGAGTAATGATAAAACTTTGGTCTCCCTCACAGCTGGCTTTGTGTGAAATACTCTTTATTGCAATTCCCCTGTCTTGATGAATTGGCTCTGTCTAGGCAGCAGGCAAGGTGAACCCCTTGGGCAGTGACAGATTTTTTTTTTTACTCACTTTGTTGCTAAATGCAGTAGCTAGGAATTTTAAGTTTACTGTTATTATTCGTATTTCTGAGAGACACAAGGATGACTGGCGGTGGTATGCGGCCCCAAAGACTACCTTATTTTTCTAGAGCCTACACAAGTTCAGAGAGGAAGCCTTATAATGAGACTCAAGGAGCAATTTTCCGATCTTCTTCAGAATTGAGTAGCTTACTGGGAGCTATCAAATCATGTCATAGGATGACATCATATGTTTATGCATCTAGGTACAAACCACACAGCCAAGAGAGAATCAAATATTCTTTATCTCCAGATCATTTGTTTCCTTCCTCTCATTGCTTCTTGTGAGCATAAAAAAATTCTCAGGGACATAAAATAGATTCCACATCAAACTGACTTGTATTATTTTTTAAAAATATATTTTATTTAACCAACACCTATACAGCCTTCACTATATGTGGGGACTATTCTTAAAAGCTCTGTGACTGTTAACTTATTTAATGTTCAACCATATGAGATAAAATATTCTCTTTAACAGATGAGAAAACTGAGACACATCAAGGTTAAGTACGTCACTCAAGGTCACATGGTTAATAACTAACAGGGTAAAAAATTCAAATTCAGACATCTCACTCCAAAATTCCTGCTCTTACCTATTATATTATGCTGCATCATTAAAAGTAAAATATTACTTTTTAAAAGTTCTTTGACATTGCATTAACTGGAAACTAAAATCACCAGCCACCAACAATGTACTGTGGGTACTTCGAAGCCAACAGGCAAAAGATAGAATAATTTTTCTAATCTCCTTTTGACGGCTGGAATTGTATAAGTATTTAATCCTCTTCATGTTGAGTATTAATCGTTAGCAAGTGGATGCCTCCTGAAAATTGCATGGGATAAACTAAAGTGGGTTTTACAGAAAAAAGCTGTATTTTAACTGCACTCTCTAGATTAGCAGAATGGTGAATGAGTAGGTCTGGGCCTACAGTAGAATCTCTTATAAGGAGGCTTCCTTCTAATAGGCTTTCTCCAGCTTTTCAGAGACTGAGGAGAAACTGCACTCAGTGCTATGAACATAGAGCTGCAATGGCTATTACTTAGAGGTGGTCCCTTTCATATGGCTAAGAGGGGACTTGTTTTAAGCAGCTGAATCAGTGCTCTGAAACCTGCAATGCCTGCTTGTTTTCTTTGCTAATATTAAAGAGAACCGCCCCTTCCCACCATACTTGTGTGGGAGCCCCAAATCGTACGAATAAAACACAATAAGATATCACGACAACCATGCCTGAACTGAAGCGCATACAGGACATTTCTGATGAAGGGAGTGCTATTTCTGATGGCTCCATTAACATGGGCCTTTGTGACAGGGATGGGTTCTTGCACCTTCAGCTGAAGACCAAAGTAAAGTCAATGTCATTGTGAATAGGTGAATTTTAGTTCCTCAAATGAGCCAACTGTAGTTACTCTTTGGAAGAATATACATAATCCTGGTAGTTGTATTTTCCTTCAGGCTATTCAGGAGAAAACAAGCTATAGTCTCATTGTTGGAGAGAGCAGATATGCAGTTTAAGCCAGCTACTCCCTCCCATATCCTCCAACAAGCAAGATATCCCTTTCCTCTTCAGAACCAAGGAAAGCCCAGATAGAGAAAAGCTTCATTCACATAGAGCTAAATAAAGACTGGGGGTCAGCATTTGTTAGACATGGGGAGGGAGCAGGGGAGAGTTGATGGGGCAACTGTTATCATATGGAAAGAAGTAGCATGTCCTGTGAAAGGAGGTGAGAATGAAGAGGTAAAGAAGTACAGAGGACTGTAGAGAGGGAGAGAGCTGGTTGAAAGAGGGAAGGTCCCACATGGGATGCCTTCCAAAGACCTAATGAGCAGGTCTTGTCTCTGAGTTCCCTCTCAGTCTCTCACTCTCCTTCCAAGTTCAAAGATATGGATAGCTAAATAAAGTCACAACTCTCAGTCATCAAATTCAGTACTGGTTTATGATATGTACTTAAACCCTGTAATAAAAAAACTGCTGTGGAGATATTAGCAATGGAGAAAGTGGGGTGCTGGAAAGACTGACCATTACATAAAGCCTTGATTTGTCATATTTGCCAATTTTCTTAGTGTAAATGCCCTAATCATTGTTGTTTTCAAGCTACCAAAGCGATGTCACTAAGTGCAGGGTTTGTAAGAGGTGCCCACAGCCACTCTCTCCTGAGCCAGTACAACCTGGCCACAGCATACCACACCATGGGGTTGGTCCATGTTCCCTTCAGATCAACAGCTTACATCTTCTACTTAATTGAAAAGCTAATAGACCATCAGATGATAAAACACACTTGAGAGACTACAGACTATCTTCCTTGACATTTTTCTTCATCCACAGGTTACGAAAGGATGAATATAACTCAGGTAATGACCATGAAAATGCATGGTAGTTGAAAGTCTTTGTTCAGTGTAGTAGTACCATGATTCCCTGTGTTCACACAGGCCAAGTGTTGAACACTGCACTTGGCCTCTACAATACCCATGTACTGATATTCACTCAAGTGAAAAATAAGTCAAGGAATAAACAAAATACTCTCTTATTCCTGGAAATGGCTACTAGAGGCAAGGTTGGAGAAGAGCACTTATATCTGTGGTCAAGTGGGCTTTTAAACAGGAAATTCCTTGGTAGGAAAGGGTCTGAGGGGAGTAGCCACTTCCAAAATGGAAAGCATGGAGGAAAGTAAGAGTCCCTGCTGTCTGCAGGAAGAATGGGTCCCAAGGGAGCTTAGAGCAAGGAAATGATAGAAGAAAGTGACTCAAACTAAATAGATATCTATCTTAGTACAAGCTGGACCAGAGCAGAGCTCCTGAAGCTTCCTGTAGATTCTTGATCCTGCTAAGAAGTGAGAATTACAATGTGGGAGAGCAGAGGGAAGTGTTGCTCCGAAGGGCAGCTTCACCCAAGAGGGAAGGGAGAGAGAGACTAGGTGTGTTTCCTCTATATAACTCACCAATCAAATCAGTTACTCTGGGAAGCAGGCTTGTAATGCCTATGGATGTCCCTCCGTATGAAGGGAGAGAATGGTACCAGCCCCCTACCCTTCCACTGCCAAGCTCATTTTTATCTTAGTCTATTGAGCTTGACCATTAAGCTTTTTGTCACCGATGAATACGGCTGCTCCCTCATGGGAGAAGAGTGGCCCAGGTCTACAGGACAGACCTGCTTCACCTTCACTAAGCCCATCTCCAGCACTGACCTCTGCGTCTCTATGTATCCTCATGAGGGTGCTGATGGCCAATTGTAATTTGCCTCCACCACATTCAGCAATTGGTCAGAACAGCTAATTAATTAGGACAACCCCAGGGTCATTTGGTTCCCAAGGCTGAAAATTTGTCCTCTATTTTATTTCTCATGCCAAATTACATCCAGAGAGCATATCAGAGGTTTTGAATAAAAATGAATGAATAAAATGCCAAATAGATAGATATCTTGAATTTGATTACTAAAACTGCTCCCCTAATCAAATTTCAGAGGGAAATTAAAGTCCAAAAATTAACACTTTTGCTTGTTAAAGTCCAATATTTATGCCTTCTAATTTCATATTCTGCTCATCTCAGGTAAAGGGCTTATGATAGAGCCCTTAACTTCACCTGTAATGGAAGTTACCTGTAATGGAACTTCACCTGTAATGGAAGCTTCTTCTGTTGCTTCCTGCAGAACACTCTGGATCAAGTAGTGGGAGAAACCACTCATACAGCTGACTTACCTCCCTCCAGCCTCTCAGACCCCATGCAGCAGTGCTACGCCCAGAGTTCCTTGACTTGGCTCCTTGCTACAACACATCTACATGCTTTTTCACTTTCTGTGTCTCTCGTGCCCCTTGCCAACTCCCAGTTTTCTCCTTCTTTATTACCACCCCTTCAAAATTAATAGAATTAGGATGGAGTTGAAATGTACAGATGTGCAGCTGCCTCATCTTCAGTTTCTAGGTAGTCACAGACTTCAGTAGATATTCCCAATTGTTCAGAAAGAACTTACAAAGTGGACTTTTGATATACTGCTGTATTTGTTGCTAGGAAAGAGTACAACCCCAAAGTTTATTCTTCTTCACTTTTGGAAAAGTACTGCACTCTGCGGTTCATCGCCCTGACAGGATGAGCTGATGTCTCCCAGTTGGAATCTACTCCTCTTGCCTTCTAGCTATTTCTGAGCATTAAATATGTTAGAACCAAAAACAGAAACGGTTGCTCCATGCTTCATTAGAGAACCTTGATAACATTGTCCTCAGGGACCACACCACATAATGAGACCCATTTGGTTTTAAAACATTACTTCATGAACAAGGAAAGTAGTTTTACTCAACTGAAACTATGATATCAATTTTTTTTATTTCTGTAATCATTAAATGCAACTTTGATGAATAATTTCTAACATTTAAAATGTGGCTCCTGAATCTCTCTTCTCATTAAAAAGGAAAAAAACTAGTTTTGAAAATAACCATCCCTCTCAGCTCTATTAGTGTATGGTTCAGTTTTTAAATAAATGCTTTCACTTAAAAGTAGAGTGTGCATATTAAAGAAAATTTGGATACCCAGAAAAGTGGACAGAGGAAAAAAGTACATGTAGTCCCATTATCCAAGAAAAATCATCATTAACATTTTAATGTTTTCACTTATAATTTCTTCTTAGTTTTATGCTTATATTTCCTCAGATTGAAAGTAGGTCAATTACCCATAAATTAAGCTATTAATTTAATGTAATGCTAAGTTGCGATTCCCTATTAGAATGCAATTCGAACATAAATCCCCATGGGTTTCTTTTAGAACCTGATTAGTTCACTCTAAATTCAACCTAAGGTATAAATTAATAAGACTATGTAAGAAAAAATTTTGAAACAGCGAATAAAGAAGTTGCCTGGCAAAATGTATGAAAATTTAAAATGCATTTTTTTTTAATCTAACATACCAATTTGGTGAAGCTTTCCCTAACATGTACAAGGCTGGTCTGCAAAGATATATGTCAAAGGGTGTTTTGGGGTGGTTTTGTCTGTTTTGTTTTGGAACTGCAAAATGAAGAGTTGAAGTTATCGCACTTCTCCACTCATGAAACATTAACTGCCATCATCCACACATGGAAGGACCATGTCTTGTTTATTTTCCACAGGACTGATTCTTGTTCCATGTTTCTTTCCTTAAAATCCCCAATCTTCATTCCCTTTTTCCTCCTTCCCAAGTAATCATATATCACATTATGATTATACATTATTTAGGATTTTTTTATCACAAGGAATAAGGCAATGAACATCATCCCCCATGAGCTTTCCATTATGGACCTCTGCAAAACTTTAGCTGGGACACAGGATAATATATAAGAATATATATTCTTGTCTTCCCAAAGTACTTTTGAATTGCTTTCCACATTGTCTGTACCATTTTTCATTATCATCTACTTGTCCATGTGGTTAATTTCCTTTCATTCTTTCCAATACTTGTCATTAACTTTTGTTAATGTAATGAGTATAATGTAGTGGTTCACCACTGTCATAATTCACATCTTATTAATTAGTAAGTTTGACTGTCACTTCATATACTTAAGAGCCATTTAATTTTTCACTTCTGAGATTTGAGTATACACATTTGTCTACTTTTCCTTTTGGTGTTTTGATTTTTCCCGAATGATTTGGAAGAAATCTCAAATATTCTAAATTCTAATCTCTTGTCAGTCTTAGTTTTGACAAGTATCTTCCTCCAATCCATTGTCTGTCTATTAATTTTGTCTATGGTGTTTTCATTTGATAGAAATCTCCATTTTTGATGTAATAAAATCTTAATTTTTCACATTGTGAGTTATATTTCTAAGGTCCTCTTTAAGAATATCTGTCTGACCTGAAGTCAGAAAGATAACCTCCTCTACTTTTTTCCTGTTATCTTTATTTTGACTTTTAATATTTATAATTCACTGGAATTAATTCTTGTATTTTGAATGATATATAGCTCTTTACACATGAGCTTCTATTAATAATATATCTTCTCCCTCATTGACATGGTACCATCTTACATTAAGTTCCCCCAAATACATGGCTCAGTTTCTGACTGTCCATGGAATTATATTTACCTGCTTGTACCTGAACCAGTAGCCCACCTATTTTTTTTCCTTTATGACAATGTCCTGGTATTAGGGCATATTCTCTGGTAGATTTAATCCTCACTACTTACTTTCTAAAAATGATTTGGGAATTTTTAAATATGAAAAACAATATAAGAAGCAAATAGAATTAAAAATAAGAAATGAGTAAGAATATACAAGATCAGAGAGACAAATTTTTAAAAATTGACCTAACTGGCATGTATAGAACATTGCATCTGACAGTGGCAGAACAGCATGGGGGAAACCACCCCCATGATCCAATCACCTCCCACCAGGCCTCTCCCCAGACATGTGGGGATTATACTATCAAATTACAAGTTGAGATGAGATTTGGGTGGGGACACAAATCCAAACCATATCAGTTTAATATTTGAAAATCAATGTAATTCTATACATTAACAGAAAAAAATTAAAGAAATAATTATTTCAATAAATGCAAAAAAAAATTAATGAGGCTAAAACCAAATTATGATAAAATCTCTTAGCAAATAGGGATAGAAGGGAACTTAATTTGACAAAGAATATCTATCTCCCAAAAAAACAAAAAAATTAATGGGACTAGGGTTGTCCTCCTACTGGAAATCAGTAGGTGACTGTGCCTTCCATGATGTGGTTTCTGTCAACCACCTCTACTCTTTTTCCAAGTTTTATACCCTTTGAGAGGTTCACAGCGAGGAGTATTGACATTGTCAGAAAATGATGATTTAGAAAAGTGGCAGGATTCCACGACCTGGAATGTTTAGTGCATAGAGTAACTAGCTTCAACCTCTCTGAAACCACTTGACCAAGAGGCAACCCTTGGGCATTCTCTTTCCTGGGAAAGGTCTAGGGAACAATAAAGGTCTAGAGAACAATAAAGGGATATTTCCAGCATTCTCTGCAGTGGGACATATAGAAGGTGCTATGGTTTGAACATTTGTCCCCTCCTAAACTCATATTGAAATTTAATTGCCATTGTAACTATATTGCGAGGCGACACCTTTAAGAGGCATTTAGTCATGAGGGATCTACCCCTCAACTCCTCTGGCCAGCCCATCCTTGCACATCACGTACTGCCTTAGCTGCAGGCCTTTGCACATGCCAGTCCTACGCCCAGAATGGTCCCCTGCCTCCCCGGAGGCTCCTTTACCTGCCAGCCTTCTTTTCTTGACCTAAATTTCCCTTTCTCTGGGAGAGCCTCCTACCCTCTCCTCTAGGCTATTCACTTCTTCCACATGCCCCATGGTGCCCACTCTTTCAGCTGGGGCAATGCTCGTCACACTGCATAGTAATTGCTCAGTTGAAAATTGCTCAGTTGAAACCTCTTTCCTTTATAAATTACCCAGTCTCAGGTAGTATCTTTTTAGCAGTGTGAGAATGGACTAATACATAGAGTGAGTTCACTTCCTCTTGCTCTCTGTCTTTCTTGCCCTCTCTCTGCCCTTTCACCATGGAATGATACAGCAAGGAAACCCTCACAAGATGCTGATACCTTGATAGTGGACTTCCAAACCTACAGAACTGTGAGCCAATAAATTTCTCTTCATTATAAATTATCCCAACTATGGTATTCTATGGTATTTACGGCAGCACAAAACAGGATAAGACAGAAGGGAAAAAAGTTCCTTCCATAGAGAAGTTCTCCCTTAGAGAATAAGACTTGAGAATACTCAAGAAGCCCTGGGCATGGATAGGACTTATGCAACATGAAAAACCAAGCAGGGGAACAGGAGTAACTGAACTGGTAAACATCCTTCATGTTTTCTTATATTTATCCTTCATATCTCAAATTAGGGTTATGGTTATATAATGAGGCTCTGATGTACTTGAGAAAGCTACGCCGTATGGTTCTTATTGAATTGCCATAATTTCCTATGAAATGGTTCTTGAATAGGCTAAGATCTCCCTGGGTTTAGAAATGTACAGCAGTCTACATTGTTCTCTTTACTGTGGGTACTTGAATAGTCTAGGAAGTCAGCTCTTCATCCACAATGGAAAAATAAATATTTCAGTACCCAAGTTTTTATGGAAAATTTTAGTTTGATAAAATTATTCTATTCACATACCTCATCATGAAAGGAAATGAACAGACTTTTGATGAAACTTTAAAAAATCATTCTCTAACCTTATTAAGAAACAAAATGCAAAAGTGTATTAGGAATTTATGCTCCCTCTTTACGTGAAAGGTTACTGTAGATAATACCATAATAAGAAAAGTCCAAATGAAAGAGAGCTGGAAATTATTCTAATAACTATTCAGTTAGCAAAATATCACAATTGCCAGATACATATTTCCTTTATTTTTTTGGTAATAAAAACTGAAATAGTAGTTCAATGAAAGTATAAATCAAAATGAATGGTTTTGAAAGATTGCCCAGACACTTTCTATCATAGAGGTCACAATTCATAAAAAGAACATGTTGAAAACGTGTTTTCTGTACTCAGCATGACAATTTGTCTTAATCCCTTATCTTTGAGAATAGAATTTTAAAGAAAATAAAATTTTTGATGGTTGGCTCAGTCTTCATTTTTGTTCTGGGCAATATTTTATTAATGACTGAAATGTGGACAGCAATGTTATGGTGACCTAAGTACCCTCGCTTGAGTGTGTAGAGAGGATTAGTCTGGCTTCCCCAATCCATGAAGTAGAAATTAGTGTATCAGACAGTAGAACCAGGGTCTAACATGGACCACCATATTGAATGAGAGCCATTCCCTATCAGCCAGCCACGTGCTTATTTGGTTACAGATTCAGTGGAAATTAACAATGGTGCATGATGTCTAATACAGTTAGTATAAATCTTAGGTTAATACAGTATCAGGGAAAAGTAAGGCCATATTTCCAAGGTGTGCTGAGCCCATCATAGAGTTTAGCTGCATTACAGGGTTCCATTCTGGATCCAACTAAGAACTGAGAGATCCAGAAAAACTGGAACAAGTTCAGTGATGGATACCTGAAATGGTAAAGGTATCAAAGTATTGTCACATGGGGAGCTGTTTAAGAAATAAAGGGAAGATAAGATCTATGAAAGACATGATGTGTGTCCCCATATACTTGAAGGACTGTCATGCAGTGAAAGAACAAGATTGATTGCCATTGCAGAGGGAGGCTAGCTGCAAATCTGTGTAGAGAAGAGCTATGAAGGAATAGTCTGCCTAAATTGGAAGTGAGTGCCCCATGATTGAGAAGTTCAAACAGACAAGCATCTCTCATGGATGTTTGGGGGATGGTTGGGTTAGAAATAGTGGGCCTGAGAGTGTGCAAGGATTGGATAAAGATGACTTAAAGTGTAAAGGAGGATATGCATAGGTTATATGAAAATACAACAGCATTTTATATAAAGGACTTAAGCATCTGAGAATTTTGGTATCCACAGGGGGCCTAGAACTAATCCCCTGTGGATACCAAGGGGTAATTGTAATGATGGCAAAGTGTGTGGACTCTGAAGTCAAACTGCTGAGTTCAGATCATGGCCTTAGTTCTTTATGCGAAATTGAGTAGGTTACTTGCCTTTCTATGCCTGTTTTCACATTTGTAAAATGGAGATGACAATATTACCTAATTCACAGCGTTGCTCTGAAAAATAGACACAATCACAAAATGTTTATAATCCAGCTCACATAAATATTGCATGTTAGTTGTTACTATCCAGTGGAGGAGAGAATCATTCCAGTCCAACCTTCCCCACATGTATGAGATCAGCACACATCTTTTCCACTCAGGCTGACTTATAGTTGGATTAAAAACTAAAGAGGGTGGCTTCCTTGGGCTGATTCTAGGTCACTGTTTGGGCCCCTCCTGCCAAGGGGCATCTTAGTGGGCTCTCCCACTTGCAATGGCAACCCACTCCAAGCCCCAATAACTGTGAACTTCTCACCACTTCTTAAATAACTCTGGCCAATTGTGGACTATCTGTGCTTGTGGGACCCTGCCCATAGGGCTTCTTCCATGAGGCAGGCTTTGCCTTGCCTCCTCTTCTTATTCACGTGCAAATGTTTACCCAAGTCCGTGACTCCTGTGAAAGGAAAATACGCCTTGGGGCCCCAAAATCACTAAGCTAAAGGGAAAAGTCAAACTGGGAACTGCTCAGAGGAAACCTGCCTCCCATTCTATTCAAAGTCACCCCTCTGCTCACTGAGGTAGATGCATATCTGATTGCCTCCTTTGGACAGGCTAATCAGAAACTCAAAAGAATGCAACCATTTGTCTCTTATCTACTTATGACCTGGAAGCCCCCTCCCCGGCTTCAAGTTGTCCCACCTTTCCAGAGGAAATGTTCATCTTACATATGTTGATTGATGTCTCATGTCTCCCTAAAATGTATAAAACCAAACTGTGCTCTGACCAGCCTGGGCACATGCTGTCAGGACCTCCTGAGGCTGTGTCACAGCTGCGTGTACTCAACTTTGGCAAAATAAACTTGCTAAATTAACTGAGACCTATCTCAGATATTTGGGGTTCACACTCCTCATGTCCCCCAGGCATTCCCTCCTCTGGGCTGCATGGCTCTTGTTCATAACTATTATAGGATTTAACTTGTGGTATTTTGACTGTCATGCATAGTCTTTTCAACTAGACCAGGGATCCCCAACCCTACGCCATGGACCAGTACTATCCATGGCCTATTAGAAACTGGCCCACACAGCAGGAGGTGAGTGGCAGTGAGCAAGCTAAGCTTCACCTGTATTTATAGCTGGTCCCCATCACTTGCATCACCACCTGACCTCTGCCTCCCTCCTGTCAGATTAGTTGCGGCATTAGATTTTCATAGGAGTGCAAATCCTGTTGTAAACTGCGCATGCAAGGAACCTAGGTTGCGTGCTCCTTGTGAGAATCTAATGCCTGATGATCTGTCACTGTCTCCTATCATCCCCAGATGGGATCATCTAGTTGCAAGAAAACAAGCTCAGGGCTCCCACTGATTCTACATTATGGTGAGCTGTATGTTATTTCATTATATATTATAATGTAATAATAATAGAAATAATGTGCACAATAAATGTAATGCACTTTAATCATCCCCAAATCATCCCCTGCCTGTCCGTGGAAAAACTGTCTTTCACCAAACGTGTCCCTGGTTCCAAAAAGGTTGGGGAACACTGAGCTAGACTGTGAGCTCCTTGAGGGCAGTGACAGTTCCATTCATCTCTGTTTCCCCAAGATTGGCACAAAGTATGCGTTCAATAAGCCTATTAACCTAAAGAAAGTAAATCTGTCCAAATTTTCAGTATATCGTATTTTCAACTTTTCGAGCTATCCCCATTAGCCTAAATAATTCTTCAGAGCAAGAATAATGTTTTTTAAATATCTGTAGCCCCAGGATAGCCAAGAACATGGTAGGTGTTTAATCATTTGCAGAATAAATTAAAGGATGAATTTATTTGGAACATAAGCTTCTTATTAGCATCTAGAATAAATCAGTATTTCTTGTTCAGATTAATAGTATAACAATCACAATTAGGTAGCATCTTATAAGTAGAATGTTTAGTTGATGCTGTAAATCAGCAGTCATCTAGAGATCCTAACTCTTGCTTCTCAGGCACATTGTGACTGGGGAGCAAGAATTAGACAAATTATTCACTGAGCTTTTAAAATTCTCAGGTTCCACCTCCATCTAATCAATCAGTCTTTAAAAAATAAGTTTAGACAGATACTTTGTTTTGTTTTTCCAAATATCTCCAAGATTAATATGAAATAGGGGTTGAGAACCATCCTGACCCTGTAAGCTGCAAGCCCTGTGATCTTCAGGAAATTTTTAATTTCTTTAACCCCCAATGTCCTCATCTGTAAAAGGAAGATAATTATTATGCCTACCTCCTAAGGTTGCATAATAATTAAATGATTTAATCTCATAAGAAGTGTTGAACATGGTACCCAACATACTGAAAGCATTGTTATTATTGTTTTATTGGTAACATCATTTCTATTGAAGTATAGGCCATGCCACCACCACCTGTGAGCCATTACTGCCACATCTTGGCCAAATATCATAACTGCAGGCTCCTGCCTTTTGTATTTCTATACAATGCCTAGCTTAACAATGGGGATGCTTTCAGACAAATTCATCATTGTGCGAACATCATAGAGTGTACTTACACAAACCTAGATGGTAGAGCTGATTACACACTGAGGTTATATGCTATAGCCTGTCGCTCCAAGGTTACAAACCTGCATAGCATGTTACTGTACTGAATACTGTAGGCAACTGTAACACAATGGTAAGGATTTGTGTATTTTCTCTGTTTAGACATTGTGAACATGTCTAAACAGAGAAAAGGTACGTAAAACTGTGGTCATATAATCTTATGAGAATAACATTGTAATATGTTAACTAACATTGTAACATGTAGTACATTGCTGACCAAACGCCATTACATGGTGCAAGACTGTACTTGAAACTAGACCAAACTGCTACCCCAAATTAAACCTATCAAGTAAGAGAAAGGAAGTTTATAAAATTCCAATCACCTTTCCCTCTATCAATCAATCTCTGCTATCAAAAGCTAAAATTTCCCCAGCTATTTCTAAGCATAAAATTATTTGAGCCTCATTTAGGCTTGAGTTTACTGCTTCCCAGAGAAGAAGGAAAGGAAACAGAGAAAATACTGTACGGTAAAACTTCCTAAGTGTTACTTATCCTAAGGGGGAAAAGATGGCTTGAAAAAACCTACTTTGTAAGAAATTGTTTTGAAAGATAATTTGAATATATTCATTAATATCCTTCATGTTATCCTTCTAAATGTCCTCGTAAGTCTTATAACTCTAAATGTCTTTATAACTTCTAAATGATCTCGGCAGTGTCCATTTCCAGGGAATAGAAAAGAGCCGAATGAATACATTCTGTGCAGATCATAGCTCACACAAACTCTTTAAGTTTAAAACCCAATTTATATACTAATATGAGGGAAAACAGACAAATATTTGTAAGGCAAATAAACGCTTAAGGTAGGAAAAATTAGCATCCTTGAAGAAAACAGCCCAGGAATTCCTGTATTTTCTTAAGAGAGTAGAGGTGGGAAGAAAGCAATGTTCCAGCATTGAGAAAACATCAACAGAATGTCTTTGAGACAACGGCAATACAATGTCTACTGCATAGCTCGTCTTCACATATATTATCACAGATAATCTTCCCAATGACACTGGGGGTGAGGGGGAATAGTTTTATCCCAGTATTACAGATGAGGAGATGGTGATGCACGAAGGTGAGACTTTACAAATCCACACAACTGTTGGGTGGCAGAGCCGCGCGAGACTCAACGCATGGGATGCTTCATTTCATGGTTCAGCTCCTCCTGTTAAACTATTCTCTGTAGCACAGAGAAGAAGCCCACGACTATCAAAACCATTGCTAACTGAAACAGAATATTATAATTCATGTGTAAGAAAAGCTTCAGAAATGAGTGCAAGGCTCTGAGGGAAGTTTGCTGTGTGGGATGCTACCCTGGGCTGCCTGTGGAGATGAATAGCCGCGCCAGAACAGATTTTTATTCATTTGGAGGTCGTGAATAAAACAGTTTTAGACTTTGGAGCAGAAAGAAATTGGTTAGGGGGCAGGGGGTGATTTTTTTCCCCTAGGTCTTTGTATTTTAATAAGTGGGAGGCTTTTTTTTGTATTTTGTTTTTTGGGCTTCTTTTTCTTATTCTATTAAAAAAGGGGGTCCCTAGGACTGCACTGTGACATTTCTTCTATTTTGTCAGATAAGGGGAACTCAACAGCTTTTTCACTCTCCCTTTGTGTCATTAAAAAACAAAGCATTTCAACCAAAATATTTGATGTTTTTCTACCAGTGCCTTAGAATGTTATTATGTGTGGATAGGAAACATCTCCCCTGAAAGCTCAAGGCTTCCCCTTCTCTACATAAGCCCAGGTGGGTAGGAGGTTTGGGACGATACTAGGGTTGTGAGCAATTAATCACAAATTTACTGCAAAGTCCTCTGAATTCGCTCTGTGATTTGGCTTCTTAAAACTAACTTACATCTCACAGAGTTCTTACGGGAAAAACTGGGGGAAAGGACACAGTGAACCCCTCTGTGAAATTTTACTAGTTTTAAGTAAAGATTTTGTGCCAGGCACTAAGTTCAGATCTTCACGTGTTATCTCATTTAATCCTTAAGACAATGGTTATTATCCCCTTTTACTTGAAAAGAACATTGAGCCCTAGATAAGTCAGTTAGCTTGCCCAAGGTCACGCAAATCCTGAGAAACGGAATCCAGCGTCCCTGATCCCCGACCTCTGTACTTATGCAATGTAAGGACTTAGAGCCAAAATGCTTGGCTTCAAATTCTGGTTTCATAGCTGTGCGAATTTGGGCAAGTTTTAAAATTTCTGTGCCTCAGTGTCATCTCCAAAATGGAGAATAGGGATAGGAACAGTACATAAATCACAGGGCTACTGTGAGGATAAAAAGAGTTAATATAATTTAGATGCTTAGATCTGAGATTCCCATCCCATGTACTAATATGTCCTAGGGCACTGCAGTCAACTTGCAAAGGGTTGTTGGAACATTTAACATTTTCAAGGGAAATGTGGGGATAACTGACATCTGTCAGTCATTGAGTGAACTACTAGCTTGAGGTAGTTCAGTTTCAACGTTAGATCACACCGCATTCCTTTTGATGGCAGTATATCTTCACAGCACTGGGTTTTCAGCTATTGCTGTGATGAAAAGCAAATACCATCCCAAAATCAATGTGGAGCCGGAAATGAGGGTGGAGGTGTCAGATCTTGACTCCAAGGTTCCAGACATTGTACAGCCCCCAACAGGTGCACACATGCCATTAGTAACTCTTGTGTTACTTAAGAATGTAATAAAAGTATTATCTTTTCTTTCAATTTATGCATATTATTTTTTCAAATTTCTACCAAGTTATCAGGACATAAATATGTATTAAGTGGTTGAGACATAATTACTTAATAAATGGATATGACGGGTATTTCTTTTGGCCTAGATGTGCTATGGAAAAATTACTATTACTACGGATGCCATGAAATGAGAACGTTCAGAACTTCCGGCTTGGAACAATTCCTAGTTGCATAGTCACTCTGCAGATGGCAGCTGTTATCAGCCCTCATGCTGTACTGAGTCTTATATAAAGCTTTGCCGGTTCCATATGATGAATATAGCTAATGTTTGTGTTTGCAAACTGCCTAAACAGGTTGGGAGAAGAGAGAGGCCAATTTTTACAGAAAAGGTTAGGGGTTTAAGGCAGACATGTGACTTGTCCTAGATCACTAGGCTCACCTTATGGTGCAATGGTGCACCCAAACTTCTAGAGACAGGGCACTTGTTTCTCTGAACCAGGCTGGTTTCTCAGAAAAAAAAATGACACAAAACAAGAAAACATTTTCACAACAGTCATAATTCTTTTTTTCTTCCCCCTGCCCCACTAAGAGAGTCCAGTCTCTTCCTTTCTTCCATCATCAATTTATTTGAAAAGATTTTATTTAATGATCTTAATGAGAGGATCACTCTGCTGATTGGGAAGATGGCCAGAATTAATTTTCTTCTCTAACTGCAAAGGCTTAAAATAAGATCTTAGCATGTCTTTCTACGATTCACGTTTCCATCTGCTACTTTTACCTAGGTGAGATTCGTGCCATGGAGACAGGAGCCTTCTGCCACCTCTCAGGAGCCATGGTAGGCTCTTGTGAGACCTGACCTGGGGCAATGACCAGGACATCTTAGTGGACTCAGTTCTGTTATTACAAAAAAGCAACAGGAAATAGCATGCAGAAAAGATTCTTTCTGATGTAGATTAAGCGTACTATTGGAGGCAGAGCCTTTTCACAGACTGTTTTAGGAAGCTGTTTTGAGGGGTTTGTGTTTTGTTGGTCATATTATTTTTAATTTTTTCTCCTTAAACATTTAGAGTGTTGGTTTATCTTTAATATTTTTATAGCACCCCCTAAGATCATCCCAGGGGAATGCTTTATAATAGCTGCAAGTAATTCAGCTCTTTTGGCTAGTTAAGGGATTCCACAAAAACTGTTCTGAGAAGATGAGGTTCTCGGTGCCCTTCCAGTGTCCCGCCTTAAGCCTTTAAGCCTCTATCTGTATCCATTGACCCCTGCCACTCACTAGGCACCTTGTGAAGGGTAGGCTCTAACAATTTATGTTCACAGACTCAGTGCTGAACTACCTTAATCTACCCCTCAAACCCTCCTTTCTTGCCCTCAACTTACCTCCTCTTGAGCTCATTCTTTCCCAGTACCCTGAGTCTGATTCTGCTGCACTGTCTGTGGCTGTTGCCGTCCTAGCTATGAATGTGTTTTCCATCATAAGTTAAACAAAGTGCTGACTTTTCACCCCAGCAACACTCTGAAACCACTTAGAATAAACGACTCTTAGGGTTTGAGCCAACTCCCATAAGCTTTCCTTCCATGGCACCCACAGTATTATCTATTATCAGTATGATTATTAACACAGACTTTCTTTTGATTGGTCCCCCCATTGGAGCCTTACATTCTAGTGGGTCATAAAATGATAAGTATATGAAATTTCTAGAATTCTTGCAAGAATTAAATGGTATGCTGAATGTAAAGCATGTAGCCCAACTTAGCAGGCTCACAACAAGTGTAGCCTTTTTTATTATGAGAAGGGACCTCACCTCTTCACTCAGTGAGAACAAAGGGAAACATAGAGACTGTGGAAGTCAGAAAGGCCCCCAAAGGTGTCCACGCTCTTGTCTCTGAATCCTGTGAATATGCTACAGTACACAGCAAAAGTAAATTTGCATGTGTGATTAAAGTTATGAACCTTAAAATAGGAAGGTTAGCCTAGATTATCAGGTAGGCCTAACACAATCAAATATATCCTTGAAAGCAGAGAGCAGGCCGGCCATGGTGGCTCATGCCTGTAATCCCAGCACATCGGGGGGCCAAGGCAGGAGGATTGCTTGAGTTCAGGAGTTTGAGACCAGCCTGGGCAACATTGCTAAACTCCATCTCTAATAAAAATACAGAAATTATCTGGCTGTGGTGGTATGCACCTGTAGTCCAGCTACTCCAGAGACTGAGGTGGGAGAATTGCTTGAGCCCAGGAGGCAGAGGTTGCATATTCATCCCCAGAGGCTTCAGATAGTCCTTCCAGTACCCTGATTTTAGCCTTGTGAGACTCAAGGCAAAAGACCCAGCTAGGCCATGTGCTCTATTTACCTACACAACTATGAGCTCACACATTTGTGTTGTTTTAAGTGCTAAACACTTGTGGTAATTTGTTACTGCAACAATAAAAATCTAATACAGAGCCTGTATCCTGGATTAGGTCTGAGTAGGAGAATGACTTCCAAAGAAATGCAGAATCATGTCACTATTGAGGTTTGCTCCTCAGAGGCTGTGGTAGGTGACGGCAGCACAGCAACAGCAGCCATAGGAAGCCATCAGTCACAACAATACCAGACTTAAGGGCTGAGGGACTCAGACAATGACTCTACAGGGGGACCGCAAAAAGTGTGTGAAAAAATGGAATTGATAAAAATAAAAAATATATATTTTCTTTCTTAAGATAAACTACATTAAGTTCAAGACTCAATATATTGTAAGTGATGATACCAGCCATTTAGTCCATCCCTAAAGAACAGAGGACCCTGGGATTTAACCATGTTAATGCAGCCTTTCTTACACTATTAACAGAAGAAAACTGGGTGGCTTTTTCAGATCTTTCTTCAGATAAGGAAAAAAAAGTCAGAAGGAGCCAAATCAAGACTGTTGCATGGATGCCTAATGATTTCCCATAGAAACTCTCACATGATTGCCCTTGTCTGATGAGATGAATGAGTAGGAGTATTGTGGTAGTGAAAAGGAATTCTCTGGTGAAGATTTCTGGGCATTTTTCTGCTAAAGCTTTGGCCTTTCTCAAAATATAATAAGCAGATGCTATTCTTTGGTCCTTCAGAAAGTCAACAAGAAAAAATGCCATGCAAATCTCAAAAAAGTATTGCCATGACCACTGTGATAGTTTTTGCTCTTGACCAGCAAAAGCTTTTGCTTTGACTGGACCTCTTCCACCTCTTGGTATCCATTGCTTTGATTGTGCTTTGTCTTCAGGATAATACTGGTAATGTCATGGTTCCTCATCTGTTACAATTCTTTAAAGAGATGCTTCAGGATCTTGAATTTCCTTTTTAAAAATTTCCACTGAAAGCTCTGCTCTTATCTGCAGCTGATTTCTTAGTAAGAGTTGTGTAAGCTGGACCAATTGAGATGTCTATAGTGTTAGCTATTGTTTCTGCTGTTCATGGTCAGTCCTGTTCAATTAGGGCACAGACAAGGTTAATTTTTTTCTCACAAATTGATGTGGATAATTTGCCACTGTAGGCCTTATCTTCAACATTGACTTCTTCCTTCTTAAAAAAAGTTATCCATCTGTAAACTGCTGATTTCTTTGGGAAATTGTCCTCATAAATTCTTCATAAAGCATCGATGATTTCACCATTCTTTCTCTCAAGTTTCACTATAAATTTGATGTTTGTTCTTGCTTCAATTTTAGCAGAATTCATCTTGCTCTGACAGAGGCTCTTTTCAAACTGATGTTTTATCTTTCTTAGTGCCTCAAACTAGATTCTGTTCATACATGTTATAAAAAGTTAGTACCAGTTTATTTTGGTGCAAAATATTTTTGAAATTCATGCATAATTTTTCCATCATATGCATTTTTCATGAACTTTTTGAAGACCCCACATAATTTGAATCGTGCTGCTGGCTACAGCCAGGAGAACTGTAAGACCTCTAGCACTAGGGATGAAGCATAAAGAAATGGAGAGGTAGCATGCCAGCTATTGGGACCCAGCCAAAGGCCAGTATTTTGTGTGGTAGCAGCCAGGAATGCATGTGTTGCTGCTAAAAATACTAAGATTAATTTAGCACGGGTTGATATGATGTGTCCATAGTGTTACTAACAAACAGATAATGTTGGTTGTTCTGCATTTTTTGCTTCTGCACAGATTTGGTGAGCACCACAGTTAGAATTTATAAATGACTGACCCTCCAGTCCTTGATATTAGGTTGGGTCAAAAGTAATTGTGGTTCTTGCCCTTGAAAGTAATGTCAAAAACCATATTTACTTTTGCACCAACCTAATACTTATTTAAAGGGATTAAACACAAGTGTCCCTAAGCTCAGAGAAGCTAACCTCAGGCAGAGCTGGAGACTTCAAATACAGTCAGATCTGGTTTCCATGTCTGAGCACAGATGTCTCCCACAAAGTGTACTTCTTACCCTCACCCTAAAATATAATTCAATTCACAGCATAACAATCTCTTGCCTTTTATGTAACTACCTCTTTCCCCCAGCCTATAGTCCAAGAACATCACAAACGTAGTATTCTTATTTTCTTTTATAAGAAACAATATCAATACCTGCTGAAAAAATAAAGATATCCACGATCTGACCCCTGCCAATCATGATTCTGCAGTGGAAGGTAGGGATGGGGAGTTGAGTCAAGGCTCCATCTTTCCTATATATTGTTTTCTGTCTGAAATGTAATTATTTCTTCCTCATGTAACTAACTCTGAATCATCCTTCAGAATTTAACTCAAAGATTTGCCTCTTAACAACCTTCCCTCACTATACCACCATTAATTTATTCCACAGATATTGTGATCCTTACTCAAAATTATGCAAGTGTCAGAGAGATAGAAGTGAACAAAAATGAAGTAATCTCTACCTTCATGGAGTTTACAGTCTAGTGGTTGAGTCAAACATTAAACAAAGAATTCATATATAATAACAGATTGTGATAAGGCTACTATGCCAGAATAATGATGTAGCAATAATTTAGTAAATAAATTACCCTGTGCCTTTCTTTTTCTGTAGCTGACTTATTAGAAAAAAAGTATAAAGGTAGTTTTTCTCTCTCTCCCTTCAAAACACATTCAGGCTTTGTGTAAGGTAGGTTAGGGCTCCCAGGCCCTGGAAGTGGAGCAACTAAATGGGGATAGGGTCCTGGCCTCTGTTCTGGAAGATGTAGAACAACATCATACAATAGAACTGTTATATCAGTTACATATGTAGTTTTACATTTTCTAATAGCCACATTAAAACAAAAAAAAAGCACAATTAATTTTGATAATAGATTTTAATCTCAATATTGCAAATAGTATTTCAACATGTAATTAGTATAAAACCATTAATGAGAAATTTTACATTCTTTTTTCACATCAACTTTTCAATATCTAGTGTTAAAATCACAACACATCTCTATTTGGACTAGCTACATCTTTCTTTAAAGTTATTTTCCTGTGGTAGGAAGACCTTCAGTTGAACTGGTTTGTGGTAATTCTGAGACATAAATACGAACTGCCAAAACTTGGTATCCTAGCAAAGACCCTGGTGATCATATCTTTGGGTGATAGAGAGGCGTATCTGTATTCCATTTCTGGATCAGTAGTTGATGAAAGGCAACCCTCAAATCCAGCATCATTTAGCAGAAGCAACCAAATTAACAATACAGATCAAGGGAATAGAGCACTTCTCCCATTTTCCAGGCTAAATAAATTCTCATTCTTGGTAAATGGAAACCCTGAACTGTAGTATATGCTTTAGAATATAATACAGATGTGACATTTCTTACACTCTGAGTGTGATAGAGCAATTCATCCCTGTTAGACATAGAGGAAAAGTCCATTCTGTTTCGAGAAAGTATAGAAGAATGCAGATCAAGGGTTGGCAAAGATCTCCTTGAGGAAGTGACATAAACCTGTGGAGAAGGCAGCTGTGTGTAGAGATGGGGGATGAAATGTGCTCCAGACAGAGTGAGCAGCATATATAAGTGCCTGGAGGTAGAAAAGAGGTTTGCATGCTTTAGAAGCTGCAAGAAACCCAATGGAGGTAATTAAGAGGAAGAGTAGAAGGCTGGGCACAGTGGCTTATGCCTGTAATCCCAGCACTTTGGGAGGCTGAGGCAGGCAGATCACTTGAGGTCTGGAGTTCAAGACCACCCTGGCCAATATGGTGAAACCCTGTCTCTACTAAAAATACAAAAATTAGCTCGGCATGGTGGCTCATGCCTGTAGTCCCAGCTACTTGGGAGGCTGAGGCAGAAGAATTGCTTGAATCCGGGAGGCGGAGGTTGCAGTGAGCCTGAGATCATGTCACTGCACTCCAGGCTGGGTGACAGAACTAGACTCCATTTCAAAAAAAATACAAATATAAATGTAAATAAATAAAAGAGGAAGAGTTGCTCAACTTGAACTGGAAGGTGTGAGAGGAACCAGATTATATGTACTTATGGGATAAGTTAAAGGTCTTGAACTTTATTCAAACTGCAGTGGGAAGATGTAAGCATTTAGAGGATCAGAAAGCTGATCAGATTTATGTAGATATTCACTCGAGCTGTCGTGAATGGGTCAGGGGGTGGAAAGAGTAGAAGAAGGGAGACTGATAGTCTAGGCATGATTAGAACGAGGACAATGGGAAAGAAAGATTTTGAGATCAATTTTAAAGTTGAAATCAACGGGACTTGGTGATGCATTGGATGTGGAGGTTGGGACTGAGGAGGTGCCAAGGATGTTGCCCAGATTTGTGGCTTAAACCACTTCATAAAAAATGAAGAATCTGAGAAGTGTAGTAGGTATAGAGCAGACTCAGAATTCAGTGTCTTGTTTTTGTGCTTCTATGGTGCCCTGTGCGTATACAATTAAATGGTTTATTTGTCTCAAAATGCACCTATGGACTTCTTGACTTTGTATCTTTGTATCTTGACTTTTTATCTTCAGTAACTACTTAACATGCCATCTTGCACAAATCTGATATAGATTCATTTAAACATTAATTATATCCCATTTTCTACTTGCTTTGTGATATCAAAATCCAAATCCATATATTGGCATACAACATCTTTCATTAACTACCCTCCAGCTACCTGTCCAGCCTGTCTTACCATGCTTCTTCACACACACCTGGTGTGTCAGCCTCACAACCTCTCCCACCCTTCAATGCCCCAGTCTCTATCACAATGTCCTGACTTATAAATCTTGTTCATCTATTTGCCATTCCTCACTTCCCACATGAACTATGTTAAAGATTACTCCTCTTCAAAGACTTCCAAAACAACCTCAGGCTGGATCCCCCACAGAATCCCTCAATACCTTGTTTATTCTCTAATCAGTGCAGCAGTCCTTATGATTCAGGATCAGTTTGCAGGTGATTATCTACTTAAGACTGTGGGCTCCTTGAAAGCAGGAGCTGTGTCTTGTTTATCTCTCAAATATTGGTACTTTGCATTAGACTCAACAGAAGTCTATTGAAGTAAGAATAAAGAATATAACTAGAAGGAAGAATTATCCCTGGTGAATAATTAAAAAAAGTCAGAGAGTCAGGATAAAAACGCAGAAACATCAGTATCCTGATAATTAAATGAGGAGTGCGAGGAAGTAAATGTTGCCCGCAGAAGAAAATCTGGAAATATTTAACGAACTTACATATGACTTTTGACTCAGCAATCTCACTTCTAGGAATTTACCCTGAAAATAAACCTCCGAAAATATGAAAAAGTATATGTGTGCGGTTATGAATTATGGCATTATTTGAGCAACAAAAATCCTTCAATAAAGGATTATAGTATCCCCACACAGTGGGCTATGATGCATCTATTAAAGAGGAATGTGGTTGCTGCAAACTCACAGCAATGGTTCCTAGGGCATACTTTTAAGTGAAAAAAATATATATATAGGACAATGTTTGTTGCATCCTACTTTTTGGGTAAGAAGAAAGGAAAACAAAGATATTAATTGTCTTTAGGAAATAAGAATTAAGTATATATGTGTATATGTTTATATTTGCCAAAGGAAACATAGAAACAATGACCAGAAACTTATGAAAATGGTTACTTCTAAAAGTAATCTGACAGTAGCTTTTCTTTTATTTCTGACCTTTAAGTTATATGAATGTTTTACATGTATTCAAAAATCAAATTAAATCAAAAAGAAAAGTACATTTTAAAACTGAATACAATCAGAAACAAATGAATTTAAATACATGTATATATATACATACATGTGTATGTGTGTATGTATATATATACATACATGTGTATGTGTGTATGTATATATATACATACATGTGTATGTGTGTATGTATATATACATACATGTGTATGTGTGTATGTATATATATACATACATGTGTATGTGTGTATGTATATATATACATACATGTGTATGTGTGTATGTATATATATACATACATGTGTATGTGTGTATGTATATATACATACATGTGTATGTGTGTATGTATATATATACATACATGTGTATGTGTGTATGTATATATATACATACATGTGTATGTGTGTATGTATATATATACATACATGTGTATGTGTGTATGTATATATATACATACATGTGTATGTGTGTATGTATATATATACATATGTGTGTGTGTATATATATATGTGTGTGTGTGTATATATAATTAATAACAAAATTGCCCGTAAAAATGTACTTCAAGTAACTCTTGGATCAGAACTCTAACTATACAGCTTTAGTATAACACATAGTACTCTAAGAACAAAATTAACTGCCAAGAGAGCTTACATTTCACTCGGGCTCAATTTTTACTCAGGTAATTAAACTAAATTTAGGTTTACTGCTATTAAATAAAATGGTATTATAAATTGGAAACTACTATATGTATATTGTAGGTTAAAGCAAATAAGTAAATATATTAATGTTATTAGGAAACAGGATTTTAATAAAGAAGAAATACATGTACAAAAAGATAAGATAAAACTTTGTAATAGAAATATCAGTTGGCATTTATAATTCTTATTTCCTACTATTGACATCTACAGGATCTAGAAGCAATGACATCCAGGTAGCCATGAACATAGCCAGTGCCTGGATTTTACCATTCCCCCTAATATGAGCTAAGCTTTTTGGAGAATGACTGAGTCTAGACCTGGGACAGAGAATGCACAGGTGAGTCTGAGACATCCTTTGTAGTGGAAACCAAGAAAGCACTCAAAAACTAATGGGAACATGTTCAAAGGACCCAGGAGTCAGATTAAAAAGAGTGCAAGGATAAATTCAGCATCAAATTTGATAAAATATGAGCATCAGAAAAGATGGACTGTTGTGGTTTGTAATATATTGAATAAATAAAAATCCTGAGTCCCTACTGATACCATCTCTCCACCTCAAAATAAAAAATAATAAAGATAAAAAGGGAAAACATGAAGGCTCTTCTATACAGAATACTATGAGATAATAAGTGGAGAAGAAATGGTAGAATTATAAAATCACTATGTTTCAACCCTCAATGTAGTAATTGATTTAGGCAGGCTTTATCAATGGATGCTAAAACCATTAGAAGTGGGAGATATTCTTCCATGCCAAAGTATCATGTGACTGCTTTCTTACTAACTGCAAATGGTGAAATTTATCATTACAATGGAGAGATCTTGTGGCCACCATCTTAATCAAATGATGAAAGTTAGCATTATGAATAGTGCAACAACCTGAGGTGATGGAGCTCCTGATGTAACTCACTATATACATAAGCAACATCAGCATGAGGAATTCTTACCCACAATGTTTAACCAAACCTAATCAAGCTTCTAGACATAATTTCTAATTTACCAGAAATATATAGATACAAGAACAAATAACACCACAAGAAAACAATGAGACAAATCTAGAAGTTGGAACATTTTACAAAATAACTGGCCTGGACTCATCAAAAAATGACAATGTCATGACAAAAAAAGGTATAGAGACTTAGATACAAAGAAAGAGAGTTGACTACATGCCAGCTGCTATGTCAAACTCTTCATTCATTTTATAGAATCTTCACTACAACCAGGATGCCAAGGCAAGGAGAGTTTAAACAACTTGCCTAAAGTCACATAGCAGGTAAGTAGTAGAGGTGCTCAATCTGCTGAGTCTGTCACTCTGACCAAACTGCCTATCCATAGTTTGGTGATGGCATTTATTTAACTGATTTTATGCAATACCTAGGAGTAACCACAATAGGCAGATAAATGTTTAGGTAATGTTCTCTGATAACAACAAAAAGTCAGTGAAGTTTTCTACTTATTGTATCTGCTGAAAGGTTAGCATTGAGTATCAGGGTTTATTTACCAAAGATGTCAGTGAGCAAGTAGTAGGAAAACATGAGCAGTTGAGTAAAGCAACAAGTGAAAATGGTCAAATTGGTAAAAGTGGTTCATTTCAAATGTGTTATGTTAGAAAGTCAAAAGTGCCAAAATGTCCCTAATGGACTCCACCAATTTGAAAGATGTTTTAGTAACATCTGCAGATCACCATTTATTTCAAGCTTTATTTCTTTTCAAGTAGTTCATGCTACAGCAATCAAAATACCCTTATTAATTCCAGGTTAGTTTACCACTCATTGGCATTATTTTTCTTTGTATTATTTAATATTTCCTAATTAAAAATACTAACAGACACTTTTTAGGTAGCTTTTCATATTTAGTCCATTGTATCATTTAATATGGTACTATAGTTTCAGCTAGATCCTCCTCTATGTCTACCAGGTAAAACAAACAAATAAAATCAAAAGAAGAAAAAAAGAAAAAAGAAAATGAGACTTTATATCCAAGTAAAATATATCAACTTTGATTAGACCCTGATTAAAAACACAGCAATAACAAATGACATTCTTGGATAACTGAATAAATTGTTAGATAGTCACACACCACATAATGACATTTCAGTCAACAATGGACTGCTTATATGATGGTGGTCCCGTAAGATTACATTACCATAGTTTTACTGTGCCTTTTCTATGTTTAGATACACAAATGCTTACCATTACGTAACAGTTGCCTACAGTATTCAGTATGATAAGATCTGTACAGGTTTGTAGCCTAGAAGCAATAGGCTATACTGTACACCCTAGACGTGTAGTGGGCTATACCATCTAGGTTTCTGTAAGAATACTCTATAATGTTTACACAGCAATGTAATCCCTTAGTGACATATTTCTCAGAACATATCCTCGTCATTGAACAGTGCATGACAGTATACTGAATATTACATAATATTGGAGAACTATTAGTTTTCTTAAATGTGATAATATAGCTAAGTGGGCAAATGCCCTACTTTGGGGGAGTTGCATGAAGGAGTATCTAGGAGTGAGATATTTTAATGTCTGTAACTTACTTTCAAATAGTTCAGCAAAAATGATCACAACAATAACACACACACAGGGTGGGTAGAAAGCAAATGATCAAAAAGAAACAAGTTTTGAATCTGGTTGTAGGGCATTGTACTATTGCACTATTCTTTCAAATTATCTCTATGGCTGGATTTTTACAATTACAATACATGAAGAAAAATCGAAGAAGTTAGGATTACTCTGTGGCATTAAGTTTATATAAAGGTCAAGGTAAGTAAGATCCAAGAAAATCTTTACCAAGAAGGTGGTGGTGGTGGTGGTGGCACCTGGAGACAATTGAAAATATGCCAACACTTACATGGTGAGGGTAGAAGTCAGAGCAGAGGAGGTCTGGAAAAGGACAAGGCAGCCTGGGAAGCTCACTCGCTTCAGAGAATAGGCAGTAGAAAGAAAAAAATGGGTTGAGTAGCTAGATCAAGTACTAGGTAACTGATTTTTAGTAGAAAAGACAGTATCACAGCAATATTAAAGGACCTTTGAAAGAGATGATAATAAATCATCCATTATTCCACCACTCTCCCTTGTGTTAACTGTATGTGTCACATTCTACATTCAAATTTTACTAATATTGTCATCATGCTATTTTATAATCTACTTGAACTATACATTATGTCAAGTAGTTTCCATATTTTTTTAAAAAGTCTCCAAAAAAGCTTCATATTTTATTATGCTTTTATACTATGATTTATTAAGCCATTACTGTATACTGGTGATACAATGTATATAATAATGTATATCTTACCTCTGATAGATTACATCTTTGATATTCACAAGAATGAAATAATTTGTGCAGTGTGTGTGAGTAGTTTTGTGTTTGGCCCTTTGGGTTTTGAGAATCTAATCTTACTGCTTGAATGTACAGCCATAATGACAGAAGGGGCCAGTAATTCTTCATCCAGTAGAGGAAGGACACCAGAACAAGGCCTGATCCAGGCAGAGCTCATGATCTTGGATGGGGATCTGGGAAGAGGCTGGGTGTAAAAGCTGAAAAAGCAGAGCTCTAAGCACCTAAGATGAGGCCTGCTTAGTTGAACTTGGCATTTGGGGAGTGTGGGAGTCCTCTCTTCATTCAGGCATCTGGACTAGAGAGCATATCACTGTGTAGGATTCAGTGTAGGATTTCCAATCCTACCTGCAATTTTAAATATGCATCACTTAGCAGCGAAAAGTAGAAGTGGACTTTTGTCCTGGGTGTGAAGACCAAAGTGATTTCTTATAGATCTAAAGTCACCTGGGAGTTCTGACACAGTATGAAGAAAACTCTGAAAGAGAGACATCCAATGTTGTGCTATAGGTGGTGGAGGCTTGAAAAATTAATTGGAAATAGATGTGAACCCATTTGCATGGACTTCAATAATGAAAATCACGAGCATCAGATGGTAGCTTCTGCCTGATGCTTCACAGACTCTGTACAAGCTGCGTAATGGGAGATAAAGGTGAAGTTGTCCAGGGAGTAAATATTAGGGTAGACTCAAACTTGTAAGTTATCTCAGGAAGCGAGCATTCTCAGCATGTGGAATAGAAGGCCTGGCACTTACTACAGAGTGCTCCCACTACCACTTAAAGAAGGTGAAAACAGCTCCAGACAACTTCTGTCTGTACCCACATGCATGGGAAAGAAGCCAAGGAATGTGCTTTGTAGCCTGCAAATGCATTCCACTGAAATGCCTTCCTACACTTTACAGCCAACCAACCTTTTCCTCATGGAATAAAACAGACCCAGCATGAAGATTGCCTTTCCCTTTTGTCTAGGACAACATATTTGAACAGCTACCCATCCCCACCCAAGGCCCCATGACAGGCAGCTGTGCACATTTCGGGAGCAGCATGTATACAACTTGCAGGAACCAAAGTGGAAAATAGGGACCAAATCCTCCAAATACCTAAAATCTGTATTTGGATTGCTAATTGCTGCTTCTGACCACAGAGGTACAGACAAAGATATGAGTGGCCATTTCCCCATTGTTGCAAACCCCTCTTTCTCTAGCTAGAGTGACTTTCACAGGATTTAAAAGACCAGTACCCTCTCATCCCTTTCTTTATTTTTCTTTTTCCAACTTTTGGAGCCAGACATGAAACACTAAGATACTGAGAAACAACTACATATACAGGGAAAATTGGAAAGGGATCATGCATGTTTAGAGAAAACTGCAGACTCAGAAAGGCCTGAAAATATTTTAAGTTTACACCTCAAGCTAATCATTGGCACAAATACAGTCAATGACAACCCAAAAAGCAAAACAATGAACAACTTTTTAAAAAGCAAACCCTGAGGAAGAGGGAGAATCTGATTTGCTATTAGATAATTTATGAGGTTACAATAATTAGATAAATTATTAGATTCAAATACCCACTTTTCAACAATAAATTACATGGCATACAAAGAAACAGGAAATATGGCACATGCCAAAGAAGCAGAAACTGTCCCTAAAAATGACATGATGACAAATCTACCAGACAAAGGCTTTAACAAAAATGTCTTAAAGATTCTCAAATAACTGAAGGAAGATGTGGAGAAAGTCAAGAAAACAAGGTATGAATAAGTTCAAATATTAATAAAGACAAAACTTAAAAAGAAAACAAAGAGAAATTCTGAAGCTTAAAGGTATAATAACTAAAATGAAAAATCTACTACAGAGACTCAAATGCAGATTTGAGCAGGTAGAAGAAAGAATCAGAGGACTTGAAGATAGGACAATAAAAATTATTGAGTATGAGAAACAAAAGGATTAAAGAAAAATGAACAGAGCCTAGGGTCCTCTGGGATATCATCAAGTGGACCAATATATGCATTGTAGGGGTCCCATAAGAACAAGAAAGGAACAGAGAGAATATTTGCAAAAATAATGACTGAAAACTTCCCCAAAGTGAATAAAGACATAAATAAAAACATTCAAGAAGCTCAACAAACACCAAGTAAGATGAACTAAAAAAATATTCACACTGAGACACATTGTAATCAAACTTTCAAAATACAAAGACAAAGAAAGAATCCTAAAAGCAGCAAGGGAGAAGTAGCTGGTTACATATAAAGGATCCTCAATAATATTATCAGCATATTTGTCATCAGAAACTTTGGTAAACAGAAGACAGTCAGCCAATATATTCAAAGTACTAAAAAACAAACAAACAAACAAACAAAAAAGCTGTCAACCGAGAATCCTGTATCTGGCAAAACTGTCCTTCAAAAGTGAAGCAGAAATTAAGGCATTCCCAGATAAGCAAAACTGAGGGAGTTTGTCACCAGTAGAAATGTTCTGCAAGTAGTGCTTAAGGGAGTCCTGCAAGGTGAAATGAAATGACATCAGACAAAACTGAAAGCTAGATGAAGAAGTAAAGATAGTAATAAAGGTAAATGCATAGGCAATTATAATAGCTAGTATTTTTGTTTATTTTGATTAAGACATTTATGTCAAGGGATAAGTGTGCAATAATGCAGATATGGTTCATTTTTCTAAACAGAAAGTTAGAACAGGTTATACAAATATCACATAGTTTTACTGGAGAACTTTCGAGGTCATTAAAGGTTTTGAGAGTTATGGCAGATACATAGCAAATAATAGTAAAGAGCAAAGAGTATGAGAAAATCAGTAGTCAGCAACATGTTAGCAGTCAGTCATTGATGCTTATACAGGCCCATAGAGTCCAAACAAAGAATCTGGATTTCTGAACATTATACCTTTATGTCTTCTCAAGAGAAACCACAAATCTTCTTTTTAAAATTCTGCATATATGTGCAGTATTTCATAGAGAGCATTGGAACAGAAAAGTCAAGCATCCAAAACCTTTAAGCAGCATAAAAAAATAGCAAAATGACAGAAATAAGTCCCTCCTTATTAGTAATTACTTTAAATGTAAATGGATTAAGCTTTCCATATAAAAAACAGAGATTGACAGAATGGATTATTTTTAAAGAAACACATGATCTAACTATATGCTGTCTACAAGAGATACTTTACATCCAAAGACACAAATAAGTTGAAAGTGAAAG